>NC_000018.10:72037528-73287528 GCF_000001405.40 Homo sapiens | reverse complement strand
TAATGTGTCCCCAGTGATTTATAGGTATTGTCCCTACCACTGAGAGATCCAATTTGGATAATGGATAATCCAAATTATCCATTTTGTGGCAGAAGAAGCTGAGACAGATGATAAGTCCAAGATGTCACGTCTCATCAATGCCAGAGTTTCAATGAAAACAAGTTTGCTCATTTCCAACAATTACACTTTGGGGTCCCTTTCTCTTTAAAATGTGATTTCGAGTGATTGAAGCTTATGGAATGATGAATGCCTAGGTGGTTGGGAAATGTGGTATAGTGAAATGAGTCCCTGGATTTCAGCTTCAACCACATCTGTGGCATCACCCGCATGAACATGGATTTAATTTCTTTTTCTTACTTAAAGAGATTGTTAAAAATCTTGTTGCACTGTAAAAATATATCTCCCAGGGATTTCATAAATGAACCTAGCTAGCTAATTTTACACTCTTCAAAAGTGTGAAAGGATTCGTAAGAGAAATAAATAATAGAAGGGAGTGTATGTGGGGGAGAGAGTCAATCCACTTTGGTCGGCTACTCATTATAAGAAAAATGTTCAGTAATTATAAAACTTGAATATGCAATGACTAGGTGTCACAGGTCTTGCAGCTGTTCACAGGCCCTTTTCAGAGGTAAATATAGCACCATATATCTCCACACACAAAAAGGCTTGTCACCTGCCATTGGAAATGATGAACATAATACGCCCTGCTGCGTATTGAGGAACAAAGGACCTGCTGCTCCTTCCAGTGTGGTGTCAGGAAATGTCTCAGTGGAAGTTGTATAACATGACTCCTCTAAAATCTCTTTTAGGTTTGGTTTCTACTCCCGTGCTCTCGAAATGTCAGCCAACACTGCAAATGGCAGTCACCTATTCTGGTCACCACCTGCTGCTTCGGTGCAGAGATGGCTTGCTTGACTAAAGAACCAATTCTTATGCTTGGACTAAGGAATGTAAATGGCCAGGGATCATTTTAAAGGAAAGTGGCTACTTCTGCATAAATAATAAAGATGTGCTAGTGGAAGGGGTTGTGACCATTGGAGATTTATTTGTCTATTTCAGTGCATGATACCATTAGCTTTGAATTTCCTTTCTGAATTTCTACCATGGCTAGATTCTGTAGCTAGCAAAGAAGACAAAAAGGAAAAATATATGTCAGATGTGTTTAATCTGGCTGCCAAATGCAGGTATCACATTCTATTTAAACATAGGTTATTTCTGCTTGTTGAAGCAAATTTATTAATCTTGCTTTTTTTTTTTTCCGAAATGAACTGGCATCGTTGCTTGTATTTTTCAGGAAACCTCTGTGGTAGCTTGTCTTTAGAGCATGCTCATATTATTCCCACAATGATAGGTGAGGCCTGTTCCTCCAGGCCCTGAATCTAAGCTAGCTTGTTGACCAAGATAGTGGGACATCTTGTTGTGCTGTCAAATTGTTTGTAACACAACTGATAAATGTTTTGGGGGATGGATACCCCATTCTCCGTGATGTGCTTATTTCACATTGCTTGCCTGTATCAAAACATCCCTTGTGTCCCATAAATATATACACCTACCATGTACCCACAAAAATTAAAAATTTAAGAAAATGGGAGAATGCGGCAGAAATTACACTGGGCTGACTGTGGACCCAGTCTCCAAGATGATTGGCCACTTCTACTTTCTTTTTCATGGAAAGTTCACCACAGGCGAATGCCATGGAAGGATCCCAACTGTACCAGCACAGTCATGCCTTGAGGAAGTTCAAACTAGCCACATAGACAGATTATGGGGAAGCAGCTCATCCCCTGCGGTTCTAGCCATCTCTGCCAAGGTGCCAAATATGTGAGTGAAGAAACTATCTGGTGAAAATTGTATGTGTGTTTATATGTATATGTACAAATGTACATCAAATGACTTTATGTGTGAACTTGACAAGGCCACAGCATCCGGATATTTGGTCAAACATTATTCTAGATGCTCCTTTGAATATACTTCTTAGACACACTTAACATTTAGATCAGTAGACGACTGAGTAAAGCAGATTACCCTCTATAATATGGTGGGCCTCATCCAATCAGCTGAAGGCCCTAATAATAATAATAATAATAATAATAATAATAATAATAAAACTGACCTCTCCAGAGGGGGAAAGAATTCTACCAGCCTACCAGCAAATGGCCTTTAGACTTGAAGGAAAACCGTTTTCTGGGTTTCCAGCCTGCCAACTTGTTCTGCAGATTTTGGACTTGCTAGCGTCCACTATCATATGATCCGATTCCTTAATCTCTCTCTCTCTCTCTCTCTCTCTCTCTCTCTCTCTCAGAAATCAACCCCCGCCCCCAACACACACACACACACACACACACACACACACACACACACGATCATCCTTTGGTATCCGTGGGACGGGACTTCAGCATCTCTTGCGATTACCAAAATCTGCAGATAATCAAGTCCCTGACAGTTGGCCCTTCTTATCCAAGAGTTCCTCATGCAAGAATTCAAGCAACCTTGGATCAAACATGCCCACGGTGGGTTGAATCCACAGGTGCAGAACCTACCAACATGGAGGGCAGACTGTATACATACACACATTCCATTGGCCCTGTTTCTCTGAAGAGCCCTGGCAACTACAGATTTAAGCACCTTGTAAGTCTCTGGAAATTATCCAAAGGGGCATACAACAAGTGAAGAAACATTTATTCTAGAACGTCACTAAATGGTTGTAGGTAACAGCAAGAACCTCTGGCAATTTATCCACAACCTCCTTTCTTTTTCCCTCCCCCCAAGCAGAGTTGACAGGAAGCTGTGTTCCAGACACATGTAGCCAAAAACACAGGGCTCCATCTTACCCCGGCTCCCACGCTCCAGCTATAAAATCTCTGCAGGAGGGCAGGTAAGCAGCATTTGTATCCTGCCAAATTCTGTGTTGTGTTGCAGAAGCTCCTCAGGTAAGAGTGGCTGAAAGATTTTGGGCTCCCTTCCTCTAATCAGTTCATACTTTAGAGTGGAAGCATAGCAGGTCAAGAATACCGGCCTCCAATAGTCTTTGTTCCAGTTTGCTTGTATAGTACGGTTTTTTTTTTCTTTTTCTTTTTCTTTTTTTTTTTGAGACTGAGTTTCCCTCCTGTTGCCCAGGCTGGAGTGCAATGGCGCGATCTCGGCTCACCGCAACCTCCGCCTCCTGGGTTCAAGCAATTCTCCTGCCTCAGCCTCCCAAGCAGCTGGGATTACAGGCATGCGCCACCATGCCTGGCTAATTTTGTATTTTTAGTAGAAACGGGATTTCTCCATGTAGGTCAGGCTAGTCTCAAACTCCCGACCTCAGGTGATCCATCCGCCTCGGCCTCCCAAAGTGCTGGGATTACAGGCGTGAGCCACCGCGCCCAGCCTTACAGTAGAGTTTCAATGCTGGGGAAGGCAAATTGAGGAGAACTGTTCATACCTGATGAGTGAGGCAAGAGAGAAGCCTGCAGGTACTGTCCCTGCCCCCAGCTCTGGAGCAGAGTTCTGAGGTTTTACATAGCCACAGTGGTAGCCCATAAACATTCCAAGATTCCTTGCTGACCTCAGAGGAACTGCCTTTACTTGAAAGAGAACACAGGAAGGTTCAAAGGCCATGGCCACAGTCATAAACAATGGTTATTTTGATGTAAGCAATAAAATTGCTAGTTCCCCGAGAGCAACAAGCTAAACCATACAGCAGCTAGTTTTTTAACTGACAGAGCCTGGGATAGAGACCGCTCAGTGCCTTCTTGGTTGGAATAATCCTCAAAGACTGGACTTAAAGACTACCTGAGCAAAAATAACTGAATTTAATTGGATTCGCTTGTAGGACAATTTATACCTCTGGACGTTGCTGAAAACAATGGGACATCATTCTACAATTAGTGTAAGCTAACAGCGAGGTGTAATACCAATGGAGGCATAAGGATTAACACAGAGATGAGAGAAAGAGCCTTGCTCTAATCATTGTCATCTGAGGATGAAAATGTCCGAGGCTGCACCATCTGATGAACAATGACATTGGCTGCACACTGCAGAGAATACACATCACTCAAAGAGTCTTGCCAAGGCACTAAACAAATAAAGAAGCAAACAACAACAAACTAGAGGAAGGGGAATGGAAATTAGTAACCAGAATTGCTACAATATATTATTGAAAGTGTCCAGTTTTTTTTAAATTGTGGTTTACACACATCTACACACACACACACGCACACACACATAGACACACACACACAGGAATAAAGAAATGTATGACTCACATAGGAAATAAAAGTAGGCAACAGGAACTGCCTTTGAGAGTGCCCAGATGTCAGGCATGGCAAACAGAAACTTTAAATCAGCTATTATAAATATGTTTGGCCAGGCATGGTGACTCACACCTGTAACCCCAGCACACTGGGAAGCAGAGGCAATGTGTTTACCAGTTATCTTAAATTTTAGACCTATCTATGGTTACCTCAGCGCATGTCACCTTGCACATGGGCAGTGGTTCCATGATGGTCTTACAGCAGAGGGCCACATCTACCTACTGCATATGGCCTCCAGCTCCCAGAGAAAGGCAGAATCAAAGCCCAGAGCTTTTACCTGCTAAGGCAAAAATTCCCTGTTCTTCTGTGTCTATCACTGTACAATCTGTGGTATGCATTGCCATGTACTGCTCAGCACTAACTAACATTCTAACCTCTATCCGGAGAGCCTGCATTTGATTTCAGGGAGTGCATGCATTAAATCAACTTTTCTCATGCCTACACGATAATATAAAATTTCCATGTTTTAATATTAGAAATCAATAAAGAATGTAGTGCAAATTTTGTCATTATTCACATTAAAAACACCCTGGGAGATGACTTTGTTTATTTAATCAAGAGGGAGTTCCGTTGGTGGTCAGCAGACTTACCAAACTGAAACTCTATTTGGACTCACCACTGAAGTATATGCTTGATGCAAAAAATAATTTTCATAAAGCATTGTAAATATATATATATATATATATATATATATATATATATATATATTTTTTTTTTTTTTTTTTTGAGACAGAGTTTCACTCTGTCGTCCAGGCTGGAGTGCAGTGGCACTCCACAGTGCAGTGGCATTCACGGCTCACTGCAGCTTTGACTTCCTGGGCTCAAATAATCCCACCACTGAGGCCGCCTGAGTAGTTGGGACTACAGGTATGCACCACCATGCCCAGCTAATTTTTTTTTAATTTTATTTTTTGTAGAGACGGGCTCTCAATAGGTCGCCCTGGCTACTCTGGAACTCCTGGCCTCAAGTAATCCTTCCACCTCTGCCTCCCAAAGTGCTGGGATTCCAGACATGAGCTACTGCACTCAACCAAAAAATCTGTTTGTTTCCATCAGAGTCAAGTATTTTCAAATTATTTCCAAATTTCTTTAAATATTTGTAAAATTTATATAAAAATTTTTACAAAGTAAATTCTCAGGAATAAACAAAATTTATTTTATTACTTATTAACACTTATTTATATTATTTCCTACTTCTAGTTATGCTATTTCTCAACACATTTTTATTGTACTATTAGTTACGATGCCATTAAAACAAAGGATGTTAATTAAACATTAAAATGAAAAATGAATAAAACATGTCCTACATAAACCTTGTTCCTGAAGTAGTATATATCAATTGCAATTACTTTTGTAGCATTTATAGCAGTAAACGTTATGATCATGCCCCCAAATTTAAAGATTTACATAAATCAATTCTGAAAAGCCAGTATTTACAAATTGTAATCAGTTGTTTCTGATTCCCAACTGTATTATCAGCTTAAGATTTTTGTAATTTTGTCCTATATAACTTCATTAAGCCACCAACTTTCCACTATATGCCTGTAAGAAAATGTGTACATGAATGTATTTGACCACTTGGAATTAGGCGCACATTTGAGATATTGCCATGAACACACCTCAGCTGGATGCTCTGCAGTGACCCCCTCCCCTTAAACCTCCCAAGAAACAAGGGAAATGCAGGACTTTTTGACAACTTACTATGTGCCAGGGAAAATTAAGCATTGTTTTTCTTCCTTCAGTTTTTAAAAGATTCGTGCAAGTTCATTTATTTTGTTTTAAATGAGAAACCCTATTATATATATTGACTTTGAAGAAAAAAAAATTCCCACTACCTGACTACTTTAATTTTTTTAACTTCAAAACAAAATACACTTTTGGTTTCTAATTAATAACGTTGCATTCTGTAATAGAAAATGAGTTAATGAATGAACCCATGAACTTCTTGACAGCGTGGTGTCTCAGCCATACATGTTATCTTCCCTAGGGCGGATGGAGCATGTATGATAAGGCCGTGATTGCCGGAGCACAATTAAACCAGTAAATTGTTTACTAATGGCAGACAGCAGCAGGAGCTAACTTTCTCTGTTAATCATAAGGTTTTGTTTCTACCACGGTACTGTTGCAACATCAGAGTCACCATATAGTTCAATATAAATGCAGTTTCCAAAACGAAGTTTGCTTTACCTTCGATGACTAACTTTTTTATTAGACCCATGGATATGTAGACAAAGCCTAAGCTTTAGAGTAATTCAGATAAAAAGTTTAATGGTTTAAGCAGAAATCACTGTAATTTAGGGGAGAATTAGACTGCATGTTAAAAACCTAGAACAAGATGTGATCACTTTTTACTGCGGAAAACATACCACTGCAAGGTGAGTGGGAACAACCACATTTCACCTTCTGCTGTTAATTTCTATATTCCGATTTCCCCTTTGCAAAGAATGGGAAAACAAATTAGTTAAAATCTTCTGCTTAAAACTGATATTTCCGCCTGTAATTCCAGCACTCTGGGAGGCCGAGGCGGGCGGATCACGAGGTCAGGAGATCGAGACCATCCTGGCTAATGCGGTGAAACCCCGTCTCTACTGAAAATACAAAAAAGTAGCCGGGCGTGGTGGCGGGCGCCTGTAGTCCCAGCTGCTCCGGAAGCTGAGGCAGGAGAATGGCGTGAACCCGGGAGGCGGAGCTTGCAGTGAGCGGAAATGGAGCCACTGCACTCCAGCCTGGGCGACTGAGCAAGACTCCGTCTCAAAAAAAAAAAAAAAAAAAAAAAGATATTTCCTCATGGAGTCTATGTCATTTTTATACGGAGAAATGGAAATATTCTTCCCTAACACCCAGCCATATAACTACATCTACATTTCCTAGAACTCAACAAAAGTCACATCTGATATAAAAATCCTTCCTTCGTCCTTGTCTACATCCACGTTGAAACTGTAAGAATTTCTCAAGACCAGATTACATCAGAGAAATGCTATTTTGGAAAGTGAGGCTGAAAGCATGCCACTTTCTTTTGTTTAATTTCTTCAAATTTCTCCATTGAGGTTTTGTATCATTTTCATTTTCTTCTCCACATTTTTTTATTGTCTCCTGCTTTTTCCTTTTTTTCCCTTAAAAGGTTAATCGTTTTATCTTCATGTCCTTGTATACAACATCTGCCAGTAGTTCTTTCATCAGTAACTTCATTAGACTAACTATAAAGTATTTTAATGTTGTATAATCTCTCCATTGCTTTGCAATCATATAAATATTCCATAATTTCTGTTTGCATTACAGTCAGCTCTTCCTGGGCTCTCATTATGTGTGGTCACTAGTAAACATTGCGTGACATCTAGACTGCTTAATGGGTGCCACTTAAAGCCATGGTGTACTAGATTCTGATCCTGAGCCACCTTAGAGCTGTGACTGTGGTCATGCCCAATTTTCCCGTCACCCAAACGTTGGCGGTTTGCTCTGTTCACGGAGGAAAGACTTCAGCAGTCACACACACTGCTACCACAGCCGTAGAGCCAGGCGACCGCTCATGCCAATGAGAGACAGAGGAACCGCAAGCACAGCATGCTGGATGGGAACCAGCTGCCTCGCCTGCACTCTGTCCAGACAGCTCGGCCAAGAGACAAGCCTCTGTGGTCCCACCTTGCCAGAAGCTGCTCGGAGGTGCCAGAAAATACAGTCTGGGTGCCTACAGGAGTGAAATTCCTGTGAGCAGATTCTGTCCAATGGAAGTCAGAAAACTAAACAAGCCAGGCAGATGAATTCTCCTTCTTTCAGTCCCTGAGGAACTGTTCTGAGATGTAGTCACTTATATTTCATAGAACAAATATATATATATATATATATATTATTTTTTTTTTTTTGAGACAAGGTCTCACTTTGTACCCCAGGCTGGAGTGCCGTGGTGTGATCACAGCTCACTGAAGCCTCAACCTTCTGGACTCAAGTGATCCTCCCACCTCAGCCTTCCCAGTAGCCGGGACCACAGGTGTGCACTACCACACTGGGCTAATGTTTGTATTTTCTGTACACACTGAGTCTGGCTATGTTGCCCAGGCTGGTCTTGAACTCCTGGGCTCAAGTGATCCACCCACCTTGGCCTCCCAAACTGCTGGGATTGCAGGTGAGAGCTCCCATGCCCAGCCAGAACAAATAATTCTTGAACAAGCCAGGGCACTTTGTCAGAATTGGCAGGAACACTGTTAACAATTATACTGTGACAGTAATATAAGTGAATTATCCCAGGCAAGCAAAAATACATGCTAAGCCTTTTCTTAATTTTCTCTGAGCAACTTCTATGAGACCACAGTGCCTCGTGTTTGCCCTCTCTTCCTCCTTCACTGCTTCTCCTTCTCCCTCACCCCTCCTTCCCTGACATTGCACTTCTCCGTGTGGGTGAGGATGGATTTTCCTCAGAGTCTTGGGCTCAGGCAGTTGGTACCAGGAGTGGATGGTCCTTCAGATTTGGTTTGGAGTTGATTATTTCTCATCAGTCTAAAGCCAATAAAACCCCCATAGCTGCTAGAAAGTGGGGTGATGATATCCCTGGAATGCTGAAACAAGCACCTGCTTCCAAAAGTTGGGAGAAGACCTCATGGAGACCCTGAGCCTACCCCCTAGCAGCTCCTTTTTGAGTTCAGTTGCCCAATGCACCTAGGACACACCTGGTAAGGTACAAGGCTTGTTGCTGCTCTTCACACCTCCTGACAGTGAGGAAGACAGGCAGTGTTTGGTCACCTGTTGGAATCTCCCAATCATATATCAAACTTCGGAATTAGATTCTGCTCTGAGATGGTTGTCACTATTGAGTGGGGCCTCCCATGGGATCCAGACTGTCACGAGTTATCCTTACATTCAAGCCATTTGGCCTAATTGATCTTATGGCACTATAAATATTAGGACTATAGATGTCCATGTGAAGATGGACTCCATATGAGGTTTCTGTTGGGTCCCAGTAGGCGACCCCACAAAGCAGATTCTCATTGCAGAAGATTTTTCACCATTTAAAAAATTATTCCTGCCCCTCCTAGAGGCTGAGTGCCTGACCGTGATTCCAAGTGAGTGTGTAACTGGAGATACTGATTGTGAGATGAATTTTATCAGATTCACCTGTTGATTCCTTTAAACAGTAGCAGCTTTCTGAACAAGAAAAAAACATGTAAGATCAGACCAAAGGAGTTCCAGAAATTACACTAAAATGGACAAATGACCCAGGATGCATGGCCGCTCCCTCTGCTCTCTGAATGCCTCACTCTCTTCTGGACCACAAGGGGTTCTTTATGAGCAATTTACAGAGGTTCAAAGTCAATGACACCATGGTTTGAGCCAATTTCACATATTTGTTGGTGTGATGCCTTGACACTATCTGGAAATGAACTACTGTATATCATAACCCCACTGAAAGATTATCTCAAGAAACAACCTTGAAAAAAAAATTCTATTATTCGGTAGAGCTCTAAGCAGTACTCTTCTTTGTTCAAAGGGAGTGAGTAAGCACCTTAGGTAAGGACCCATATGGGATCTGGGAAGCTGGGAAGTGGCAAATGGCTTGGCTGTTTGTTCAGCAGGCTCTAGGAAACAGGACTGGAATACAAGTGATAAAGGGCCTTAGAAAATACTATGTGGGTGGATTTGTGAAAGTAGGGACAAATCTTGGAGCCTCTGTGTCTCATGTTGTAATCCATCAGAGAACACCCATCATGGAGATGCTGAACAAACATGTATAAGAAGGACTTTTGCAATTGAGGTCAGCCAGATCCTGTCTGACTCTGAATGCTATGAATCCACAACAGAGTGGCACTGGAGGCAGAAATAGAGACCGTAGACCTGTGCAGCAGCATGGGACCCTCTCACCTAGGCTAACATACTCAACTAACCACAGCAGAGTGCACTGACTGACACTTAGCTGTTGACGTGACGATATGTTTTGGAGAGATCTATCAACAACCTGGTGGCAAGTTGATTATACCGCAGAGGAAATTGTTGTTTATCCTTATTGAAATCAGCTCATACTCTGGATATAGGCTTTCCTTTCCTACCACAGTGCCTCTGCAATGCTTGATCTATTTGGCATGATATTTGATATATTTGCCTCAGAACCAGAAACCTATTTTGTGGCAAAGGGAGGAGAGAGAAAAATAAAGAGAAAAAGAGGTAATTAATGCAAATTTATTGATATTTATTTACTGATACTTACCAATAATATCTTAGAAAGACATGATTGAATATGTATCAATATCTTATATATGATATTCGATATTAAAAATATCAATAATTGCACAGGGTATCCAGTCCTTATTTGTTGAATTTGTAGCAGAAACCTACAAAAAGTTTACAAAGTAAAATAACAAGGGTTCTTAAAAATCACAATTTGATAGCAAGAATGCAAAGCTCCATGGAAGGACTGAAAAATAAAGTTGCAAAAATCCTGAAGAATGAAACCAAAGTACAGAGATGTCAAATAAAGGTGGACTTTTTCAGGCCAATGCAGGAGGTTTAACATATGACTAACAGAAGTTCCAAAAAAACAAAGAGAATTAAAAAAACCCAAAGAGAAAAAAATTATAAAAAGTAAAATTCCAAGTGCTAAAAGGTATATATATTAAGAAATTGCCTGTTGATAAATCTTATGGATGAAACTAGATCCATAGCAAGTTAATTGTAAAGTCTCAAAAGCTTGGTGTGGGCAAGCGACTCCAACAAGCTTCCAGAAAGAGGATTGTCCAAAGATTCAGCTGTGAAGAGATTTTACATATTGATCATAGTATTGAACACTGAATACTGAATATTGATCCAATCAAAATCATATTGTAGCATGATTAGAAAATTGAAGATGCCAGAAGGGTGTGTGTGTATGTGAGGCAACGGGGGTTGGAGACAGAGAGACCTAAATACATAATATCCTTAATCTGAAGTCAATAAAAAGTAGTTTTTCTTTATACTTTTTGAGAATATTATCCAATAACACTTTCCTGAGGAATTTTTATCTTTCTATTACTTCTAATTTTTATCTTTCTATTACTACCTGGAAGACAACTTTAAAAGATAACACATAATAGTGAAAGTTGGACGTTTGTAATTAAAAGGATCAAAAACGTGTCTTGGTGCTGTCACTCACTCCTGTAATCCCAACATTTTGGGAGGCCAAGGTAGGTGGATTGCTTGAGGCCAGTAGCTCAAGACCAGCCTGGGAAAGATCCAATCTCTCTAAAACAACAACAGCAACAAACAAACAAAAAGAAAAAACAATGTGTTTTGAACAAAGATAAATAACCTTAAAAATAAGGTGGAATCTTTAACAGTGCACTCAAAAATTAAATAATTAAATCCTTAAATCTGATAAAATGGAATGTGCATCATAGCTTATTTCCATAAATACTATTGGAAGTAATGTTTTTAAGTTTGTAACAAGATTTATAGTTATTGAAGATGAATGTATTGGGATCATTGACATTTGAATAATTAGCATTTGAAATTTGCAGCTATTTATATTACAGATAAAATGGGTTTAAAACCAAGTAAAATCCTAAACAAAAAAAAAAGGCAGTGAATCTATTATAGGCGATAGGAAATCTCACTGAAAAGATAATTGTATTAGTCTGTTTTGTGTTGCTATAACAGAATAGGAGCCAAGAATACTCAGACTGGCTAATTTATAAGGAAAAGGAGTCTGTTTTATTCAAGGTTTTGCAGGCTGGGGATTTCGAGGGCATGATCTAGCTTCTAACGAGGGCTTTGCGCTGCCTCAAAACATGGCAGAGAAGGTCAAAAGGGAAGTGGACACATGGGTGGAGGCAAGATCTGGAGTGTCCCAGCTTTACAACAACACTCCTGCTTGGGAAATATCCATTCCCACAAGAACTAATCCTGTTTCACCACAGTGAAAATTAAACCTGGAAGTTTGAAGTTGCAGTGAGCTATGATTGCACCACTGCATTCCAGCCTGGGTGGCAGAGTGAGACCTCGTCGTTAAGAAAAAGAAAGAAGAAAGAAAGAACAAAACAAACAAACAAATAAACATATATAATAATCACACATCATTCATAGACAGGTGCTGTCAGTAATTCAAGGAAAGAAAAAAGACATAAGAAGTAAGATAGTATCTCCTTGAGACTACTAGGCTTTATTTCTAACTTCCTTCACAAATAGTAGTCTCCACTTTTCACTTAGGCGGTTGCCACACTATTGTATGACTGATGTTAAAGAGTAACACAATGATGCGACTCTGATGTCAAAGAGGGATGTGCCATTCATGCTCTCTCTGCTTTGACGTCCATGGGTCATTATGTACCTATGTCCTGGTAACGGACCTCACATTCAATTGATTTTATTTGGGTAAGAGTTTCCTACTTGCTTCCTCTTTTTATTATTTTTAAAGGTAATCTGAAATCTCAATAACATAGGCAAATAAAATATTTAAAAAGCATATGCATATATTTATCAAGTTCAATGAATAAGTAAAACTTTATTTTTAACATACGAAGATGCACAAATTTTGCTCCCACATTTCTTGATAATAAATAAAGAATAGAGGAGACAAGGGATTCAAGACAAACCGGCCCATCTAAGTGGAATTAGGAAAAAGTAAAAGAAAAAACAAAGGCCGGGCACGGTGGCTCATGCCTGTAATCCCAGCACTTTGGGAGGCCGAGGCGGGCGGATCACGAGCTCAGGAGATCCAGACCATCCTGGCTAACACGGCAAAAGCCGTCTCTACTAAAAATACAAAATATTAGCCAGGCGTGGTGGCAGGCGCCTTCCAGTCCCAGTTACTCGGGAGGCTGAGGCAGGAGAATGGCATGAACTCAGGAGGTGGAGCTTGCAGTGAGCCCAGATCGAGCCACTGCACTCCAGCCTGGGCGACAGAGCAAGACTCCGTCTCAAAAAAAAAAAAAAAAAAGAAAAGAAAAAAAAGGAACACTAATATCCCTAACTTATAAAGGGGTCATAAAGAAGCAGCATTTACAGCTGATGAAAGCCGCATCATTTAGCTTAAAACGAAACTGATGGAGAGAATAAATCTGGTGATGACAATGACGAGTAGAGGGGTGGAGGTGCAGGGAGAGTGAGTCGAATCTGTCGACAGATCATGGGCTGGTGGTGATGAAAAAAATAGTGAAAAAAACTCAGGAAATCGAGTTGGAGGCATTTATAACATGTGCAAAACAAAAACAGAAAAATAATGTGCGACTGGTAGGAGCAGAGCAAGTGACAAATATTAGGACTGGAGACCTTTGCTTTTTATCAAAAATAATCTTTATTATTTTACTTTTAAAGCCATGTAGGTATTATTACATCTACTGGTTATACACTCTAAGTCCATATACTTTAAGTATATGGGAAAATTTTATTACTTTTTCTATCTCTTGCTGGTATAATTCTTAATGTTTCTGTCTACATATTGGAATCAAGTTCTAATATTTTGCTGTTTTTGTTTTGGATTTGATTCCATGCTATGGAATTTTGAATGTTAGGTAGCAAGTTACATATTAACTAGTTTATATGGAATATAGCATTAAGGAAATTAAACTTCCCACATAAAATGCTTTTCTAAAAAAGTTTCTCTCCCTGACATTTACAAATATTTTTTACTGTGAAACTATATTATATTTTTAGAAGTATGTGTAAAATATGTATTGGTGCTTATTCATCAATATTTTAAAAATAAATGGTGGTGTAACCAGCAACCAAATTAAGCAATAAAGCATAGCTAGGGATTTGAATAAGCAATTCTATTTTATTGGCGTGTATTTGATTAGAAACGAGGTTAAGCACATTGTTCTATTATATAATTATTGACCATTTGGACCTCCTCGTCTGATAAAGTCCTTGCACCTTATTCTACTCACGTGAATGCCTTTTTCTTATAAATCCTTGATTTATGTGTACATTCTATAATAGTTGATTATCAGTTATTTAAATATAGATAAATAATAATTTCTTTTCTTTTTCTTTTCTTTCTCCTTTCTTTTTTTTGACGGGGGAGTGGGACAGAGTCTCACTCTGTTGCCAGGCTGGAGTGCAGTGGTGCGAGCTTGGCTCACCGCAACCTCCACCTCCCGGGTTCAAGCCATTCTCCTGCCTCAGCCTCCAGAGTAGCTGGGATTACAGGCACGCACCACCACGCCCAGCTAATTTTTTATTTTTAGTAGAGATGGGGTTTCACCACGTTGGCCAAGATGTTTTCGATCTCCTGACTTTGTGATCCGTCCGCCTTGGCCTCCCAAAGTGCTGAGATTACAGGCGTGAGCCACCACGCCGGCCACTAATAAATATTATAAATCATATATATGTTTGATTCTTTAACATTGAACTAACAGCCAGCACTACTATATAACTCACGCCAGTATCAAGCTTATGGGGCACAGGTATTTTCTCCCTCTGGCACATGGCAGCATGAGAACTCTCGACAACACTTCAGCACTGTGCTTGGAAGTCATGCTGAACTGTGAAATCACCAACTAAAAGTACAAAGTTGTGGAAATCCAGGGACGAAATATGCTGTGAAGAGGATATTTGTTGTGCTGCAGGCTGAGAGCTCAAACAGGAAGGCAGAGCATTCTCTAATTCAACCTCCGCTCAGGACGTGGCATCAGACCCCTCAAAGCCTTCACCGTTCTGCACATGTCCAGGATGATTGTGGAAGAGGCGCCGATATTGTTTGGACTACAAATAAATTTTTGTAAGTAGGTTAAATTCACAGATACTGAGTCCACAAATACTGAGGATCACCTGCACTTTCATAAATGTAAAAGCGCAAATTTGCCCTTCTGTGGGAGATCTGCAACTGAGTAGGAGCTATTTTCTGACTGCTGACATACATAAGTGAGACCAAGTGAAAAATTTTATATAGTAAATACAGTGATATTAATAGGAGATTGTTGTAATGAATACAGGAGTAGAGAAAAAGAACAAATTCTAAAATATGCTGTTATTGTTGTTTAATATGATGAAATTATTATTATTAGCCTTAATTTTCAGAGCATATTATTCTTATTTCCAGACTCAGGTGCACTTATTGTGTGAGGTTTTTTTTTTTTTTCTTTTCCAACTATTCTTTAGTCAAAGAACAGATCTACCTTGATTTTCATTTTACTTTACGTTACTCTTCATATTAATCTCTGTTGTTAAATTACAGTCACCGATGTCCTACTTAAAAATAAAAGAAACCTACTGAATAAAAGTATGCAAACCCACATTATTAGGACTTGTTCCTAACTTCTTCCTGACAGAAGTGATCAAGGCACAGAATTGCCTTATATCAGAGTAGAAATGTGAGAACTAGACAATTATTTTGGTTACCACACAGTCCAAAGTTGACTCTGCACCTTTCCTTCAAGATTTAGGAGCAAAGACGAGCCAAAGAGAAACACAATGGGGAGACATGGGACTTCCCCACAACATTATATTTAAATCAATTGTAATTAGGGAAGTCATCCTTTTATTTCCATTAGCATAAGTAATGAGTTAAAATTGAACAGAAAAATTAATCTCAGAAAATGCACATATGTCTTTTTGTTTTTATTATAAAATTAAGATTGGTGATCAAGGGTGAGAAAATTGTGCCCTAGTCTAGACTGTTGTTTGCTAGAAGATTTATTTATTTTCACTATTGATTTATGGATTCAACAACGATGTATTAAGTCCCAACCACTTGGTGGTGTGTATGTATACAATGGAAAAATGTCACTGCCATTATATAGTTCATATTCTGTCTTCCAGAAGATAGCTTGCTGATTGGCTGTAGAGTGAACCTGTGTTTGTTTTCACTGTTTAATTACTGTCCCCAGTCTCTCAAGTCACCAATCCATACGCAAGTCTGTGATGCTCACTCTGTGATGTTGCCAAGCTTTTTTCAAGTAATCGCAGTTACAGACATGACAATGTATATGTTATTTCCTGTGATATTTTTAAAATTAACTGTGCTTGCAGATTATGTACAAACAGAGTAAAATTCAGTATTACACACTGTTTCAGAGATGGTGTTCAGTAATTTAAAAAGTAGTGTTTGCTTATTGTCAAGCTCTCCGGAGCATGACATATATTGAGGAATATAAAGCCTCGTAGCCCTGACGTAAGAGCAGCTGGCAGCATTGCTGCCACAGAAATGAGCACTGAGATATCGCAGCTTTACTACTAAATGATAGTGCAGGCCTCGGGGAGCAAAGAGTTTTTGTTTGTACGAGAAAATTGCTTGGTAGTGACAGAGATTCATTTCAAACCTTTCAGGAAGCTTTGTATGATTTCCCAAGGGATCTCTCCAGGGGTCACAAAAGAATAGGGAAAACAAATCTGGCCCTTCTATTCTTGCCGGAAGGGAGGAAAATTAATATTAGAGAGTTTGAGTTCTATCCATTTCACTCATAAAAACAAGCTCTTACATTGGGAGGCGTTCATTTCGAGACTCTTTCATCTCCACCCACTTCTATTGCACAGTTTCACTGGTGTCACTGGACAATGAATAGTAACTGGGGTCAATCACAATACAAACACATCCCTTTGTATTAATCTTATATAACGGCAATATGTATTTGGTTAACCAAGGGAATCAATGGTGTTTCCAGTACCTACCAGAGTGCCTAGCACCAAATAAACAGTCAAAAAACTTCTGGTATGATTTTAATAACCTTTGAGGCAAGCTAATTAATATGCAGATAGTAATTTAACAGTTGTTTGAAGGAAAAAATATATAAAAAACTGTTGGCAAGGAGATTTACATTCTTCTGGTGAGAAGATAGTATAATAACGCTTCTATGGAAAGGCAATTTGGAAAGTTTTGTTACCATTAAAAATGCAAATGCTAATAATTTGTTCTCAGGGTATTTCTTGCAGCTCTTTTTAAAGCATTAAAAGATTAGGAATTATATAAATATTTAAATACTTAATAAAAAGTATCCGGCGAATTAACATTAATACTTTTGTATAATGGAATACCATGCAGCTGTTAAAAATTATAAGGTAGCTCTGTGCGTATAGTCTCATAGAACTTCCAAGACATACTGACAATTGAACAAGTAAGACACAAAAAATTAAAGTTTGCTATAATTTGTGAAAAAAATGACAAATGTGTGTGTGTGTACACCTTCACACAAATATGTTTAGATTTGTGAACAGATAGAATACTAAGAAACCCAAGAGAGGTTGCCACTGAAAAGATAATTGGTCAAAAGCCACAGAAGAATGTGAGATTTCTGTATAAATTTTGTACCATTGGACTGCATTACTTATTCGAAAATCATTAAATTTTAATTTAAACATTACTGCAAGAACGAAGATGTAAATTGACAGTTCTAATTAATGACATTTGATTGTATTTTGTTGTGCACATTTTGTTGTTAAATACATATGAATCACTTTAGTGTCCATAATTTACATTCTATTTGATACATTTCAGAAGCATTCAGAACTTACGTATCATTAATTTGGAAAACTCAAATTTAGAAATTTTATTGCTCAAAATAATGGAAACAATCCAGTGGGTGAGATGTTTCTATAAAGATAGTTAAACAGAATGAGCTATTAAATTAACATTTTGAACTGTTAAAATATTTTTGTTTCTATTTTAACAGTTCATGATTCACAACCATTTTAAAAGATTCATTTCTCTAGATTCGTTTAAAAATTTCCCTTAAATTACTATATACAACCAGTAATTTGTAGTCTTTTTATTTACTCCTTTGAGTCATACTGCCAAGTGCCACACAGTCCCTTCCCTGAGGTCATTTCAAGTATCGGAAAATCTTGCTCTTTGCTGTGGAACGATGAAATGTGCATTTACTTGGAGTGAAATATAATTTAGATTATTCATGAAATTAACATAACATAAAAATAGAAGAGAGAAAAACAAAACAATTTTTGATAAAATAATTTTGGCTGTTAGCATAGAAATAATTTAAGAATAGAAAAATCACCACTTTGCAAATACCAATATAATAATTGATTCCGGTGAGAATCATTAACAGATGTTAAACAGGATGAAAGATGTTTGAAGAAGTTATTCGTGTGAAGCCTAAACATCATCCTTAGGGATTACTGACTAATAGCAAAGGGGAACATTTACCTGCAGTTGCACAATGGAAAGAACCGGTGGTCCACCTTAGCTAAGTGAGCAAAATCTGCCCAGCTGACCCAACATTTCAAAAAGTGACTCCCAATATCATGCAATGAAAATACCAAACTATTGGTTAGTATCGTTGAAGAATTGTTTAACTGAAACTTAATTTTTAAGTAATACACAATATTTTACTTATCTATGGGGTACATGGAATACTTTATATTTAGTGAAAATGTCACACAAACCTAGAATATTGGGGAATAAAATCTGCAAAACTGTATAGACTTGACTTTCAAAAAAAATCCTTATCATAAAAAAACAAATAAACTTGGTTGCCTTCAAGATTCAAAAGTTACTAAATGGGCATGGGCATAAAAACCAAATATTCCATGAAATCCTTAATTTTATATTGGATCAAATCAGAACTGTTATAGCAATATATAAAATTTGAACATGGATTGAATGTGATGATATTTTAAGATTATCATTTATTGTTTCCAATATGGTAATGATATTGCAGTTATGCAGAGAAGGCCCTTAAGCTTAGGAGATGTATGCTAAAGTTCATGTAGGTTAGGTATGATTATGTCTGCAACTTACTTTCAAATACTTATACCCTGTATTGAGTTATGTACATCCATACGCACACATATGCACACACACAGGTACATACATACTCTTATGTTGATTATATATGTTTTGGTTATAAACATATATAATAAATTTGAGCATAAGCATACATTCATCTATCTATATACCACCACCCCCCTCTATACATATATATATAAACTTCAGATAATATATAGACTGACAGATGAATAGACTAAGCAGTAGATCAATTGATCAAAATATAGATAGATGTACATATCTGTATGTTTTGGATCCCAAGACTCATTTTTCCAACTGCATCTCTGCGTGTACAAACTCTATGATTGTTCTTTTTATGGATTGAAAAATCATCCAACATTTACAGAAAAAATGAAGAAAAGATGGCCAATATGATGGCTGTTGTCCATTTTCTCCTATTCTAGCCTAGACGTATCCTCTAAATTTTTGTGCCTCAATTTATGCCTCAGGATGCTTACCTCTAGAGACTGTATCATTGAAATCCCTTGCCTGGAAACTTTTAAAAGCTGATCTTTAGTATACCGTGTAGCACAATTACCTTGCCTTTTCTGAACATCAGAGTCTTGATTATAATTATAATTGTGTTAGCATTATTATAGAATCTGTGCAGAACACTGGGTCATGTGTTTTGCTCATATTCAGCTCATGTACTTCACTAGTAGCAGGTGTGGATATATAACAAATGCTAGATGTGTTCTGTAGTCATAAGTTTTCTAGAGACCACTGAAGGGTCTGTTGAGAATGAATAAATCTCCACAATGAAATAAAAAGCACATCCAGGCAGGGCGCAGTGGTTCAACCCTGTAATCCCAGCACTTTGAGAGGCCAATGCAGGAGGATCGCTTGAGCCCAGGAGCTCAAGTCCAGCCTAGACAACATGGAGAAACCCCATCTCTATATAAAAAAACACAAACATTAGCCTGGTGCAGTGATGCAGGTCTGTAGCCCTAGCTACTCGGGAGGCTGAGGTGGGAGGATCCTCTGAGCTCGGAGAGTTGGAGGCTGCAGTGAGCCGAGATCATGCTGCTGCATTCCATTCTGGGCCACAAAGTGAGACCCTGCCTCCAAAAGAAGACAAAAAAAAAGAAAAGCATATGCATTTTGCTTTATATTAACTGTGACATAAATATATATCTGTTATAAAAGATGTAGATTAAGATTCTGAAGTAGTGCTAGCTTTCTCTTAAGAGGGGTCTAGTCAGAACTGTGATCCTATATAGCCAAGTCTCTGCATTCATTAGCTTCAGATTCCTCTTCTCTCTGCTATGCCTGTGCATATTCTGCAACCACACTCCCACACTGTTGACCAATTCCATCTCCACTTGGATTGACTGTGTTCTTTAATGTACTGTCCTAAAGCTAACTTTACTCTTAGGCTTGCTCAAGGCTCTCTGCAAATTCTCATCATGATTGGATTCTGCGAAGCTTTGCTTCTTTGAAAACATTCTTAATAATGTTGGCTGTCTTTTTGGTGTAATTCAGGGATGATTAACAAAGTGGTTGCTGATAAGAAAATAATATAGTGCAGCTCTGAATAATATATTGTAGGCCTTGATTAGAATTCCATGGACTTTTGACCTGGGTGAGAGATTCACGTACTATGTGAATATCTAGTTTCTTCTTCTATAAAGTGGGGAACAGTAATACCTATCTGATAGTCTTATTGAGAAGATTAAATGAAAAGAAGGTAGAATAGTAAATGGCACATGGGAATTACTTAATCAATGTTACCATTGTTATTACTAATAGTGTAGTACTTTTATTATTATCAGACAAGTTGATTTCTGAATAATTTTCAAAGTAAAAAAACCACTTTTATTATAGAAGAAATTAATGCGCACAATGACATTGCCACTTCATTAAAATTCTTTCATCTACACCTAACTAAAACTATTTAGGATGTTTCCCTACTTAAACATTTCTTGCTTAATGTCACAATGCCTGTATTAATTGCCACAGAGTGAATGTTGCCTCACTAAAAGCCAAAGCCTTCTTCTGTATATATTCAATTATTTAACCATTCAGTCCTGTAAAATTGACATGACTCTACTAAATACATTAAAAGATTGTTCATTGGTATTGAGATAATTTTAAGAGAAAAATATTTTAATGATTGCTTCATTAGATATCCTGATACTTGTGTTTGAAGGAATCTAGTGGAATAGTAATTGCCATGCAAATACATTTTGAAAATGATCCTCAAATGTTTGTTTTAAACAATTAATATATTATAAGAAATCCACTGTATTCTTGTACAGAATAACATACACCCTTGAGTTCATTAGCTACACGAAGTGAAACCATTTAAGCTACTAATTAGCAAACAGGTAAATGCACAATGAATAAATCAATTTCCATCACTGAAAGATGTTTCTCAATGCATCTGTTGATATTAAAACCTTTTGGGCCTTCAAAACATTCTGTTTCTTTTTAATCCAAGTGAAAAATTTTATTAATTTCTAGAATGTGATGCTTAAAGGTTACATCTGAATATCAAATAACTTTCTAATTCCTAAGAACTAACATTTGTAAGGCTGATCACGCTTGGGAAAAATAAAATCACTAGATGATAGTATGTCCAATTTTGAACCATGACAATAGCAAACTTAATCTTTTTAATATCTAAAGCAGATTATTTGACTATCTTTTGCTCTACATGATGAAAGTGTTTCAGTAATAATTATAAAACGTGTAACATATTTCGAAAGATAGGCATTGCTTTAATTTTCTCCACTTTTGCCTTATTTATTAATTAATCTATTTATTGATTGAGCTTCACAAGGTCAATGCTTTGTGACATTGTTGGCAAGGGCAACTCCTTTAAAATTCTTATAGAATTCAGAATAATTAAATGCTAGTGGCTGGTTTTGTAAATATATTTAAATTACTACAAATTCCTCCAAATTCCTGCAGGATACAAAAAGTATAAGTCTTTACGCAATAGTTTCTATATCTGCCAAAAAATTTGAACATTCATCACTATAACCAAAGGCTATTCTATTAGTTTACAGAAATAATTATCAAGGAATTAATAATTTTATTTAATAAAGTTAATGAAACCAAAACATCTGCACTAGTGATAACTTGAAACCTGCATCAGATTGGCCATGCTGGGAATTTAATTTCTATGCTCTTGAATCACTCTTTTGTTTTAAAACTAGCAACTCAGAATTCAAAAACAAATGTCAAAACTGAAAACATTAGTTAAGTCAAATTTTGTATGAATTGTACCAATTACAAATTATCATACCTCATATACTGTTTGAAATTTTAAACTCAAATAAAAAGGGGCCACACAAAGTTTGAACTCTACAATGAACCCTTTTTTGATCTTCACCTCGTATCAATTCCACTCACCGCCACACCTTTGGCATGAAAAGGGAATAGATATTTATGATATTGTGTCTTTGGAGAAGAAGAGAAACATTTTGAGTTAGTTACTTTTATTTCAGTATGGAACTGGCTTACAGTCCCCAGTGCAGCCTTTTCCAATTTGTTCCTGCACTACATATAAACATATTTTAAAAAGATGTCAGAATTTCTAAGGAAGTCATCCTAATTTAAGGTGAATGAACTAAAATGAGAATATCTACAATTTTCATCACCCAATATATTAAGATTTGTCTTTATAAAATAGTAACTGAAAATCAGAAGAATGATGTTTTCTACCTCTTTCTCCCATGTAGTCCCTCACCTAAAACATAGCAATTGTTCCCTGAGCGCTTCCTTTACTAGCCTTCCCTGCAGCGCCCCAGGAAGCCTGTGGATCAAGCAGACGAGTTAATTGGCCTTTCTGCAGGAACTGAGAACACCACCTTGTGAGGCTCATGGTTTTAGGGTTTGGGGGTACAGATTCAAATAATTGACAGTGAGTCTTTCAAATGAGGAGCATGAACTTGAAAACATGATCCACAATAGTCTGGGATTTGTGGACACAGCAATATGAAGTTCTTTTTTTTTTTTTTTTTTTTGAGTCGGAGTCTCACTCTGTCGCCCAGGCTGCAGTGCGGTGGCGCGATCTTCGCTCACTGCAGGCTCCGCCTCCCGGGTTCACGCCATTCTCCTGCCTCAGCCTCCCGAGTAGCTGGAACTACAGGCGCCCGCCATGATGCCCGGCTCATTTTCTGTGTTTTCAGTAGAGACGGGGTTTCACTGTGTTAGCCAGGAAAGTCTTGATCTCCTGACCTCGTGATCCTGACCTCGGCCTCCCAAAGTGCTGGGATTACAGGCGCGAGCCACCGCGCCCGACAGCAGTTATGAAGTTCTAAAAGCAAGTCTTAATCAGGAAGTGTCCTTGATCACCAACGGCTCGCCCAGGTGAGTAAGCTTTTTTCAGGAAAGCTGTTTTCTCAAAGTCCTTAAGTGTTGGGTAATTGTTTGGTAGAGACTTCCTGGAGTAAAAGGTAAAGTTAATCATTGGTTTATAGGATTTCTTTCTTGACAAGTGCTTCTTAGAACAAAAACTGTGGATACAGTGGTCTCATATCTGGGATCTGTCGGTTTTGCCGTGTTCTGCTGTGTGGACATGGGCACACTCAGGTCTCACCGAGCTGCCTTTAGAAAAGGCCCTCCACTGGGCTGCCCTTATAGCTCCCTCACCTCCCTTCCACGCATCAATATTCATGCATTTAAGCTGAAATTCTCAACCCTGTAAATGACAGGAGTAGAAGTTGGTAATACTTTCTTCTCTCCTGATGAAACATTATAGATGGGGCAAATAAGGGTAAAGAGTAGATGCAGGTTGAGTTATTTTAGAACTAAATTATCAGTATCACTAATCAGACAGTGAGATTTAAGGAAAAGTGTTCTTCAAAAGAAGAAATGAGTTGCTACAGAGAAAACAGTGACAGTTGGGGAATAGTGGGAACATTAATGGGATCTGCTTAAAGGGATTTGCCTACAATTGTACCTCAGAGGGCTGCATTATACCACAACCCACTGTGCAGGATTCAGGGAAACTTTCCCTCTCACTCTGAAGATTAACATCTAGTTTGGTCTAATTCAATTGATTATGGATAACTTAGAGGAAATGTAATAGAACAAATTGAGACCTGTATCTTTAATATTGCAGAGTAAGAGGGAAACAAGGGAAAAGGATATTGATATAAATTATAACTCATTTCCAGCCAGTAATATATCAATAAGTAGGAAAAATAATTTAGAAGTATGAAGCTCTACAATTCATAAGGTTTATTTAATGTATGCATACATACGAAACTTTTCCCATATATATGGAATATGAAATTCAAAGTAAAAGGCAATGCTTTGAAGGTAAGCATCTTTGAATAATGAGCATGAGTAATAGATTTACTATGAGAGAAAAAAGTAGAATAAAACCTTATTCAATTTCTAGAAGATAAAAGTATATACTTATGGCTACTAGAAAATAACAACGACCTTATGTGCATATAAATGCATTTATGTAAGTCAAACTCTTGAATATTAAAAAAATCATTCTCCTGAGAAACTCTTACTTAGAAAATAATGACAATGCAAAAACTATTGAAATAAGTAGGATTGAAAAAAAAACTTAGTGGATAAATCATGCTTTATATTTCAATTGAACAAAACGTTACAAATATATTCCCCTTTATTAAAAGAAGGAATTTGGAGGCACTGCTACCCTCAGGCAAAAAACCAATATAATGTTTGACATTTTGGGGATAGTGAACAAAGAAGGTGATAAACGTAGTGACAGCAATACGCATTTTTTCTGTTATGAACATTAATATTTATGCCTAATTTGAGAAGCTGCAACAATAATAATACAAAATGCATTTGGGGAAATTATAATAAGGTAATTTTAATGCTCTTGTATTATATTAAAAGGGAGTAGTAATAATGATTAATTTCAGCCTTCAATAATTTAATAATGCATAGTAAAATTTCAAGGGTAACCACTTTAAGAATCAAGGTAGAGTTTATAAGTCACAACATGAAAATAAAATGAAAGAGGGGACAAAATGACATTTTAAACTTCAATCAAAAAAGACCAGATAGAAAAAAAAAGAGAAAATATATAAATATTAGAAATATATCAGTAATGAAAATACCTAGATTTATCAGTTCTGCAAAAGGAGATAGACAAATTTTTCATTGAAGTTTTTTTAAGTTGAGAACACATACCTAAATTCAAAGGAGATTTAAACAACACACAAATATCGAATTGAACAAACATAAATAGAAATATATACTGCCAAACTCAAGAAGGTGAATTTCTACGAAACACTACAAAAGTGCTTATACAATGGGCCCCAAGTAATGTCCTAAAAATTTCAAAAAATCAGTGTCATACAAATAAGTTCTTTGATCACAATGCAAATAGCCAGAAATCAATAAACAAAAGATAAAGTTACAATTGAACGCCAAAAGAAAAACATAGTTTAACATATTCCATGGATCCAATAAAAAATAAAATAGAAATTACAGGATATTGCATCATAAAGTCTGCCCAAACTCAGACACCAGGCTTGAGAGACCTACCTTAAACTCATCCAATCTGAATTCTAAATCCTTATGTTTTCTTTTTTTTTTTTAATTTCCCCAATTTGAAACACTATTAAGATTCTGTCAAGGTAGTGTTCTCTGTTACTGCACTAAATCTAATAACCTTAGTTTTGCTTGATTAATGTGTTTTTCTGAAACCTTCTGGGGCTCAGCATTTGACAGAAGGCATTTAATGTGAAATTACATTAAGGCATCTTAATAGATGAGCATTACCTGAACCCTAGCTTTCTGTGTTTTCAGTGAATTGGGATGAATGATTGTTGCGTGGTTAATATTTTTTACTTACGTGCAAGACAAGGGGCTAAAGTCTTTCTTCCACGAAACAGAACCAAAAAGCAATAACAATGTTACATGACAAAACTTCAGTGATGCCGTAAAATATCATATTATGGAAATTTAAAACTTCAAGTGCATACATTTAAATAATAACTCAGGCTGTCGAAAGAAAAACTTAGGTAAATTAAATTTAACAGAGTTTAAACAAGCAAAGAACAATTTGTGAATTGGGCAGGCCACGGGACCAGAACAGGTGCAGTGTGACTTGGGCTGCCACGTGGTCAGTAACATATATCAACAGAAAAAGGATAGTGAAGTTTGGAAAATGGAAATGAGGGACAGAAACAGCTAGATTGGTTACAGCTTTGCTTTTGCCTTATTTGAACAAGGTGTGAACAGTTGGCCACCTGTGATTGGTCAAAGGTCAGCCACTGTGATTGGCTGAGACTTTGCTACTTGTTAAAAGTAAAAACGTGTTTACACATCTAGTGGATTAAAGTTCACTATGTATGGAGAGACCTTTAGGTGGAATTTAAAATATGTAAGGAGGCAGCTTTTTGGCCAAACTTAATTTGACAAGACTTAACGGTAATTATGCAAACATCCACATAAAGAAATAAACAGATGCAAAAATAAATAAATAAATAAAGAATACAACCAGTAGAAAAAGAAAATAATAAAGAAAAAAATAAATGAATAAGACATCAAAAGCTAAGTTCGAGGGCATCAAAAATGACCTTTTGTAAGCACATTTTAAATGTGCTTACAGAAAATGTTGTTTTTTTCAAAACTGATAAGCAAGTTACAAATTAAACTATGATCAGTAAAAAGGAGTTAATGCCAGTAAGCCTGAATTTGGAGTCTTTCAGATAGCTTTATTCATCCTTCAGTGGAGTGCTTTCTAAGACATTTTTAAAGTCACAATTGAATTTCTTTTCTTAGAGAATAGCATCAGTCTCTACTGGTAGAAATTAGAGGACAGAAAAGAATATTTGTCTTCCTTTTACAATTTTTCTTCTTTTATACTAACGTGTAACACCACATTAATAATGGCAAAGTTTCTATGATGCCTTCTTTGTTATAGCATATTTTTCTGATTTCATTAAAACTTTTCCTGGTTTCAGCTATTAATTCTCTGTTACTAACATGAAAAATGGAAGGAAGCTGGCTATTTGCCACAATGATGTTAGATTCCAGGTTTAATTTTTTCACCGCAGGGATGTGTGTGTGTAAGGTGCATGTCCACCTCTCTCTCATTATCTATCAATTTTGCTATTAAGCCCAAGGATATATATATCATAGAGATGAATAACAAAACACAAACTTTACTAGGAGATATTCTGAGTATCAATAAAGCAAATGCTTTTAACCTCAACTGACAAGGAATCTGCTCTTGTTAATCTACGTTTGCTATTGAAATCAGAGCATTTTATTCTCTTCAGCAAAGTCGGCTTTATTCTTGTATTTTTCATTTATTACCACAGGGAGTAGAACCTTGTTCTGGCCTCTAGAGTCCTGCTGTTTGGAATAGGCTCAATTTTTTATCAGTCTGAACATTTTCAATCCAGGTACAGAAATGTGATCTTCAGATTATGCATACTATAAATATTCATCATCTCCTGTTTTTCAAGTATTTAAATAAGCATTATATTTGTATATCAATGCTGCAGGAAAATTAAGTCTTATTTTGGTGTGGCGTAAAATTTCATCTAGGCAAAAGGACATAAAAGAAAAGTATTTGTTTCATAGATATATGTACAGAAAATATACAATAGCCTTAAAATCGTTTCTGCTCTTTAAGCAATATGAGAATACATACAAAGACATCTTCCTAGCCCAATATATTCTTTGATTTTGATATGCACTTCTTAAGTTATAAATGGTTTTAAGGACTTTCCTTATACTTTCTGAGAGTTTCTAATTTTTCTCTATTTTCTGTAATCATTAATTTCCTTTACTAATTTCTGTATTGAATCTATTTTCTTTATAAAAAATATTTTCTCCGAACTTTTTCCAAATTAAAGCTATAAACCCCATTGCTTTATATTTTTCAAACTTTTCAGTGTCTCATTTCATATTAGTTTTAATTTTCTTTTCATGAGATTTAATTTTTATGGAGATTTTTATTTGTTCCTTTATAAATTCCGTGTCTTCCTGAGAAAGCCTCTAACATTTCAGTTAGAAATAAATTTATCCAAATTACTTCTTGTGTTTTGAAGGTTTTATTTCATTTAATCATTTAATATTTGACTGGTATTAACATTATTCCACTGTAAAATGAACTTGTATAATTTATGATTATTTATATAGAAAAGCTGTATTAGTTTTTCTGTTGCTATAAAAAATTTATTATTTTTTTCTGTTGCTATATTTAAAAATCAAGCTAAAGCAGCCACTCCTACCATCACAAACACACACACACACACACAAGCATGATTCTATACACACACACACACAAATTAGGACCTTTTTCTCCTTAAATCCCAGCAATCATTGTCACTACAGATATCATAAACAGCAGGAACAGATGCTCAAATGTGCCCTTAGGGCAGCCTCGCATGCTCTGAAAGGTATAGCCTTATGGTAGATATAATTCCAATACTTTTTAAAAGTGAGAATTAAAAAAAAAATTAGTTGTTTTTACCAAGCTAGCAAAATTGATAAGGAAAACACAAAATACTTCATTATTGTGTATGTCTTGATTTTATAACTAGAAACCCAAAGAACATCCATGATTAAATACCCACTCGTCTGCACTAATTTGAAATGCCACCTGTAGTCTGGAACACATTTCTGTTCTCAATGATATTTTCCAGTGACGACCACACCGGTGTCTATCCTAGTCACTGCCCTTCTTTCTTCCGTGACGTTGACACTGCCCCAGTGAGAGACGGGTCTGTTCCCTTCCCTCGAACCGGAGCAGACCTTTGTATCCAGCTGGACTGACAGACTATAATGAGAATGATGCTATGTGACTTCTAAGGCTGGTCTGTAAGAGGCTTCTCCCTTGTTACCGTCTTTCTTGGGAAATGCACACTGGGAGTCCTGAACCTGTAAATTAAGTCCAGTTATCCCAAAACCGCCAATGAGAAAAGAGACCATAAATAAACTGAAGGAGATTCCTGATGGGAGCCAGGAGTCTTAGGCCTCAGCAGTTTGAGTCTTCCCAGTCTGGGGTTCAGACGGCCAAGGGTGCCCTTCAGATGCCTCCAGGGCTCTAGTGGTTGGAGCTGACACCAAGAGGATCCCAGACAAGCTGCCTCTTCGGAGGGCTGCCCAATTTGCAGATTTGTTATCTAAAATTTGAAAGTGGTGTTTCCTATGACAATTAATAATGGAAACTATTTCCATGTATCTTTCATTATTTTACTATAACTCATTGATCTACATTTTTATTCCCCTGTAGATACTAGCTTCTAAAAATTCCTCTACCTTTAAAAGATCAAATGTAGCAGGGAAAAAAAAATTTTTCCTATTACTCAAAATATCCTGGGTTTTTTTGTGATTTCTTTTTTGCTTTTTTTTCCAGAAAACCAAATTAATTTAATATCTCCTAGCAAAACAAATCAAAACAAACAAACACTATTTAGTTAAATTGTTATCCCACTGAATGTTCAGAAGAATTAAGAAATAATTGCTAGAATCATTCCCTAAGCTTGAAGAGCAAGTTATGCTTTAAAATTTTAAGACATATGTTTTGATTTAAAGAAAACGTTTTACAATTGTATTTGTATAAGCTAATATAACACAGACTATTTCCTTGCAATAAAAATGCTCAATAGATTTAGTTATTATTATAGGCTTGTGAGTTTTTTAAAATTTTTGTCTTTTGATAAGTTAATTCCATTATATTTTAAATGGTTATTTTATTTTTAGTATTGATTTTGCATATTAATTTTATAACCAGTCATCTTTTTACCTTCTTTTTCCATTTATAAAATTTTAGATTATTTTCTTTGGGTTTCTAGTTGTAAAATTGGGACATATAAAATAATAAAGTATTTTGTGTTTTCCTTATCAATTTTGCTAGCTTGATAAAAACAACTAATTTTTTTTTAATTCTCACTTTTAAAAAGTATTGGAATTATATCTACCATAAGGCTATGGCTTTCAGAGCATGCAAGGCTGCCCTAAGGGCACATTTGAGCATCTGTTCCTGCTGTTTATGATATCTGTAGTGACAATGATTGCTGGGATTTAAGGAGAAAAAGGTCCTAATTTGTGTGTGTGTGTGTATGGAATCATGCTTGTTTGTGTGTGTGTGTGTGTGTGTGTGTGTGTGTGTGTGTGTGATGTGAGCAGTGGCTGCTTTAGCTTGATTTTCAAATCTCAATTTTCTGCACTCTAGCTATGGAATTTGCTTGTCTAATGAATATATTGTGAGGAGATAAGATTGTTAGCACAGTGCCTGACAAGTAATAAGCAGTTAGTATATGTTCTCTCTAATATAATTATCACTAAGTGTGTACATTTTAGCTTTATTTTTTTGAAAAGCATTGTTATCTACGTAGATATTGAGCTTTTTTTTTTTGTATTTGTTTTGTTTTCTGATTGATCTTGTAACTGTGATGGAGTAAATGCAAATAGGATTACTTAGATAAGGAAAATATTTTTGTTTTAAGTGGTCTTACATTCAAAAATTATTTTTTAAAGATTTATAAGACCGTGGATGGTTTCAAACTTAAAAATATTGAGGAAAATTCCTCCTTGATAAAATAGAAGAATGTTTCTCTTGGATCATTTGTAAAAGGAAGTTACTTTAAATTTGTGTTACTTCTGTAACATGATTTGTAGATCTTTATTTTTCTTTCGTTGTTTGAGATGGGGTCTCGCTCTGTTGTCCAGGTCAGAGTGCAGTGGCATGATCACAGCTCACAGCAGCCTCGTCCTCCCGGGCTCCAGTGATCATCGCACCTCTGCCTCCTGCAGGAGCTGGGACTATAGGCACAACCCCACTGTGCCTAGCTAATTTGATTTGTGGATCTGATCTTTTCATATCTGGATATAAAATATTTAGTATATTCTGTAGATCCTGATATATATCTTACGATCTTGGCCAATAAATATTTGTTTTATAGAATAATTCAACTTGACTGTATTGTACGTATCATGTTTTCATTTTTGTAAAATAAATGCCAAGAAGTGCAATTTCCAGGTTGTATTGTAGTTATGATAGTTGCATGTTTGTTTATTTTGGAAACCGCCAAACTATTTTCCACAGTGGCTGTACCATTTAACATTCCCATCAGCAAAGTTATGAGTAATTCAGTTTCTCCATATCATCACCAGCATTTGGTGTTTCACTATATTTTATTTTGGCTATTCTGATAGGTGTATAGTAATAGCTCATCGTGGTTTGAATGTGTATTTTCTTACCAGGTTGTGATTTTCAATATGTTTCACAAGTATTTTTTTGCCATCTATATCTTCCATGAAATGCTTAATCATATCTTTGGCCCATTTCCTAATTGAATTTTTTTCATTGTTGAATTTTGAAATTTTTTTTCTATATTCTAGGTACTAATCCTTTGTCAGATGTTGTTTTGCAAATATTTTCTTCAAATATGTAGGTTGTCTTTTTTATCCTTTTCACGAGAGCTCTCACAGAACAATAGCAATTAATAATGAGTTCTAATTGATCCATTTTTCCTTCCATGAATTGTGCTTTGGGTGTTGCTATGCTTTGTGGCTCCTGAAGTTCACGTGTTAAAAACTCAATTCCCAATGCTATGTTGAGAGGTGGGACCTTTAAAAGGAGACTAACGGATAAGCATTGTTACTGCTTGAGTGGGTTAGTTATTGTGGGAGTGGGTTCCTGATAAAAGAATGCATTTGGCTCCCTTCCTTTCTCACAGGCATGCTGGCTCTCTTCCACTTCCACCTTCCACCATGGGATGACGCAGTAAGAAGGCCATCAGTAGATGCCAGTCCCTCAACCTTGAACTTTCCAGACGCAGAACTGTAAGAATGAATCTTTGTTCATTATAAATTACCCAGTTGCAAGTATTCTGTTATGATAGTGTAGCACAAAATAGATTATTAAGATGAATGTCAAGCATTAGAATGTTAGTCAAGCTGTAAATCTCAAAAATTTTCCTCCTATGTGTTTTTCTAAAAGCTGATGGTGTACATTTTACATTTAACTCCATCATCCATTTTGAGTTAACTTTGTATAAACTGTGAAGTTTAATTTGAGATTGTCTATTTTATAGATGTTAATTGCTTTAGTAGCATTTATTGGAATGGCTTTCCTTCCTCCATTGAATTGCCTTTGCATCTTTGAAAACAGTGAATTGGGCATATTCATGTGAGTCAATTTCTGAGCTTTCTACTGTGTTCCATGGATCCATATGTCTATCTCTCCACAAATATTACCAAATCTTGACTGTAGCTATATTATGTCTTGAACTATGGTAGACTAATTTTTTCTGTCTTTTTCTATCTAAAAATTCATCTAACTACTATAGTTTTTTTGCCTTTCCATAAAAATATAAAATAATCTCATCTGTATTTACAAATAATTTTTCTCTCATTTTGAGATAAATTGCATTAAGATTGTATATCAACTTGGGGAAAATTGTCACTTTACTATGTTGAATCTTTAAATCCATTAACACAGTGTGTTTTTTGATTTCTTTAGATCTATGATTTCTTTCATCAGCATTTTGTAATTTTCAACATATATATCTGTACTTGTTTCATAAGATTATGCAAAATGGAGTATTTTTTTCTTTGTATTGATTGTAAATATTATGTTTTGATTTTCAGTCTTCACATATTCAATGTTAGAATATAAATATCTTGGTACTGTTTGGATATTTGACCCCTCCAAACATCGTGTTGAAATTTGATCCCCAGTGTTGGAAATGGGGCCTAATGAAAAATGTTTAGGTCATGGGGGCAAATTACTTATGAATGGCTTGGTACCATCCTCAGGGTAATGAATGAGTTCTCCTTCTAGTACTTCCCATGAAAGCTGGTTGTCAAAAGAGGCCGGCCCCTCCCTCCTCCCTCTCTTACTTCCTCTCCTGTTGTGTGATCTTTGCACATGCAAACTCCCATTCACCTTCTGTCATGAGTGGAAGCAGCCTGAAGTCCTCACCAGAAGCGGATGCTACACCCATGCTTCTTACGCAGCCTGTGGAATTATGAGCCAAATAAACCTCCTTTCTTATAAATTATCCAGCCTCGGGTATTCCTTTATAGCAACACCAAATGGACTAAAGCATGTGAATATTTTTGCATGCTTATCTTGCTTATCCTACTCATTTTGGGCTTTTCTTTTCTTGAAATTTTCTGCATAGACAAACATGTCATCTGCAAATAGGGATATTTTATTTCTTACGTTTTCCTCGGTATTTTCTTAAACTTTCTTTTCAGACATTTTTGTTCTGGCTATAACCTCCAGTATTAAGTTGAATTAGAGTATTAAATAAAAGCAGTAAGAAAAGATATTCATTTTTACTTTTTTCCTGCTCTTGACGGAAAACGTTTAGTCTTTCCTGATGAAGTGTGAAGTTAGTTAGCTGCAAGTTTTTTTTGTAGCTGTCCTTTACAAGTAAAACTTTACTATTTGTCGATGACATTTATCAATATTCCTTCATTCCTAGAATTGCCAAGAGTTTTTGTCTTCAATGAACGTTGAATTTTGTCAAGTAATTTTTCTGTGTCAATTGATATGATCTTGTAATTTTTCTGCGTCAATTGATATGATCTTGTAATTTTTCTTTTCTAAACTGTTAAAGGTAAATTATATTGGCTTTCAATTATTGAGCCAGCCTTGCAACACTGAAATAAACTACAGTTGCTCATGTGTAAAATTCTTTTATATATATTGATAAGTGCTATTTGTTAATATTTTATAATAACTTTTACATTTTTATTCACAAGGGATATTGTTCTGTAGTTTCTTTCTTTTTTTCATTTTATGTACTGTCCTTGGTTTTGGTATCAGGGTAATGCTGACTTAAATTTAGTAATGATAAAATGAATTAGGAAGTGTTCCCTCCTCTGATGTTTTTTGGAAGAAATTGTATAGAAGTGATGTTAATTTTTGTTTAAATGTTTGGTAAAATTCTCCAGTAAAATTATCAGCATCTGGATATTTTATTTTCAGAAAATTTTAAGATCATGAATTATATTTCCTGAATAGTTAAAGGATGTATTTCATATTGAGTGAGATGTGGTACTGGGTGCTTTTTGAGAAATTTTTCAATTTTAAAGAAATTTTTCAATTTTATCTATTCGTCAAATGTATGTGTGTAGACTTTTTCATAGATTTTCCTTATAATCATCTTGACATCTACAAGGTCTGTAGTGATTCCTCTGTTCCATTCTTATTATTGGTGACATCTCTTCCCTTTGTTTTCTTTTTTGTTAATCTTGATGTAAGTTTGTCAATTTTATTGATATTTTCAGGGAAATTGTTCTTTGGACCATTGATTTTATCTTTTGTTTTTCTATCTTTATTTCAATTGATTTCTGGTGTTTTATGATTTTCTTTTTTCTCTGCTTTAGGTTTATATTGTTCTTTCTTTTCTAGGTTTCTGCAACAAGATTTTAGATTATTAATTTATGTCTACATATTTTTAAATAAACTTTTTAATGAATTTTTATATTTACAGAAATATTGCAAAGGCAGGACAGAGAATGTCTACTCCAAGTTTCTCTTATTATTAACATCTTACAATATTAAAGCATATTTTTCACCATTAATAAACCAGTATTCATACATTATTATCAACTAAGGTTCCTTCGAATTTCTTCAGCTCTAATTGTCCTTTTTCTGTTCTAGCACTTGATCCAAGATACTGCATTGTATTTACGTGGCAGGTCTCCTTAGACTTCTCTTGGTGGTGGTAGTTTGTCAGACTTTCCTTATTTTAATAATCATGACAACTTCCAGAGATTAGGAAAAGTATCCCTACTAATGTGTTTTAGAATGTTCCCCAATGGGGGTCTGTCTTATGTTTTTCTCATGATTAAACTATATTAACGTGTTTTTGAGAGGAAGACAGAAGTGGAATGCCATTCTGTTCACATCATATGAAGGGCGTTTGTTATAAAATGACTTAACCCTGTCAACACTAACCTTATTTACTTGGCCTGAGGTAGTGTTTCTCAGGTTTCCGCACAGGAATATTACTGTGCTCTTCTTCGTTTCCAGAGTGCACTCCTTGGAAGGAAGTCACTATAGATATCCCACGCATGTGGAGAGGGGAGCTATGATCCACCTCATGAAGGGCAAGGTAGCTATATGAATTTGGATTTATTTTGCACAGAAGATTTGCCTATTCTTCCATATCTGTTTACTTTATTCAATTTTTTTATATCTTCACGGATTCATGTTATTTCACTTAATACTTTGGGTTATAATCCAATGCTATTTTATTTATGTTGCTGCTCAAATTGTTCTACCTTTGGTTATTGGATGCTTTTTCAGTTAACTCTTGTATTCTTTGACATAATTCCCATAGTGTGTGTGTGTGTGTGTGTGTGTGTGTTGAGCACTTTCTTACTGTTACAGCAAAATGGTCCAGGTTCCTCTTGTATATTTTCTTAACAAGTTTTAAAATCATTCACTTCTCCAACATGCTATGGCTCTTTTTATTGGTAAAGATCTCAGTTTGAGGTTTATTTACTGCTGCTAGGATGTTATTCACTGATATGAGGATGTTATTCACTGCTACTCCCAGGCTTTCTCAGTTTAAAGATCAAGGGGATATATATGTGTACACTAACTCATGTTAATATCTACACATGTCTGTAAATATTTCTGTTAGCATCTGTATTTCTATTAAGCTGAATATGTGTTTATTATGATGTATACAAATTTAGTCCATTTCTATTTGCTGTGTATCCTTGTCAGTAATTGGTAATGGCAGTTATTGGATTTTAGCCATTCTAGTAGGTGCATATAGGTACCTCATTGCTTTATTTTGCAACTGCATAGTGAAAAGGACAGGGAACATCTTTTCATATGCTCATTTTCTATCTGTATATCTTATTTGGTGAAATGTCTGTTCACAGATTTGGCCAGTTTTATAATTGGTTTGTTTGATGTCTTATTGTTGAGATTGAAACATTCTTTGTAAATTTTAGATACAAATTTTTTACATATATGTGTTGTGAAAACATTTTCTCTAAGCTTGTAGTTAATCGTTATATTCAGTTAACAGTATCTTTTTCAAAGCATAAATTATTATTTTATAATTAGCTTAAAATTATAACAAAGTTATAATATTAGCTTATTCTTTCTTTCTTGGATTGAGCTATTGTTTTCATATATAAAAATCATTACTGAACCCAGATATTATATATTTGTCCTGTTTTATTTAAGAAAATTTACACTTTTGTACTTTACATTTAGACCTATATTTTATTTTTCATCCATTCTGACAATCTCTGTCTTTTCTTTTCACTTTTAAAGCAATTATCAATATATTTGGGTTAATATTACCCATATTTGTTTCTGCTTTCTACCTTTAACAGATGCTTATTTTCTGCCATCTTGGGATTTGACAGATTTTATGATTTCCTCTGGTCTTCCATCTTCACGCATCAATTCTACTTCTTTTGCACATTTTTGTAGTCATTTCCCTACAGTCCATATTCTACATTTTGACCGGATCTATGTCCACCTTTAAATAGACGATTCCTCTTTATAAGCAGTGCAGTGCCTTATAAGAGAGTATTCCCTATTTCTCCTTCCCACAACCCTAGTGGCATTACTGCCATTCATTTCACTTATCCATACACTATACATATTCATTCAGTGGATTTGTGGTATTATCACTTTAAACAGTTATTTTTTAGATCAATTAAGAATAACAAAAATAAAAGATTCTGTTATACCATTTTTTATTCATTCTCCAACATCCTTCCTTTAGATAGATTCCCACTTCCAACCTACATAATTTTTCTTCCCTCAAACAAAATCATTTTTTGAAGGACAGGTCTGCTGGTATTTTTATTCCTATGTTTTGTCTATTCAAGCAAGATTTTGTTTTTTTTTTTACTTTTGAAAGATAATTTCATTGGATATAGAGTTTTGATTGGTGCTTTTCTTCTTTTAACAGTTTAAACATTTCATTCCATCATCGTGTTCCTGGTTTCTATGAGAACTCCACTGTCATTCTTATTCTTGTTCCTCTAAATGTGAGGTATTTTTTTCTCCTTGGGCTTCTTTCAAAATTTTTCTCATTGACTCTGGTTCGCTTATGACATGCCTAGGTGTAGTCCATTTTGAGTATTATGTAATGAGACACCAGATCTTATTTCAACCTTCTGTTTTGGCTGGATTTCCTCTGAAACTGCTCTGGCAGCAAAGGAGGAAGGGTTACTCCCAGCTAGGGTTATAATTCCAGGTCCCTCACCTGGCCGCTGGGGAAGAGGCTCCGCATTACTGCGTGACAGAGATGCAAGTTCTGAATCACCTCTAGGCCTCCACTGAGACGCTCCATCTGGGATGACTGGAATTTTGGTTTCTTCTCACCACCTCCACTGAGACGCTCCATCTGGGATGACTGGAATTTTGGTTTCTTCTCACCACCTCCACTGAGACGCTGCATCTGGGATGACTAGGAATTTTGGTTTCTGCTCACCACCTCCACTGAGACGCTCCATCTGGGATGACTAGGAATTTTGGTTTCTGCTCACCACCTCCACTGAGACGCTGCATCTGGGATGACTAGGAATTTTGGTTTCTGCTCACCACCTCCACTGAGACGCTCCATCTGGGATGACTAGGAATTTTGGTTTCTGCTCACCACCTCCACTGAGACGCTCCATCTGGGATGACTAGGAATTTTGGTTTCTGCTCCCCACCTCTACTGAGATGCTCCATCTAGGATGACTAGGAATTTCTGGTTTCTGCTCACCACCTCCGCTGAGACGCTCCATCTGGGATGACTAGGAATTTTGGTTTCTGCTCACCACCTCCACTGAGACGCTCCATCTGGGATGACTAGGAATTTTGGTTTCTGCTCACCACCTCCACTGAGACGCTCCATCTGGGATGACTAGGAATTTTGGTTTCTGCTCACCACCTCTACTGAGATGCTCCATCTAGGATGACTAGGAATTTCTGGTTTCTGCTCACCACCTCCGCTGAGACGCTCCATCTGGGATGACTAGGAATTTTGGTTTCTGCTCACCACCTCCACTGAGACGCTCCATCTGGGATGACTAGGAATTTTGGTTTCTGCTCACCACCTCCACTGAGACGCTCCATCTGGGATGACTAGGAATTTTGGTTTCTGCTCACCACCTGGCCTCCTTTGACACACCCAGCGGGGAGGCAGGGTGGGCTCCTCATTACTGCTAAGTGGGGGAAGAAGTTTAGGCTTTCCCCCGTGGCAATGGAGACCTGTCTCCTTACGTGGCCCTCTCTGACACCAACCCATGGGAGTGAGACATGCCCTGTAAGGGGCTTTGGTGGCCGTGGAGGCAAGGAACAGTTTCTCTCACTGTGTTTGGCTGGAGTAGCGTGGGGTTGCCGAAAGTCTTCTGTCTGCGGAGGCTGTACCTTTGGCCCTTTGGCAAGAGAGCAGTCTTTGGTTAGGATTTCCAGGTTGCTGGCTTCTTTATCTCCATTTCTGGGATATATGTGCCAAATAAAACAAAATGAAACAAAAACCAGGGAACACACAGTCATATAGTTCTTTTAAAGCACTACATGGCCAAAGTTTTCAGCCAGTGTGCTTTCTTCTTTTCGTATTTCAGAGTCTCCTTATGTTTATTTTGTACACAATATCCTAGGTTTTACTAAATGGGAAGAATAAGAAGAAGTATGTCTACTATCTTTCTATTCTAACAATATTTTGTTATTATATAATAAAGTCCATTTTAATATTATTGAGAGGTATTTATTTAGAAAATGCTTTTTAATGATTTTAGGTAATCTTCACCTATTTCTATGTATTTTTATTCTTCTGCATGCTAACATTTCTCTTTTATGTGTGTTTTATCTATTTCCATGTGCCAGGTTATTTCCTAAACTGGCATTTTGTTATTAGAGCTAACATAGTCAATTTAGAGCCATGAGAGAAAAGATCTTTCTTTCTCTCTCAGTAGATCTTTTTACGGTCTGATAGGAAGATCGGGAGTTCAGAGGGCCTTCATTCAATTGTAAATCCTGCTGTTTATTCTCTAATCTTATTCTATGATTTTTAAAATGGCAGAGTTGAATGTTTATTCTGATAATGCCTGTTTTATGAGCCACACTGTAGCTTGGAAGCATCTGCATCCCCTATACTTTGTGACATGTTACATGGGTATTGCACGAGCAATCCAAGTATTAAGAGCAACCCAACCAAGATATTCCTATTGATGGCAAGCCACTGAATTTGAATGCAAACAATAAAAACACAGGTGATGAGCTGTCAAAAGTTATGCATTTTTGATCGATTACTGCATTAAAACACTATTGTATAAGACATAGCTCCAGACAGACAATCGCCTTGTGAGATTAATCTAGATTCACAGGTGAGTACTACTTTTTAAAAGTCAGCATTCTTTACATGCCAGAGTTGTCAGTCTTACAGTTTATTCAAGGATTATTGGCCACTCCACAGTCTGTTGCATGTATCCTGAAAAGCATATTGTCATCCACTTATGACTCCCTCTCATGTTAAATGGAGTAGCTGCACCTTTGAAAATGGTGCATTGATTACCTAATTTTCCTCTTCCCCCTAAAGCATCCAACATTTGTGTTTCATTTGTAGTGCTACTTTCCTTGCTCAGAAGTATGGACTTCATTTCATCCATTTCCTCAAGCCAATTGATGGGCTGAGTGATTGGCAGTGGATCTGATTGCCAGGTTTCATTCACCCATGAGCTGTACACACCTGTTCCTCTGCCGGTTCAATAATATTCTCAACACATACAACGCGACTCTGATGACAAAAGCTCCATAGCTTGATTGAATTCCTTAGTGCCTCTTTTCTATGCCTTTTTCTGAGATTCCCACTCTTATTAACCCTTTCAATTGTATACTTCCCTACATTTCTTCTTTAATGATTATTTCTTTGCACATGTTTAGAAAATTTGCATTACAAGACTAATATTTTACTATTTCCTTACATTTTGAATTCTCAACAAAAATCACCCAACTACCCCCTGACGTAATTCTTAGCAGACCAAAAATCCAAATAATTTTCATTCTAATGTCATATCTCATACACTTTGTAAGGAATCTATTTCTTTCAACCTCCCATTCTCAACACTTCACATTGTACAGTGCTCTCTGTTTAACGATTCAAAGCACTGAAAATGTTTTAATGATTTGTTTTCTTATTTTCCACATTATCTTTAATTCCATAAATGCCAAACTTGCCTGGGCCTTTTACAAACAAGCTAGGAATATTAAAGCCATAGATACACAATTTTACTTTAGGTTTAGTTACATTGTGATTTAAAAGTTCAAAATCTCAGTGGTTAAAACAGTAAGGCCTATTTCTTGCTCAAGCTGCAAATTCATAGTAGGTTGGCTGAAGTTCTCCTCCATCTTTTTCATTCTGGGGCCATCATTATCTACTTGTTTGTTCACTGATAAGCTTTTACTTTTCTCTCTTCTCTATAGAAAAAAAAAATACTCTCTCACTTTTTCTTCCCAAACCATGTAGCCATTTTTAACTATTCCATCATCAATTAGTTTCTAGCTAATATTCTCTGACCAAATCTAGTGACTTCCTTCCTCCTATCGTTTTAGCTACTTTTTATGTACAATCCTCCCTGATAATGTTCACATTATATTCTCTAGCTGTAATGTGTTTAAAAGCGTGCGTGTGTGTTTATGTGTGCGCATATATGTGCATATTCTCTAGATGCAAACAGAGGAGGAATTAATACAGAAACTTAGTTTGCTTTCTCTCAGCATCGAATATGGACTTTTGAATGAATTATCTACATGTGTCCTTTTGGAATCATTGATAGGAAAGCATTTGATCTCTTAGAGAAAATGAATAAGATGCAGTAATATATAGTTACCATTGTCAATGAGGCTCAGAAAAGTAAAATAAAATAAATACAGATGCTTTGAAATAATATAGGTACTACTGTACAACATGTTTACAAATTACTGACTACAACTATTGGATGTGTTTTAAGAGTATTTTTGTTCTTAATGTCTTGGTTGTGGCACTGAATATTTGTATTTTGAAAGTTTTATGTTCACAAAAAGCATGTTGCTCTGTTTCGTTGTTGAGCTGGGTTATAATTATGTTAACTCTTATGTTTACTCATTGGCTTTTAGCATTTCCTAACTTCAGTGATTAGATTAAATTATCCTACCCTAAACAAAGTTATAGTTTTTCATTTATATGAGTGATTATTTTATCATAGTTATCCCTTCTACTAAACTATGACAGCTCTAAGGGTAAAAGACATATGAATATTTGGCTATCATTGTATTCCCAGAGCCTAGCATAGAGTACCTTGTTGAAAAATATTTTTGATTTAACAAATCAATACAAAATATTTTTGTAGGTACTATTTTGTAGCTATCTATCTTGTAAGGAGCAGATGATATATATATCCATATGATCTAGATATGTTTACCCTCTAAGTGAAAGAATATTTCAAACAATTTAAACATTTAATGATATTTTATTTAAACTTTTCTCATTGTGTTCGTCTTGTGAGATTAAATTTGACTCCAATTAATTTTGACATTAATAAAAGGGCTAGCACATATATTTATACATATAGTCACTGTGATAAAAACTAAGACCTTTCAATTGCAAATGGTAGCAAATCAAGTTCAAACAGAATGGAGTTTACTGACGCATGACACCAGGAAGTACAGGGATAAGGTTGACTTAGTTAACAAATACACACAAAAGTACAAACAATGTGAATGTGAATATGATTAGAAATTTAATCTCTCTCTCTCTAATCTCTATCATTTATTCACTCTCTTTCTCAGAACTGGCTTCATTTTCAGATGGTTTCCTTTTAAAAGTTGGCCCGGGCAACTGCCATGTTAAATCTTTCTTATCCAGCAGTGAAAGGTCACTAAAGCATCTTTTTCTAAATAGCAGCTGCAAAATTCTCTGGTAAAACTCTCTTTGATCCATGATGTTGTGCCACATCCAGATCCCTGATTCCATCGCTGAAGTGATTGGGCTCAGCCTTGCGACCACAGGGTGAGAACAGCCTCATGTAAACAAGGACTCAGATGGGAGAAAAGTGGTTTCTGAAATGGTTGCTAAGGAAGCAAAACTGTGATTGCTGCAGTAGACAAGATAAGCGGGGGAGGGGTGGTCTCATTCCTGACCCCCAGGTGGGACACAACAACTTGTCTTTCATACCCTTAATGAGAGAACAATGCCTCGTGACTCATTTTACTTTTCTCAGAAGGTTTTTAGTTTAAAATATCTTTGTTTCTTTCTCAGCAGCAGAACTAAGATTCAGCTCACCTTTTACTTAAAATTCTCTGAATCCAAATACCAGGATGTAGTTTTCTATTAAGCACTCAATTGATTTGTAGCTTTTCTCTCCAGTTTTTTTTTTTTTTTTTTGGAGACGGAGTCTCACTCTGTCGCCCAGGCTGGAGTGCAGTGGCGTGATCTTGGCTCACTGCAAGCTCCGCCTCCCGGGTTCACGCCATTCTCCTGTCTCAGCCTCCCAAGTAGCTGGGACTACAGGCGCCTGCCACTACACCCGGATAAGTTTTTGTATTTTTAGTAGAGATGGGGTTTCACCGTGTTAGCCTGGATGGTCTCGATCTCCTGACTTCGTGATTCGCCCGCCTCGGCCTCCCAAAGTGCTGGGATTACAGGCGTGAGCCACCACGCCTGGCCAGTTTTTCTCTCTGGTTTTCTATGTACATATCCCTGAAGTATTTACTATGTGCATATCCTTTTCTTACCTGGAGTTTAAGTTGATATAATCTTAAACTATTGACTGGCTTTTATATCAAATAGCCATATTATACTCCCTCCTTCGTATAAAAACTACAGCATAACTTGAAACAAGTTATAATGTGTTTAAAGCTATTGCACTCATTACTCATTGATTTACCTTTGTTAATCAACTTATATATGTATTTAAAAAATCAAACATATTATGAAAACAAGTGTTGTCTTCTGGGGAAATAGAAAGACAGACATAAAGTCATCTTAGTTGTTCCAGGAACATGTGGTTTACTTGAGAGCATAGTCACTGGAGCATTGCCAATACATAGTACTGCAAGTCCAAGCCAGCGTGTGATCAGAAACACACAGATCACAAATCCCACAAGAGTTTTCAGAATTATGAAGGAGGCCTTTCTGGGATGTTTAGATGAGATTCTTAAAATGAATTATATTTTAGAAGGTAGTGGGAAGCAGGAGAGTTGTAAAACTTCTTCCTGTGATGGGTAACAATGTTCATTTTTAAATAATCTGTATTAGCGAAGCAGCGTTGTTGTCTGGGGTAAATACTCGAGATTTGTTGTCTTAAGGCCATGAACAACTAGGATGCAGACACACAGGGTGAGGTTCAGAGCGGAAGTTTAATAGGTGAAAGAAAGGAAAGAGCTGTCTCTGTTGCAGGGGGAAGGGTCCCTGAGAAATGGGTTGCCACTTTCTGGGTGAAATGCAGTGGATTTTATAGATGAGCTTGAGGATGTCGTATCTGATTTACATAGGGCACAAAAGATTGGTTGGACCAGGTGTGCTATTTGCATAGGGTGTGAAAAACTGGTTAGAGCTAGGTGTGCCATTTGCACAGGATTTGAATACCTGGCTGCCCCACCCTAAACTTTTATTTATTTTTATTTTTATTTTATTTTTTTGAGACTGAGTTTTGCTCTTGTTGCCCAGCCTGGAGTGCAATGGTGCGATCTCGGCTCACCACTACCTCCACCTCCTGGGTTTAAGCAATTCTCCTGCTTCAGCCTCCCGAGTAGCTGGGATTACAAGCATGTACCACCACGCCGGGCTAATTTTTTTGTATTTTTAGTAGGGACGGGGTTTCTCCATGTTGGTCAGGCTAGTCTTGAACTCCCAACCTGAGGTGATCCACCTGCCTTGGCCTACCAAAGTGCTGGGATTACAGGCCTAATCTTTTATTATACAGATGGGCTGTCTGCCTGGCCGGCGCCATGTTGCTTGGTTCTTTATTGCACACATGGTAACAAAGAAAACGGGAGATGGAGCCTCCATGTTGAACATGCCTGGTTTACAGGTGGCCCTTTCTATTGGCACATTTGCCAGCATTCCCCTGTGCAAGCTTTCCATTTCCTTATCTGTGTCTGAAGCTCGATTTTTCAGGCTGCTCTTTGTTAGAAAAGAAATGATTTGGGGGCTGCTTTTTATTAAAAGGGGAATTCTTCCAAGGACTCTTTTACCCTTACTCTGTGCCTAAGTAATTTCTTTCTATCTCCCATGTCAGTAGTATGTGTAGTAATAATGTTTACTTTCACATACTTGTTTGACAGAGATTATAGTTGGACTATAAACGATTTTCATAAGGAGTTGTATTTTCAGGTGTTGACAACAAGTCATAACTTAATTTGTCCATAGTTAGCTCTTTGATTTGTAAACTAATTAATGATACCATATTAACTTTGAAAACCAGGATTTTCTTTCAAAATTTACTGTAGAAATGTTGGATAAACCTCATACCATTTAGGATGTTAGAACCAGTGAGTCATAGCTAAAATTAAAATAATATAACTTACCATCCATTTAAGTGATTTGTATAATATTTATTTATTGGATAATACTTTTTTTTCCTAAAAATTGTTTTTAAAGATGTTTGTAACATACTACCTCATAAATTTTATGTGACTTAGCCCATTAATACTAAGGAATAAAATATTTAACTACATTGTTTCTGGACATGATATTACTGAATTTTCCTTTTAGAAGATAAATTCAGGAAACATGACTATAAATTAAGACAAAATATAAAAACTCTGTCATGAATGCTGTACAAATTATTCTCTTAAAATGCTGAAATATTTCCAGAGCCATCTGTAGCATGGACAAAACTTGAGAAGTAGGTTAGTGTGATCCTCACTTTTCCGTAGAATAAGGGTATTTTTATTCTCCCCGTTAACTTCCCATCTTGCCATAAAAGTCACCATCTTTAGATACCATGAGGACCTTAACATTCTGTTTGGCTTGACTTCTTAGACATATTTTTTCTTAACACTGTAGCCCTGACATCCTTTTACTTAGAGGATTTATTTTAGAATACTTGTAAGTTTAAATTATTTTTCTGCCCCTTTGAAATATAAGCATTTTTTGAAACCTCCTCCCTGTTTTCAGAGCCAGGCAATGTCTTTCACAGTGACCTTTGAGGTGTCTCTTAGACATGCAATCGTCGGCCAGGCACGGTGGCTCACACCTGTAATCCCAGCACTTCGGGAAGCTAAGGTGGGTGGATCACTTGAGGTCAGGAATTCAAGACCAGCCTGGCCAACATGGTGAAACCCCTCGTCTCTACTAAAAATACAAAAATTAGCTGGGCGTGGTTGTGCGGGCCTGTAATCTCAGCTACTCGAGAGGCTGAGGCAGGAGAATTGCTTGAACTCTTGAGGTGGAGGATACAGTGAGCCAAGATCGTGCCACTGCACTCTAGCCTGGGCAACAGAGTGAGACTCCATCTCAAAAACAAACACACAAAAAAGAAATGCAATCATCAGGGAAGATGGTGCCTCTGTCTTCCAGCATCTGTGGGAGGGTAGGTGCCTAACCTCTGTGGGCATCTTGCTCCAAGTTGAAAAATTTCCTCCTATGATGGAGATAAAGAAAATTTTACTTTTACTTTGGTGAGAGGCCAATTAGGAAACACAGATGACCTAAGATTTTCCCCACACCAGCTCTTAAAACTTTTCCCTCTTTTTCAAGAAGCTGAGCTCAGACTCAGTTCTGATTCCTCTTCCTTAGTGCAAGAGTCTGGAGTAAAGTTTTCCGTGCCTGTTTAAATTTTCCTGGTGCAACTTCTACTTTGATAATATTCACTCATTATATAGCTCTTCTCTGTCTCTTACCTTCTGCTTCTCTGTAGCCATCCACACATCTATTTGCGTTGATACCTACCTTCGGGCATATAGAATGGCAGTAATGAAAATAGTTGCCATCTATTAAAATACTTGGTCAATTGGGTCGTGTTAAAAGTCAGAGTGTGGCCTATAGTTTACATGTTCAAAGGGAATTTTTTTTCTTATTAGTGTTATCAAATAGTCTTTTTACAGATGGTAACTGAATTCTTCTTTAAAAGCTAATTTTAAGAGTATAAACTTTATACGCAGTCAATACATACATCATTAAGTATCCATGTGGGTCCTAAGATTGCTTTATTTACCTCCACATATGCCATGTTGATGTGATATTGTGAAAGGAGAATACATCTCAGGACCTCAAACTCACTAAGCCAAAGGGAAAAGTCAAGCTGGGAACTGGGCCCCACAAACCTGCCTTCCATTTGATTCCTAAATAAGATAGCTACAAAGATAAAAAGCTACATACCTCCCTCACAGTTCCCTCCCCCCGCCCCCACCCCCACACAAAATTCCTTGTGGGACCCAAGATCTTTCCCCTAAAACAGTTCTGTTGAATTTCACCCTGGCAATGTAAATCGATAGTGTATCTTTGTGGGTACAGGGCAAAGGAGAAAACTCAAAGTCATCCCTCTGCTCACCTGAGACAAATGCATATCTGTTAGCTTCCTGTGCCCTATTGTCTATGTTATCTTATGTAAAAATGCTGATTCACTGAGCCAGATGAAGGTGTAAGTAACTATTCCTCTAATACCTGTCACATGTAAATTGTGTATTCAGTGAAAGGCTGATCAAATACTCAAAAGAATGCAACCATTTTGTTTTTCTATCTACTAACACATTTTACAAATATTTCTCTTATTCCAATATCTGCCCTTTCCCCTTTCAATATCGAAGCCTTCAAAGTCATCTTTGGAGAAAGGCATAGACCTGTCTCTTGAGTGCACGTCCTTAACTTTGACAAATAAACCTTATGAAATGATTAAGACTTTCCTCAATCATTATTTTTAATTTAAAATGTAAACTGGATATTCATATAACTAGAATGTTTTATTTATTAACTTTTAGCTCAAATTTTAGAAATAATTTTAAACCAACAGTGAAGTACAATAGTAGTAGAGAAAACAACAGCTGTATATTTTTTATCCAAATTCACATATTATTACCATTTTGTTCCATGCTTTTATCACATACTCTTTTTATACATTTCATTTCTTCCAGTTTGTTATTTGTCTTTCAACTTTGTTTTTGTGTTTTTATTTATTAGCCAGGCTATTGCTTTTAATGTAAAAATATATTCGCCTGCTTTATATTATATTTTGGCTTTGTATCATGTTTAGAATACTTTTTCCACTTTAACCTCTCTATAGAAAAATTTACTTATGCTTTCTTTTAATACTTGTGTCATGTTTTACATTTATATTATTGGTGAATTTCAAGTTTATCTGTGAGTTTGGTGTAAGGAATGAATCTTATTACATCGTTTCCCAGGTGACTATCTGGTTGTCCCAGGACATTTGATAAAAAGTTCATCTTTGCCCCAGTATTTTGAGATACAACATTTATTATTTACTGTATTACTGTGTCTATTTCTGGAATTTTTAATCTATCTGACTGGTCTGGTTTCTGCATACCTGTGCCAAGCTCTTTTTTTTTAAAGAGGCTTTGAAGTACACTTTGATAGGGTTCATCACTTCACAACCTCTTCCTTTTGGGATTTTCCCTATTATTTCTGTGTATTTCTTTTTCCATTTGAATTTTTATACACTTTAGACTCTTATTGCCTGGTCAAATTATTGGTCTATTTACACTAAGACAGGACAGGTCTAAATCCTATCTCATTGAAAATATACATTAACTTAGTGTGATATGACTTTGCATCAAGCTTAAGACACATTTTTATTTTTTGAAGGGTATATTTCATATTAGCTTAAAAATAAAGAAAAAGATTCTGAGCACAGGTTCCAGGATGACAGACAGAAATGAAAATGAAATCAACTTGTAGAATAGACCCCTAACAACACATACTCATTGTTAATTGTGAAGTGGTTATTAAGGGAACCACTTGAGTAGCTTTTCTTAATACTGCATGAGAGGGGGTAGCTTCTGTTGTTGTATAACCTGATTATGAAGGAAAAACTAACTACAAATACTTTCATCTTTTAGTATGTCTCTATCTTGGAAAAAGAAAGTCTAGACCATATATTCATTCATGGGTACGTGTGTGTGTTTGTGTGTGGGTGTGTGTGTGTGTGTGTGTGTGCCTAGTCAGTTCATTAACCACTATGCATAGAGGATAAATGATGTATAAAAACAGAAAAGGTGTCCAGGTGTGGTGGCTGACGCCTGTAATCCCAGCATTTTGGGAGGTCAAGGCGGGCAGATCACAAGGTCAGGAGTTCAAGACAAGCCTTACCAACAGGGTGAAACCCCATCTCTACTAAAAATACAAAAATGAGCCGGGCCTGGTGACGCGCCTGTAATCCCAGCTACTCAGGAGGCTGAGGCAGGAGAATCAGTTGAACCCGGGAGGCGGAGGGTGCAGTGAGCGGAGATCGCACCACTGCACTCCAGCCTAGGCAACAGAGGGAGACTCTGTCTCAAAAACAAACAAACAAACAAAAAACAGAAAAGGTAACTCCATTCAAAAGATCCTATTCTAGAAGATGAGGTATGTATTTGCTAAATAGGTGTAAACTTGTGACTTTCTTGAGGAAGTGACTTTTGAGCTAATATTTGAAGGCAGAGAAGGAGATAAAATGGTAGGCAAAAGCAAAGAAGAAAGTTGTGGCCAGTGTGGAGATGATCTGGAAACAGGAAGAATGGGGTCAAGGAGGAAAAAACGGAAGGCCAGGGTGTTTGGAGTGCAGAGCCCTACCGAGATCACGGTTTGAAGTGTGGTAAAAACATTCACGGTAGCCAGACCCTATAGATGTGTGCATGGCTTGTTGAAGTCGTTTCTGAAAACCACGAAGCCATTGATTGGACTCAGTTGACGTGAGGAGAGGAAAACATAACCTGGGCTTCAATATTAAAATAATCACTTTGGCTCATTTTTAAAGAACTCTTTTTAAGACAGTTTTTAAAAGAAGAGGGCAAGTTTGTATATGGAAGGTGTCCCCGGGTGGCTGCTGCAGATGTCCTGAGAGAGGTGATAGCTTCACATGGAATTATGGGGAAGGAAATGGTGCATATTTAAAATGGAAATAGCTATGGTGGTTTGGAAATGCTAAGGGCTGGAACTAAGTTTAATCTTAGGGAATGAAAGGATTGTCATACCCATTACTGACACAGAGAACTCTGGGGGAGAGCCCGCTTTGGGGTTAAGGATGCAAAGGCCAAAGTTGGCAACATTGAAGAGAGAGAGATTTCAAGTAGGAAGTTGCATATATAAGTTTGGAACTCAGAGGTGATATCTAAGTTGTTTTGTAAATAGACATATCTCACAATCATGCAATTTGTAAGTCTTTTATTTTAATAATTAATGGAGTTTCTGAAAGAACAGTGATTCTATCCACATGAACTTGATCATAAATAATCTGTAAGCTTGTGTTTTAGGTCAACTGTGCAAATATGGGAAAAGCACACAGCAATTCATAGGAGGATGATTTTCAGTTAGATCCATCCTATGGCCTAAAGGTTTGAGAAGAGCAGAATTAGAGGTACAAGACGAGTCTGTGTAGAAATAAAACAAAACAAAAACAAAATTTTGTTTTAGAAGAAAAAAATCCATATCTGACTAGTTCAGGAGGATTAGATGGTTCTCAAATGTCACGAAGAACTAGATTCTAGACCTTTGACAAACGAATTCACCTTGTGGAAACAGAGGGCTATTAAATAGAATTTGAGAGATAAGGGTTAGATGAGATAATGTTTGAGACTTCTTCACATTTTAATATGCTACAAATACATTATTTCTGGTTTTCTTTAAATGTCCCCCTCCACCCTGACACACACACACACACACACACACACACACACTCTTACACCCCTAATTTTCAACTTAGTTTATAGCAGAGTTTGCCATAGCAATTTATACAGCAATCTTCCTTACAAGATTCTGTTATCAATTCACATAAGATGAAAATTGTTGCGATTGCTTCAGAGTACCAGATTTTTTTTTCTCCAAAGGTCTGTGAGAAAGTATAATGTTCTCAAAGGTAACATTTCCCAAGAGGACACTGCCTCATTACCATTCCTCAAAAGCTGTTGGGGTTTCTTGGACCATGAAATGTGGTTTAAAAAAAAAATAGAGAAGGCATCCTTGTTTTTCTTTGTAGGCGATCATTAGCTTTAAGTCACATACACTTATTACTGATATTATTTATTGTCATTCACACTGGGTAATCTAAGTAAATTAATAAAACATTTAATACATTTAGATATGATATATTATATGTGTATAAGATTGGGAGCAAAACTCATATAACTATGATGCAAAACCATTACAAAGCACTATCTTGCACAAATATATATATGAAAAATCTGATTAGAATAAATTTTTATCAATTAGAAATCAATTTAGCGTTTCCTAAGTATTTTGTAGATGATTTTGTCTGTAGTAAAGTATTACATTATGTCTTGCATCAAGTCTCATGAATGTTTTACTACTCTCCTTAAATAAATTTGTAAGTAGCATTTGTGTTAATGTATCAGAAATCAAGCACCATAGTATTTAGTTGATACACCATATTTAGCATGTACTATAAGATATCGAGGACTGCCATTATTTCTATTCATCTGTCATGTTTTCCAGATTGTCAACTCATTACTAAATGTGTTTTGTTTAACTCTGTATCCCAGCATGTCTGGTATAAGTAATAGTGGCACCGGGCGTGGTGGCTCACATCTGTAATCCCAGCACTTTGGATCGCCTGAGGTCAGGAGTTCAAGAACAGCCTGGCCAACATGGTGAAACCTCGTCTCTACTGAAAATACAAAAATTAACCAGGCCTGGTGGTATGTGCCTATAGTCACAGCTACTCGGGAGGCTGAGGTAGGAGAATCGCTTGAACCTGGGAGGCAGAGGTTGCAGTGAACTGAGATTGAGCCACTGCACTCCTGCCTGGGCCACAGAATGAGACTCCATCTCAAATAAATAAATAAAAATACAAATAAGTAGTAGTGGCAGAATGGATACTTATTGATACAATAAACAATCTAGGGACGATTTACATTTTCCAGTCCCTCTTAAACACTCCTGGGCCAGGGTAAAACACTTAGCTGCCTGCTTAAGAAATGCTTTCTCCTGAAAGATACGAATGTGAGAATGTGAATGAATCGGTGCAGTTTGCTCTCAAGACCCTCTTCAAAAAATTTGCCTTCCTGTGCCTACCAATCCAAAGCTATTGTATCATAAGTTGTTCCTACCCAAAACTGCTTTAAAACCATCTGGATGAGAAATAAAACATTATAAATACCCTTCCTGAATTTTTTCTCTTTTGAGATACTGTGTTCTAGCAAAGTGGTATTCTTCTTCCCTACAGTAAATCTTGTAAAATGTACTCATCATGAGGTTTTTCTGTTGATCTGGAAAATGGTATCCATTGTACAACTATGACAATCTGGATGTTCCAACAAGATCAGATAGAAATATCCTCAGCATCACATTTCAGGCCCTTAAATCAGAAACAGCTCACTTCCCTGAGGCCCACAAAGCCTCTGACTACAATAGTAATAAGTATGCCCTGTGTTTTGACTAAACTGAAATGTCCTTTCTTGAAACTCTCAATCAGGAATTTCTTTTTTATGAATCTTTTGATAATCTGAATGGGGGTGAAAACTCTAACCCATGGGGAACAATTGATTGGTAACCAACCTCACTACACAATCAGTTCAATTTTGTTTTTTTGTTTTTGTTTTTTTTTCTCCACATTATTTGTTAACCTATAAAAGGAATTTCAAAGGGAAAAGGGTGCTTGTAGATCCTTCAAGTTCCTCTCTTCAGAATGTCTACATTGCTGGTCACTTCAGAAGGCTGCATTCCATCAGCCTCTTTATAGAACACACTTAGATTGAGTCACCTTTTCCACGTAGCAAAAGGGCTTTCATCAGTCTTAATGGTACTGAGAACAGCTTTGTTTTGTTTTGACTGTCTAGAGAATGTGTCATAGCTCCGGCTGGCAGTGACTAGTCTTTGGTCATGTTCTGGAGCCACCTGGTTTGCACACGTGTCGTTTTCACCAGCAAGTACTATTTTTATGGCTGTTCACCATTTGGCTCTACAGTACAAACACTTGCCTGCTTCGTCTTTTAACATACGTGTGTAATGCCCCGGTGGGATTCGTGGCTGTAAGGACGATAAGAAATTGCACTGGCCATGTAGGGGAAGCTCGACATGAATTATGTAGTTCATTTAAAATGCACATCAAAGAGAGATCACTTTGTTTAACATAAGTGAACTCTCCCTTCAATTAGATACAACAGTTACTGAACTATTAATATGTATACAAGAAAATTAATGTGGTTGGATTCTTAAGGAAAGCATTACAGTATATTAAAGGTGTAAATTCAAAGAGACTCATAGTTATTGAATACACTAAAATAGTTAATATTTTAGGTTAAAATGTAAACTTATCACCTAATTTAATAATGATGTTATACTAAACACACACATACAAGTATATTAAGATTAAATTAAAAGAATTTGCTGCTTGCCCCAACAAATATTTGCTTCTGGAAGCTAAGACTATGAAACAACTATTTACTTACATAAATCAAGTGAATTCTTCAAGATTTCTTTCAAGACATTGTTCTGTGCCTCCCAATCCAAGCTAGGATGTGATAAACTAAACTCCACCCATAGATAAACTTCACCCTACAAGTTTAATCCCAGAACCACTCAGCCGAGCCTGTCAAACCTCATGAATACCTTTCTCTAATTTCCTCATATTGAGAAACTGCTAAGACTCTATTAAGGTAGCATTCTACCTTTTAGTAATTCTAATAAATTTAGTTTCTTGGCCGGGCGCGGTGGCTCACGCCTGTAATCCCAGCACGTTGGGAGGCCGAGGCGGGCGGATCACGAGGTCAGGAGATCGAAACCATTCTGGCTAACACGGTGAAACCCCGTCTGTACTAAAAATACAAAAAATTAGCCTGGCGTGGTGGCGGGCGCCTGTAGTCCCAGCTACTCGGGAGGCTGAGGCAGGAGAATGGCGTGAACCCAGGAGGCGGAGCTTGCAGTGAGCCGAGATCGCGCCACTGCACTCCAGCCTGGGCGACAGAGCGAGACTCCGTCTCAAAAAAAAAAAAAAAAAAAATTTAGTTTCTTTTGCTCAACAATTTTGAATGGTAGTCTTTTATGGATTCAAAAGATAGCAGCATTGATAATAATGAAAACAAAATTAAATGACATAAATGGATGAATTTTACGGAAGATATGTTAATTAGAGTTCTTTAAAAGATCATAGTATTTTCATCTTTTAATCTTTATCAGCTTTAATTTAAGCTTTATCAGATTTTTAACATCAGTAATATATATGTAATATATTATTATAGTAATTTTTAACTTCATAATATACTTAAAATATTTTTAATTTACCACAGGATTAAGCAATAAATTTACCTCAAAATAATACTTCAATGAAATGAGAACATACAAGTTAGAGTTTCTCCTGAAAATATAACTTTAAAATATAATTTGACTTTTCTGTTATTGACAGATAGATTAGCTATGAATGTAAGAATTTCTACTTTTTCTTCTTAAAAACACTGAACTGAAAGTTAGGTCCTTCAGCAGTGCGTCTGCCATATGTCGAGGGTGTGACAGAATGGGAACACTTATAGCCCAAATTAAAATGTCTCATGGTAGTCTCCCAAGTGATTCTGAAATAGAAAAAAATATAAGCCAAGGTCAGAAAAATGTCACCATGTGAACAAGCTGTCAAGTAGCCTCCAAGGAAATGTGTCCAGTTGACTTCTCTATAAGTAAAATAAGTCACGTAAGTGAAAGAGTACAATTCAAATGCACCTTCATTAAGCTTATTAGGGATTAAAGGAAACATAGCAATTTTTACTTCCTCTCAAAAGAAAGAATATACTTTATTTTTTCTCTAATTCTTGCTACTTCCCCAAAATTCTGAGATAGGGCTCAGTAAATTGCCTAAATATTATGACTTCAGAAGGAGTTCATAATTTGGCCTGAGGTGTTAGGGAAAGAGGGTTATCATAATGATCATAATGTGGTGGTGAACATAATGGGTCCTCTCCAGAGGTAACTGTGAAATCAACAAGTCCAAGGAGTTCTGATCGAAACCAGGTTCCCTTTTTGATAGACTTGATCATCCCACCTGTTTGCTCATATACACGTTCCATAGGTCTAACCGTCTATTTAGATTTGTTATATTAACACATGAATCTGTTAAACTGTTGCTTCCCCAAAATTGCAAGAATTGTGGTCATGCATTTTAAATATTTGTTTCAAATATGGGATTCAATAATCTTGAAGAGTTGAAAGTTTACAAGTCAATGAAGAAAATAAAGTATTTACAGTAATGGAGGGAATGGGTAATGTAAATGAATTGTTTGTTAATAGGTGATGCACAAATAATGCATGCCACATTTCCTGCTCAAGTCACTGACGCAGAAACTGATAAGGAAGTGAAACGCTGTTGTTAGTAACAGAGACAGAGAGACACAGACAGACTTTAGAGCATATTCACTTCCGAGCTATAGAGACACCGAACTTTATTGCTACAGGCGGTTAAACCTCATGCACAAGCTCGACTGGCTTAGTGCCTCCATAGAAGTGCCTTAATTGAATTGCCATGTAAGGCTGTGCCCTTGTCTTTTATCGAAGGTTATTCTAAGAAACAGCCACATGAAGAAAATTTCTCTATCTTTAGCGAAATTGCAGATAAAAGCAGTGCCTATTATGCTAGTTAATGTCCCTTTTAAGATTTTACACAATACACTTTTTAACATCTAATGCCATATATATCTATGTATTGACCTATTGACGGTATAGTTTAATGTCATATATATATTTATTTTGTTCACAAACACACACACACTCACACTCACAGACACACACACACAGTCTGCTTTCCATTTTTTCTCTCTTTCCTTTTGAGTGAAAACCACATAAGCCATTATATCTTGTTTTTTCCTTATTGTTTTGATATGCAAAATTAAACTGAATTTGTTATCTGTGGCTCCTGATGATATATATATATATGTATATGTGTATGTATTACGTATACATATATATATGTATGTATTATGTCACAGATTTACTTGTAGATGAAGAAACTGAGCATCAAAGATGTGAATTAAGTTGTCCCTATTCCAGCCTCACAGGCAATAGATGGCACAGGGAAGCTTTTGCTGTTTTTCAGTCTAAGCAGAGTTGTCATTCTTTATTTTATGCCACACTTATCGAAGTGCACAAGTCAGGCACCCTGCCTAAATTACATCCCTGCTGCCTGTCATGGAGCCTAAAACTCAACTTTGTTTCATTATATTCATTGAGCTTTAGAGGCTTTCTCTATCTTAAATGTAAAATCCACAATGGATGGACCACACGCAACTTTGTATATTAAGGAGGTGAAGTACTAGAAGCTTCTGCTTTCAGAGAGGCACACAGGGAGGAAACAAGTTATTAAAAGACACACAAATACAAGGCCGGGCGTGCTGGTGTGCGCTTGTAATCCTAACATTTTGGGAGGCCGAGGCAGGTGGATTATCTGAGGTCAGGAGTTCGAGACTAGCCTGGCCAACATGGTGAAACACCATCTGTACTAAAAATACAAAAATTAGCTGGGTGTGGTGGCATGCACCTGTAGTACCAGCTACTTGGGAGGCTGAGGCAGGAGAATTGGTTGAACTCAGGGGGCAGAGGTTTTAGTGAGCTGAGGTCATGCCACTGCACTCCAGCCTGGGCAACAGAGCAAGATTCCATCTTAAACAAAGAAAAAATATATAGAAATACAAAAAGGCAAATCCACTAAAAAGACAGTTTTTCTAGTATTTATCACTCCATGTTTTTCAGGCCACAAAAGAAGATTAAGATATTCTGAAAATTTTTTTTGATATCTATTTTACTATTACCATCTAATGATTTATTTTAAAACAACATGCCTTCAAAATGAGAATAAAATAGAAATAGTCCAAGCAATCAATCTAAATAAAAGATCAAATGCAAATGAATAAGAAACATTTAAAGACTAAAATGCTAGTGATAATGAAGTAATTCTGAGGTAACATCTAGTAATGAGATTCACCCCATATTGAACACTGTTAGGCAGTTTTTAGAGAAATTTGAAAGATTCCACTCTGGTCTAATCTACTCTACACAAAACAAAATTGTTTAAAAAGATGCACTCCCTTATGGGGAGACATAAAGAAAAATTAAAGGAGACATCTGCCTTTTGGTTGTAGGCTTTCATGAAATTCTGCAATACTTGCACCATTAGCAAGGGAAATAATACGTTACAGGATTCCTGATGGAGGATTGTTGAGCTAACTGCCTAGAAAGTGGAAGACAATTGGCATATATTATCACCAAAAAAAAGTAAAGTTTCCATTATGATGGCAGTCACCAAAGAAATGACAGTATTTACAAGTGCATAAAATTTGAGAAGGTAAAAGAAATATGAACAGTATGGGCAATGGAGGTGTAACATCATAAGTACCGAAAGAAGTGGTGTTCAGATCATCCTAGAGGAGATGAAAACATGTTACCCAATTTAATTACCAATGAACTGAGAGTTATCTGCTACTACATCAAGTAAAGATTATTTTGTGCCTGATGCACAGAACGCACTACTAGATTTAGAGTTGTGCATGCAGAAGAGATGATGCTGCAAAAATAAGGGCATCCACTTTTAGGGAGAAATAAGCATGGCTGTTGAAAAAAGCCCAACTTTGACTAGTATATGTTTAATGTAGAAGGTATCTTCTACATATACAGGTATTAAAAACACATTTACATAGGTGAAACTATTTATGAGAATCTATTGCTTCTTGTACTATCATATTACTAAAATACACTATGTGGCAAAATCAGTGAATTAAAATGGAAAGCATGTTGTAATTTCAGGGTGGGAAAATAGAGTTTAAAAAGTCAGTTTTCAATAGCAATTTGCATATGACTGTGTGTATTAGTTTTCTATTGCTGCACAACAGATCAGAACAAATTTAAGTCACATGACACGTAATCTCACAGTTTATGTGGATTAATAATCTGGGAGTTGCTCTGCTAGGTCCACTTCTCATGATCTCACAAGGATGCAGGGCAGGAAGAAGCTGGAGTGTGTTCTCATCTGGAAGTTCTTCTGGGGAAGAATCTTTTTCCCCATTCATTCAGATTGTTGACAGAATCCATTTTCTTGCAGCTGAATGCTAAGGAAACTAGCTTCTTACTGACTCTTGGCTGTGGGGTTTTCTCAGGTCTGAGAGACTACCCATGCCCCTTTGCTACGTGGTCTTCTACTGGGCAGTTCACAGTATGGCTATTTGTTTTTTCAAAGTAGGCAGACAAATCTCTCACCTCAGTGTGCTAAACAGAGTCTAACATAACACAACCATGGGCATGTCATCACCTTTGCCGTTCTCTATTGATTAGAAGGAAGTCACAAGTCCCACCTCCATTCAAGGACCTGACTCATTGGGACTCACCTTAGGGTATGTCTTCCATAGTGAGTGATTACATATGAGCACAAACAGAGAAAGAATATGACAAATTAAATATCATCTCAATAAGACATTAATATATGACTTTTTCTTTTGAGTTAAAATTATTAAATTGTAGAAGGAAAGTAAATGAATACAGGCCAGGGTTTTTTATATCACTGCCACCTTAGAAAACCTGGTTATGTATGGGCTACAGTACACCCATCTGCAGAAGCGCCTGGAAAGCACTGACAACCCCAAAATATATCAATTTTTGTGCTACTCTCTTTGTTATTGGAAATCATCATATTGGAAGTCTCTAAGTAACTTCTGTGTAAAAATGTTTCAGAAGCTGAATATCTCATAAAATGATGGGAACAAAAAATGATACAAAAGGACCTGCAGTCGGAGGCACATTAAATGTTTTGCAGATGGCACAAGGTAAACAAAAGGTTGAAGACATATTTGTGTTCTGTGCTCTGTCAAAAATCAGACACACACACACAGACACATGATCAGATCATACAAAAGCTACTAATTAATAAACATCTATTACATATCATCTAATACTACAAGAACTCAGAGGAGTATGTGTTAATACCTTCTTCTGTGGATTGTGAGGCTAACTTTTAGAGAGGATAACTTGAATAACAACAAGTTGCATTGTAGCATATTATTCAAAGAGCTTTCCATTTATTAACTCATATAGTCTTTACAACAAGTTTATAAATTAAGTGCTAGTGTTACAGATTATAAAAATGAGGCACAGATAGAGTAAGTGTCTTCTCCAAGGCCATCTGGTTATCATGTCACAAAGCTAGGAACCAGGCACAGGACACAGAGTTCCAGAGTCCCTGTCTTTACTCACTGTGGCGTGCTGATTCCCAGGGCAGAAAGAGGATTTAGCACTTATTTCCCCACCACCTAAATGTGAGGTGCCAATTGTTCTTAACGGAGTAGTCAGACTATCAAACTAGAATTAGATACCTTTACTCACTCAAAATCCTGAGATGGCATCCCACCTCAGGGTATCACGATTTAACATATCTCACCCTCTCTCCTCTTGTCACTAAGTTTTTCTTGCTCTCTTAGGAAAGGCTGCAGAATTTTGAATTTTCATATAATTTTATGTTAGAATTATCTTAAATTAAGAGAGAAAATAAATATGGCTTTCAAAGCCTAAGTTTAAAATTTAGGTTTTAGCTATTCCTTCTGGAACTAAAGACAAAGATAATTTGGGTGCTGAATATTAAAATAACTCATTCATCCGCACATTATTTTGTCAAGTTCTAAGGATTTTTTTTTTTTTTCTTGAGAAGGAGTCTCAGTCTGTCACCCAGGCTGGAGTGCAGTGGCGCGATCTGGGCTCACTGCAAGCTCTGCCTTCCCGGGTTCACGCCATTCTCCTGCCTCAGCCTCCCGAGTAGCTGGGAGTACAGGCGCCCGCCACCACACCCAGATAATTTTTTTTTTTTGTATTTTTTAGTAGAGACGGGGTTTCACCGTGTTAACCAGGATGGGCTCGATCTCCTGACCTTGTGATCCACCCGCGTCAGCATCCCAAAGTGCTGGGATTACAGGCGTGAGCCACCACGCCCGGCCAAGTTCTAAGAATTTTTATAGTGGCCTAGATGTTGGGTCTTAACTCATGGCTTTGAGCTGTCTTAGTTCATTTAGGAGCTGCACTCTGCCATGTGTCTCTGATAATTGTGGGTTCACTCACTGAAGGAAGTTAAAGGCAAATCCTCGACTTTCATTATCTCTTCAGAAGGATGTTTCTGGATTTAATCACAAGGAAGAGACATTGTTTCTGAAATGTAAAGGCAATGGCCAAATCAGCCTTGCTTGTAAGATTTTTATGAATTAGGTGCATTTTTTTCCTATAGAAAAGAAGGTGTCAGAATGAAGTGTCATGGTATCGAGTTTTAGTATACACGTGTGAGCCTCAGTTCCTGCTATACATAAGCATGTCTCAGCTGCTTATGAAAATGTACACATTGCTTGGCCCCACACAAAAGTCCTAAATGAGGATTTCTGGAGAAAGAGTCATAGCATGTATATTTTTACAAAGCTCTCTGTGTACAATTCTAATGAGCAGCTAGGTTTGTGAACCACTAGCATAGAATAAGTAATAATAATCCAAACAAGAAGTCATCTGCCAGTTGCTGTGGAGCAGAAAGTAACATAATCTCAAGTGAGGAAAAATGGAAACGTATTATGTTTGCATAGAGGTTTACTCAAGTACATTCATATATACTGACAAAAATGTATTAATCCCACGACGTTGAAAACATAGAAAACCATAATAGCATTTTATTGAGCACCTTCGTCAAGTATGAAACTTTGCAATGTATTTGTGTTTGTTAGTGGACATGTTTTTTTTTTACCTTTTCATTAATCAATTTAGAGTAAAATATATTCTTCAAAATTAGTGCTTGAACATATAGTGTAATGCTGAATAACTTATAGTAATTGTATCAAAACAAATAGTTACAGAGAAATTAAATTGTAGCCTTAAGGCTCTTCTCTCTTCTTTCATATATTTATTTGCTTTTGATTTAGTCAATTTACATATTCTTTTGTTCATATTTTCACCAAATAAATTAAACATATCAAAAGCTTTATTCTGTGACAGAGTATTACTGGCAATAAAGATCCAATGGTGAACAAGGCAGATACAATCCTGGTATCAGAAAACTTACATTCTACAAAAATGATAACCAAGAAAAACCTTAATAAAATGTTAATTAATAAGATGTCAAGAGGAATAAAATGACAAGAAGGAGGTGACTTGGCAAATATTAATAGTAAACATGTATCAAGCACAGGGAAGAGCTAGTATATAAGGTGTTAGAAAGAAGCAACCTGGGCGAGGCAGGAGCAGAAAAGCTTGCGTGGCTGGAGTCTGTAGGACAGTGGTGAGAACAGCACAACAGAAAGACAAACTTGAGCTGCACAGAGAAGCCAAAAGAGGGAGTCAGTACTGAACTCGCAGTGTAAGGAGAAGGTACTGGAGTATTTTAAGAAAGGCAATTGTTTGATCTGGTTTACAGCCTCAAAATGATCACTCTGCTTTATGAGCAATATAAGGGTCAAAATGGACAGAAAAATCACCCTTTTATGACTATTGCACTTTCCTGGTACAGATGAGGGCTTCTACTAGGAAGGTGGCAGTGAGGAGGGAGGGCAGGGGGCTGAGTTATGACATGTTTTGGAGGTCAGATGACAGAACTGGATGATGGTGTAGATGAGAGTGGTGAGTTTGTATGTGTGTGTGTGTGTGTTTGTATAAAACCATCCTCAGAATATGTTGATAGTTTCTCAGGATGATTACATTGTAGCCCATGTGCATGGTGTAGTTTTTAAATAAATATCCACTTTGTATATTGAAAGTAGTAATATGCATGTTAGAATTTTGTTAAGAAGGTGCAGGCTCCCCTTTTGTTTTCAGCAGTTCACCTTCTAGTAATCCTAATGTAAGACTTTTAGCAGAAGTTAAGCTTCTTAAATACGTATCAAAGACAATTATCATGTAAACATGTGTCTTTCCATATCTCTCTGTCCTTCCATTGATTTGACCAAATATATTGTTGAGGGATGATAATGTAGGTATGAATGTCTCACAATTAAGACTACAATTTAGCTTTGGTTCTTCTAAAGTGAAAAATACCATTATCTTAAAAATATATTTGAATGTGCATATGTATGTGTGCATTTTCAACTGACAGGTACTTGGGGGAAAATGAAGGAACCAACCGGTAATTTGCTTTGTAGGGATCACTTATCTCTGTGAGTAGCGAGGCATGTGGTCCAGGGTGTGGGTGGGAATTTTCCACACCAAACAATTCTAATGATAGCTCATCAGGTGGGGCAACAAGGACAGTTCTGTGGCATTACAGAGCCTAAGCCACAGTGGCACTTTACTAAAAGGTTGAAGAAGCATATGTAGTGAGAGAGATGAAGCAGCCTTATATTAACCAAAATGCTTTGTGTTAAAATAAGCATGGAGCATTCCTAATGGATATTTTAAGTGACTATTTTGCACAACTGCTTTTGACTAAACCAGTTCTACTTCACTTAGAAGGTGAAGAGACTGTTGTTCTAGCAGCATTTCTTCTCCTTGACGTTATTTTTCAGCATATGGAAAGAGATATTTCAGAAATAGTCATACAAACTGGGACAGCTGGAGACATGCCTATGCTTACATCCCATAAGTAAAAAATATTTCTATTATGCTTGTCACAAAAACTCAATATCATGGTATTGATGAGTATTATGCAAACATGGAAATACCTGTAAAATAATTTTAGCACATTTTTAGTTAATTCTTTTAAATTCTTTGAAATTTCACCTAATGAGAGTCTAAAATTCAAGTGCACCTGTATGTCAAAAACAGAAAAGATAAATCACCTTAAGATCCAGGGGAAAGTACATGCGCAGATCCCATGGAAATTGGAGATGGAGGAACGGCATCTTTCTGTGGTACAGAGTGTGCAGAATTTAAAGACTAACAAAATAAGGGTTTGAGTTCTTGCTCTTAGTACTTCTTATATACAGTAGGTATAAAAAGATATAAACAAGTTATTGATGAAGTTTATTGAAGATCTCGTAGAGACTGAAGTAACTGGAAGGGAAAATGCTATTCTGAGGAAAAAGAGAAAGGTTACTTCTAAAAGAAAAATATATTTCTTATTTCTTGTTTGACACATAAAACAATAGGTGTACCTATTTATGGGGTACAATGTGCTGTTATGGTATGTATATAACAGCAAATGAGTAAATGAAACTAAGTAACATGACTGTCACCTCACATACTCGTGTGTGTGTGTGTGTGTGTGTGTGTGTGTGTGTGTGTGTGCATGAGAAGATTTAAAATCCACTCTCTTGGCAATTTTCAAATATGCAACACATCATTATTATTTAAAATCATGATGCTGTACAACAGATCTCCAGAACTTAATCTGTCTGTCTAACTGAACCTTTACACCCTTTGACCTGTATTTCCCCACTCCCCCTTTCCCCAAGTCCCTGGTAACCAGCATTCTACTCTCTGTTTTTCTGAGTTTGACTTTTTTCGATTACACATAAGTTAAGATCATGCAGCATTTCTCTTTCTGTGCTGGCTTATTTCATTTAGCATAATGTCCTCCAGGTTCATCCATGTTGTTGCTAATAACAGAATTGTCTTCTGATCTGGAATTAAAACCACAATGAAATGTCACCTCACACCTGGTACAATTTCTTTTATCAAAAAGATCACAAGTGTCATTAGGGATGTGGAGAAAAGGGAGCCCAGATACACCGTTGGTGGGAATGTAACTAGTACAGCCATTAGGAAGAAATGTATTGAAGTTTCTAAAATAATTAAATACACAACTACTATATGATCCAGCAATTTGACTACTGAGTATATAGCCAAAGGAAATGAAATCAGTATGTCAAAGATACATTCATTTTATTGTTGGATAATTTCCCTACAGAAAATGCCTTACTAAGTCTTTATTTGAGACAATGAAGTCTTTGTAGCCCTGGTTAGATGCCTATTTATTTGTTTCTTTTTATTTTCCTTTAATGGCATAATTTTCTGTTATGCAACATAAGACTGTACGTACATGTTTGGATTTTAAGGTATTCTAGAAGGAGGAGCTGAAAAAAATGAAAAAAAGAGGATTTGATATAAAAGAGGGATCTTGTCAAGACTATGGCAGGTGGGTGTCCTGAAGATGACCTAGGCAATTGAATTTCATATACCAGGAATGACCAAGCAACTTTAGCAAATCTGAAATCTAGCAATTTTTTAACAGACTATTTTTTTAGAGCAGTTTGAGGTTCACACCAAAAGCAGTAAGTACAGAGATTTCCCATCACTCCCTGCCTGCACACACACACAGCTTCCCCCACCATGAACATTAATGCCCCAGAGTGAAGCATTTGTTATAAGGAATGAATCTACATCAAGACCTCATTTTCACCCAAAGTTTGTATTAGAGCTCACTCTTGGTATTGTGCATTCTCAGGTTTCTGCCAAATGTATAAATATATATATATATATATATATATATATATATATGTCAATCATTGTAGTATCATACAAAGTAGTTTCATTGCCGTAAAAATCCACTGTGCTCCATGTATTCATCCCTCCCTCTTCCTGTCCCCCAGCAACCACTGATCTTTTTACTTCTGCACAGTTTTGCCTTTCCCAGAATACCATGTCGTTTGAATCACACAGTAAGTAGCCTTTTTACATTGACTTCTTTCACTGAGTAATATGCATTTAATCTATCCACAAGTCTTCATAGCTTGAAAGGCCATTTCTCTTTAGCACTAAGTAATATTTTATTGTTTAGATATACCACATTTTATTCACACATTTACCTACTGAAGGACATCATTACTTCCAAGTTTTGGCAATTATGAAGAAAGCTGCTGTAAACATCCACATGTGGGTTTTTACATGAACATGTTTTCAGTTCATCTGGGTAAATACCAAAGAGCATGATTGCTACATCCTATGGTAAGAGTATGCGTAATTTTGTCAGTAACTGCCAAACTGTCCTCCACAGTGGCTGTACTATTTTGCATTCCCACCAGCAATGTAGCATGTAATTTTAACTTTCTCTCCTCTACTGATGTGTACCGTAAAAACAATCCCTCCTAATTTGATCATAAGAAGTGTTTGCTCCTACTGTGGCCTTGTGTTAGCATTGGTATTGGGCAGTGCATGAAGGTGGAGATTTGCATGGATCCATTGGTGTCAGGAACAGATGGGATCCAGAGGAGACAAATATAAGAGGGAAGGAGTGGCTGACTTGAAGCAAGAAAAAAGAGCCAATGAGAACCGAGAGAAACATAAACTTCTTGGGAATCCTCTGTGATGTTGCAGATGAAGATGATCTCCACTTTCCCATATCGCACTAGATGGGAGCTCAAAAAATTTTGGCTAAATTTTAAAGGAAATATGAAAGGGTCTATTATGAACATTCAGATCTAAAAAGAATATTCTTCCTCAAGGTTTTCTTAATGAGAATTTTCCAGTGAGGGTCTACAGAAGACCTCATCCCCAACCAGAGGTGGGCTATGCAACAACAAGACCATGGTTATTGTTTATTTAATGTTTTAGTGTAATAAGCCCTAAGTCTCTTTGATGTAGAAACATTTTTGAATATAGCAATGTATTGACAGACCATTAAGTTGAACACAGAAGACAGATTGAGGTAGACACCAAAATGTTTCTCAAGAAGACTTCTGCATAAGCTGAGGGTTTCTAAAGTTGTCTCTATAGTTTCCTTGAGAAATTATGATGTGGAAAAGTGTTTTGAACTTTGTGTGCAATATGATGCTACTGCTCACAGAGATGTATAGTGACTAGGCAATTTCCTTAGCAGTCTTCCAGCCCTGCAAGGTGGTGTGCAGTGGAACTGTGATCATTCAGTTGAGTTCATTAGCTTTTCACATAAGAAAGTGGAGATCATTGACAGAATGTATAATGTTAGGCTGATAAAGTCAGATGCTTCTTCCTGCATTCACTTTCCCCAGCTTCCCTTTAAGTAGGACTGATGAACCAATGAGAGCAAGCAAACTCTACCCTTACCATGGAACATCAGAGATATGTTCTCATCTTTCCCCAAAAAGCTCTTTAGGCACCAGGATGCAGCTTGCACCGTGGCCTTTTATTGCTGATGTTATTTTGCAAAACTTGAATTGTGTAAGTTAGAAGCAAATTTTGCAATAATGTTTGCATGTATTTTGCCAATTCTCCTTGTTACTTATTGCATCTTTCTCTCTTGAATTTCATCGGTGTTTGTGTTTTGCCAACATGCCTAATGACCCAGTGTTGAAATTCCTGAAGTTGATGTATGAACTGGAAGAGGAAAACACAAAGCCGAGGTTTACAGTCAAATCTGACAAAGTTAGTGATGAAGAATTACAGACTTCTGAGTCATTTTACTGCACAGGTGCATTCAAGGACAGTTTTTAAAAGCCCGCCTTTAACATGAAAGCTTCTTATCAATGAGTGTTACATAAGGGCTAACCCAAGATTTCCTAGTCCACTGCACAGCCTCTGTGACTAACCATTTACAAATGATGCAACTACTTCAGTAAAATTGAAAAGACACATCCGAAAATCAGTTATTCTGTAAGTTGCTGAATAGATTTTGGAGTCTCAAAACAGATTAATATTGTTTTTTGTTAAAAAAAAAAAAGTTATATTCAGTTGAGAAAATTCAGGAAGTTATTCAGTAGTAGGATGCCAACCCTGAACAGGAAGAGCCTCATAGTTCCTACATTACCGTGTATAACTGAAGTGAGGAAAGTGCTGGGATAAAATATAGCGTGAAAACTTGTAAAGGTTCCCTTCTCAAACCGTAAAGAAAAGTTGTCACATTGACAATAAGTCACATGATGTGAAGAGGTTTTGTATAAAATACTGGAAAACACCAGCTTCTCTATTCAATTTGGTGAGAAAATTAATTTCACCAATAAATGTCACTTTGTAGCATTTGTAAGATATTTAAATGAGGATAAAATTAAGGTTTTTCTTCTACAAAGAGTTGGATAAAACAACATCTATGGCATATTTAAAGTTTTCTCCTTGTATCTGAGGACAAGCAGTTCTGTTTCCAAGAAACTTTGTTGCTATCTGTGCTGATGGGACCCCACCAATGTGTGGGTCCCTGAAAGATATCACTTTCCTTGTAAGAGTCTTCAGATTTTCTGAGATTCCCCAGATGATCTGAAGTTAGATTACTTTCTTTGTGAGGATCTGTCTGCCTTTTTACCCAAAAGAATTTGTAATAGAAATAAGATAATCTCTACATAACCAAACCATAATCATGGCATTATATATCTAAACCAATGTGCTCTATCAGAAAGGGTACTGAAAGTCATATTTGTGACCATACCGTTTATACCAGAAAATAAAAAGTTGAAATTACTCAGAGATACATTTTTAAGGATAAGATATGAATAAAGAAAATTTCACAGTGTAAGATTTTCAAAAAAGATCTCTCTCTCAGTATATATTTTCTTTTGTGCAAAAAAGAGAGATGATGTACAGGAAGCTTTCCCACATTTTTTAGAGTCACGAGTCTTCAGCGTGAGTTTTTCTATGTTTCCCACGGTATAAGGGACAGCTGAAGGCTTTCCTATATTCTTCACATTTATAGTCTCTCCATAGTGTGAGATGCCACATGTTGCCTAAAATGGAAAAAAAAAAAAGATATGTAGACTTTCCTGCATTTCTTATATTTCTAAGTTGCATCTCCAGTGTGTTTTCTCAGTGCATGGTTAGGTGTAAGTAATTAACACCCCTTTTCCACACGACACATCTTTATGTGTTCTCTCTAGTGTGAGTTCTCACGTATCTTTAAAATTATACGTTGAAGGAAAGATTTTCTCACGTTTCTTACATTTCTATGGTGTCTCACTCCTTGTGGGTTCTCCCATCTGAAGCAAGGTAGGAAAATTCACTGAGAGCTTTCCCCCAGTTTCCACATTTATACAGCTTCTGTCTAGTGCGTGGTAGGTGCCCTAAGTTGGTAGGAATAACTACAAGCCTTCCCACATTTTATACCTTCATAAGGTTTCTCTCCACCATGAGTTCTCAAATATTTAATGACCAGTGAGAAACAAGTGTTTCTTCACATTCTGTCCATATGTATTAAATCTTTCCAGTGTGACCCCTGATATATGACAGACAGCAACCTTGCAATCCTCCCATTTATAGTGTTCTTCTTCATTGAGAGACCTCACGAGAGTCCTCAAATTCAACAGACAATTTCAGGCTTGTCCTCATTCCTTAGATTAACCGGGGTAGTGCTCAGGAAAGCTTTGATATGATTCTAAAAGGATGAAGCATCCACAGAGTCTTTCTTCAGTGTGAGTTTTTCTGTTTCCCACGGTATAAGGGACAGCTAAAGGCTTTCCTATATTTTTCATGTGTATTAAATCCATAGGGTTTCATCCCAGGAGCACTTCTTTTCAGCACACTAAGATTTGGAATCCAGCAGAAGATTGTCCTACATTGATTATCTTCTCTACATCCTGGAGGCCATGTATCACATGAGTTCTCAAATGACCCTTCTTGTTCTTGTGATGAACTTCAATGCCAGCATTCACAAGCTTTTCTTCAATGAAGGACCACAAGTGATTCCTGGTGATCTTTGTCTATTTTCTGTTTATTAACTTTTCCTCCATAAATATGATACTGAGCAACTTACTGGTTTTAAGTTGAAGCCCATAACCTATTGATGTCACATTTCTGAAATTTTTGAGCATCATGTCCCCATAGGGAGTTCTTGGTTAGGATGAAGAAAAACCCATTCTTTCTGGAGAACATTCACCCACATACACAAAGATCACAGCATCCATAAACAAGGCAGGTGTGGGCCATTCTAGGCTATTCACAAGTAGTACAGAGGCTCAATACCAGGAAATAAAAGAGTGTTGATGGAGAGGAGGCATCCACCTATAACATTTCCAAAAGGGAAACTCAACTCATAGATGTACTGCTAGGTTGACTGTCCCTAGTGAGAGGATATTTCCTGGTTCAGATACCTGGAGGTCTCTGTGGGCATCATCCATTTATTTCAAGAGGTAACTTAAAGACTATGGGCTAAAAGAGCTGGAACAGGGGGCACCCCAGGCCATTTGAGACTGACAGGGAAGGTGATGTCTACTTCTGATTCCTACCTACCTTTAAGGGAGTGTGGACATGGCACAATAGGACCCAGCCTATACCTTTTAACTTAGCCTTGAAAGAATGCTAAAAAGCACTCCAGAACTTCCCCACATTGGATAATACCCTCAGGATAAAAGTGGCACCCAAAGTGGGGCTCATCTCTCTAGAGTTCTTATCCCTTCTGAAACTTGTCTAATAATCTTTTGATGTTGTTAGCACTCTGGTGCCCTCAAGCATTGTATTTTTAACATTGTAGACTATGTTTTTTATTTGTGCTCAGCTTAGGGTTAGCTGTAAATAACTAATGTGTTTGACTAATTTGGGGTTGAATAATGAAGGAACAAATTAATAACCACTTGCTTACTGGACAGTAGTTTTATTGATTTACTATAATAATAATAATAATAAACATTGTGGACTCAGGCTTAGAGGAGTATTTACTTATCTTTTTATTATATATTGCATATTAAGCTTTTTGTCATATCTTAAGCATAAGTATCAGACTTTCTCACTACTGTAGTTATTTAGTAGCACACTTAATGTGTTCCCCTAGGGTAGCAGCTATCTTCATAGATTTTTCTGTTCACATTTCTAGTTTAGTCTTCTTTTGATAATATCTACTTACTACCTTGTGAAGATTTGCCTTATTTCAATTATTTTTGACCTTCGTATGTCTCAAAATATTTTATTTTTTCCAAGTGATAGCTGATGTCTCTTTAGATAGTTTGTATAGCTATTTTCTGGGTGTAGGCCAAAGCAGGATAGTAAGGCAAATGAAAATGGAATTATATTATTTCACACATTTCTGAGTAGTAGACCAGAGAATCTGAAAGAACCACAAACAGGCAATTTGAATATATACATTTTAAAGGACAGTTTTGAAATCTCTTAATATAAATAAATGTTTAAATCTCACCTTATGTCTCCTGGAGCAGAGTAATTGCTGCTGCTGAAAGAAACTGACGCTTACTTGGATCACATCTCTGCAGGAACAACACATTTCCAGAGCATTTGTCATCATTTTCTATTGCTCAGTTCCACGGTGACAGCTTTAAGAAAAACTGTTTCTGATGTTGCAGGATTCTCTTAAATCTCTGCAAAGAATCTTCTTTAGAAAGGGTTTTCTGTGACTCTGTTTTCATATAACACATAGTCTAGTAAGAATTAGAAATTAGAAATAACTGAGCTTTAATCACGGAATAATCTTTTCCAGCCTTGAAAGAGTTTGTTTCTTTGTAAATATTTGTCATTTCATCTTGCTCCCGCTGTCATCTACCTGAATGAACTCTAAAGACTTCTCTCTCATTGAGCACATTTCCCCTCTATTTCCCCTGCAAGTTCTGTGTTAATAATAAAACTTCATTTTCCCAGTTTCAGAGATGGTTTAGAGAAATATTATTTTAAGTCTAGACAGTTTTTTTGGTCACTATTATATTCCTTGTGTTTTGCACAGTGCTTAATTGGTAGCAGTATATTAATAAAACTTTTTTAGTGAATAGCCTAATTTGTTGTGATAGTTTGTGTATATGTGTGGTTGCAAATATACAAACATGCCCTATATATTACATGTGCACACTTGCAATATGTGTAGCGTTGGTCTACACAGCTCTAGCAATGTGGATTAAAATATACACATGTCAGAAACTAATAGCATTCCAAGTAGGTATCAATTGTGATCTTAATGTACAGTGAAAGGAAAAATACGAATTTATGAATTCTATTGTTTTGTTATACTAGCTTCAGATGGTAAAGGGGCATCTAATGAATATTAAAGATATTTTTCACTTGAAACCTAGTACTCAGGTTAATATCTTAAAGAAGAACTTCTAATTTTATCTACGTTTATATATCTGTATCTATATATAACATCTATTTAGTGTAACAAGCTAACAGGAAGTAAGAATTATTGGAGAAATGAGATAGCTTAAAATCCTTTAAGAGACAACCTAAAGAATAAACAATTTTGATAAAACAATGTGTCAGAATAGAAAATCTGTTTTGATTACTGCCTTCAGCTGTTATATAAACTGTGAGTTATAATGTATAATAAAGTGAAAATACTTTTTCATTAGCATAACTTTTTTACATCTATGAGCAGAGAAAGCAAAATCAAGGTAAAAATAGAGGTCAAAAGAGTACGCGGGGAAGTGGCATGTGTCCTGCTCCTTTTTACCTACGTAGCTAAATATGCCAAGGATTTACAGAATGAGTTAAATGACACATAATTACTTGATAATCAAAACACTATATTTTTATTTTAAGAATGTTAAAAGAAAACTCTGGAAATATCATCTGTTGTGCATTCCAGTATTGCAGAAAATAAAATAAATTATTATGTATGTGTCTGTGAGTATTTCACATTTTTGAACTGTATTGACATAAACAGCTATGTTCTGCAGTCTGACAGAAACAATTACGCATTTAAGGGAAATAAAGTGATGAGTATAATAATAATCAGCAGAATATAATAAAAATCCCTAAAAGAAATGAAGTGCAATCATATTTTATTCCAATTTAAATCTAAGTTTTAGATCTTTTTTTGTTGTTTCTGTTAAAAATCATAAGTGAATTTGCTGGGATGGGTAGTTCTGTGTTTAGATGCATATGTGTTCCCTAAAAATGAGAAAGTGAACTTATTTTGCTTACAGGATTACAAAGTGGCAATAATATCTTTGAGTATAATTAACATCAAGTGTAATTCTGTACATAAAATGACTTTCAAAAGGTTTGTAATATTTTAAATGTTATATTTTTAACATATTGTTTCATGCGTATTAAATTTCTAATAATGCAATCTTACTTCCATTTATTTAAAACTGAATATTTGATCACAAAATAATAAAAATATTACTGGGATCTTAACAAAGGCATGTTTAAAATAATTACACAAAGAAGGGAGAGAGTAATTGAAAGCAAAGTATTCTAAGGTCCTAGCACCATTGAAAATGATTTAAAAGAACTTACATTACACTTCATTAATTCAGAGATATCATTTGTGATAAATCAAGAACGCAGAAATGCTGGTTGAAAGCAGGACACAAAGTATAAGTTAACTTAATGAATGACAAAATAAAGTATTCATATATATATGTTTATATTTCTATATAATATATAATTATACATATTACCATTATAATGCATTATGCGTGTATAATATATATAATGCAACCAGAGAACATGAATAAATTAGTAAAAGATATAATTGGTGCATACATATTAAATGTGCAAGTAGATAACATCTAGAGTGTTTCTATACAGCATCAGAGATCTTACAATGTAATAAACTTTGGAAAACATTAAAATTTCAATGGATATTAAGTAACATTTTAATATGTGTTTAGAATATTATAATGAACTTGATGTTTTGCCATACCAGGCCATGTAACAAATGCCACAGTACTCTGAAACAAATTAAAAATAGAAAAGGTCTCCAAAGAAGAGCATGCTTACTTCTTTCCAGAACTTACTCTGTGAGAGATAAAGTCATGTAAATAAAATTATGTATGTTATAGCATCAGTTTGTGTGCTGAAACAGGGCCTGGTATGTGAGATATTATGACACTATGAACAAGAAATTAGGAAGAAAGTAAGAATGTGAAATTTGGGTAGATAACTGATAGATGAATAGAGCTTTTTCAGGTAGACAGAGGAATTTTTGAGGCCAAGAGAGGACCAGGAGATCAGGATGTTTAAGATACGAAAATAGTATTTTGCATTTGGGGAAATTCAGCCTTTGGCATAACTATAGTGTCCAGAGTGTTCAACAATTAATAATAATAGTCAACAGTGATCAAGGCTTTAGTACATGCCAGGGTTCTTTACCTGTGTTACCTATGTATACCACATGTAATGTCTAATTTATTCTTCACAATAATCCTTTATGATACATTATCCTCCTTTTGCCAAGAAATAATAAGTAAATGAGGTCAAGCTAATAATATGGTATCCTTTCAAATAAATATATTGTATTTGTTCAATATTCATTTAATTGTATCAGAGAAAAATGCATTATTAATGATAGAGTTTATACATTTATTTCTCCATGTTTGAAATAAGGGCTTATTAGGTGTAATTCCCCCACCTCCCAAAACATACCTCTTAGATCAGCATCTTTATACTTTTCCCTTTGCTTGTATACAGTAGAATATTTCCCTTTGCTTATATTTGCTTGCTGGTAAATATTTAATAGCTGGCTCTGGGGAAAAAAAAGAAAAGGAAAGGAAAGGAAAAAAAATCCCTAATACCTGATGTTTGCTGATTTCTGTTGTGCAAATACTCCTACCAGGGTAAATTTAAACTCCCAAAGCGTGACGTCACTGAACACAGGGCTGGGAAGACGAATGTACACACTATGTCGCCACCCAGCTCAACAACGCAACAATGCAATGGCCCATGTCTCTTCCTTCTTGTCATTCTTAAGACTTCATTATTCATAATACGGTGGTGTACTCATCCGACCCAAATTTCTTTATATCATGTATCTTTGGAATAGTATTTTCCACACTGTGTAATGATTCTTTTTGATTACGTACTTTGATTTTTTATCTTTTTCTTTCCCCACAAGAATGTGAACTACCAAAGGGGAGGAGCCTTGTCTACTTTTTCATCACTGTACCACACGTGTATCTTAGCATCTGTCATATAAACTCAATGCGTATATGTTGAATTGAAGAATAAGACTTTGGTCAAGGCAAATATGAGAGGCATTTCCTTTGATCATTCAAGTTACTAAATCAGTAGGTTCTAATGATAACAAAAAGAAGTTAAATTGGTGATATGGTTGAATGATAATTTAATTATGATATGATGTAATTTGGGGACCTACATCTTTATAAAGATGAAATTGTAAGGCAAATATGGAATATTCCACTTTTTCCAATAGAGATGTCAGATGAACAGCATGAGGTCATTTTCTGCTAAACCACGATTTTGTGTTTTGTTTTTTATTGTAGCTCTGTGGAATGGAGTGGAAGAGGTAGAGCAATGGTTAGAAATAGGAAGGCAAATATTGGGGCCTATAATTTATGCTAATGTCATTGATCACAAGGACTACTGAAATGTTGCATCTCCAGTATGGAGTGCATGAGAGTCTGCACAATGATCAATGTTGTGTCAATGCTTATTGAACTGAAATTAAGAAGGAGACATTTAAAGGTTCAGGGTAATGTGATCAAGATAAAATGATTTTCTGGATCTTCGAGTTAATATTGATAATGCAGCTATATCATTTTGTTTACAACTCAATCTTCACAAATTTTTAGATGTAAGTATATTCAAATATTGTTACATTCTCAGGGTCAAATACAAATTATTTGGTAATTATAGTTTTCCTGGGTGAACTTCCGTAGTTTAGGTGGTTTAGGAAAACCAGTCTAGAATTTTTTGAAGCATGGCATTGGATATGTGCTGACTGGCTCATGTGCTCATATTCTGTGATATAGTCTGATTACTTTAGAGACACATGTAACCAACTCTAATATCTTTTCTCTTTGCTTTTAATTGAAAAACTCTTCTTGGTATCCTTGTGGGTTAATGCCAAGATAATTAATTGTACTCTACCCATAAAGGAGAAAGTGAAACATTCTCAAGGCAATCAAAGTAAACTGCAGAGAAGAGTAGAAAAAAGTGAAATAATAAATTTCTGTGTCATTGAAGTAATATAGAAATTCATATTAAGAAAACATTTACTTTTTAAAAAATTGTTAATAACAAGTCATGCTTATGTGTTCATTTTTAAATACCATTCTGCCCATCGGAATGTGTTTTTAGCAGTAGGATGCACATATCACACAAACACAATTCATCAATGAATAGGAAAATTGTATTGATCTCTTAAATTACTGGATTTTCTGGGATTTGTTTTTACAAAGGAAAACACAAGAAAGAAAAGTTAGATTTAAATCATATAAAAACAATGTATTGTCTTTCTGAGATCCATTTATCCCAGTAAACTCCTTTTTTACCTTGAAATTATTCTTCCTTCCTTGTTCCTATTTTCTAGTGTGCCACCATTGCCTATCTGAAAATTTTGCTTAATACCACCTCTTCTGATTATTCCATACACAGACTACACATTTTCCCTTGATGTTGCTCTAGGTTTCTTAACAGCATCATGCTTTCCATTAGACAGCAACTAAACCCCCCTATTTTTTTCCTCTGTGGGACTATATTTGCGTTATGCCTCTTTGTCATTTTTTAAAAAATTTTATTGTTTTAATTTTTATTTTTGAGATGAAGTCTTGCTCTGTGGCCCAGGCTGGACTGCAGTGACCCAATCTCGGCTCACTGCAGCCTCCTTTTCCCGGGTTCAAGTGATTCTCCTGCCTCAGCCTCCTGAGTAGCTGGGATTACAGGTGTGAGGCAACATAGCTGGCTAATTTTTGTATTTTTAGTAGAGTTGGGGTTTCACCATCTTGGCCAGGCTGGTCTCAAACTCCTAATTTCAAGTGATCCTCCTACCTTGGCCTCCCAAAGTGCTGGGATTACAGGCATTAGCCATCCTCTTTGGGTTGACATGAGTTTTTTTTTTTTTTTTTTTTTTTTTTTAACTTCTGCCTCCTTATCCCCACAGTTTCCACAAATCCCCATGCTTATTTGTAACTGGTAATCCAATGTTTATTCACATCATTGTTCAGTCTATATTCATGATTTTCGTTTTGCTAAGTGTCTCAGACCCCATTCTCTAGCTGAGCCTCGGTGCCCCAGAAAATGAGGATAGAATATATATTTCTGTATGCACAAGATAAGAACTTTCTGTGGATGTGTTATCTGTCTGACTTCATGTTTTGACCATCTATACATGCCTCATTCCTCAGTTACGTCACTCTCTCTCTCTCTCTTTGTGTGCTTTCTAAAGGATTCTATTTAGCTTCTGCATTTGTGAGCAGCTGAAAACAGAACGGAATTCAATTCACTATATAGAGCACTTTGAATTGTCTCTCTTTGGCTAGATTTTAAAAATGTAATAAAGGGTGTCATGGAAGGAACTTATTTTGGAAATCCAGAGCTCATTTGCATCTATATTGTATTTTATGTCAAGGATTTAGGAAGGTCAAACACTCTCATTGAGATCATATAATAGACAGAGGTCACTTTTCTCTGCAGACAAAAATCCTTCATGATATTTATTCGTGAACTAGGACAATCGCAACAGTAAAATAATTCATTGCCCAAAATATCTTTGCTCAAAAATTCAAATAGCCAGATGGTGGTTGCGCATTCTTACATCCTTTAAAATATGCTGCAGTCAACAGATTATAAGTCAGTGAGAGAAAGGAGAGTTGATATTCAGTGTAAATATAATATGATCATAACCATCTATCTGTTATATGCAGTTACAAGAGAAAAATATGATGAAAAAAGGAGTATTTTCCTTAATACAGGTCATGGTATTTTGTGCTAAAAATTGGTGTAATATACATTTTATATATAAATGTATTAGTCTTAGATTTATTCTACCATATATGAAGACTGTCCTACATCATAAAATTCAAGAATTTAATTCATGATTCTTATGTCATACTACATGCAAGCTTATCAAGTAGTATGTCTTATATGATTGGCCCCCAAATAGCAGCCAGTTAGGCCTAATATAATAATGTCTATATCTACCTGATACATTACTTTCCCTAGTGTCATTTCTTCAGTTGATATGGTACAGAGTTGGGGCTTAGGAATATTCAGACTTTAAAATTGGGATGTATAATTTTCCCAGTTGTAATTATTTTATAAACAATTTTTATGTAGTAGGCTACATTCCTTTTTAAATTTTTTAAAAGAGAGGAAGAGAAATTTCACAGTTTTGAGAAATATGGTAAATTGAAATCATAATTCCAGCCAGAGGCTTGGTTAAACAAAACTTTAAGGAAGCAGTCCTATAAACATATCATTTTAGAACCAATATATTTTATCTATCTATCTCTCTATCTATCTATCTATCTATCTATCTATCTATCTATCTATCTATCTATCATCTATCTGTGTACCTATCTATCTATCTAAAGGAAATTGTTTATCAAGGTGGAATAATTCAGGAAAAAGATATTCATGTCTATAGGAGATTTACAGACACTTTTCACTCCCTGGAATGCAGTCCTCCCTTACCCCAGCCTCTTGCTTTCCATTCTTACATCTGCTAATTTCACCTCACCTTTTGCCTACCAACTCTATTGTCAATTTCTCTGGGAAGCTTCTTTACCCTCAGCACCCACCCACACTAGTTTATATTCCTTACTTTCACATAACTCTTTCTTATTTAACTCTTACAACAAATAGAATTTTAATTCTTGATATAATTATTTGGTTGATTAGACTATGCCATCCATAAGAGCAGGGACTGTGTCTATTTTTGATTACCAGAATCTATCCTAGTGTGATATAAAAATATTTGTCAAAAGAATAAACTCGGCTTAAAGAATACGTATCATGTAAGTGGTCATTTTAGTTATTAAATGCAAATAAATTCATAAATAGTAAATAAATAAGGGAGTTTAAGGGGACCTCTCCATGTAGTATTACAAATATTGCCCTTTGAAACCTGTTGTATTGCAAAGACTGTGCCTGGTGAAAAGGTTGTCAAACTTGAAACACTTACAACATGAAAACTTCCTGGTAAAAAATGTTTGAGATCTGTCTCTGCTGTCTAAGGAAGCCGAGTGGTACAGAGTGCCAATAAATGGATGCTTAGCACAGATAAAGGGGTCTGGGTCAGCTGAGGACCAAGAGCTGGAGCAATGGTCCTCCTCCCTACCTGAATCTACATTCCCTTGTTATTATGCATAGACATATCCCAATATGGAATTCATGGCAAGTGTAACTAGCCTATACACATCTATTCAAGAAAATGAAAACATTAATAAATTATGATAAAATATTCCACATTTAAGCATTAAAAAGTGTGAACTACAGTTAAGGACAAAGGCATACTTTGCACTCCCACCAACAGTGTGAAAGCATTCCTATTTCTCCACATCCTCTCCAGCATCTGTTGTTTCCTGACTTTTTAATAATCGCCATTCTAACTGGCGTGATATGGTATCTCATTGTGATTTTGATTTGCATTTCTCTAATGAGCAGTGATGATGAGCTTTTTAAAAATATGTTTGTGGGCCACACAAATATCTTCTTTTGAGAAGTGTCTGTTCATATCCTTCACCCACTTTTTGATGGGGTTGTTTGTTTTTTTCTTGTAAATTTGTTTAAGTTCCTTGTAGATTATGGATATTCACCCTTTGTCAAATGGGTAGATTGCAAAAATTTTCTCCCATTCAGTAGTTTGCCTGTTCACTCTGATGATAGTTTCTTTGGCTGGGCAGAAGCTCTTTAGTTTAATTAGATCCCATTTGTCTATTTTGGCTTTTATTGCTATTGCTTTTGGTGTTTTAGTCATGAAGTCTTTGCCCATGCCTAAGTTCTGAATGGTACCACTTAGGTTTTCTTCTAGGGTTTTTATGGTTTTAGGTCTTACGTTTAAGTCTTTAATCCATCTTGAGTTAATTTTTGTGTAAGGTGAGAGGAAGGGGTCCAGTTTCAGTTGTCTGCATATGGCTAGCCAGTTTTCCCAGCACCATTTATTAAATAGGGAACTCTTTCCCCATGCTTTTGTCAGAATTTTTTGAAGATCAGATGGTTGTAGATGTGTGGCATTGTTTCTGAGGTCTTTGTTCTGTTCCATTGGTCTATATATCTGTTTCGGTACCAGTATCATGTTGTTTTGGTTACTGCAGACTTGTAGTATAGTTTGAAGTCAGGTAGCGTGATGTCACCAGCTTTTTCTTTTTGCTTAGGACTGTCTTGGCTATACGGGCCCTTTTTTGGCTCTACATGAAATTTAAAGTAGTTTTTTCTAATTCTGTCAAGAAATTCAATGCTAGCTTCATGTAGGTAGCATTGAATCTATAAATTACTCTGGGGAGTATGGGCATTTTCACAATATCGATTCTTCCTATCCATGAACATGGAATGTTTTTCCATTTGTATGTATCCTCTCTTATTTCCTTGAGCAATGTATCCTGTCTTATTTCCTTGAGCAGTGTTTTTTTGTTCTCCTTGAAAAGGTCCTTCACAGCCCTTTTAAGTTGTATTCCTAAGTATTTTATTCTCTTTGTAACAATTGTGAACAGGAGTTCACCCATGATTAGTTCAACTATTGTGGAAGACAGTGTGGCAATTCCTCAAGGATCTAGAACCAGAAATACCACTTGACCCAGCAATCCCATTACTGAGTATATACCCAAAGGATTATAAATCATTCTACTATGATTTATGTATGTTTATTGCAGCACTGTTCACAATAGCAAAGACTTGGAATTAACCAAAATGCCCATCAATGATAGACTGGATAAAGAAAATGTGGCACATACATACCATGGAATACTATCCAGCTATAAAAACGAATGAGTTCATATCCTTTGCAGGGACATGGATGAAGCTGGAAATCATCATTCTCAGCAAACTAACACAAGAACAGAAAACAAAACACCACATGTTCTCACTCATATGTGGGAGTTGAACAATGAGAACACATGGACACATTTGTTCACACAGTGTGTGAAGGGGAACATCACACACTGGGGCCTCTCTGGGGAAGGGGGGGCTAGGGTAGGGATAGCCTTAGGAGAAATACCTAATGTAGATGACAGGTTGATGGGTGCAGCAAAATGCCATGGCACATGTATACCTGTGTAACAAAGCTGCACGTTCTACACATGTATTCCAGAACTTAAAGTGTAATAAAAAAAAGGTATACTTTGTATTTAAAGTCACCATTGGTGATTCTGTGGGAATATGGGAGCAGCTTCTGAAGTTCTAGTAATATCGTGGATATATATGGGTCTCCATAACCACATATATTGTTATAATGCCTCATGTAGACACACTGATGTTTTCTCATAGTCCTAAGATTAACTCAAACATCTTCAACATCTTTGCTAAGCCCCATATGAGTTAGTGGCATCTGTGTCTTCTGGTCAAGAACCCATATCTTCATTGAAGAGTAAACATGGCTGCCTTTTGCTCCAAAGAGAGACACTGCCTCAACCTTCTAAGACTCTTGCTATGCAAGCATCTTTTTTTTTTTTTTTTTTTTTTGAGATGGATTCTAGTTCTGTTGCCCAGGCTGGAGTGCAGCGGCGTGATCTTGGCTCACTGCAACCTCCGCCTGCCATGTTCAAGCAATTCTCCTGCCAGCCTCCCGAGTAGCTAGGACTACAGGTGCGCACCAGCATGCCTGGATAATTTTTTGTATTTTTAGTAGAGAAAGGGTTTCACCATGCTGACCAGGCTGGTCTTGAACTCCTGAACTTAGGATCTGCACATCTCAGCCTCCCAAAGTGCTGGGATTACAGGCGTGAGCCACTACACCTGACCAGCATCCTTTTAAAGATAGTGTGGAAAAAATGGGAAAAACTTTCCTTTTGAATTGGTTTCAGCTCATCACAGGCTTGTGGCAATTTTTCACTTTCTCTGTCCATTCACAGTCTAAAACATATGTGTCTGGATGTTCATAGCCATATTGTTTATAAGTGAAAACACCAAAAGCAATCTAAGCGACATTTTCTAAAATAGTGCAGATCAATAATATTGCATATAAGTACAATGAAACATTATGTAATATAGATTTGCATTTATTAAAATGAAAAAACATAGAGGATATACTAATACAAAACAGAATATAAAATAGTAATTCAAAGTATAGAAATAAAATAAGAAGAGCCCACTGTAGCTGTTATTGCTTTTGTTGGTTTATGGTTCATAACCATAGGAATCTTATCAAAAAATTTTTTGAAAATTGTTGCAAATCTCTCTCTATATATATGTAAAACATATATGTGTAAAACATATATGTGTAAAACATATGTGTGTAAAACATATGTGTAAAACATATGTGTGAAACATATATGTGTAAAACATATGTGTGAAACATATATGTGTAAAACATATGTGTGAAACATATATGTGTAAAACATATGTGTGAAACATATATGTGTAAAACATATATATGTAAAACATATATATGTAAAACATATATATGTAAAACATATATATATGTAAAACATATATATGTAAAACATATATATATGTAAAACATATATATGTAAAACATATATATATGTAAAACATATATATGTAAAACATATATATATGTAAAACATATATATATGTAAAACATATATATGTAAAACATATATATGTAAAACATATATATATGTAAAACATATATATGTAAAACATATATATATGTAAAACATATATATGTAAAACATATATATATGTAAAACATATATATGTAAAACATATATATATGTAAAACATATATATGTAAAACATATATATATGTAAAACATATATATGTAAAACATATATATATGTAAAACATATATATATGTAAAACATATATATGTAAAACATATGTGTAAAACATATATGTGTAAAACATATGTGTAAAACATATATGTGTAAAACATATATGTGTAAAACATATGTGTAAAACATATATGTGTAAAACATATATATATACACACACACATATGACTTATATATACTTAGCAGGATACACACATAGCAAGATACACACAAATGTTAGAAGTTGTTAACACCAGAAAGCATAATTTTGGTGACTTTATTTTATCTAGTATACTTTTCTACCATTCTTGAATGCTTTGTATAAGGAATAAGCTATTTTCCAAAGCATTTGGTGCCAAAAAGTTTTATAAACTCTCTGCATTTGTGTTCTTAAATTATTAGGTGCAATAAGAAATTTATTTTCCTAAGTGTCCAGCATATGGAAGAGTTACACATAGAGGTGCATATCCTAGAATAGGTTCTCTGTGATAGTTACTGCCCACTGACATGTTCTTGGTTCCATATTTCTTTGTTTTTGTTTAAAATGTAAAGTTTAATGGTGCTATTTTCTTTGCTGCAAGGTAGTTTAAATAATTTAAGATAAAGCAAGGAGATACAAGTGCACTGTATTATCATTAATCTCTTTAGTCTCCATAATACCAACACTTTTTGCAAAGCTATGTAACTGAGTCACTTATTCAATAAGCACCTACTTAACACTCATTCTATGTCAGACAAAATGGTAAGCCTATATATGAAAGAAGAAAGTTCCTGTCTGAAAAATGTCAGCACGGGACATGAGAAAGACTAACAAATTGACTACAACACAATTTTACAGACACTGTGACAGATCATGGGTATGGGTGAAATGTGCCCATGAAAGGGGTGTGTGTGTGTGTGTGTGTGTGTGTGTGTGTGTGTGTGTCTGTACTGGGGAGTTGTGTTTGTGAAGGGGTTGTTATGATTTTTTTCAGAGTACATAGTGTTAGAAGAGGACTCCAAAAGGAAGTCATACCTGATTGCTAAAGAACAAACTTGAAATAAATCTTAAAATAAATATTTGGAAAAAAAAAGAGAAATATATTCAAGGCAGAAGAGCAAATGGATGGAAACTGTAACAAACAAAGTGATAGTCATGTTCTGAGAACTGAGAATTGAGCAATTTGGTATTGTGTTGTATTCTCATAGGACAGTGGCAAGAAATTGGCCTGGACATGTGAGCAGGCTGTGTCAGTAAAGTGCCTTGTACACCATGCTAGGAGTTTGCAGTAAAGTCAGACTCAGGGTACATTTGAAAGACCTTAAACAAAGGAGGAAACTTATCTATTGTATTTGTAAGAAAAAAAATTCTAAAAGCTGTATAGGAAAAGGATTGGCCACGAAGCACGAAATATAAATATAGAAAATTGTTTTTTGAGGCATTTCTAGATCAAAAGCTGTTTTCCAAGTTAATATTTTCACCTTCTAGTGTTCGTCCATATCCTTCTCCTCCAAATTCAAGGATTTTGATGAAAGAAACTCCTCTTCCCAAAGAGGAAAGAAGATCTTTGCAAGAAACTTTCATGATTTTCAATTTAGGCTATTTAAGCCTCATACATTGGGAAGCTCAGAGACAATAACATATAGTTGATCTTACATTGAATAAATCAATAGGACATTTATTTATTTATATTTTTTATTTCTTTTTTTTTTTTTTTGAGGCGGAGTCTCACTCTGTCGCCCAGACTGGAGTGCAGTGGCACGATCTTGGCTCACTGCAACCACCGCCTTCCAGGTTCAAGCGATTCTCCCGCCTCAGCCTCCCAAGTAGCTGGGACTACAGGCACCTGCCACCATGCCTGGCTAATTTCTATAGTTTTAGTAGAGAGGGTTTCGCCATGTTGGACAGGCTGGTCTCAAACTCCTGACTTCAGGTGATCTGCCCACCTCGGCCTCCCAAAGTGCTGGGATTACAGGCGTGAGCCACTGCGCCCAGGCAATAAGACATTTATTTTAAATATATTTTGAACTCAACCCAGCCTTGAGTACTGTGTTGGGCATTTGATTTGCTCATGAATATATGCCTTTATCACAGGAGATTGTCATATGACACACTGAGGAGGGGTCAGAATCACTTTTAGGTATCTTTTAGGTCGGTAATAAGTTTTAATGCTGCCTTAAATATATTTATTTGACCGTAAGTACAGGACTTGATATTCACACTTATAAAGGACTACACACAACCTTCTTTTAAAAATTCATGAAATAATAACCACTGTAAAACACATACTCCCTTAAATTATTCTTAATTGCTATTCTTTGTAAAGAACAATGAGCTTGTCAAAAGTCTTCACTGCCTCCACCTCCATTGTGGCTAAGACAAGACAAGAAAAGTATAGAAAGTGATCTCTATCTCTGGCTGCTTGTTATGTGTTTAGTGAGACAGAATTAATGTCCATAAAATATTTTTAAAATAATAGATTATAGAGTATAATCAAGTGCTAAAATTGCTGTGAATCATACCTATGCTGCAGAAGTTTTGAGGAAGGAGAGAGATCCTTATAAACTAAAGGAATCAAGAAAGAATTGATTAGGAAAGTGGGAAATTTCCAGACTTTGAAATGGGAGAAAGTTTTTGAAAATATTAACAATGGAAATGTATGGAACAGTTATTACATATTTGGTGCTGCGCTAAGTATATCGTGCACATTCCACAATCAGTTCCTTACAAATATTTAATAAGAGAAGCTTCACTGCTCCCATTTAACAAATGAAGGAAATGAAACACAAAAAAGCAAGGGGGTGCCACAGCTCACACAGCTGTTAGGTTCAAGCGTGTTCTTGAACCTAGAGCTCCCAACCTGTGCTATTAAATTCTCAACAAAGAAAAACATGAGCTAAAAGATGTGAATAATGTATGCATTAGCTCACTGCTGAAAGGCCATCGGCTTGTTCCTTGAACAATTTTTTAGAAGTAGCGATTATTGGGCTGAACTGCCCACATTGTCTGAAAATACATCTTAAAACAATACTTTGGTGATGGCAAATTTCAGTCCAGAAATGGAATTATCATTAGTCCAAACTCAACTTAACAGTTTAGAAAGTAAGATGAAACTGGTTAATCAACTACATTATTAAACATAAATACGATGTCAACATTTGAAAATTTTGGATCTAAAAAACCAAGTTTTCTAAAATCATATGATTATAATTTATTAGAATAACTTTTATGAAGCAAGTAACTCTTACCCTTAATTTCAAAGTATACTGTAACAGAATATATCATAAGTAGAATTATCCACATTATCATCTATTAGATCTTATGCAAAAAAATCACTAATATTACTAAAGGTAACTACTTAATCTTTGTGGCATAAGGTTTTTGTAAAAAAAAAAAAAAAAAAAAAACCAAACAAAAAAACACATTTATTTAGACAAGTTGACCATATAAGGTATTATTTCACTATATGAGGTGTCAAAGAAATCTGTTTACCTGAAAATATCTCTACTCATTTAAATAAATACAACTGCAGTGTGAGGAAGTGAGGCCAGGTAATACAACCTTTTTACAATTTTAATTACTTTAGCTTGTTTCTAATGCAAGATAATTTTTGATGTGTGTAATATTCTCAAATTCTGCTCTGAGTATCTTTACAACTATAGGATAACTTTGGGAAAGATATTTGCCATGTTAAAATTACATAATAAAACATTGTCTAGAATAAACATCTTTTGGAAAACATTAAAATAACGAGAAATCTCTACCTAAAAAAGGCAAAAGATGTAAATAGGCAGTTAGTATAAATGGAACCTTAAGAATGGCAAGCACATACAAAACTACTCAGACTCACTATCTAGAATCATGTAAATTAAAAGAATAATGCCAACTCACTTCACACTTACTACACTAGCAAACACTATGAAACTAGAGGATGTGGGGAATGGAGAAACCCTCTTGCTGATGGAAAAGCACCTGCTGCAGCTATTGAAGAGCATCTCGGGTTGCTTAGTTAAATACCTGCATTTCACATGGCCCAGCAATCCTGCTCCTGGGTATGCAACCCCTAGAAACTCTAACAGAGGTTCATCATGGCACATACAGAAGGTATTTGTTTTCGTATGGCTTGGAGGGACATTTGAGGCCATTTGGAAATCTATCACTGAGGTACAGTGAAATGTGGAAGATGTACACTGCGGGCACTACACAGTGCTGAAGAGCGATGCTCAAGCTCTGCACCTAGTAACATGGATCAATTTTAAGAGTGTCCCACATCTCTTCTTCCCGACCCACCCCAAATGCCACACTCTGGTAACCACCACCTGCTCTCTATGTCCATGAGTTCTGCTTTTGTAGACTCCGCAGACACGTGAGATGATGTGGTATTTGTCTTTCCGTACAAAGTTTCAGTTAAACGGGAGGAATAAATTTTAGTAATATTGCACAGAATGGTGACTATAATAAATAACAGTGCACTCTGTATTCCAAAACTGCTAAAAGAATATATATATTTTAAATATTTCCCTACAGAAAAATGATAATGATGTGATGCGATGAAGTGATTAGCTTGTTTCACCATTTCACAATCTAAACATATATTAAAACATCACATTGTACCCCATAAATATATACAATTACTATTTGTCAATTAAAAATAAATTAAAACGAAGAAAGTGCTAAGTGAAAATAAATAAGAAACAAAATTCAGTATGTATAATGCACTGAAGGAATTTAGTCTTCAAATATATGCATTTAGAAAGAAACATACAAAACATATATATACTCAATTCATTAGAATGGCTGCCTCTGGGGAGCAAGGGGAGTAGGTGTGGTCGGAAAAAAATTTAAGGGGCTTAATTGACTTAACTAATACTATCTACTGTAAAAGACAAATCCTGAATATTCATGACTTCATGCATGAAAGTTTTAGTTTTGCCTCACATTATACTGCCATGAGCAAATGTATGGGCAGGCAGCCAAATGATATACTCTGGGGATTCCGCCCACCCTATAATAATTCACAAATAACCCTGTGAATCATTTCCATCCCAACCAGTAAAAAGGAAGAGGTGTGGGAGTTTTGATGGGCCAAGCACGGAAGGTGCACCTCTCACCATTGCTCCCCATCATTAGTCATGCTTTGTCGTGGACAGTCAGCAATGAAAGCTGGGGAAGGTAGGCCGGGTGCAGTGGCTCACACCTGTAATCCCAGTACTTTGGGAGGCCGAGGCAGACAGATCACGAAGTCAAGAGATTGAGACCATTCTGGCCAACATGGTGAAACGCTGTCTCTACTGAAAATACAAAAATTAGCCTGGCATGGTGGCACATGCCTGTAGTCCCAGCTACTTTGGAGGCTGAGGCAGGAGAATCGCTTGAACCGGGAAGCGGAGGTTGCTGTGAGCCAAGATTGCACAACTGCACTCCATCCTGGCGACAGAGGGAGACTCCATCTCAAAAAAAAAAAAAAAAAAAAAAAGAAGAAAGCTGGGAAAGGTAAATTCAAGTTGCGTGCTGTGCAAAAACAGAAATGAGTTCTATGGAGAGTGAGCCAGTACTGCCTGTACATGTAGAATGATAATGTGACTTAAATTGAAATGTTCAGTCAATGCAACCATCTGCACTGAGGTGCACCTGTCCCTAACTATACATGAAATACACTGAGCTTTATATCAATCAGTCTTGAATGATGAAGCAAAATTATGAATACACATAATATTCGTCCAGGTATTGCTGTGAAAGCATTATGGGGATTGGGAACAACTGTAATCAGCAGAGAAATATGTTTTTAAAATGGAGAAATAATTGCAGTCAGGAATTATGCTACATATACACATAAAAACCTCTATCATGAAACTTGAAGTATGTAGTAGAATATTTGAATAATTATTAAATTGATGTAATTGCATTTTAGAATGTAACACATCACTACAATTTTTCCTTACGATTATAATGTGGGAAAATAGCAAATGGAAAAGATATACTAGAGAAAAATCACTGTGACTTGATTGAGGCATTGTGTTTGATAATTATGTGATATTAAGATATCCCAAAATATCAGCCAAAATAGGTTAGGCCCAGTTTTCCCTTCTGTCTTTTCCTCATATTGAGAGTCAAGACTTCTTTCCCTACAATCACTTAATGCACTTCTATCTCCTGTGTCCATCAACCTGACAGGAAATTATAGAACACATCTGTGTTTGTTCTGGGGACTATGTTTATTGTTCTTTGCATCTTGGCTGTTAACATCATCTTATAATTTTCAGTGAATTTTGGTAACAAGCATATTTCCTTTCCTTCTGCCTGTTGTTGTGTGACAGACAGGGATGGAAATTTTTATCTTTTTTTAAAATGTTGCCATTTTTCTCTTTTCTCTAGTTATGCCTCCATTTTCCTCTGCTGCATGGCCCCAGGAGAGATTTTAATTAGCTTTCTAACCTTGGTCCAGATTGCACATGCAAATGGTAGAGGATGCAACACCCCCGCTTGTGGAGCTGCCGCTTGTGTCTGGCATGGTGAGTTCAACATTTGCTGCAAGTCCCACCGATTCTGACTGTTTCTTTCAAGGGCCACATATTCAAAATCGAAACTCATAATTAAGCATCATATGAACAAAATACACTGCCAGCTGAATATTCATTCGGATATGAACGATAATAATAACTGTTCCATTGCTGGTGTAGATAGAGAGTTCCTGAATAATCCCAAAGATTGTTAAAATTAACAAGCTTAATTACTTGAAAAAACCTTGTGCAAATTAACATGATCATATGCATTTCAGGAAAAAGCACATGATCTTTTACATAATGAATGATATTTTGCTGAGATTCTTGGGTTTGTAAGGCATTGTTGGCCAAGCATGGAATGTTTTCCTATGGTATGGTGTGTGAAGTGAGTTACACGATACGCAGAAAAACATTTATGTTTCAATATTTACCTTAAGATATATGACGTTTTAATACTTCACCAAGCAGTAATTTTGCAGATATTATTATTAAGAATCACATAAGCAGCACTAGTAATGTTTATTTTCAGACAACATGAACAGTAGGTGTGGTACTTGAAACCTTAGAAACAATGTATTTCCATCATATCTGATAAAAAATATAGATAGTACATAACATATAAATTACTCATGTAGATTTGTATATTGCTGACTTCAGGAAAAATATCCCATGCCTGAAATATTTCTTGGGAGATGCTTTAATTCTGCTAAAGTCATGTTTCTCACAATAAGAGAAACAGTTTCATCTTTGTAAAGATACTCTTTGATGGGCACATAGGGAAGCAGAAACCAGTTGAGATAGGTGTTATCACTTAAGAAAATACTGATGTACTATTTAAAATAGTAAACCATATTAAAAGCATGCCACGAAATTCTCAAAATGTATATTCTCTGATTTTAAGGAGATTGGAAATGACTACAAATTTACTGTGTACTTGGCTGTCACGTAGAAAAGTACTTATTTTTCAAAAAGAACCTCATGTGCCTCTGGACTGAACATTGTATCTGTGACATCCGATTCATGATTGAGATAGGCTGTGCAAATGTTCATATTTTGCAGTTATATTTATTCATTTCAACAGCTGAGGTCTATTCTTAAAAAGAAACCTTACATCATCCTTCCCTCTGTAAGACAAAGTGTATAAGATGATTGCAAACCTGTAGTCATGACAATACCTTAATAAGGGTGAGTTGTATTATTTTGTTAATCTGAACAATAGGTTTTAAATCCATGTGAAGAGCACACTGAAAATAGTTTTAACATTAATAAGAAAGACTTGAAAGACTTGAAAAAACGGCTTCTTATGTATTTTCCTGAGCATGCTCATAATTGCAATTGTGCAATAATTTATTTTCTCATCATTCTTCAGACATTACTAAATCCTTTTACATACTCAAATAACAGAACTTAGACATCACTTCATGTGGCTTCTGCAAAGGGAAAAATGGGAATAAAATGCACTTACATCATTTTGTTTGAGAATTAATTCTCAACATCTAAACCTTTTAGTAAGGTGTTTAAATACATTTTTTCTTTTTCTATATATGCATTTGTAAATAAAGAATCCTAGTGCTGAGTAACATTAAAACAAAAGTAATAATCCTTTATACACAGGTCTGTTTCACCAACAACAAAGTAATGTCGAATAAATTGTCCTTTATATTTACTTTACCTACTGCTTGTTTCTCTTTTATCTATGCCTGTCTGTGCTGTGTATATGGGACAGGGGACATTGCAAATAGCTCACAATGTCCACACAGTCATTAAATTCATATATTAAGAACAGCAAAGCAAAATGATAGAAGGGGCCTGGGGCCATAAGGACATTGAGGAGGAGACACCTTATTGTTCCTAAAAAAACTATCTTCAGACTGATTATGTGAGAAAACCAATGTTTATTTAAACTTCAAGAGTCAACTTTTTGTTGCATGAGTTAAATGCACTCATAAATGTTTCAGACAGTAAGCAGATATGATGGAAACTCATAACTATTATGTTCAAATCCAGGACATTGGGATAGATCCGCTACTTCTTGACACTATTTCCATAATAATGCCTCCGGCCACCGAGTGGAAAATGTAACAAACGGGCAATATAGGAAAAGCATCATGGCCCCTTTCTTAAGAGTGAAAAACTGAGATTGTACAAAGATCATGATCCAATCATAACTTCGTTTAGATAATTTTGATTATTTCAATATTTTATGAAATATAATAATATGCAAAATATATATCTTAAAGAAATGGCAAAGAACGGCTCAAAACTGAAGAAGGAGAAGTAACTGGCAAGCCACGATGCCATGGCAGCTAATGAACTTATTTCCATCACTTTCGTTTTAAATATCTATCCAGGATGCACTCTTATTATCCAAATGTTATATGCATTAGAAATAGAACAGAAATATAAGTAAAGTAATTTTCCTGAATGCAATACAGAGATAAAGAGAAGAAACTTTGAATGAAACATTAAATGATAAATATAAAAAAGCAGAAAGTCTAAATATCGATTTAGCCAGTGTTTCATACCGATACAGTCGAGAAAATGGGGAAGAGGAAATACTTGCTGCTATAATGGTTAAAAATTTGGAATTGTTCAAAGACACAAAAGCTCAAATTTGTTAATGCCAAGGAGCCCCAACAGATTAAATATAAAGAAATCCACATTTGTACAAATCACAGTGAAACTGTTAAACATCTAAGACAAACAGAAATGTCCAAAGCCACTGAAGAGCACAGAGCCCAGTATCTATATTGAAATAAAAAATGCAGTTAGACTTACAGGCTGATTTTCAATGGCAACAGTGGAAGCCAAGACAGTGCGATATGATCCTCAATGTACTGAGGATAAATGTCCAGAGTGAAACTATTCTATCAAAAAAGACAAAATAAAAGTTTTTATGTTAAAAAAAAAAAAAATCTGGCCGGGCACAGTGGCTCACACCTGTAATCCCAGCACTTTGGGAGGCCAAGGCAGAGAGATCACTAAAGCTCAGGAGTTTGAGATGAACCTAGGCAACACAGCAAGACCTCGTCTCCACTAAAAATACAAAAATTAGCCGGGCATGGCAGTGGATGCCAGTTATCTCAGCTACTCAGGAGGCTGAGGCATGAGAATCGCTTGAGAACAGGAGGTGAAGGTTGCAGTGAGCCAAGATCCTGCCACTACACTCCAGCCTGGGCGACAGAGTGAGACCCAAGAACAAAACAAAACAAAACAAATCTGATGGCACTTATGATAAATAAATATAAAAGAATTATTTCAGATGAGCAAACATTATCTTGATAAAAGACTGACATGCAAATAGGAAGAATAAGCAAAGATGCTAAGTGTAAATAGATTTTAAAAATAAGGAAACAAAAATAATAGAAGTATAAAATAGTAAGAGTAAAATATAAAATAGAGTACCTAATAGTTGTTATTTTATTTATATATTTTATTTTATTTTATTTTATTTTGAGAGGGAGTTTCGCTCTTGTTGCCCAGGCTGGAGTGCAGTGGTGCAATCTCGGCTGACAGCAAACTCTGCCTCCCAGGTTCAAGCGATTCTCCTGCCTCAGCCTCCCGAGTAGCTGGGATTACAGTCATGCGCCACTGCACCCGGCTAATTTTGTATTTTTAGTAGAGACGGGATTTCTCCATGTTGGTCAGGCTGGTCTCGAACTCCTGACCTCAGGTGATCCACCCGCCTTGGCCTCCCAAAATGCTAGGATTACAAGTGTGAGCCACAGAACCCGGCCAGTTGTTATTTTAAAAACACATGTTGGAAATAAGTGTGTTGAATATTGTGATTTTCTACCTTAAATCGTACTGTTTGGTATAATAAATTAGATTCCACATTACTGTCATTTCAAGAAATTAATTTGCTAAATTAGTCTCTGGAAGCACACATTGATTGCCAATCAGATCCTATCTTTGCAGCCAAAATCAGCTATCTTGGATATGGTCAGTTCTAGCCCATTTCTGATAGGATCTCAGTGACATACCTTGAGAGCATATGTCTCATTAAACACTCGAATAAAATTAAAGTAACTTCACAGACATTTTGCCTCTTTTTTGACCTGATTCAAGGACCACTCTCAATGATGGGCCACTGTACTTTTTAAACTGCCTACGTTTATTGGCTTTCTGGGCATAATTTCATGTTTCACCTTATTAGAAAAGCTACTTAATTTTTTTTGAAATATTATATAAATTTAAGTTTCCCAGAAAAATAATTTATGAGATTTCTTATGGGGCTTGGGTTTGATTTTTACCAGTCTACAACTAGATCACTTCTTACCTTGTTGATAAATACGTTAGGAAAAACGTAAGATAGCTTATAATTATAATGTCCTTAATTGTTGTTTCCATGGGTCAAATTTGACATTAGTTAAACTTAATGTGATATATAGACTATGTTACTCATGATATTAATATAATCTATTAATAATATATTAATATCTTAAATGTTAAGTTTTGTAGCAAGAAATTCTGAACAGATAATAAAATTCAGACTGGTTAAATCAAAAATCCCACTCATCCTCTCTCTTTAAATTGTAATTACATTTCCTTCCTTCCAAAATTACCGCTACCACCACCACCACCACCAACAGTGCTATAGAACAAAAAAGTCAAACATTTTTCTAGATATGGTTAAGTAGCTTATGGACACCTGTCATTATTTCTCATTTCTTGCCAAATAGATTAACTTGAAATTAACTTTTACAAATAAAAATCAATTTTTTATCCACTAACCCAGAAGCTGACAGTCTATAGTTAATACCTTGGAAAACAAGTCAACTTATTTAAAAACTAAGGAGTAGGACTGTTAAAACATTTTTTAAAAAAGGAAATATATGGCATTTTATTGGATTTATTAAGAAATTACATCATTTAAGGACATTTCTTCTACTTGTATTTAATTAAACTTTTAAAAAATAACTGTGATGGTTATTTGTTCATTGCTATTTTGATATTTTTGGCCCTTAATTGCCCCATTAGTTCTATACTTTCGCAAACTCAAAATGTTTTGAATTGATTTTAACTTTTCACATTTTAAAATGTATGTCAACAATTTCGCTCCTTCACTATTTAAATACATGTCTTTTTACATGAAGAATCATAAGTTTATCTTATCAAGGAGGAACTTGATAAATACAATAAATGCAAGCTCCTTTGCCTCTAATTCTCATCACTCTGGCCACTTATATATTATACTACCCAGTGTACTACGTTTTTATTCACTGTAACTTAATTGTCCTTCCCTATTAGAACATGTGCAATAGAAAGCCAAAAGTGCATTTAATTTTAGGTTTGTATTATCAGCTTCTGTCAAAGTAATGGCACATAGTTGGTGTTCAATATCCAATAAAGGAACGAATAAATAAACTGATCGATTAGGATGCTTTTTGTTTGGAACAAGAGTATATCTAATTACTCATCCAGACGCACCTGTTTCAAGGAATCAGAAAGATTGGACTGCAAAGACCAAATAAAGATAACAAAGCGGCCGGTTGCGGTGGCTCACGCCTGTAATCCCAGCACTTTGGCAGGCCGAGGCGGGCGGATCACGAGGTCAGGAGATCGAGAGCATCCTGGCTAACACGGTGAAACCCTGTCTCTACTAAAAATACAAAAAATTAGCCGGGCGTGGTGGCGGGCACCTGTGGTCCCAGCTCCTCGGGACGCTGAGGCAGGAGAATGGCGTGAACCCGGGAGGCGGAGCTTGCAGTGAGCCGAGATCGCGCCACTGCACTCCAGCCTGGGCCAGAGAGCAAGACTCTGTCTCAAAAAAATAAAATGAAATAAAATAAAATAAAAAATAAAGCCGATAAAACTCTGATGTTCTAGGTAATTTAAAAATAGAAATAAATTAAGCTGAAAATAAATCCTGACACATACTATCTCTGTCTCCCACTTTGTCTTTTTAGCAATTTTCATTCGGGTAAATATTGTACGGCAATTGTCAATATAATTATTGTTCATTAGAAAAATTAAATATCTATTACCCAATCACCAAAATGTCACTTTTATTATAGAAGCCTCGACAAATCAGTAAAATTGCTCCAAATTTTGAAACGTGCATCTTTAATTGAAAATGTAACAATAAACTGTCAATATACTTTATAATTGTTATCATAAACAATGTTTTAATTTTAACGACCATTTTGCAAATTACCCCTAAGCATTTTTTAAATCTCCATACAGGTTCGTGAGATATATTTTATTTGGTGGAGTTTGATTAACATGCTTCATTAGGCCACATGTGAAATTAAAAGTACTTACAGGCTCCACTGTTTTCAACTCTCTCTCACCATAACAAACACCAAGTGGATACAGATGAAATTCACTGAGCCCAACACATTCTGGAAGCACATCACTGCTCTGTTGATTTGCTAATGGAGTAAATAAACCTATTTTCTTCATGACAGGGAAGTGGAAACTATACAAGTAGGTGTGTAGCTTATTCAATGATTTTACTTAAAATTCAAGCAAGTGTTTGTGAAAAATAAATTGTTTTTTAGTGAGCAACAGATTGTGGAGACATCGCATAAGGGGATGATACCAGGAGGCTGTAAAACTCTTAAGGGATCTCAAAATAATGGAGTTCAGCACTTACTGAAATTGCATTCTGTGGCTTGAGTAAAAGTGTTTGTTTAAAAAGCATAGAGAATTTTGTGTCAACTTTGGAGACAGAAGCTATTTTTAAAACCCTAGTAACCTCAAGGACTTAAGAAACCAATATTACCCAGCTGATTTCATTTCTAGAATCTGATCCTATTGTGACACACTTTTCTATACATACTGTCTTTTTAAGTTTTAACCTTTATTTTATTTACCCAACTCAACTGCCCCACTCATACCTGAGCACTTACCCTGACATTCTAGGTAATCTAAAAATAGAAATAAGTTCAGCTTAAAATAAATTAAATAAATCCTGGGACATTCTCTCTCTCTCATTCTTGTCTTTTTATGACTTTCCTATATCAAAGGTTCTGGGGTATGATATAGGTAAATTTAATATCCTTTTAACTTCTAGTTAACCCACTAGATATGGCTTATAAATCTAGTTTTTGACAGCAGTAAAGGATTTTGCTGAACCTTTTCAAGTATGCTGCTATTTTCAGGCATACAGTTAGTGGTTATTTCTTCTGTGGAAATAAGGGCAAATTTTACTTCAAAAAGATAAGTTTATTTTCTTAGCACATGATAGAGAAGGTAATATGAGGTGTTGTCTATATTCAGAAAGAAGGAGAGTTTTCATACTGAATATGAATAGAACCACCAGAAATATTTGGATTTTGATATGCTCAATATAAAAAACTACCCTTTAAATTTATCCTGAAAGGATTTCTTTGGTGCTTCATTTATTAAGATTGGTTTTCTAGTTCTAGCATACACTTTTACTCAAGCCTGCTTTGACCAATTTCATCCACTTGTTTTATTCATCTTTTCAATAGTTGTTTCCAATCTGATGCTTCTGCTTGTATCATATTTTTGTTAATAGATGTACGTAAAGATTAATACAAATTATCACCTTTTATATTTAAATCATTGGTAGATTTTGTGACCATGCTAAATTTAAGCATGTAGGCATTAAACAACTATTGAATTACGATGAACAAAAATAGCTTATATAAAGGAAATGTGTGCCACCAATAAATTTTCATGTCAGAGACTGAAAATATAAATGCCTTCAGCAGGAGGGAATTAACACAGGTATCTGTACTCAGTGGATAGATAATAGCAGGAGCAAATAAACTTGTTTGATAAGGAAGCATATCCCCCCCTCCTTACAGTATCTATACTGTTGTCTATACATGCTGTTATAACAGAACTATCAAACTGAGCAGATGACAGGCATATACAATACATATATATTGTATATCATCACAATTCTGAAACATTTGTTCTATGTGAAATAAAAGGGAGATGTTACAATTGGAGAGATCTTGAAATGTGACAAAAAGTTTTTAAACTGCAGTAGGATGTGTACCCATCAGCACATCAGCAATAGCAAAAAAAAAAAAAATAGACTTTATTCTGTAGGCAATAAGGATTCCTTATGAGTATTGAGCAGGGAGTGTTAATATTATGAGAAAAGCGCTACTGGGAGATGCATATGGCAGCTCTGTGTAGAATAAAATAATGTAGGTAAAAAATAATAAGGCATAAGAATTAGAATAGTGGCACTAGAATAAAGTGTCACTGCGTTTTTGTTGTTGTTTGTTTGTTTGTTTGTTTGAGCCAGCAATGTCCGGCAATTGGTTGAAGGCACGGGGCAAAAAACCATACAATTATTTCCAGCCCTTGAACTTAAATATGCCTAAAATCTTGATGCATTTCTTTAAGAATTAAAGCAAAAGGAATGGACTTTGTAACAGGTATTAGTGTTGTATTTGAAATTCTAAATAGATATTCAAGTAGAGATTATGATAAACATTTATTTGCAAAGTTAGGGTCAACCTTAAGAAAAAAACTAGTTCCAGAACTACCATTTCTTGGGCACATTTGTCTAGTATTACACATGTCACCATTAGTTCTCGTGTCAGTTCTACGTGGTATTTATTCTTACTGTATTTTCAGGTAAATAACTTAGTCAAGGCTAGTCACTGTGCAGTGTGGAGCCTGTGTGCTTCCAGCTTCATAAAGATGTGGAATACAATGACATAGTTAAATTCCCTACTGAAGGATATTTCTAAATATAACAGTGGAGAAGAGTAGAGATGGAAGAGAAGACAAGAAGCATGAGAGGAGAATGAGTTTATTTGTTCTTTTGGTAAGAGAAGGACTAGATAAGCACAAAATGAATGAAACCAGGAAGAGAAAATTAAAGAAGGAAAATAAAGCAGAAGAATCCAGAAAGAATGATGTCTCTGAGTTTCCCACCACACCCCAGTTTGAATGGTTTATCTATGTACAAGGTATCAGTATTTCTACCCTGCATCCAAAAAAATGAAAACATGTACCTTTCTTTGGATTTATGCAAAAAAAATCTACTTCTAAAAAGCATCATGAAGAAATGTAATCTTCAATGAAGATTTCATAGAGGAGGTAATAGTTGTAGAAAAAGCAGTGAATATTTATTGAGGATTTTACCTTTTATATAGCACTGCTCTAAGGAAGATAACGTTTGTTAATATCCAACACTCACAACACCATTATAAAGTACATACATTTTACAAATGAGAAAACTGATGTTCAGGAAGTTTAAGTAGCTTTTCCTAAGGCAACAAATACGTTTAAGGAAATCACATGAACACACAAGTCCCATTGGTAATTCTTTATTTAAAATGATCACTTTTACATGGAAGTTCCCACTCTTTTTCATTTATTTTTTTCTTTTTGTTGCATTGAAGGTTTCTGTCAGCGTATGAGTAAACTGAGGTAGATTTGTGAGCCCTGTATTGTGTACTCCTAGAATTATTTTAAATTACTCCATGTATTTCAGTTTAACTTGTAGAGGATTTGTAAAATATTTGACAATGGCTCTCAGCTTAGTAGGGAACCAGAGCTTACAACTAATCTTGAGGATCTTGCTTTGTTCTTAAAGGGATTTAAGTTTATGAAGGAATTGAGATTTAGAGGATTTTAGCTTTGAAGACCATTGAAGGTTGGGAATTTAATTTTCTTTCTGTACTAAGTATCCTCTCGAATGAACATTTGTTGTTATCAAAGGTTACCCAACGTGGCAGATTGTCATCTGGAATTACAGTATAAATATGTATACTGTATCAAGAGCAAGGGTCTGGGATAGAAGATGCATGAACTTTGGTGTCCACTGATAAAAACTCATGAGTCCAGCAACGTCCATTGGAAAGCTTTGCTTTTGGTCTTGTGCTTTGGGCCCCAGTCTGCCTATGACTCCTGGCAAAAGAGAAGTTTAGGAAAGAGATTTGTTGCAGTGCCAGACTCTCATCAACAAAATAAAAGCTCACATGACATGTTAATAATTGGCCTGAAATAGAATTTGTCAGAAGGATGCTAGTGGAAGGAGAAATTTCTGAACTCTTCCACCCCTGGGGTCAAATCAAGAAACAAATTTATCAATCTCTGCGTTCTTGCTTCTTCCTAATGAAAACACTTTCATAGATTTCCAAAATAATGGTGAGGATCGATATATAGCAGACAGGTTTCCACTGAGAATTACAAATTTCAAATCTGATCAGTTAATCGAGGGATTCCTAGGAGACAAAGTAAAGTTAGCTTTCGAGAAATCAAGAAAAAGCTTAGAACCAGTACCTGACTTACCCCATTATCACAGCCAGAGACCTTAGGCAGAAGCTCAAAGGGCCTCTCAGTGGAACCTACTCTTTACAAGTTTCAGATCTTAGACCAGGGAAGCAAGACGGCCTTGAGTGGATATTGGAGAAACCACCAGATTGTTCAACTCCCCTAACATATCACTAGAAAAACGGTTAATAAAGCTCAACTTTAGAACTTACTACTTTTAGAGACGAGAACACCTTGACAGTTTTTACAGTGTTAAAGATGGGGGGAAAAGTCAGTAGGTTAAGGCATCTCTGTCAAGGCAAGGAACTAAGGAACTAATTAGAATTTGGCAAATTTTTGTACTGTTCCGGATGGGTGAAAACTGCCAAGTGAGGGTCCTGAACCAAGTCTTGATCAGAGAATGGCTTGGCTAAGTTGGAAAACTATTGTCTCTGACAAATGGATCAGGAAACATTTCCTGAAGCAAACAATAAAGTTATTTGTTCGTTTCCAGTCTTATCTTTCCCAGGTAAACTTTGCCTGGAACAAGCAAATAAGTCATGTTGACACTGGTGGTTATGTCATGTTGATGTGAGTCTTGTTGACATATATGTTGTCTGTTGTCAACATGAAAAAAAAAAAATCCTTCCTCAGTCTTTGTATTTCCTATTCTGATATTCTGAATTCTCGAACCTTATTCTTCTCCATACTTCCATCTCCCTCTTTTGTCCTCCTACCTGATTGGTTCTTTCTTGCTTATACATGTATTTCACCACTTCACCTAGCAGGACCCTGGAAAGTCTTCAGTCTTTTAAATTATCTCACAATCCTGGCTATACTTTCTCTTCATTTACTAACTCATTAATTTTTCAGATAATAACAATCCAAATTCGATCTCTTCTTTGTTAAACTATTCCCTGCTCATCAGATATGTGCCAAGTTTTTTAATTGATTGGCAAATTCAGAGACCAAAGGTAAGTATCAGTAGAAATATTAATTTCAGCTATGTGTAATTTAAGAAATAATCACCTTCAACAAGCAGTATATAGGTAAAAGTTAAAATAATTAGAAGTTTTAAATAAATGTTCAGAAGCCAATTACATAGATTACATTACAATATTTCAAAAACAAATTGTAGTATGGAAATTTTACATATCATGACTCTACTAGACACATTAGTTAGAAAGTTAACTTGGAAGTGGGTCCTTCAGCCAAGTACTAGAGTCAGAGATGTTAGATGTTTGTCATTAAATATGGTAAAAGCAAATATTGAAGTACCCTTCATGGGTCATGTTGCTACCTCTTTGGGGATGTGGCTTTTTACTCTGGTCTAGTAATACCATTTTTCTGAAGGATACAGTGTCAGAGCTGATGATTAAATCAATGAGAATAGTTAGTTGAGGAATGAGTTTGGTGGGTCAGAAATTGGGGTTTAATGAAAATTCCAGCCAGGTGTGGAGGCTCACACTTGTAATCCCAGCACTTTGGGAGGCTGAGGCGGGTGGATCACCTGAGGTCAGGAATTCGAGACCAGCCTGGCCAACGTGGTGAAAACCCATCTCTACTTAAAATACAAAAATTAGCCAGGTGTGGTGGCACGCGCCTGTAGTCACAGCTACTCGAGAGGCTGCAGCAGGAGAATCGCTTGAACCTGAGAGGTGGAAGTTGCAGTAAGCCGAAATCGCACCACTTCACTCCAGCCTGGGGTACAGAACGAAACTCCATCTCAAAAAAAAAAAAATCACACTGAAGGAAAATCATGAAGAAGGGCAGGAGGAAGTAAGTGTGGAAGAAAAAAAGAACTTTCAAAATTAGTGTCACTGCAGTTATAAATTTCCGGCAGAGTGTTTCTAGAAATGAAATCGAGAGTAAGTCTTCCACCAGATATGGATCATGTGGTGCATTAGTCTGTTCTCACACTGACATGCAGAAATACCTGAGACTGGGTAATTTATAAAGGAAAGATGTTTAATTGATTCACAGTTCCCCGTGGTTGGGGAGGCCTCAGGTTACAATCATGGCGGAAGGCACCTCTTTACAGGCAGCTGGAGTGAGAATGAGTGTCGAGAGAAGTGGGAAGAGCCCACTATAAACCATCAGATCTCGTGAGAACTTACTCACTACCACAGGAAAAGCATGGGGGAAACTGCCCCCATGATTCAATTGTCTCCACCTGGTCCTGCCTTTGACATGTGGAGATTATTATAATTCAAGATGAGATTTGGGTGGGGACACAGAGTCAAACCATATCATATGGCGTGTTCGACATTCTCCTGCAGGCTTTGATCAACCATTGATGACTTATAAGCAAGATAATGACATTTAAGAGTAATGTTTCTAACTGCAATGAGAGTGTGCAAAGGCAGGGTTTCAGGGCCAACACAGGGGGCCAATTTAAGAGGCTGCTAAAATAATGTAGGAGAAGATGACAGCACATCCTGAACCAGAGAGATAAATGGAGAGGAGCATTGAAAAGGAAGGAAGAAATAGGATAATGTTTGTAAAAGTAAATTCAGGAGGACTTGATGAATTGTTTGACCTGGATCTTGCAGAAAATAGGGAACTAAGAAAGTGTTCTCATCTACTAGATTTTGATGATCCCAATTGTAGTTACCAATCAGAGGTGAGTTTGGCCTTTTGAGGATGATCATCACTGAACCCTTTGACCTTAGGGATTTAAATGCATTTAAGGGAAAGTTCTAAGCAAGAGACAAAAGAAATGTGTACAAGAGAAAGAGGGAGCAGAGGACTGCAGATGAATGGAGAGCACTTTAAGTAGAGAGATAAAGGAAGTAGGAAGCAGAGATGCACTATGCAATTACTTAGAAGTGGAAGGATGTTTAGGAGTTGGGGATGTTGAGCTTGTATTTACCGATACATTTACCGATGATTTCCGCATAAAATCATTATTTTTCTCATGATGGAAAGAACTGTTACAATTGAGAATATCACCTAAGGATTGAGATGATCGAATAGTTGGGCAACTGCTGTAATATGGGCTCGGGAACAGAGACAGACTATGAGCCAGGCTGGATAGAAACTGTGCTGCATGCATTGGTGTCTTCCTCTTGGCTTGAGCTTGTCCATTGTGCAGCAACAGATGGTTCTTACCTCTGAACAGTAACCTTGACATGTTGAAATATTAAATGATAACAAATATCTTAGTACCTTCCTTACAAATAATAACACAGGATAGGTACACCCTAATTGTTAATTGATTATATATATAACATAAAGCTTAAATGAAGCATTTTGGGGGAATGTTGTGATAATAATAGCTGATATATTTCCATTTGGAAGGTTAAAAACACCTTGATAATCCGTGAGGACAGAAAGCAAGAGCTGAAGAGAACAAAGTACGAAAACAGTGAAAATTTTAAAGATTTAGATGTGTGGAAGCAGATAGACACATAAGGAAGTATTCTGTAGCAACTCACAGTCATCGGTGGAAATTTTGAACTAGTAGAGGATACAGAATCAGATTCTTGCCAAATGTATTCAGTTATATGAGGAATAGAGAGTTGATGTCTGCGTTACATAAACAATTTTCCTGTAACAGTCTCACTTGGGAATGGAGTATACCAATGATGTTATTGTAGACTTGGAAGTGGCAACAAATTAAATTGATCATTTTAAATAATTAATGTAATGTGAATACTATAAAATTTACAGAAATTGGATAGTCAGTATGTGAATTAAAATGTTAATGTTAGGTGAATATTATAAAATGTACAGAAATTGGATTGTCGGTATGTGAATTAAAATGTTAACAGTGCATTTGGGTGGAAATCTTGCTCTTGAATAATCTGCAGATTTGAAAATTGAAAGGGTCATTCCAGCAATTCTTTTGTTGCAGTACTCATTGCTTCTTCTTCTGAGTTTGACTTTACTAACGACAGTTTCTTTAATGTTGGATGTTAAGGTAAATAATTTTAATGTATGCATAATCAGTAGTACTATGAGACAGTTAATATATCTGCTATAAATAAACCAATTCTTTTCTGATTTGTAATTTAAGAAGCAGATTGAAATTGGCTTTCCAAAATGAGTCAAGAAAATAAACCTGAATCTCAAAGAAATGAGTGCCCTGAGGAATAAACATAATTCACATGTTGAAACGTTTCTGAAAGTTTTTAGAGTAATAGAGGCTATTTGAGGGCCAAAATACATATAAAGAGATCTTTAATATCCTAATTTATTTTCATGAAAGAGTTAATGAATCTCTAAAACAGTAAACAGTTCACAACGTTTTGGGGAGTAGGTTTTATGCCTTTTAAGCATAATATAAATGGAAACTTGTTTATTTTCTATAGTCAAGCAAATGTATTACATGCCACTGCTAATGGGAAAGACACTTATACACTTGCCTAAACAGCAATTCCATTCTTTAGGAGCAATGATAAATGTTCTTTCTTTTGAATGAGATTTAGGAATTACTTGACTACAAACCATTCAATCTAGTATTATTAATTATATAGAGAATTTCATGATTTCATGGAATTTAGATAGCCTTGCAGGAAGATTTGTGGTTTAGTAATGCACTGACAATTAGCTAAGAAAGGTATCATGTATATTTGGTCCCTGTTTCTAGACATCAACCTCTGATACATTAGAAACATGAAGAATAAAAAATATATTATTAGTCATTTTGGGACGCTAAAGATGTCTTCTTTAAAGAATAGAAAACATTTTTTCAAAAAAGAGGAATTTTATAATAAAATTGATTTTATAGCAAGACTGAAGTATCTAAAGGCCTTTGTGTATGATAAGTTGAGCTACTTCAAATAAAAAATTAGAAAATGGTAAGAGTTAATAGTTGTTCCTTAGAACTGGATCTCTTTCACTTTAGGATTTCCATAGCACTTTGGGCTTTTCTTGTAGTACATATTAATTTATCTATTGCTTTACATTTATTTATTCTTGTCTTGCCACTTTAAAGAACATTTGCATCTTTTATATGCAATGACATATAACATTGGCTTTAAAGAGGCCTAAGTTAAAATCCTTGGCTGATGTAATGAGAATCCTTGTCCTCAGTGTTCATGTTTAAAAACATGGGAAACATGGGAAAACATGGAAAAACAAAATCTTGGAGAGGTTTTCTTGTCATGAAGTTAATTAAGGTAAGCACCGTAGGAAGCGCCCAATGAGAAATGCAAGCTATCTTGGTCGTTCTTTATATAAATCTATTATCAATACATCAAGAATGCCTCTTACATTGCATTAATCATTGCCCAGAGGATACTAGAAATAAATTCATAATAATGTAACTTGAGAGTTAATGTATGTCATTAGGTTTAATGGATTAGAGCATCACTTAATGAAATGAACAGATATAGGATACGCTTTATCTTTAAGAAATGATGATAAAATAATATATTAATAGGTTTAGACTTAGCTGTAAATAATAGAAAACAAAACTAAAACAGAAGTGACTTAAATAAGTTAGAAGCTTATTATTATCTCCCAGAGAAATTCAGAATTAGGTGATTCAGCGCAGGCATGGTATTACACGATGTCAGAGACTCAAATTCTCTATCTTGTTAACCTCCATTTAGGCCTCCATGCCAAAATGTCATCTCATGGACCAGAATTGCTGCTCTAGATCCAGCCATTATATCTGCACTTTAACCAACAGAAAGTAAGAAAAGAAAAAGAAAAGCATGTGCCCTCAATTATAGGGCAATACTCTTAGAAACCTATTGGCCAGAAGTTAATTCCTTAGCTAAAAGGAAAGCTGGTAAATATGGTAAATTTACCATTTACCATATGCAAAGATCAAAATCAGAGTTCTACTACCAAGCAGGCTGAAAAAATAAATATTGGCAGATTTTGGGCTGTCACTGTGATGTATATATTATCGTATGAATAATCTACATAAAAATATTTAAAAATAAATTTTATTGTGTATATTTGAGATTTACAACACGATGTAATTGAGACACATATAGATAGTAAAATGGTTACTATAGTGAAGCTGATTAACACAGCGATCATATCACAGTTGCTTTTTTGTGACAAAAGCAGCTAAAATCTCTTTATTCAACAAAATTCTCTAATACAATAAAATGTTATTAACTTTAGTCCTCATATTTTATATTAGACCTCTAAACTTGTTCATTCAATGTATCTGCTATTTTTCATCCTTTGACCCAAAGCTCCCCATTTCCTCTCTCATTCCTTTCACTATATATATATATATATATACACACACACACATATGAGCCCAAATATATATTGTTCATATAAGTGAGACCATGCAACATTTTTCTTTCTTATCTGGATTATTTCACTTAACACCGTGTCCTCAGAGCCATCTCTGCTGTGGCAAATGTCAGGGACCTCTTGTTTTTTAAGGCTGAATAATGTTTCATTGTGTATATATAAAAATTTTCTTTATTCATTAGCTTATTGATGGACATTTAGGTTGTTCCCATACCTTGGCTATTGTGGCTAATCCTGTACTGAACATAGATATGCCAACATCTTTATGAGATGTTGATTTTAATTCCTTCAGGTATATACCCAGAAGAGGAATTTCTGGGCCCTATGGTAGTTCTATTTTTAATTTCTTTAGGAACCTTCATACTGTTTTCCATAGTGGCTATACCAATCTACATTCTTATCAGTGGTGTGCAAGGGTTTCCTTCTCACCATACCCTCACCAACATTTGTTGTTTTCTATCTTTTTGATAATAGCCATTCTCACAGATGTGTGGTGCTATCTCAGTTATTTTAATTAGCATTTCCTTGATGATTAGTGATGTTGAACACCTTTCATAAATTTGGTGGCCAATTTTATGTCTTTTTTGGAGAAATATATCTTTGAGCTCTTTGCTCATATTTTAATGGGGTTGTTTGTTTTTCTCCTATTGAGTTGTGTTCTTTATAAATTTTGGATATTATCCTCTTATCAGATACATGATTTGCAAATATTTTTCCTGGTTGTAGGTTGCCTTTTCATATTTTAAGTTGCTCCTTTTGCTATACAGAAGCTTTTTAGTCTAATGTAGTTCCATTTACTTATTTTTGCTTTTGTAGCCTGAGCTTTGGGTTTCACATTAAATAAAATTATTACAAAGGCCAATGTCAAGAATACTTTCCTTTATGTTCTCTTCTAGGTGTTTTACGGTTTCAGGTCTTACATTTAGGTCTTTTGTCTATTACGAGTTGATTTTTGTGTATGGTCTAAGCTAACAGTCCACCTTCATTCCTTTGCATGTGTAAATCCAGTTTTCCCAACACAATTTATAAAAGAGACTATTCTTTTCCATTATGTTATTGTGATGCCCTTGTCAAAAATTGCTTAACCATATAGGTTTGGATTGCTTGTTGGGCTTTCTGTTCTGTTCCATTAGTCTATGTTTCTGTTTTTATGACAGTACCATAATGTTTTGATTACTGTAGCTTTGTAATATAAACTTAAATTAGGAATAAAGCCTTCAACTTTATTTTTTTTCTTTCTCAGTATTACTTTGGATATTCGGAGTTTTTGTGGTTCCATACACATTTTAGGATTGTTTTCTTCTATTTCTATGAAAACTGCTGTTGAAACTTTGATATGGATAACCCTAAATATGTATATTGCTTTGGGTAGTATAAATATTTTAACAATACTATTTCTTCTCACCCATGAACATGGGATATCTTTTCATTTATTTGTGTCTTATTTGTCTTATTTAATTGTTTTAGTCAATGTTTTATACTTTTTAATGTTCATATCTTTCACTTTTTTGAGTAAGTTGATTTGTAGTCATTTTTTATGCTTTCATAAGTGGGATTTTTAAAAAATTTATTTTCAGCTAGATCATTATTTTGGTATAGAAGTAGTACTGATTTTTGTATGTTAATTTTGTGTCCTGCAATTTTATTGAATTCATTTGTTAGTTCTAGCAGTTCTGGGGTAATCATGGCATCTGCAGATAGAAATCATGTTACTTCTTCCCTTCTGATTTGGATGCCTTTTATTTATTTATCTTGTCTGTTGCTCTTGCTAGGACTTCTAATACATTGTGAATGGGAGTGATGAGAGTGGGCATCTCTACCTTGTACTGGATCACAGTGGAAAGTTTTCAGTTGTTCCCCATTGATTATGATGTTAGCTGTTTTTTTTTGTTGTATGTGTGTGTGGTTTTGTTTGTTTGTTTGTTTGTTAGTAAATAAATGGCCTTTATAACGTCGAGGAGCTTTCCTTTTATACCTAAACTGTTAAGAGTTTTTATCAATAAAGTAGGGTGAATTTTGTCAAATGATTTTATGTTAATTGAGATGACCATGTGGTATTTATGTTTCATTCTGTTAATGTGATGTAACGTATTGATTGATTTGCATATGTGAAACCAATCTTGCATGCCAGGGATAAATCCCACTTGATCATAATGTATGTTTTTGATGTGTTGTTGAATTCAGTTTGCTAATATTTTATTGATAATTTTTGCATCAATGTTTATCAGAGATACTGATCTGTAGTTGAATTTTCTTGTAGTATCTGTCTGGCTTAGATGTCACAGTGGTGACACCCTTGTAAAATGTACTTGAAAGTTTACACACTACCTTCTTATTTTGGAAGAGATTAAGAAAACTGGAAATAATAATTTTTTGTTAATGTTAGGTAGAATTCAGTCATGAGGCCATCTGGTCCTGGGCTTTTCTTTATTGGAAAGATGGTAGCTACTTGTTGGTATGATTTGACTGTGTCCCCACCGAAATCTCAGCTTGAATTGTAGTTCACATTATCCCCACATGTTGTGGAAGGGACCTGGTGGGAGGTAATTGAATCATGGGGTGGTAACCTCCATGCTGTTCACCTAATAATGAGTGAGTTCTCATGACATCTGATGTTTTATAAAGGACTTCCCTGGCCCCCTTCGCTCTGCATTTCTCATTCCTGCCATCAGGTAAAGAAGGACGTGCTTGCTTCTCCTTCTGCCATGATAGTTTTCCTGAGGCCTTCACAGCCATACAGCACTGTTAGTCAATTAAACCTATTTCTTTTATAAATTACCCAGTCTCCGGTGTGTATTAGCAGTGTGAGAACAGACTACCACCCTTGTTCGGTCTTTTTATGTTATTGGTCTGTTCATGCTTTCTATTTCTTTCTGATTCAATTTAAGTAGATTATATTTTTCCGGGAATTTATCAATTTCCTCTAGGCTATCCGGTTTGGTGGCCTATATTTGATCACAATAGTCCTTTATGACTGTCTTCATTTCTGAGGCTTCTGTTGTAATGTCTCTGCTTTTTGTTTCTAATTTTATTTATTTGAGTCTTGTCTTTTTTTCTGTTATTCTAACAAAGATTTTGTTGATTTTGCTTAGTTTTTCAAATAGCCAACTCTTTCTTTAATTGACTTTTTCCTATGACTTTTCTGTTCTCTATTTTATTTATTTTTGTTCTGATTTTTATAATTTTCTTCCTTCGCTAATGTTGGGATCAGTTTGTTCTTTGTTTCTAGCTCCCTGAGGTATGCTATTAGACTATTTACTTGGGATCTTTCTTCTTTTTAAAAGTAGATATTTGTTGCTGTAAACTTTCCAATTAGAAGTACTTTTGTTGCATCCTATAGGTTTTAACATGTGTATCTATTGTTGTTTGTCTTAAGATATTTTAAAATATCTCTTTTGGTTTATTCTATGCCTTATTGGTTGTTCAGGAGCTTGTTGTTTAATTTCCTCATATTTGTGAATTTTCCAAGATTCCTGGTGTTACTGATTTCTAGTTTAACACCATTGTGCTCTTGGATTTGTTAAGACTTGTTTTGTGGCCTAATATATGGTTTACCTTGAACAATGTTCCCTGTACACTAGAAAACAATGTAAATTCTGTTGTTGTTGGATGGAATGTTTTATATCTGTCTGTCAATGTTCCATGTACACTAGAAAAGAATGTATATTCTGTTGTTGTTGGATGGAATGTTTTTAATCTGTCTATTTGGTTTGAAGTGCAGTTCAAATTTATTTCCTCTCTGGTTGATCTATGCAGTGTTGAGATAAACACTTCAACGATAAAACTGAAGTCTCCTACTATTATTGTATTGTTACCATTGCTATCAATCTCTTCTTTTATGTCCATGAATATTTGCTTTGTATATTTAGGTGCTCTAATATGTGATATGTATATTTATAATAGTTCTGTAGTTTTAATAAGTTGACCTCTTCATCACTAAACAATGACCATTTTTGTTCCTTGTAACAAAATTTTACTAGAAGTTTATTTTATTTTATATGATATAAATATAGCCACCCTTGCTTTCTTTTGGTTACTAATGACATGGAATATTTTCTTCCTTGCTTTCATTCTCAGGTTATTTGCGTCTTTAGAGCTACAATGGATTTCTCATAGGCAGAATGTAGTTGGAACACGTTTTTGTATCCATTTATATTCAGGTTATACATCTAGGTTATATTTTTCTGGGAATTTATAAACTTCCTCTAGCCTATCGAATTCAATGGCATATAGTTGTTTATAATAGCCTGCTAGATCATTATGATACAATACTCCAATGTTAGAGTGTCAGAATCATAAGGACCAAAGAGTTTGAAAGGAAAAAAAAAATACAATGTTTAATGGAGTGCTTAATATGCATCAAGACTTCTACTTACATTGGGAACAAAACTCTAGCAGTTATCTGCTCCTTTAAATTCTCCATTTTATAAAAAATACTAGCATTTAGTGACCTTTTAGTCACTCTGTATGTTTTGATTGGCCAGTTTATTCATTTATATTCAAGATTATTATTGCTAGATAAGGACTTATTCCTTACTTTTTTATTGTTTTCTGGTTGTTTTATAGATCCTTTGTTTCTTTCTTCCTCTCCTGTTGTTTACCTATGTAATTTAATTAGTTTCTGTATGCTAAGTTTTGATTTCATCTTTCTCGTTTGTGAATGTACTGTAATGCTTTGCTTTGTGGTTACCATGGGGCTGATCTAAAACATCTAAAAGTTATGATAGAGTATTTTAAGCTGATTACAACTAACTTCATTTGCATATAAGTACTCTAGCCTTTCTTTTCAAACGTATAATTTTTATTTTTGTTATCACAGTTTACATCTTTATATATCACGTGTTCCTCAGTAACTTATTGTGGCTATAGTTATTTTTGACCATTTTAACTTTTAACATTCATACTAAGATTTGAAAGATTTACATACCACCATTACAGTAATGGAGTTTTCTAAATTTTATTATGAATTTACCTCTACCAGTGAGTTTTATACTTTCATATGTCTTCATGATAGTAAAACTTACTCTCCTTTTGCTTCAGACTGTCACACTCCTTTAAGTATTTTTTTGTAACACTGATCTAGTGGTGATGAACCCCTTTAGCTCTTGCTTATCTGGGAAATATTTTATTTCTCCTTCATTTCTGAGAGACAACTTTTCTGGGTAAAGTATTTGGCTAGCAGGTTTTCTTTTTTATTTAGCAATTTGAAAATACCATCCCATTCTCTTCTGGCTTGCAAAGTTTCTGCTAAGAAATCCACTGATAGTCTAATGAGAATTTTCTTATATGTCACTTTGTGTTTTTTCTTGATGCTTTTAAAATTCTCTCTTTGTCTTTGCCTATCATCATTGTGATTATATTGTGCCTCAGTTGTGACTTCTTTGGGCTGAACCTATTTGGGGATTTTTAAGCTTTATGGGTCTAGATATGCATATATCTCCCAAGTCTTAGGAAATATTTTGCAATTATTTTGTTAAATAAGCTTTCTGTGCCCCTCTCCATCTCTTGATTCTCTGGAATTTACATAATACAAAGATTTGTTCACTTATTGGTGTTCCGAGAATCTCACAGGCTTTTCTTCGCTATTTTTTATTCTGTTTTTTTTTTTTTTTTCCAGCTGTCTGGGTTATTTCAAAAGATCTGCCTTCAAGTTCAGATTTTCTTCTGCTTCATTTAATCTGTTGAATCTCTCAATTGTATTTTTTATTTCATTAATTGAGATTTTTCAGCTCTAATGTTACAGATTGGTTCTTTTTTAAGGTATCTATGTCTTTGTTAAATTCTTATTTGGATCATAAATTGTATTTGATTTTATTGAAATAAATTTTATTTTTGATATTATTCTGTATTCTCTTGTATCTTTCTGAGTTTCCTTAAGATCGTTATTTTGAACTCTTTTTCAGAAAACTTGTAAATGTTCATTTCTTTGGGGTTAGTTACTAGATCATTATTGTTTTTCTTTGGTGGCATCATGTTTCCTTTTTTTTTTTTTTTTTTCATATTTCTTGTATCCCTGTGTTGATACCTGTGCATCTGGTAGAACCATTACCATTACCTCTTCCAATTTTATAGAGTGGCTTTCACAGTGAAATGCTTGTATTTGCAAATGGGTTTTAGAGGGTTGTTTGGTTAGAGTGCATTGGCTCTGATTCTAGCTGGGTACAATAGTGTAGTCTGTGCAGCTTCTTCGGGTTTAATCAACATCAGCAATGACTGTAGGTGCCTCAGTGGCCTAGGCTGTGGGAGTTGGTGGCAGCAGTTGTGGCAATATAGATTGTTAGGGTTCTCAGTGGGAAGGACTTTAATGATCTTCCTGGTCTCATTTTCTACACAGTGGGGAGACTTCTCTGAAGGGATCTCTTTTGGTATTAGGTGTTACTTGGGCCACAGGCAGCCGAACTGATGCTGTGTTCCAAGGCATAGGTGTTCAGTGTGGTGTGGAGCTGGAGTGCAGGGCTCAGTGTCTTGTTTAATTACTGAGGCACCTGTGACATGGATGCAGGTTTACTCTCTTAAGTTTACATGGATGCAGCTCTTCCACCAAGCAGACTAAGAATCTGAGATGCTCTTCGGTAGCTTAGCCCCATGGGGCAGAGCTACAGCTGTTACTCTGATTCTAGAGGTCAAAGTGCAACACTGGCATGGCTCTGGAGAGGGAGGCCTGTTCCAGAGGTTTGGGCCTGGGGAAGCAGGGCACATTTGCACTTTGGAAGCCAACAAAATACAGTGACAACTTGGTTACCAGCAAAGAAGGTGCTGCATATTGGTGACTCTGGACTCTAGAATGGTAGAACACAGCAGTGCCCCAGTTCTGTGAGGCTGAGTGTGTGACAGCAAGGGCTCAGAGGTCAAGGAACAGTGCAACGTTAGCTACACTCCCCAGGGATGTGGGGCACCTCAGCAGCTCAGACCCCAGGGAGCTGGCCCATATCCAGAAGCGAGGGTGCTGCTGATTGATACTTGGCCCATATGGCACTGTGATACAGTTTGGCAAAATCTATGTCTCCCTGGGCATTAGGCGTCACATAAGCTCAAACACCAGGGTCATGGCTGCTCCCCTGGGCCAAAGCTCCAATCCCTGAATCCAAAGCACTAAGCTGGTTCAGATGCTGAGGTGGCACAGCTTCTCTACAGGCTCAGATGAGGAGTCTCTATGCTAGAATGTCTGGTCCCCAAAGGGCAAGGTGCCAGCTGGGCTCAAATGCTGAGGTCAAGAAATATTGTTTTAATTAAATAAGAGGGATCACAGTGTCAATAATTGGCAGTATCAATTCGTGTGGGAAGAAGTGTTGATATTCAATAGCCTTTGAACTGCAGATGTTCTTGAAAGTGCAATCATTTAGTATATTACAAATATATCTATTTTAAGCAATAAAAACACTTTAAACAAAAGGAAACTGGATCCATAGTTGGATCTAGAGGCATAACCACATCAGCGTGGCATCATTTCCTTCACTTTCTGACCCTGCTTTCAATGACATGGTATCTCCATTCAGTTGAAGAAAAGAGCATGTCCTAATCTAGACACTTATTCTCCTATCTTAAAAACTTTAGTTAAAGTCCCAAGGTGGGTACTATAGATTAGCTTCTATCATGTATCTATCTCTGAACCAATTACTCTGACTAAACAAGTCACGCATGTTGTTTAAAATTGCCTAGGGATTTTCCTATAGCTACCTTAAAAAAGTCCCACAGAATGGATGTCTCAAAACAACACATATGTATTATCTCGCAGTTCTGGTTGTCAGAATTCCAAAATCAAGGTGTCAGCAGGGCTGCGTTCTCTCTGAAGACTCCCAAGCAGTGTCTGTTCTTAGCTTCCAGTGCTGCCAGGGATCCATAGCATTCCTTGGATTACTGAACACCGCTTCAATGTCTGTCTCCATCACCACGGGGTGCACATCTTGCGTACCTTTACATGATCTTCCCTCTGTCTCTGCATCTCTTATTCTTATAATGATACTAATTGTATTAGTTTAGGGTCCACCTTAATGACCTCATGTTAACTTGATTAATTCTGCATAGACGCTATTTCCACATCAAGTTGCATTTATAGATACTGGAAGAGAATCCACACATATTTTGAGAAGACAAAATTGAACCTATAATAGATGGATGCCAAGATGGAGAGCTTCACCAGAACCACACACCCACCCATTAGGGTAAAAGTGGATATCAAAATTAAAATGTTGATATTTTTTTCTAAAGAAGGAGTGGTATATGGGTAGATAAAGACTGCAGCTGCCATAATCCACATTGAACAGAATGCAGGAGCATAGGCTAAAGTAAGACTGAGTTCATATCTCATTTACACCTTTCATTTGCTTTTTGAAGTAGGAAACTTGCTTAAACTCTATTTCTGTTTCTTCAATTGTAAAATAAGGTATTACCTACACCATGTTTTCTGAGTGAAGAGTAAATGATTTTATCGTTATAAACATGTTAACACAATGGATTACACATATGGCTCGCTCTAAATGCCTGTTCTATTATCATCATTACCACATTTAAATACATTCCAACGTTTGTATCCCCTGCCTATACACATACACCACATACTTATTCTCACATAAACAATTTCTAAAATTCTTCCATGTATTTATAAGAAGAACTATTAATATTTTCACCTTACAGAATGGTAAAGACTTTATGAGAATAGAAAACAAACACACAAAAAGGAAAACTAGAACCTGGGTTAAGGGAAAGCCTTGTGATTTAAAGGGTATGAGACCTGGAGTCATCTGCTAAAGAATCAAATGCTTAACTTGAAGGAGAATGGGCAACGGCTTTTTTTTTCCTGAGAAAATGCATTTACATTACAGAGAGGAATAATATTCCCAGCCAAGGAGCCAGGGTTTATATCCCAAGGGAACTGTCAGTGATGACTAGGTTTCTCTCTCTGTCTTAGAAGGGGAGAGTTGGCAACTCTGTAAACTGTCCTATAGGGCCATAGTCATAATTGTGGCTGGCTTCCTTTCCCATTACTCTGTGCATGTAGGGTGACTTCTGGCTCTCATCACATTGCCCCTGGGGGATTGGGACAAGGGTAACTGATAGTAATGCAACTATTACTGTGGGGGTCTTCAAACTAGTTGGTGTCAGCTGTTTCACTGGAATTCAGGGTCTGAAAACAATTTATCAATTCTTAAACAAAAGCCTTATGATTCTCATGTCAGAGGTCCTATCCATGGGAATGATGGGGATGCAGATGGTCAGCATCCAGTGCTGTGTGGCTTATGGTTATAAGAAAGTGAGTCCAAGTGCAGCCTAATCAATGTTTAATTATAACTATAGTTCTCTCCAGAATTCTTGTTAACCTTGTGAGGATGGATTCATTGCTTTGAATCATATTTTTGTTTGAAATCTGCCTGCCTCTGTGCTTTCTATTTAGAACACAAAGACCTCCTGTTCCAACCATCCTCCTGGACCCCATACTGATGCACTCCATATTGGCCTTAGAGTAGGGAGATAAAATAGAGTTTTTAATGTCTTGACCGCAGACCCCAGGATACAACCAAGGAGAAGGGTCTTTCTATGTAAGATCTGGGTTATAAACGGTTAGAGAGAGCTCTGTGGTTGATAACTCCAACAGAGGCACAGGGAATAGGAACAGGGCAATTTCTCAAAGGAAAGGGAGATAGGCTGGGACTAGCAGAGAGTGCAGAGACAGTGTAATGGATGGAAATAAAATTGTGTGACTCCAGGTACCACATCCATTACAGTAGCCAATGGGCTTTGATATACTTTTTACAATGAAAAGGTGGTTCGTCTAGAGAATCACATCAGGCAATTATTAAATTAAGTTTTAAACTCTGAAAACATCTTCTTAAAATTATATGTCCACAGAAACTATCTTATAATTATAATTTGACTACAGAGTAAACTTTCCTAGACAGCTAGAAAGTTTTAATTTTTTGAACATTTAGTTTTAAGCTGATAATAGTTATTTCTCATTATTAATTATCAAGTTAGCATTATAATTTAATTTATCAGTTTTGTAAGTTGGGTTAAAGTGACTCCACAGTCATTGTGATGCAATATAGGCTATTTGACATAACGATTTTTTCCTCAGCTACAATTTGAGTTCCAAACACTTGGTGTTGATGAATTTTGTTAAATTCACCTAAATTTAAAAAAAAAAAAACAATTCTCTGGTTCTATTTGGGGGAGAGCTCTCTGACCTTGTTTATATTTGATAGCAGGTCATTTTTGCATGTGCCTCAGAGAGTATATTTGCAATTGCTACAACAGACACTAACTCAAAGATTATATAATAAACTGTGAGCTTTGAAATAGAAACCCTCTAGCTGCAACAACACCTAGAACAATGTAGGCTGAAAAGTTGTCAAATGAATGCAGCACGAATCCATGGAATAGCCTCTTGAATCCACATTTGCAAATAAAAGTATTTCTTTCTTTTCCTAGTCCATCTGGAAAACTTTTGTTTTTCTCCAGGATTTGGGGATGTAATCCTACACTATATCTTGAAACTGACTTAATACCATGCACGTGACAAAGATGTAAAGGCGTGTGTGTGTGTGTGTGTGTGTGTGTGTGTGTGTGCAGGTGCATATCTGACATCTCCAGTATGTCTACACTTGTTTTCATCCAACTGTCAACTTGACACCTATACTTAAGATGTTTGATGGGCATCTCACTATTAACTTGGCCAACACAGAAGTTTCTAATTTCCTACATCACCAACTTAATCTTCACAATGTTTCTGTAGATCAGTGAAGGGAACTTGCCTTCCTCCAAGTTGCTTAATAGTGACAAAAAAATTTAGGAGAAAATTCTTCATCCTCAGCACGTTATCCTGACTCTATCCGCAACCTGTATCTGGGATCTATTCACCATTCTCACCATTCTCCATTCTTTCTGAAAATTTCTAAGTTTAAACCACCATATTCTCATTAGACTCTCAAGAGTTTCCAGTGGTGTCTGCCTGTTTCCTGTTAGGTCTCCTTTAAAGCCATTATTTAACAGCAGATAATCGAAAAGTATAGATCATGTAATGTTCTACTCCTGTTTAAAACTCTGTGGTGACTTCCCATTACAGTTAGAATAAGGTTCAGACTTCTTAAAATGGTCCACAAATGTTTCTCTGACCTGTCCTTTGCCTTGTTGCAGACAACTGTGGCCCCTCTCCCGCCTCCTTCACCGCCCCACAGCTCTGCTGGCCTTCTTTTCTACCTTGAACATGCCAAGCTCTGTTACCATCTATGATTTTTTTCATATTCTACAACATCTACCGTCTTCATATTTGCCTTTATCTCTGTCTAGGATGCCCCTTCTAGATGTTCATGGCTCACTCCCTGCCATGTTGTCAGGTATTTGAGCTCTCTGTTCCCACTCAGAGTAGATGAGCAGAAGAGGAAATGAGGGCCTTCCCAGAGCAACTCCCCCAGGTAACTACATGATTCCGCATTAATCTATTTGTAACACATATCGCCTCCTGAAACGTTGTTATTTTTAATTTGTTTAGTCTTTTATTTCACAGTTCTTCCCCCTAAGATATAAGATTCATGAGGACAGAGAAATTTGTCTCTCATGTTCATCCCTGTATGTTCCACAACAAGATAGTCTGAAACATAATGGCTCCTACATGTTTGTTCAATGAGTTACATTTCATTCTTTTAACATGGCTTTTGTTCCCCAACCTATAAGTATTCTAATGGTATAAGCTCTGCTTACTCACCAGTTCTCCCACTTCATTCTTAACAGAGGGCCAGGTACTCAGAAACGGGGGGAGAGGAGGGAGCAGGTAGCTGCAGACCAGCAGTGCAAGGAGGACTTGCTAAAGAAGAATTTGTTTAGGAATGTAACAGTTAAAGGTCTTTGGATCTCTTAAACAGAGTTCTCCAAAAGCTCCATGTGGCCAAACGTTCATGCTAAAATTGCTGTATAGAGGCTATATATTAAATAAACAAAAATATGTAAACACATAATATTCCCATATTTAGTCAAGTACAATACACGTTAGGTCTTAGTACTACTACTTGAAAAGGTTGTCAATGTATTTCTCTGTTTTGATGTGAATGAGTACATATTTTAATGCAACTATTGTACAGGATGTGTACATATATAAATCTATAGATAGAATTATGTACTTTTGAGTACATAGTATATATATATACACACACACTATATATACACTATATATATATACTATATATACACTATAGTATATATATACACTATATATAGTGTATATGTAGTGTATACTATATATAGTGTATATATATACTATATATAGTGTGTGTATATATACACTATATATAGTTATATATATAACTATATATATAGTTTTTTATATATAGTATATATACACTATATATATAGTTTTTTCTCTATATATATAGAGAGAGATATATATATCTATATATATATAGTTTTTTGTTTGTTTGTTTGTTTGTTTGTTTTTTGTTTTTTGTTTTTTTCCTGAGGTGGATTCTTGCTCTGACATCCAGGCTGGAGTGCAGTGGTACGATCTTGGTTCACTGCAACCTCCACCTCCCGGGTTAAAGTGATTTTCCTGTCTCAGCCTCCCTAGTAACTGGGATTACAGGTGCCCATCATCACACCCCGCTAATTTTTTCTGTTTTTAGTAGAGACGGGCTTTCGCCATGTTGGCCCGGCTACTCTGAAACTCCTGACCTCAGTCAATCTACCTACCTCTGCCTCTCAAAGTGCTGGGATTACAAGCGTGAGCCACCACACCTGACCCACATATTTTTTTCTACTCACATTTTTCTCTTTCATAAAGCATTTTTATAGTGCATAGATGTGCAATGCTTCATTAAGTCCTGAGTAATTAAAAAAAATTAATATCTTGCTATAAATTCTGTTTTTTCAGCTAAATATCCAGCAAATTCTGTAACAAAATATGTAAACAAAATAATACTTAAAAATATGCATTGGGCAGGCACAGTGGCTCACACCTGAAATCCCAGCACTTTGGGAAGCCAATGTGGGCAGATCATTTGAGGTCAGGAGTTCGAGACCCCTATGGCCAATGTGGTGAAACCCATCTCTACCAAAAATACAAAAATTATCTGGGCGTGGTGGCAGGTACCTGTAATCCCAGCTACTCTGGAAGCTGAGGCAGGAGAATTGCTTGAACCTGGGAGGTGGAGGTTGCAGTGAGCTGAGGTCGCACCACTGCACTCCAGCCTAGGCAACAGAGTGAGACTACATCTCAAAAAATGTATCTATGCATTTAGCTTTGCACTCACTGGTGCTTGGCAGAAAAAGCTGGGTGCACCCATGCAGCTTGGCTTGGTTACCTTGGGCTCCTTGAGCCAAGCCGACCTGGGAACTCCTAAAGGGAGTGGCTTAGCAGACCACTCTTGGATGACTTCCAGCTGGTTCCCTCTCACCAAAATATACTAAAATTTTGTATATTCCTTCCATGTGGCTGACTATATCCTAAGAAAAGCATTTTAAATTATTTTATTATGTTTTCCCTCCATTGAAAACTTATTTCATATTTATTGACTTTTCTGAAGTATTAGGGACACTCAGATTCATATCTAAAGGTTATGAAGCTACTTGTTGAAGATGTGAAAGAGAAGTCAAAATCAGAAACAATGAACTGTAAACTCTGTAATGGTAACCTATTATTCATTGATTTGTTCAACTAAGATGAGAAGATGAGTGTTTTAGTATCATAATAATACACAATTTCTCTTCCTTAAACAATATTGAGTTAAAACTGGATGACTTGTCATCTTTGCACTTTTAGTGCAAATAATCACAATTAATTTGTTATTATAAACTTATCAGGATATTTTATTTAATTCCCTTGTTTTTCATGATGCCAATGAACTACAGCACAATACATTACAAAACAAAACAAAAATCACCAAGAGATTGTATTATAAATATCCCTTTAAGTATTAAATACTAGTAAAATCAACATTATCAGCTTTTATACTTCTACTTTGTTCATCAACCTTTTAGCAATGTCTGCAATGTAATCATACCTGATCATCAGATCATATGAAAAGTTTAAGGTCATTATTTTATTCATATACTTCCAAATACTTAATTCCACTTAATAAAGACAATTATTAATAAACTATATTTTGGTAGCGTTCTTTTTAACTTTGGTTTGCCTCTACTAAGATAATATTAGATTTTCAGAAAGTGTAACCCTGTAGTTCTAAACTGTCTAACATCTCTTGGTTTCTATTTTTATCTATTACCAGATGAACAGAGCCAGGCTGCCTGGATTCAATGTTATCTTCATTTCTTAGCTGTATCATCACGAGTTGTTTAATTCCTCAGCACTTAATTTTCTTGACCTGCAAAAATATGGATCATAATGATCATTAACTAATAAGTTTGCCATGAGGATTAACTGTATATTAAGGGCTGATAAAATTATATGTTACAAAGTAAGTGCTCAATGAATATTACTCATAACATTATGTAATTAAATTTTTCTGTTAACCTCAGGAGAAAATTCTTGGGAGAATGTGAAAAATGGATTTAAAAGTTAAGTCATTTAGGTTACAATATTGAAGCAATTGTGTGTATATAGCATATGCATTGTATATGCCAGGGTTATATTTTTTTGCATTGGCACATTTATTTTAATAATTCAACAGTATCGATACAACACTGATTACCATTAAAATACAAATGTATATTTTGCTTTGGAAATAGAGCCAATGCAGTTATTCCAATAATATGCTTCAATTATTAGTCACTTAAAAGATAAAATATTAACGGTGAGGAGGGTAAAGAAAAATCAGTATAATAAAATTGATTCCCAGTAACAAATCCCTTCCTTTTCACTCTGTAACCAGCCCAGTCTCTCTGGCTTCATATTGTTCTGTTTTGTTTTGCTTTGTTTGTTCAGTGCTGTTTATATTTAGATTTTTCACAAAATAAATTCTCTTTTTAAACAAACTTACAGTCCTATAATCCTTTTAGTTTTTAGTGTTTGTGCTTTGCTACTTTACTCACAACTACTTCTCTCTGAAAAAAAGAAAAAAAATCACAGCTTCATTTCCAAAGACATGCATTTTTTTAATTTAAGCAATCTAGAACCAATCATATTTTTAAACATGTCTGATACTGCCACTAAAATAAGATATTCATTTCAAATATAAAGATATGGCCTGAATTATTCAGAAATAATTTGGAATTGCCAAGTAATACGCTATGATATTGAAATAGTAATTCAACAATAGCTACATTGTTTCTTAAAATTGTAATTTAAATAATTATCTTTCACTTTAATCAGTGATTTAGACATTATTAAAAAAATGACAGTTTATCTGGAATATAATTTAGCTTAACTGCACAGTATTCTAAAACCAATTATCTCAACAAATAATTTGAAAATAAGTTAAAGTGATCTTATATGACCTGAACCCCATTCCAGGAGATTTTCTTACAAAAGACTTGGATCTTTCTGGCACAGTACCCTATTATCTTACATTTCCAAGCACAACATTATTTATATTTATTTAAGTTTTAAAATCCATGTTGAGATATCTAGGCTCATAAAAGTAGCTAAGCTGATTGATTTTCACAAAATATCTTTATGCACACAGCAAGCACTCTGAGTGAGATTATCCAAATAAACAAGATAACAATATGTAATTTAAGATGTGAACATTTAAAGTCTGAGCCCACACCATATGGATTTAAATTTCCTTCCATGTAGACCATTATGATTTGTGCTGTCTTTTTCTGCAGGCTCTATAAATGTACCACACCCCGAAGTACTTCCTTATATCTATGTCTTTATTTATTTTTTTTTGAGGCAGAGTCTTGCTCTCCCGCCCATTCTGGAGTGCAGTGGCATGATCTCGGCTCACTGCAAACTCCGCCTTCCAGGCTGAAGTGATTCAAGTATTAAAAAGAGTCAGTGTCCACAAGACAAAAACAGTTAGAAGAATGCCTAAGTCTTAGTATCATGTGGCAAACTGTTCACAAGGTTACACTGATATTAACTTGTAATATTAAACTGTTTTAATTAGTCTTTCACAACCAGTGGTTTGAATTTTAACCATGTCACTTAGTAGTGCTATGGCCGTATTCTCTGATGTATAAATGATGATAAGCATTCTTTTGTCTTTTGATAAAAAAGACTACACATGTAATTATGTATATACATATATAATTTTATCCTATATATTGATATGTATGTATATTAATATGTATGTACATTTATATGTACATAAGAGGGGTTTAATAAATATTAATCTTCTTTATAGAGAAGACTTTGTTATATATATACATGGAAGAACACAGACTCAATCTCTCACTTTGAACAAAAGTGAAACAATGCAAATGCTTGGATCTGCAGCTGACAATAATGGCCAACTTCTTCCATGCTTTTGCTCCAGAAGGCTCACACCAGCCCCAATTTCTGGAAACCTGGCTTCCCTGCCTCTCTTAGCTACAGTTTCTTAGTAACTCCCAGATTTGCTTAATTCCTAAGCATGTGCTTCGGTGTGTCTGTACAAGATTTTCCACAGTCTCTCTCACTCTGGGCTTTCCCAAAGTATTTTAGACTTGCACAGTTAAGAGGCTGCTGACCACAGCATGAGCATGTTTTCCTTGGATCACGCCTGTTTTTAAGCCCTCCATTCAGTCTATAGGCACTGTATATCCACCTGTACAAGTACAGGTGCAAAGCTTGTTGGCACAGATAGATTCCAGGTCCCTTCACAGGACACTCCAACACTGACCAGGAGAGATCCTTTCAAGATGAGAAATTCTGTGGCCTAGGGCAACTAACTTAATGGCCCTAAGCCTCAGTTGCCTTCTCCTGTAAAATGTTCTATATATTATAATGCTATTATAAAAGCAAAAAATATAATAACTTTGTCATCAGTAGTCATTTGATGTTGGTGATGGTACTATTACTATTAATACTATTACTCTTCCCATTACTATTAGTGCTTATTACAATCAGCTACACTGAAAGGGTTTCCTAGATTTCAGGCACATGAGACTGTAGGACTATAAGAAAATACATAAAATGTGTCTTTATAGCAGCATGATTTATAGTCCTTTGGGTATATACCCAGTAATGGGACGGCTGGGTCAAATGGTATTTCTAGTTCTAGATCCCTGAGGAATCGCCACACTGACTTGCACAATGGTTGAACTAGTTTACAGTCCCACCAACAGTGTAAAAGTGTTCCTATTTCTCCACATCCTCTCCAGCACCTGTTGTTTCCTGACTTTTTAATGATTGCCATTCTAACTGGTGTGAGATGGTATCTCATTGTGGTTTTGATTTGCATTTCTCTGATGGCCAGTGATGGTGAGCATTTTTTCATGTGTTTTTTGGCTGCATAAATGTCTTCTTTTGAGAAGTGTCTGTTCATGTCCTTCGCCCACTTTTTGATGGGGTTGTTTCTTTTTTTCTTGTAAATTTGTTTGAGTTCATTGTAGATTCTGGATATTAGCCCTTTGTCAGATGAGTAGGTTGCGAAAATTTTCTCCCATTTTGTAGGTTGCCTGTTCACTCTGATGGTAGTTTCTTTTGCTGTGCAGAAGCTCTTTAGTTTAATTAGATCCCATTTGTCAATTTTGGCTTTTATTGCCATTGCTTTTGGTGTTTTAGACATGAAGTCCTTGCCCATGCCTATGTCCTGAATGGTAATGCCTAGGTTTTCTTCTAGGGTTTTTATGGTTTTAGATCTAACGTTTAAGTCTTTAATCCATCTTGAATTGATTTTTGTATAAGGTGTAAGGAAGGGATCCAGTTTCAGCTTTCTACATATGGCTAGCCAGTTTTCCCAGCACCATAAAGACACATGCACACGCGTGTTTATTACGGCATTATTCACAATAGCAAAGACTTGGAACCAACCCAAATGTCCAACAATGATAGACTGGATTAAAAAAATGTGGCACATATACACCATGGAATACTATGCAGCCATAAAAAATGAGTTCATGTCCTTTGTAGGGACATGGATGAAATTGGAAATCATCATTCTCAGTAAACTATCACAAGAACAAAAAACCAAACACCGCATATTCTCACTCATAGGTGGGAATTGAACAATGAGAACACATGGACACAGGAAGGGGAACATCACACACCGGGGCCTGTTGTGGGATGGGGGAGGGGGGAGGGATGGCATTGGGAGATATACCTAATGCTAGATGACGAGTTGGTGGGTGCAGCGCACCAGCATGGCACACGTATACATATGTAACTAACCTGCACATTGTGCACATGTACCCTAAAACTTAAAGTATAATAATAATAATAAATAAATAAATAAAAATAAAAATAAAAAAAGAAAATACATAAAATAGATTATTAGAAGCACGAACAAATTGGGTTACTTTTGGAAGATAACTGAGCCATAAAATTATTCTGATGCAAAGACAGAAACATATGAGTCCATGGTCTTTTGCATTGACGAGGGATGGGTGCAGTTTTGCCTATGAGAGTAGGCGCTTGTGGCACTTGCACCTCTTAATCAATCATCAGCCTCCCCCATCTCAAGGAAGCTAGGACCTGCCTTTAGCAGAATGGAGTAAATCTCGATTAAGCTAACCATGGCAACTGAATTCACCTTGCCAGTAATAGTGTTCAAAACAGCCTTGTGACAGATTCTTGACCAACGATCCACCAAGGAAAATACTTGTGACCCTGGCAGTTTGGGGGTTTACTCTGGAGCATTTTCCTCATTTTAATATAATGAATACAAAGTGTCATTATTTTCTTTTCTGACTTTGGGAAGTTGTATGAGAGTATAGTGTTTGGAGCTGTTGCAGCCATTTTGTGACTAAGAAGGCTAGTATCCTATCCATGGGCAGCATACTGAGAAGGATGGAGTAGAAGGAGGAAAAGATCACTTTCTTGACAATGTCATTAAACAGCTGAGTTGCTGACCTTGGAACCGCTCCACCACCACTTTTCTTCTGTGTGGCGAGTCTTCATTATTTAAGCATCCTTACAGGGAAATCAGCCTATGGCACAGAATCAAAGTTGAATGAGAATCCCTTGATTAAACAGGCCATTAGAAAGAAAGAGACTCTGCTCCTGAAAATAATAAAGCATAGCCAGCTGTCTTTATTATTGGAGTTTTCCAAGTTGGTTTACCTACTTGCCTTCTTGGAATTTTACATTATTTTAAAAATTCATTTTATCCATAAATAAATATAAGTCATTTTTGATACTGATAGATGATTAGGGATAGTCGAGAAGAGGCTGTAGTCACAAAAAGAGTGAGAAGTAGCCACAGTTCTAAAATTTGTGAAATTACTCCCTGCTAACAATTCTATTCAATAACATGTTTCTTAGAGGTTTTCATCCACTGATTCTCAAATATTTTGGATCATTGCCTTAGGAAGGGGAAAATGTCTAATCAGGAACATACTCCTCCTTAACATTTTACACTTATCCTTTTTAAATTGTTTTGTTGCCTGAGGCTTTATAAGATCTATCTTAATTTTTTAAAATGATTATCTAGATAAAGATGATTTATGCAACAGTTGTTCTTGTTAGGTGAACTAAACCTTCCTCCTTGTGGCCTTGGGAAAGCCCAGAGTGACCGGTAAGCCCAGAGTGAGAGAGACAAGTTATTGAACAACTTACCAGTTCTGTGACTGGCCACAAGGTTTGTCCTAAGCATGTGCTTCGCTGTGTCTGTACAATGCTTAGGTTTTGCTTCAGCAGCTAAACAACCACTGGCCTCGAGATAAGCAAGATTAAAACAATTATGGCTCATCCACTACCAGATACTGGCCCCCACCCCAGTTCCACAAGCCATAAATACAGCTTTGATTGAACTAAGTAACTGATTTCAGTAACTTTCTCCTGATAAGAAACTACCGGCCTGGTCCTGGCGGGCTTACAGAGGTTGCACACTGAGTGCCTTTGTGTCCCTGCTTCACCCTTTGATGTACACGGCCTAATTGTAATGCACGTAAATGTTAACTCTGCACCCCAAAGTGAACATGAAACACATGTAACATGCATGTTTATTAAGTACACATGTGTTAGTACTCCCTCATACATATTCATAAGATCCTTCTATAACCTGTTGAATATGTATATCTCGCCAACCTGTTCAGCATAAATTCCTGCTTTACCCTCCCTCCCTCCAAATGCCTGTTTCCAGCTTCCGTGAAAGTCTTCGCTTCCCAGACTGTCAGAATGGCTGCCTTGCAGGCTATAACCCTAGATAAGAAATAAAGTCTCCTTTTCTAGCACAGTAGGGTGACTATAGTAAAAATTAATGTAATTGTACATTTTAAAATGACTAAAAGAAGGCTGGGCACAGTGGCTCATGCCTGTAACCCTAGCATTTGAAAGGCCAATGCAGGCGGATCACTTGAGGTCAGGAGTTCAAGACCAGACTGGTCAACATGGTGAAACCCCGTCTCCACTAAAAATATAAAATTTATCTAGGCGTAGTGGCACACACCTGTAATCCCAGCTACTCAGGAGGCAGAGGCAGGAGAATGGCTTGAACCATAGAGGCAGAGGTTGCAGTGAGCTGAGAACGTGCCACTGCACTCCAGCCTGGGTGACAGAGCAAGACTGCATCTCCAATTAAATAAATAAATAAATAAATAAAATGGCTAAAAGGGGATAATTGAATTGTTTGTAAAACAAAGGATAATTGCTTGAAGTGATGGATACTCCATTTACCCTGATGTGATTTTTATGCATTGCATGCCTGTATCAAAATATCTCATGTAACCCATAAATATATATATACCATGCATACACAAAAATTATAAATTAAAAAAGTCTCCTTTCTAAATGTATAAAGTGTGATTTATAATAATAAATACTAATTTATAATAATAATAAATTAATATTTTATTGTTAATTTATTACCAATATAATATTACTTTTAGACTTTTTTATTTTAAGCAACAGGAATACTCTGATTAAATGGAGGAGGGTTTAAAAGTTCACATGATCAATAAGAAACAAGTTCAATAGCTAATATTCAGTAAAAATTCAAAGTGCTTATGGATACCAGACCTTCACAAGATAGGAAGTGTTTCGTCAGGGCATTGTTGTTCATTACACTGCCACCATTGTCTCCACATACCATGGTCAGTCTTGGAGGATGCTTATATCAACCATGAGGCAATAGTTCCAGCAACAGTTTCTAAACGTTCCTTTTTCTTTGAATCAGTGACTTGATATTTATAAATCTACATGGAGTTGTAAATTAGGAGTGCATTAGGTAAACAGCTGATTTAGGCTTGGGGTAAACTCTAGGTGGGAAATACGGTGTCGTTGATGAGTCTGTAATTTTCTCTAATCAATACAGCACAGTGAGCCCTTGGAATCGCTTCTTTCCTGAAAGGCTTTGCACAAAATTGATGAAGGAGGATATTTGCTGATTAACATGTTTACTCCCAGAGACTAAGCTGAGGAAATGCTTTTATAGGCAAGGAAGCTTTGATTTGCAACTTAGGGATGCCAGTATGAGAATGGTTAGTATGGAAATACCTGGATAGTGATAATGTGATCACTTTTAGGAGAATAAGCACATATAATATTAAAATGCAAATAGAGGAACAGGAGAGAAAGGTTGATAGTGCCAATTGTGATAATACATAATAAATGTTAGCAATTTGGTTCTCACATTATTTCTATAAAAGCATTGAGCCAGGTCCATGGTTAAGAGGCAAAGTACAATTACTATCTAAAATTATAGTCAGTTATTTTCAGAAAAGAGAGAAATAAATTATCTCCTTTTGTATCAAAATTCTCACTTATGTTCAACCTCTTCACAAACTTAACATAGATTAATATCTTTTTCATGTTCTTTATTTTTGCTTCAGTATATTTCATTTATATATTGTTGGCTGCCCAATATATTTTTTTTTTTTCTGCTAGGTCCACACAGATAAACATTCTCCTTTTCTGTAATAGCATCTTCTAATTAGTCAAGGAACAATTTAAAATGTTATAATACAATAGAGATGCTAATAGAGAATCATGAAAAACATAGAGAATCATGAAAAACATAATGGATTAATGCAGAACAATTAAACTGGTCAAACTTCCAGGAATGTCAAAGAGTGATATAAATATTTAATATAAATATTGTCTTAAGCTTTCTGTGGCACTTTCAAAAGAGTATTTTCTAATTATAAAGTCTCTTTAATAAGTTCAATTGACCAAGTAACAGCTTTTGATCATCATTATTTAAAATGGAAGAATAAATTACTGAAAATTACATTCATACTTTAAACATTTGTCATTCTGCTGATTCACTTGCATTGTTTGAATGATCTGTTTTTCTTTTTTATTAGAAAATTCACAAGAAGAGAGGAAATACTGAGGAGAAAATGGCAGATTGTGTTTGCTGAATTTGATTGACGAAGAAGTCACCATGAAAATCACAGTGAACCATTTGGAAAGCAAACTGCCAAAAAATAATAGTTAGTCATGCTCTCAGGCTGGTAATTGAAAGTTTTGTTCAAATCGTACTTAATATTCAATAATTGTTTAACCATACCACTGCTTATCTTGGGAATGCTGATACTATGGAGACAATAAGATAAGGTGGCTGCTGAAAATCAGATTTAGACACTACTTTGATTATAATCATTTTTTTTGTATATCCCATGAAGGTATTATATGTTAGTGGTTGTTCTATGCTTAATATTTATATAGCAACAAAGAGTAAATAAACTGCAATTTATACATGTTATATTGTTGACCTATGCTAAAAGTTAATTACCATAATGAAATGGTTTGGCTGTGTCCCCACCCAAATCTCATCTTGAACCCATAATCCCCATGTGTCCTGCTGCTGGACCCAGTGGGAGGTAATTGAATCACAGGGGCAGTGTCTCCCACGCTGTTCTCATGATAGAGAGTTCTCATGAGATCTGATGGTTTTATAAGTGTCTGGCATTTCCCTGCTTGTACTCAATCTCTTGCCTGCCACCCTGAGAAAAGGTGCCTTCTGACATGATTGTAAGTTTCCTGAGGCCTCCCCAACCATGTGAAACTGTGAGTCAATTAAACCTCTTTTCTTTATAAGTTACCCACTATGAAGTATTTCTTCACAGTAGCGTGATAACTGAATAATACATGTAACAATTACATGAACAAATTATTACAAGTTTGAGGTACATCAGGTTTAAATTAAGGAAAAATGTTTAAAGAATTTTCCTCCTCAATGTTTCTTAGGGTCGAAGAGGCGTTTATGTTTGTTTATGAATAGGTCCTCGAAGGTAAAACATAGGCTTTAACATTCTGAGGCCAAGGATGGAGCTGTGTCTGATTTATAAAGTTTCAGACGCAGTAGAACAATTGACATGAGAAACTAGTCTTCCTCTGAGGCTGGTGAAGCTGCAGATCAGCACACACTCAGACTTGGTACAGAGAAACAGACCATTCTCCCATTAGCCTTTGGTATACTTCAGTCACCTGGGGTAGAGTGATTTCTGTGATTTCTAAACCTTCTGTCCTACTCATCTTACAGGCCATGTCCATCCTCAGAACTCATGCTTTCCTTTATTGTAGCTTCTGTTCTACGACTCCTCTAATACATTTTTCTTAGGAGCTTCATTGAGATATAATTTATATCCCATAACATTCACATTTGAAATGTGGCATCCAGTGTTTTTTATTGTAGTCACAGACTTATGCAACTATCACATCGAATTTTAGAATATTTTCACCGCCCTCTGAAAAAAACTAAATAACAATTAGCAGTAGCTCCCCGTTTCTTTTCTCTGCCAAACCACTAGCAACTATTAATCTATTTTCTGTCTTTAGCCATTTGGCATTCCGAACATTTAATACAAATACGATCATTTAATATGTGGTCATTTGTTAGTTTGTTTCTTTTTAAAATATGGGCTTTTTGACTGGCTTCTTTCACTTTGCATAATGCTTTCAAGGTTCATCCAGATTTTAGCAGGTACACATACTTCATTCCTTTTTTATGCCTGAATGATATTTTGTGGTATTTTTTGCTGTTATGAATAATTCACTGTTTGGCCACCGTAAATATGCATGTATAAGTCTTTTGGGGACATGATTTTATTTTGGAGGATAGATACTTAGATGTTGAAATATTGGTTCATATAATAGATCTGTGTTTAAATATTTGAGGAACACTTCTTGATGGTATTGTGACACAAATCTATTATGCATATATGTATGTATTTACATTGAGTATGCTTTTGGTGTAATATCTATCAAAGGTTATGAAGATTTACTGTTATATTTTCTTCTAAGAATTTACAATTTTACCTCTTACATTTGTCTCTGTGATTCATTTTTCAGTTAATTCTTGTGCATGGTGTGAGGTAGGAGGACAATTTCATTCTTTTTTGTGCGACAATTCAGTTTTCCCAGAACTATTTATTGACAAGTCAATAAAGTGAATTGTAGCATAGAAAATATTGCATTGAATTATCTTGGCACCTGTATCAAAAGTCAGTTGATCATAAATGTAAGAATTTATTTCTGGAACCTTATTTCTATTCCATTAGTTGATATATCTCTCCTTGTGTTAGTACCATAATGTCTTAATTGCTATAGCTTTGTATTAAGTTTTGAAACAGGGTAGTATATGTCCTTCACCTTTGTTCTTTCTTGCCAGGTTGTTTTGGCTGTTGTGGGTTTCTTGCATTTCCAGATGATTGCAAAGAGCTGTTTCTCAATTTCTGCAACAAGTGCCAGCTGAAATTTTGGTACCAGTTTCATTAAATATGTAGAACAATTTGGTAAGCATTGTCATCTTTACCCCATGAACACCATATTTTGTAGTCTCTAATATCTCTTAAAACAAACGGCCCCCAATCCATGCCCCCAAAATTGTCAAATACAGTCCAGCATCTTCATTTATACAAAAGAAAAGAAATTATTTTGCATCATGCTAAGAACCGGACCCAGCTCTGAATCAAACTGTGATATGCAATGTAGGCCTGAATAAAATACTCAGCTGCTCAGGTCAGACCATCCCCAATGAGGTCAACAGTGACTTCACAGTTTTCCTGATTTCACAAGCAAAATGGTTGTGTATGTGACTTCCATTAATTTAGTACAAGAGTGCATTCAACTCGTTTTCTCAGAAAAAAAAAAAAAAGCACCAAAAAAAGGTTTTTTCCCCAAAATAATATGGAATCATCTACTTCTAGTAAGACACCATGCCTGACAATTTTTCCAATTTCTACACTTTCAAGATGCAAAAGTTTGGTTTTATTTTAACATATACAAAAACCGTAAATGCTTTTAAAATATAGAAAATATTTTTGCTATGTAAGGACCAATAATTACTACATGCCAATATAGTACCACAACCATTAAATACACATGAGAAAATTCATGATATAATCATTCCACACTCCTTTCCTCTATGTACCACCATAGGTAGAAGTACATTTCTTTCAACTAGCTTGATACTTTTATGTAAAGTAAACCATAAAGGAAATTGAAACCAAAAGTAGATAATGGTGATGCGTCAGTTTTATTTGGTTTTAGATTTTTTTCCTCGTGGATGACACAAGGCAGAAAAACTCACAACAAATAGCATACATTTTGCTTGAGGACAAAACGGGAATTTTGCTGGGAAATAAATCTGAGTGTCTTCCAATATGACAACAGCTGCTTCTTGAATGCCTAAACTTTCTACCATAGAGGAATGCCGAATAGCCTTGAGCCTGGGGAATTATCACAGCCGATGTAAAATTCTTCAGCGATGTTCTCATGAAGCATCGAATGTAGATCCACATGGTTTTTCCGGTGAACCTGCCAGGGTGCATCAGGAACAAAGAGAATCCTATAGATCCTAAACAAATTATCATGCTGTATGGAATTATTTGATAGAACCCAATTAAATTCTATTAATTTTCTGCCAAATATAATAGTTTTAGTTTTAGAATAGTTCATATGAAGCCATTTTGAGACAATAATTAAATACCAAGCCTAATTGTCTATTAAGGCCATATTTTTCTTGTGATAATAAAAGCAAATTATCAGCGTTTAGATCTATCAAGGGATTCTTCTGAATTTTCTAGTGTTATTCAAAGGCAATTTTAATGAGTTCCTTAAGGACAAATAGTTGCTTCATAGCAAACCCTGAATAAATATATGGTGAATGACTTATGAGCAAACAAATAAATGCACATCAATAGAGTGAAATATTTATTGAGGTTCACATATCACCTCTCCCACCCACAGAGTCAGGTGTCAATCAACGAAAGATTTGTGGTCTTCAATATTTTTTCAGTCTAGTCCTAGTTTATATAAACTATAATGTTCTTCTCTTTTAAAGCTTCCGTCTGTTTTGCATTTAAGAAATAATCTTAAAAAGAAAGAAAGAATAATTTTCCATAGATTTTTGCAAATAGAGATTAGGGGGCTGGGGCTTGGGAGTTACGCAGATGGGCTTTGAACCCTGATCATAACCACGTAACAGCTGTCGGTCTTTGGGCAAGTTAATCAACTTCACCAGGCCTTAGGGTTCTCATCTTTAAAATGAAAATTGCATTACTACTCAAAGTTGTTCCTAAAATTAAATGAGATAATGCAGGTAAATCATTTAGCATTGTGGCTGGCACAAATTAAATAATCAGTCAAATTTAGATATTAATTTTAGCATTATTCTTCATTTTTCTTGCAGTGCTTTACCTTGGTAAAAGTTTTCACTTCATGACAAATGGATTTCGTCACATAGGAAAAATTTAAATTTTACTGATTGTGATCCCTGGTTTAACGTACCATAGAAACAAAATAACTTTTTAGGCTATCATTATCATATATTGAAAATACATTTTTCAGCCAGGCGTGGTGGCTCATGCCTGTAATCCCAGCACTTTGGGAGGCCGAGGCAGGCGGATTACTTGAGGTCAGGAGTTCGAGACCAGCCTGGCCAATATGGTGAAACCCCATCTCTACTAAACATACAAAAATTAGCCGGCGTGGTGGCGCATGCCTGTAATCCCAGCTGCTTGGGAGGCTTCAGGCACGGAGATCACTTCAACCTGGGAGGCAGAGGTTGCAGTGAGCCGAAATCGCAGCTCTGTACTCCAGCCTGGACAACAGAGTGGAGACTCCATCTCAAAAACATAAAAAAGAAAATGTATTTTTCTTTCCTCTTGCTTCAGGCTATTTTCAAATTATTGCAAATTTAATTTGTTACTACTGCCTATTTATCCATCTGGCATCTTATTTCACTCATTCTCACTGTGTTGAAATGAATGGTCATATTAAGCTATGCTCTCAGGATTACACATGTGAATGTCTGACTTGCATTAGTAAAACTAATGATTCTAATTCCATATTGCTTTGATTATAAACTAAACAAAAACTCTGACATTATTACATTAGGAAAGCTGTTTTGCTAGAAACAAGAGCAATATTATATGAGAATTGAATTAATAAGTACAAATGTTTTAATGGCCATTACAACAACACAAAGAAAAACAAATGTAAATATTTTAATAATACAAACTATAATTAATGCTGTGTATTTTAACTCTTTATGTCTGATAGAGTAACAAATTCTTGAGCATGTTGGCCTATGTGCAAAGACCCATTGATCTGGTTTTTCCCCACGTATTTGAAAAATGATGCATTTTGCCAAAGTATAAAATTATAAGATACAGAACTAAATTCTGGTTACCCAAAGGCTAGAGATTTGATATGCTATGAATAATCATGTTGCTGTTCACTATTATAAGGATTTATATCTTGCAAAGTATCTTATCAATTACCTCATTTCTTCTTTACAAGTTTCTAGGTGTGCAGGAATGCTCATCCTATCATCTTTTTCTGAGGAGTGAAACAAGCTCCTTAGGCCCTGAACTAATAGAAATCACAAGCTACAATGAAAGGAATGTGACTAGAACCCACCTGCATGACTCTTTTCATTAGATCATACTCACTCTTTGATTAAAAAGAATGCACAACTAAATATATTTGTTGAAAACAATTTTTATTGAAGAACATACCAGGAATATTACTCATTATTGCCAGGTACAACAGCATATTTAGCCTGTGTTTAATGTATATATCATGTGATTAGAACATGGGAACAACAGTAAGACTGAAAAGGAACTCTGTGATGCTTACCTGCTGAGAACAAAAGGAATGAGAATCACTGCTCAACTGATAACATCAAAACTTTATAGACTCACCCATCTTTTCATTACAGTGGCCTAATTTCCAACTTTATACTAAGTGTCAAGCCTCTGTCTCAGTCCTAATAATTCCTCTTAAGTCCATATCTATATATACAGGTTCAAATCAAATTTCTTTCTGTGTATGTCACAGGAACCCAGTCTCAACATTTCCATACCTTAGATCATGTTTGTACTTTCTCTTTCAGAGCCTGAGTGAGTTCTGTGGAGCCCATACTACCTGCGATTCAAGCCAGCAACCTTGGAATCTCCCTGAACAATTTCTATGGTGTCCAATCACATTTGCAATCACTCCCCACACTCAGTAGGTTCTGCCCCCACATCATTTCTTTTCTCTATCCTCTTTCCCAGCTTTATAATATGACTTAGTTCAAGCCCTAATCACTGGATTATTCAAAGTCCCTTAACAGGTTAATTCCTACTGTGATCAACACTTTAAAGGAAGGCAATAGGGCCAGGCATGGTGGCTCACGGCTGTAATCCCAGCACTTTGGGAGGCTGAGGCGAGTGGATCACAAGGTCGGGAGTTTGAGACCAGCCTGACTAACACAGTGAAACCCCGACTCTACTAAAAATACAAAAAATTAGCCAGGTGTGGTCGTGGGTACCTGTAGTCCCAGCTACTAGGGAGGCTGAGGCAGGAGAATGGCGTGAACCCGAGAGGCGGAGCTTGCAGTGAGCCAAGATTACGCCACTGCACTCCAGCCTGGGTGACGGAGCGAGACTCCATCTCAAAAAAAATAAAAAATAAATAAAACAGAAAGGCAATGGCTATCCCAAATTGCTGAAGCCTTTGCTAAAAGCACAGACAGAAAACAACAATATGGTGATGTTTGTGTTAAACAAATGTTATTGATTCTAGGACACAGGTCAGATGGCAAATAGTCAAACTCAAATGTTGATCCCAGGGGTGGCTGTATCATCACTAAGGCCAAATCACAACTTTGACTGGTCTCATGGGAACACAGATCTTGGGTTTGGAAAGAGCACAGGCCTGGCCATGGGAATGGACACAGGGTAATTTTAAGATGACTAGAGGTTCCTCAAACCCTAAAAGTACCACTGAACCTTGTTTAAAGCTAAAATGGCTCCTAAATGATAGACACGTTTCTCAGTTATCTCTGCAAACTGAAGATCCTATCAGCCTGTTCAGGGTCTCACAGGCCTCTGGGTTTGTACATGATGTCCCTACAGTGGCGATGGGGACTGATGAGAGCCACCGTTCCCATTGGAGGAGGGCAAGCTGCCACTGAGTGTCAGCTGCTGGAGTAAACATCCAATCACATGTGTACCTGTATCCTATGGATATTGGCTTCCCCTCATACAACTTGTTGTTCCTTTGTTTTCCATTCCTGACTATATTTGAATCTTTCTTGGATTTCCAGGAAACATCTGACTGCTTTCCTATGCCACTTCATACCCAAGAGAAGCTCAGGGAGATCCTTTAAGGTCCTTTATGCCCATTATGATAGTACATGAATAGGTAAATGTACCACTGCTCCCTGTACTTCTTGGATAATGCACAAATAGTAAGACAGTCTCGCAACCAGCAGCCTAGACAGCCCAAATATGTGAAACCAAAACAGCTTGATCTTCCAGACCTGTTCTGACTCCTTGAGTCTTAAATCTCCAAGCCTCTTGAATGTTTCACCCACAGCCTTCCCTTTGGGATCTGGCATGGGACAGGAAGGGCAGAGAAGGGCCTGGGGCTTTTCCTCAGGGATCCACCACAGTCTAGGCCAGTGGGTGGCAAACTTTTTCTGCAAAGGATCAGCTGGGAGATAGTTTCAACTTTGTAGTCTCGTCGCAGCTACTCTACTCGACTCTGCCACTGGAGTGTGAATGCAGTCATGAATAAAAGAATGAAAGTTTTCCAGTGAAACTTTAGTCACAAAAACAGTCTGCAGGCTGTGTCTGGCCCGTGGGCTTTGGTTTGCTGGCCTGCGGGCTCCTAGAAGGCTCTGACTTTATCCCTCTATGAGGGAAAGCAGGTTTTGGGGTATTCTCCCAAATCTTTATACCTTATGTCTGTGTCTCTTTTTAAATTAAAAGTAAAATTTAGGCCAGATGCCATGACTCACACCTGTAATCCCAACATTTTGGGAGGCTGAGGAGGGAGGACCACTTGGTTCCAGGAGTTCACAACCAGACTGGACAACATAGCAAGACCTAGTCTCTACAAAAGAAAAAAAAATGAAAATTTAGCAGAGCATGGTGGTGCTTCCCTGTAGTCCCAACTACTAGGGAGGCTGAGGTGGGAGGATTGCTGAAGCCCAGGAAGTCGAGGCTGCAGTGAGTCATTGTTACACCAGTGTACTCCAGACGGGGACAGGGTGAGATCCCGTCTCACAAAAAAATTAAAAATGAAATAAAATAACTAAAAATGAGCATCTTGTTTCTCTCTGTATTGTCATAGCAATCTTCTCTGAGGCTACCCATATGTTGCCAACTAAAGGGACCAGGGCAAAGACCACAGGAAAATCCATAGAACGATCTATTAAAAATTTCCCTAATGCTCTATTTTCATCTTAACATTCTTTCTTTTTCAATATTACTTTTCTTGAAAATTTCTTTATGTGATAAACTCTGCTTTACATTTAGGACTGTGTATTTTTGGCTGCTCTCCAAGCCCTTGAGGAAAACACTTGGAGTCAATCTCATCCTTTTGATGCAGTGCTGAGTAATGAGGTATTTCCCTGTCTAAGTAAGAGCCAAACTGTATAATTAAATCCTTTCCAGATAGTTTTAAATATCTTGATATGGAATAATCGTGACAACTTTATGTAGTTTTTCTCACTGTTGTTTTAGAACATTTTTTATAACATGTCTCATTCACCCTAAAAATAGCCTTATATTAAGTTCAAACATTTTTGCTCTCATGTTATTTTTAAAAATTAAAATGTTCTTGAACCCAGGAGTTCAGGGCTGCAGTGAGCTATGATCATGCCATTGCACTCCAGCTTGAGTGACAGAGCAAGACCTTGTAACAAAAATAAAATGAAATATTTGTCTCATCATCAGTTAGTCTGTGAAACAAATAAAAGACCAGGTTTACTTAGATTATATGCTAATGATTTTAGGAATAATTACAGATGATATACACATAATATATACCAATTATACTTTATCAAACATCAGTGATTCCTCAAATTATGCCTAACTCATGAAATATTAAATATTCATTTGCTATCTGAATATTTTGAATAGTTTAACCAATTATTCAAAACATATTGAAGATGATTTATCTCACTGTGGTTTTTTTTGTTTTGTTTTGTTTTTGAGACGGAGTCTCGCTCTGTCACCCAAGGCTCGAGTGCAGTGGCGCCATCTCGGCTCACTGCAAGCTCCGCCTCCCGGGTTCACGCCATTCTCCTGCCTCAGCCTCCCGAGTAGCTGGGACTACAGGCACCCGCCACCACGCCTGGCTAATTTTTTTTTTGTATTTTTAGTAGAGACGGGGTTTCACTGTGTTAACCAGGATCTCCTGACCTCATGATCCGCCCGCCTCGGCCTCCCAAAGTGCTGGGATTACAGGCGTGAGCCACCGCGCCAGGCCAGCTTTTCTCTCTGGTTTTCTATGTACATATCCCTTTGGTTTTAAACCAAGAACAATAAAGGGAGTTAATAGCTTTTTGATTGTTCCCCAAAACACTCATTTTCTTCTGAAGAACTACTTAAAATATAAAATATGTCTATCTCCAACTACACTTTGAGCTTTTTGATATCAGATCATTGTTTTTACTTACTCTTGATTTTTTCAATAACTAGAAGAACTCATGTAACATAGAGGATAGTAAAAAAAAAATAATGAATGAATAAATAAATAATATTGCATCTTAGGTAATTTTCAAAGTAGGTGGGATATATCAAATTAAAATTTTGGTAGTTTTGCAGTTAAGACAAGTTCTAGGTTGCCTTTTGTTTTTGATTTTGTTTTTACATCAAGTATATCAATAGTAATTTCCAATTTCAGTTTATTTAAAGAGAAGTGACAAGGGCCTTGTGAAACAATCTAAATACATCTTTTAGTTATTTACATTTAACAACAAAATTACCTACCTAATTTAGTTAAGTTTTTCTAGACCAGTCAGGTTAGTTTTCATAGAATTATGTTTTACACTTACATTGTACTACCACATATAATAATCAAAATTAAAATAATAAGTATAACTGGTAGAAAGTGGTAGGAGAATACAATGGCTAGTAAGAGACTGATAGTTCATCTTCTGCAAGCAAAGATGTACAAAGTACTAGAAATAAACTTGCGGGTCTTGATAATTCTGCATATGAAAATGGAAAGCCGCAGTTTACTCAAAATATCTGTTTAAAGGAGACGGGCTAAGCACAATTTTACTATTCGTAAGACTGGGAGTTTACAACAGGCCTCGTAATTAGATCATACTAAATGACGATTTGGTTTAATAAGAACTGATATGGTCTACGTATATTTGAAATTGGACATTTTCAAAACGTTCAAGATATGATATTTTAAAATATACTCAAAATCTTGTCAGTCAAGAAAATTGTATTTATAGACATGCAAATATTCTGAAAAGTAATTCAGTTGTAATTCAAGACTAACTTATTAATTCCCATTCTAGAGATTTTAGAAGATGGAAAAAAGAAAAATACATTGCACTCTGAAACATTCTACATAAAAATGGAATGTGTGGTCATTAGATTAACTCAGGCTTTGGACCTCGGGGCATAAAACCCATTTCCTCTTACACCAGTCTCTGAAGCTTAAAGGATTCGTTATTTCCAGTTGCAAATGCCATCAGAAAAGGATTGTTTTTCTTTCTAGTACCACCAAGAATGTAGTTTACCATTGTGAATAAACTGTCTTAAGCTTTCCCCGAATAAAATAAATACAAATGCTCCTCAACTTACAATGATGTTATGTTCCAGTAAAACCACCACAAGTTGAAAATACCATCAGTCAAAATACATTTAATACTCTCAACCCACCAAACATCACAGCTTATCTCAGCCCGACCTTAGACGCGCTCAGAACACTTACATTAGCTTACAGTTGGGCAAAATCATCCACCACAAAACCTATTTTATAACAATGTGTTGACTATGTCAAGTAATTTATTGAATACTCTACTGAAAGTGAAAAACTGAAAGGTTGTATGGGTATTTGAAGTATGAGTTCTACTGAATGTGTATCACTTTCATATTATCATAAAGTTGAAAAATTGTAAGTCAAATCATAAATCAGGGACTGTCTGTACTGACATTTTAGATTAGTTTTGCTGTTTTACTATCTCTAGTAGTATGTTCCCTTCCAAATCTCAATAATCATTCTTAGAATACCCTCTGCTTACAGGACTATAATTGTTCCCCAAGGGAAAATCACTAGCTGTTAAGAAACCATGAGAATTTTTTAGATTATTATTTTAAATAATTTTCTCAGATGCTTTATTTTCTCTTCTCAGTATTAACTTGAAATAAAAAGAAATGCCACAATGTTAAATCCTTTCTTCTGCATGGATTTTAATTTTATTTTATTTACTTGGCAGATTCATTTTATAAAGCTGCATTCAAACAAAATAATTTGTAAGTAACCAAGTTTGATTAAAATCTGTATTGTGATTATGCTGAAACAGCCAAACCAATATGTATTATAAGACTTTAACTGTTATTAGTCTGTTGTAGAATGTTTTAAATCTCTTCAGATGTCACTTCATTGTTAATCTGCCCCATGTGGGAAGTTGTGGTAATGGTTTCTTTCTAGCTCATTGATTGCTTTTGGTCAATTGATGTAAGTGTTTCAGTTTTCTTAATTGGCTTACTTTGTTTTCAACATTTGTTAGTAACATATTAAAAGTATCAAAATATATTGGCCTTGTTACCACAATTCAGGAAATGCTATTTTATATCTTCACTTTAACATATAATACACAAAATGTTTTTCTCCAATCAAGAGTTTTATTGTACTTATGTATCATCCTAATTTTTAAAAATTATGTTGATTGAGATCAGAATTTGAATAACATTGGAAATGACTGAGCAGTCAGTGCATTGCATTTATTGCAAAATATAAAATAGCTGGTGACATAGTGAGAATTCAAACAATATCCCATTTCATTTTCATAATACCATCTCTCTTAAAAATGTATTTTTTTTCCTATATTGTTTTGAGCTTTCTTCAACTCAGGAGTTGCTTTATAACTAAATATATTTAAAATATTATATCTTTTAATAAAGTACAAAATATCTTCAAGCTAGGTTGTGAATTCTCAAATAGAAAGTCCTAACACCCTCCTATTGAAGTGCATTTAAGTATGTTAATGTTTGTGAAATACTGATCAGTCTTTTGTGTTCTTTCTCCCTGTCTGGGCCTGGGTTTCAAAATTGCCAGTGAACCACATTCAGGGACAAACTTTGTTAAACTCAGTGTCATGAAATAAACCACTCATGCATGTATCAGCACAACTACAGATACTCCCAATAACTGAAAATTTGAATAAGTGAAGCTGAGTAACCTGCAAGAATTGAGAAGAGAAACAGAAAAATCCTCTGTTAAAGGATTTATGCGATGCTATTAAATGTTTGCATTATAGTAATTCGGTAGGAAAACAGAGGGATAAGAGCACAGAAAATATATTTCATAAAATAATAGCTGAAAATTTCACAAGTCTTGGGACAGATGTGAACATCCAGATTCAGGAAGCTGAAAGAACTTTGATTAGATTCAACCCAAAAAGAAACTCTTTAAGGCACATTTTAATCAAACTGTCAAAGACAAAGAGAACTCTAAAAGCTGCAAGGGAAAAAAGTCAAGTCACAGAAAATGGAATCCCCCATCAAATGATTAGGAGATTTCTTAGCAGAAACCTGGCAAGCCTGAAGAGAATGGGATGATATACTCACTGTGCTCAAAGAACTCCCCCAAAACAAAAAACTACCACCAATACTAGATCTAGCAAAGTTATCCTTTAGAAATGAAGGGGAAATAAAGAACTACCTGGACAAGCAGAATCTGAGGGAATTCATCACCACTAGACCAGTCGTACAAAAAGTGCTTAAGAGAATGCTGCAACTGAAAGTATAAATAAATAAATACTAAAATGAAAACATGTGCAAGTATAAAACTCATTAGTAGAGTTGAATTTATAAATCAAAGTTGGAATACTCCAGTGATGTTTGGTGCTATGTAAATCTTAAATTTCTGCAGTATGAAGGTTGAAAGTCGAAATGGTCAAAAATAACAACAGCTAATATTAGCAGCTAATAAAAACAAAATAGATAAAGATGTAAATTAAGGCAACAAAAATATAAATTATGGGGGTAGAGAAAAAGTCTAGAATATTCTTATGTGAGTAATGTTATTATCAGTTTAAAAAACAAGTCTATTGCAGATCCAATATTCTTTATGTTAGACTCATGGTAACCAGAAAGAAACAAATTACTGCAGACATGCAAACAAAAAAGAAAAATGAAACAAAGCTTAGCATCACAGAAAACCACTGGTTCATAGATGCAAACAAGAAGAGTGGAAGAAAGGGACAAAGATCTACAAAACACACACACCAATTGGGTAGGCTCAAATCCACAACAACAATATGAAATGGTGGCAGTAATGTGGAGATATAGAAACTCATCCATTGCTTGAGTGAAGGTGCAGTGCCACAGCCACCCTGAAAGAGTGAAGCAGTTTCTTATAATGGTGAACGAGTCTTACCATACTATCTAGCAATTGTACTTTGGGATATATATGCAATTGATTGAAATCTTTGTTCACACCAAAACTTGCAGGTGAAATGTTTTAGCAGCTTTATTCTTAATCACCAAAGACTGAAAGCAATCAACATATTCTTTTAGGTAAATGGATTTTTTAAAAACCTGGTACGTTCATACAATGAAATATTATTTCAGCAATGAAAAGAAATTAGCCATTAAGTCATAAAAAGACACGGAGGAAGCTTAAGTGCTCATTGCTCAGTTAAATAAATCAATCTGGAAAGTTTACATAATGTATGATTCCAAATATGTCTCATTCTAGAAAAGACAAAACTATAGACACTATAGAAAGATGGTTTCTAAGAGGGAGGGGATGAAGGATGACTATGTGAAGCAGAGGGAATTTTCAGAGCAGGATAACTATTCTCCATGATACTGTAATTGTAGATATATGATATTAGGCGTTGTCAAAACTTATAGACCTTCACAGCGCAAAGAATGAACCATCATGTATTCAATTAAAGAAAACCATTTAGGAGGTCAGAGGCTCTCAGGAAGGAATGTAGATTCTAACAAGATGATCAAACTATATTACAAATTTATGAAAAGGTATCCCCAAAGAAGGTGGAGGGAAATATGCTGACCTAAGTCATTTTAGAAATGTATGTATAAAAATGGAGAAGGAACTGTTCCTAAGCACTGTATTCTCATTTCAAAAGTAATATCCACCAGGGATCTGGGTTAGTAATTCTGAAACTGCTATACGTGTGTCTAAAATTAAGCAATTAATCAAATAGGCAGTGAGTGGTGGGAGCTGTTGGAGTGAGAATTTACTGATTAGCAATATGAGGAGGCTAGAATGATCCAGGTGGTAAGGTATTATGGTTGGAAACATTGCTATGAACTAAAGTTAGGCCTAACATAGCTTCAGATGGTTAAATAGAAAAACTTATAAATATGTGTATATGCCTGGGTTATTATAATCACATGTTCCCGTATTATGTCAGTTAAGAGGGCCTAGAAACTATAAATTCCTAAGAATAACAAGCACACCCAGCAGATCTTAGTTTCCTTCACTTTTTTAATATAAGGAACCAGAGCTCATGAAATAAATGACCAATTCTAGAGCATGGGTGGGAAATATAAAAGATGAGCCTGGAGCACCTTGTAGTGCCAGAAAGTAACAAACTGAAACAAACAAACAAACAATAAAACTCCAAACTCCCACAAAACTGAAACAATTTGAGAAACACAACAAACAAGACAATACTGTTATCTGTACCCAAAGCATAAAATAACCATCCATGAGCTATAGTGAAATAAATAAATTGTAAATTAATGCCAGGAGAAAAGATAAGCCTCTCTTAGAATTAATTCATGTATACATTCCATCTTCAAGGAATAGAAACTTGTAAAGAGCAACTAAAAAGGGCAACTGGACAATAGCGTTTGTCAGGTTTCTCCCTGAAATCCATAACCCCAGCCTAATCGTGTGAAAAAAAACATTAAACAAACTCCATTTGTCAAATATTCTGAAGACACTGACCAGTCCTCCAGAAAACTGCCAAGGGCATTGAAAACAAGGACAATCTGAGAAACTGTCATAGCCAAGAGGAGCTTAAGGAGACACAACAGCCATAGGTATATGGGAAACCAGATGAGATAATGGAACAGCAAAAGAACATTAGATAAAAACCAAGCACATGTGCCTATGCTATAGGCTTTTGTTAGAAACTAATGCATTGATTTTGAGTAAACAAATATTGCCAACATACCACATGAATGTGAGCTGTTAATAATAGAAAAATTGAATGTGAGATATATGAGAACTCTGTGTTATATCTCAAGTTTTCAGTAAATCAAAAATATTTTAAAAATAAAACAGGCTTTAAAAATAAAGTCTATTTAAACAAAAATAAAAAATAAAATACAACGGCACCCCTTAAATCAGAATAGAACATGATGAAATAATACATTTTAAGCTTCATTATTGGCACCATTCTAAGAAGTTAGGTAACAGCAGTGAATAAAATGAGCACAATTCCACCTCTCAATGCCTTACATTTTTAGGGGGGCAGTTGAAAATAAAACATTTAAAATATATAGGACATTTAAAGGTGATATTTTTTAAATAAAGTAAAATAAAGGACAAAAGAGGATAAGTTGTTCTAGGGAATGGCGTTAGGGTTGAATTTTTGAATAGGCAACTAAAACAACTTTATTCTTTAGACATCATGACCATTAGTTGCACCTAGTGAGCTTGGGCATACAGAAATATTTATCAGTAATGTCTAGGACAAAATTGAGAAGCATTCTAGAAATGGAGGTAAATAAGAAAGCTAAAAGGATGAGAGCATGGTAGAAGTTGATGTCACAGCATGTCCAGGGCAACACAAATAGGTATTGGTAATTCAGAAAACAGAACAAGTTGGAGAGGGGAGTTAGCAGTTAAAATGTTAGGGAAAACATTTCATTTTCTAACTATACACTTTGAATATGAAACTTGAAGGGGCTAAAATAAACTCAATGATAAATTTATTAAAACTTATATAAGCTTCAATAAAATTGATAACATCTCTGAACTTATACCATAAAAAGAAAGTTTCAAGCCTCAAAAACAGAATACAAAGGTTAAATTCATCTCAAAAAAAACAAAAATCTGAACAATCTCAGATTTCTCGACCTCAAAATATAAAGATTCTAAAAATGAAAAGTTTCTGTTTCAAGAATAATGCATCTAGCTAAAGTCAAATTATTGAAAATAATTTTCACATAGAAAATATTTAAGCTTAGTAACCAACTAGAAGATCATTACTCAAATTCAAATCAATAAATGATAAATCAAATGTAATAAATAAAGAATGAGATGTTAAAGATAGAAAAATATTGATAATAAAAATTGAAGTTAAGTAAACATCAGATAAGTATACAGTGGAAAGGTGACAATGAATTAAATAACTACAACTTTTGTAAGAATATGCATAGGTAAAAAATATAATAAAGTCATGATGTTTATTATTAAATTCCACAGTAGTAGAAACTAAAAATACTGAATTGAAAACAGAAAGATCTCTATATAATTTAGAGGGTTCTGGTTTCATTTATTCACCTTCAAAGTTTATATTACAGAATAATAAACCTATACACTAATGACTAACTTAAATAGAAATTAACAAAGCCACTCCTTCTATAACAGCATCAAAAAGGATAAGATAATAAAGAATAAATTTAATCAAGGAAGCAAAAGATCCATATACTGAAAATGATGAAACATTGATGAAATTAACTGAAGACAAATAATGGAAAGACATCTCACATTTAATCACATGGATTAAAATAACCACTATCGTTAAAATGTCCATACTACTCAAAGCAATCTACAGATTCAATGCTATCTCTATCCAATTACAATGGCATTTTTTGCATAAATACAATAGAAAAAAAACTTAAGATTTTTATAGAACCACCAAAGTCCCTGAATAACCAAAGCAATGCTGAGAAAGACCAAAGCTGGAGCATCACATATTCTGATTATAAATTACATCACAAAGCTATAGTAATCAAAACAATGTGTTACTGCCATAAAAACTGACACATAGACACATATAATGAAATAGAGCCCAGAAATCAACTTACACATTTAGCATCAATTGATCTCCGATGAATGCACCAGGAGTGGATAATTGGGAAAGATAGTCTCGTCAATAAACGGTGGTGTGAAAACTGGAATACATGCGCAAACTAATGAAATTGGAGCCTTTCATCATATGCAAAAATCCTGAAAATTGTTAAGAACTTGAAAGATAAGACTTGAAACTGTAAAAATTCTAGAATAAAATATAGGAGGAAAGCTCCTTGATACTGGTCTTGGCAATAAATTTTTGTATATGACACTAAAAGCACAGGCAACGAAAACAAAAATAAACAAGTGGAATTGTGTCAATCTAAAAAAGTTTCCACATAGCAAAGGAAGCAATCAACAAATTGAAAACATAACACTGTGGAATGGGAGAAGCTATCTGATATTTGTAAACTATATATCTGATGGGAGCTAGCTTCCAAAATATATAAGAAACTCCTGCAACTTAATAGCAAAACAAACAACAACAACAAAAAACTAAAAATTGAGCAAAGGACCTGAATAGTCATGTTTCCAAAGAAGATGTACAGATAACCAACAAATATATGAAAAGATGATGCAATGCAAATGAAAACCATAATGAGGTATAACTTCAAACCTGTAAGGATGGCTATTACAAAAAAGCCAAACTATAACATGCGTTGAATGATCTAGCTGTCTGTATATGTATCCAGAGGAAATAAAATCAGTATGTCAAAGAAATAGCTGCAGTCATGTATGTTACAGGGTTATTCACATGAACCAAGATATAGAATCAACCTGTGTCTGTTAACAGACAAATGGATAAAGTAAATGTGACACACAGACACACACACACACACACAAACTACATATACATATATTGTATATATGAGTGTGTGTGTGTATATACAAAAAAGGAAACATTTAGGATTAAAATGAAAAATTATGTCCTTTGTGACAACATGGGTAAGTCTGAAAGATTTACTTTAAATGAAGTAAATGAGAAACAGAAAGACAAATACTGTAGGATTCCACTTATATTTAGAGTATTGAAAAGTCAAACTGAGAAACAGAATAGAATGGTGATTGCCAGGAACTGGGGGTGGGGACGGGGATGGGGTGATGTTGGTCAAAGGGCATAAACTTGCAGTTATAAGATTAAAAAGTTCTAAAGACTTAATGTACAGCATGGTGACACAGCTTATTTTCACTCAACCCTTAAATTATCCATTTTCTCATGTTCTAAATTTTTGTTCATTAAGCCCGTAATAATATTTTTTTCTTTCTCTCTCATTTTTAAAGAGAAGTTGTGGCAGGAATTCTTTTTTTTTTAATTTTATTATTATTATACTTTAAGTTTTAGGGTACATGTGCACAATGTGCAGGTTTGTTACATATATATACATGTGCCATGCTGGTGTGCTGCACCATTAACTCGTCATTTAGCATTAGGTATATCTCCTAATGCTATCCCTCCCCCCTCCCCCCACCCCACAGTAGCAAAGACTTGGAACCAACCCAAATGTCCAACAACGATAGACTGGATTAAGAAAATGTGGCACATATACACCATGGAATACTATGCAGCCATAAAAAATGATGAGTTCATGTCCTTTGTAGGGACATGGATGAAACTGGAAACCATCATTCTCAGCAAAGTATTGCAAGAACAAAAAACCAAACACTGCATGTTCTCACTCATAGGTGGGTATTGAACAATGAGAACACATGGACACAGGAAGGGGAACATCACAGGAATTCTTATTATAAATTATATAATTGGCCTATTTGGTCTCCTGGGGCTGGTGTTATAAGGACAATAACAAACGGAGAGGCCCCTTGTAAGTAGCACTCCCATGATGGGAGTTTGTCTCTTGAAAAATGGCAAGTCTACCTCTAAGTAGACCCTTCTCCTGTTCCTACGAATTAACAAAGTTGCCCATAAAACAGTACCTCCAGCCCTGATACCTCTCCTAAGTCCAATTCAGCTTCATATTTAAATATCTACCATGCTGGTCACATTGGCTCAGGCTGCAATCTCAGCCACTCTGGAGACTGAGGTGGGAGAATTGCTCAAGCCCAGAAATTAGAGACCACCACCCTGGGAAACATAAGGAAACCCCATATCTAAAATATAGTAATTACATAAATATAAAAGTAAATTTTCTACTAGGCTATTCCACGCCAAACGTGTTCCAACACAAGTTTGTAACTTTCACCAATTTTGTGATGTCCCCTTCTTTATTTCTATATTTCCATTTAGAGGCACTAGTCTTACTGGGGATTCTGGTTCAAAGTGGATGATTATTGATACATTATTTGGCCTTACACAAACACTTCATTATCATTTTTCTTTATTTTCTGATCACAATGATTTTTAGATTTCTCATTACATTTCTGAAGAATGTAGTTCAAGCAACTCATTCCTGAGAGAATTAATGGTTAATGTCAACCACCATTAGTGGTTAATGTCATAAACTTTTTAATTCCCTTATAACTTTTTAGCCTGGCTTTCCCCTAAATCCCAAGCTTTATATTGTTATGTGACTCTATAAATGTCTTATCAACCAAGAATCATATATTTTTATATAAAAAAAAGATGCCTTACAGGGTAGAAAAGATGGAAGAAAAACAGAAAGATAGTGTATTGAAATAACTAAATTGAAGTTTATTATTTACAGTTATATTAAGTTGAAGTTTATTATTGTTACAATTGTTATGAAAAGCTATATGCATTACAGACACTGAAATTAATGCCGTGTATTCCCATCAGCTTCTCAGAACTCTTTCATCACAAGGTAGAATGACAGGATGCGACATTTATTTGGCTAAATTAATTTTCTAGACATTTTAAAATCATAACTGAATGTTGTCACTTCTCATATTGATAACTTCAATGTACAATTGGAGTTTGCAGATACAAATACAAGTAAGTTGTCCCAAACCATAAAACAAACCTCAAACATTTAACTCTTCAAATATTTATCCTGGTTTCAGTGTTTAATGACACTCCTGCAATGTGTCAGCTACTGCAAATCAACACTCTATCACACAGTGTATACGGTTTTAAGACAAATAGCTAAAAATCATGCATGGATAAATAGCAAAACTGGCATAAATAGCTCATTGTTACAGCAAACCTTTAATGAAAGAGAAAAGTAGAATGATGGTTACCAAAGTCTGGGAAGGGCAGTAGTGAGGGGAGGGGAGAAGGGGTTGTTTAATGGGTCGAAAAATACAGTTAGATAGAAGTAATAAGATCTGGTGTTCAGTAACAGAATAGAGTGACTATTCTTAACAATAATTTGCTGCATATTTCAAAGTAACTAAAAGAGTGGAATTGGAATGTTCCTAATAGAAAGAAATGATAAATGCTTGAGGTGATGAATGTCTCCATTATCCTGCTTTGATCACTACACATTGTATGCTTGAATCAAAATATCACATGTACCCCATAAATATGTACACCTGTTATGTATTCACACTAATTAAAATTTTAAAAAAATAATAAAAGAAGAACCTCGGAAAAAAAGACAGAAGAGTACCATATTCAATTTTCAAAGCACAACAATTAAACTTTGTAAATGAATTAATTCTGTGGAAAACAAGAAGTTAATATCTCAGTTTTTGAATTCTTCATATTCTATTCTATTTGAATGCATTACATCTTAGGTCAATAACAGGAGGAATTATACTCAAATACCTACAGAATAGAGGAATTTGACAAATACTGGCCTGTAATTTCTAAACTATAGCTTAAAGCAACTCTGAGGAAACTCTGAAGAAAATAAAATATGATCTACATGTGTATTTTGAATTTTTAAAATTTCTTTTTAAGTAGTAAAAATCTTCAATTCAATTTAAAATATATAATTCAATATATAAATTGTCACTCAAAATGTAATTAATGTGATATATTAATAATGAAATATTTTATATTATTTTTTCATATTGTTTTAAAAATCTGACAGCCTGAGGAACATAGTGAGAACTCATTTCTACAAAAAAAATTTTAAAAATTAGCTGGGCATGGTGGTGCTTACCTGTAATCTCAGCTACTCAGGAGACTGAGGTGAGGGAATCACTCGAGCCCAGGAGTTTAAGGTTACTGTGAGCTATGATCACACCATTGTAGCCTGGGAGACAGAGTGAGATTCTGTTGCTAATAAAAATTTGAAAATAAAAGTAAAATACTTATTGCACACTTTAATATTTATCATTCACTTAAAATACTTGATCTGTATGTAAATTTTATAAATTCATAGTCAAAATTTGTTGATTCACATACCTATTTTGCTGCAAACATAATTAAAAGTTTCCCAATGACTCAAAGTGCCAGTTTTTTCTTTAAATTTAAATTTAAGTAAAATAAAATGAAAATATAAGCTCTTCAGTTGCCCTAGCCACAGTTCAAGTGGTCCATGGTCACTACTATTGGACACCATAAGTTCAGAGTATGCAAACAATGGCTATAAAAAGGTTCATGATACATTCTGATACAAATATTCAAATAATGTCATCTACAACAAATTTTTATTTTAAAATAATGTGGTAAGTTGTTAAGAAATGACATTAGTCACAGATTTTGATTGTTACTTAATCTGCTTTGATATATTTGATTGTGAACACTTAAAGATTTTTAAATGCTGATATTTAGTTATCTTTAAAAGCTACTTAGTATTAAACAATTTGCAAAACCTAAATTCCCAACATTGAATTTCCTAATATAGGACTGTATATTCTTAAAATTTTATTCACATTTTAAGAAAATATACTATATACACATTGTTACTATTGGGTAAAAGTTCATTTAAGTGACATTTTATTCAACAGAAATCCTATGAAGCAAAGAATCTTTCTTTATTGAGTTTAAAGAACACAATAAAAATTATAGATTCTGTGAACAGCTCAGTTTTGAGACACAGAGGCAATGTATTGGCATTAAAGTAGAAGTTCTATCTTATTGAGGATAACTTTGTATCATAGCTGTCTTTTATTCTTAGTTTCATATTAAATTTGAAGAGTGTAGCTTCAAAGATACATTTGGACCTAGGACTTTGAGAGGCTGAGGTGGTTGGATTGCTTGAGGCCAGGAGTTTGAGACCAGCCTGGGCAGCATAGAAAAACCCCGTCTCTACTAAAAACACAAAAATTAGCCAGACATGGCGGCATGCTCCTGTAATCCCAGCTACTTGGGAGGCTGAGGTGGGAGGATTGATTGAGCATGGGAGGCGGAGATTGCAGTGAGCTAAGATCACACCACAGCTTCAGCCTGGGAGACTGAATGAGACCCCGTCTCAAAAAAAAAAAAAAAAAAAACAAGAAAGAAAGAGAGAAAGAAGACAGAAGATGAAAGACAGAAAGAAGACATTTGGAAATTTTGTAAAGAGAAGTGTATACTAAAATATTGTTTCTGGAAATATTAGACTGTTGGGTTAGAGCAAAACTACTTGCTTAAAATTATAAGAAATGCTAGATAAATACTTTAATTTTTAATTGTGTGAATATATGACTAAGCTCATTTAAAAAAGGGTAAATATTTAGGGACCAAAAACAAAGACGAAGCTGAAAGTCCTTTAAGTACTTGATATGGTTTGGATTTGCGTCCCCACCCAAACCTTTTGTCCAATTTTAATCCCCAGTGTCGGAGGAGGGGTCTGGTGGGAGGTGATTGGATCATGGGGGCAGACTTCCCACTTGCTGTTCTTAGGATAGTGAATGAGAGCTCAAGTGATCTGATTGTTTAAAAGTGTGGGGCACCTTCCCTGTCACCCTCTTTCTCCCTCTCCAGCCACGTAAGACGTGCCTCCTTCTACTCCACCTTCTGCCATGATTGTAAGTTTCCTTGGGCCTCTCCAGCTATGCTGCTTGTATAGCCTGCAGAACTGTGAGTCAATTAAACCTCTTTTCTTTATAAATTACCCAGTCTCAGGTAATTCTTTTTTATTTATTTATTTTTATTTATTTATTTTTTATTATACTTTAAGTTCTCGGTAGTTCTTTATAGCAATGTGAGAATGGACTAATACCGTACTGTACTGAAAACTGTGGCTGCTGTGTAGGTCTTTAGCAGGGTTGGTTACAGTCTTGGTGTTTTGCAATTGGTCCACACATTCTTTGAAATTCCCTTCAAAATGTGAGGCCTCCCTTCCCCATGAGATAGCTTATTGCCCTGTTTAACTTCTTTTTATCAATCACCATAATGTCAAATCATCTATACTATCTGTTTATTTGAGGCAGAAACTTTGTCCTATTTATCACTGGATCCCATTACAGAGAAATGCATTCTGAAATGAATTAATGTAGCCATGTACTTGTAAACACATATTTTATGCCTATGCATATATAACAAAATATTGATGTTTAATCTTACAGTTAAATACATACCTTTAAATAAACTTATATTTTAATGTGTTATATATATATATTATATACATATAAATTGTCAATTAACCATATTACAGATAATGCTGCATTTTGATACTCCTGGTGTTAATTTAACGAAAGAATGCAAAATACTATTACTATAAAGATTAGAGTTCATTAGGAAAATTAAAAATAAATGTGAATAACATGCAACCTAACTTTGCCTGTGTTTATATATTATTTGGCCTACCAAACCGCATATGATTAAAATAATACAACGATTTAAATAATACCTTGACATATTTTATCAAGGCATTTAAGCATCTGAGAAATACTACTGAATAGATTTGACTCGATGCATTTTCTGTAGAATCTATAGGACAAGGCAATAATTATACCTTATAATTTCACTTTTCTTCCAAATTCATACCGTTATTATGCCAAGTCCGTTTATACTTTCTACATAATGAGTTTGCTGTGACAAGCCTCCTCTTGGAACTTAGGCTGTAATGCATTTACTGGCTGCAACATGAAACTTATTTTACTTTCACAGCACTTTTTCCTATTAAAGTGCACATTTGTCTGTGGATCCTGCTGGGTCCCATGATTTATGAATATAATTCTGACAGATGACTGTATTGTGTTTATATTTGAAAGTGAATTAGCAGTTAGAATAATTATAATGTTAGCATAATTGCAACTTAGGTCTATTTAATAAAATTTCACTTTGAAAATAACTGTTTGAGCTTCACCTCAAAGTGTCTATCTCAGCAAGGAATCTTTAGCGAATCATAGCATACATTACTTCGTTAATTTGGTGTCACTCTTAGAAGGCTTTCCAAACCTGCCCAATTTTTCATGTTACAAGATTTTACTAAAGGACTTGTCGCTACCTTGCTGGTCACTACAGGCAAGGCAAAGACATGCCCACAGTATCAAATGCGGGACTTCCACGTTGCACATCTCTACGGCGTGATTTTAAAAGCATGCCTTTCCCCTTCAGTAAAGAAAGGCACAGAGATACCTGTAGGAATGGCAACGCAGGAGCTCTGGAGTAGAATCTTTCTAGAACTACAAAATGATGACATGACGACTGTAACATAAAGACTATTTATATTGCAGATAAAGTCTCCAAAATTAAAAGAAAAAAGTGTTTAGGCAATTCTCCTCTGTTTATCATAAGATAATGCTAGGTTAGTGAAAGACAACAGAGAAGTCAGCATATGCTAACAAAGGAAATTGGAAGCAAGCAAAGAACGACACTTGTAAAATAACTCCACATTTGATGAAAAAAGACTGTATTTAAAACAATTTTTTCATTCAATGATATACTAGAAATTGAATTATTAGTAAAATTCAGTTTTTTCTTTCTTCCTAATACTTAAAAATCCACTTATTCACCTAATTTAGTACCCTTAATATTTTTCCAGTAATATTATTGGAAAGAAAACACTAGATAATATGGCTTCATGAGAGATAATAGTTTTAAAAATTCTCATCAAAAGAATTACAAAGCCAGGTAGGCAGTAAATAGCAACAGCTTTAAACTGCTCTGTAGAATATATCCATAAAAACAAAATGGCCCTTTGAATGTAAAAGTTTGTGGTATAAGGGATACTCAATATAATATAAATTAAAATGAATAAATTTAAATAATTTTTCTCTTGAATTTCTGTACTAATAGAAACAAATATGCATACTTAAATCAGAAGTATAACTAACTAATTAACCCTCAATTCATTTTCTGAATATGTGTATGCCTGATATTTGGAGAACTTTTTTTCCAATATGATAAAGCCGTCATAAAATCCCTACTTTAAAAAATTTATATAAATTGTTGTGGAAGGAGTGCAATTTTGTTACATATGTGGTGGTCACGTCAGGAGTTTAGGGTATTCCTCACCTGAATAACGTACATTGTATTCAGTAAGTAATTTCTCAGCTTCCACTTCTTCTCACTTGTGCCCTTCCAAGTCTCCGGGGTCCATCATCACACTCTCTACATCCAGTTGTACACCGTTTGTAACACCCTCTTATGAGTGAGAACATGTGATATTTGTATTTCTGTAACTTTCATGGTTACTTTTAATTTTCAGTCTTCTTCTACTGTCTCCTTCTAAGAAGTATATGCTCTGCCACTAGATGGTGATATAAAGTTAAAGCAGCTTTAGTGTCCCTGTAAAGACAAAAACTCTAAAAAAGTATATAGCCAACAAAGCTAGTTTTAAATGAAATACTGCATTAATTTAATTTGCATTCATCTCCCCAAATCTTAACTAATGATTAAGACAAATTCAAATTGTATATTCATTATGTGTTTATTTGTGACTTAGAATGGATTTCCTATAGAAATTATATTTTGGAACATTAATTAGTTTGCATGTCTATAAAAACTATATATATATTATAGTTGAATTATCCATACCTGCATACTGATACTTAAGTGTACATAATACTACAAAAGATGGCTCTTCAACATGAACCCGTTGTAATTACAAAGAGAAATAGATCAAGTTTCAACTAGAACAGCAGAGCTGCCCAACAGCAGAGCTGCCTCATAGACAGATTCTGGTCAAAAACACTTCTTGACAGCCTCTACTCTTTTCTAAGCACAAAGGCAGTCCAGGAGCATTGTTACAATATCCTTAGTTCTCTTCTTGCCCACCCTAGGGGACTAGAACACCGTATCAGGCAATAAAAATGAGTGGTAGAAAATATATAGCTATATAATTAAAGTGTTTAAATTAAAAATATTCAATTTGTACTAATATTATTTAAGATACCTGCTAGACTATAAACATGTTTTTTAGAAAAGAAAAAAAATTAACATTCTTAACTTATAAATAGTTCCCACAAATAGACAAGGGAAAAGAAAACCAACCAAAGTAAAAACTGAATAAAGTAAATGAAGAGGCAATTTACTAAATCCACAGTTGTCTATTAAACATGTAAAATTATGTTGGTACTCACTAGTCACTAGAAGCATGGAAAAACTAAAAATTATCTTGTTTTACCCAACAGATTGATAATATACAATGTTGACAAAATATTGAGAACAAATATTGCAAAAGCTTTTTGGGAGAGCAATTTGATTGTATTTATTAAAATTTGCTTAACAATTACACATCTGCATGAGAGATCCTACAGAAATATTAACTTCGGTGCACACACAGACACACAAAAGGATATTATGCAGCATTTGCTAATGGTGCAACAAAAACAGCAAGCATATTCATCAGTAGAAGGATAGCTCAAATGTGGGTAAGACACTTTGCTGAAATTAAATAGAATAGAGTTGATTAATAAAATAACACCAAATGACAATCTCCAAAATGCATCAAATGAAGAATTACAGTGAGTTTTAGAAACATATCTATGATATTATCATATTTATCTAAACGAAAAATATGTATCTCAATCGTATTTTTGAATTTACCAATTCTAAGCATAAATGGACAGTAAAAGGTCTGGAGGGATGCACGCTGTTTCCAACAGAAGAAAAAGAAGGAAGTGGGACAATGACACTGAAGGGGGACTTTTATTATTTACTCTTAAGAACTTTATATGGTGGAAATCTTTATATTGTTGATTTTTTTTCTTCATTTTTAAATGTTTTGTTTCGTTTCGTTTTGTTTTTTTTAGACGGAGTCTCGCTCTGTCTCCCAGGCTGGAGTGCAGTGGTGCGATCTCAGCTCACTGCAAGCTCCGCCTCCCGGGTTCACGCCATTCTCCTGCCTCAGCCTCCCGAGTAGCTGGGACTACAGGTGCCCACCACCACGCCTGGCTAATTTTTTGTATTTTTAGTAGAGACGGGGTTTCACCGCGTTAGTCAGGATAGTCTCGATCCCCTGACCTCGTGATCCTCCCGCCTTGGTCTCCCAAAGTGCTGGGATTACAGGCGTGAGCCACCGCGCCCGGTCTTAAATGTTTATTGTTTGATTACCAAAAAGATAACTTTAACTTGTTACAGGACGTGACAAACAGATTCACATTCAACATTATGTAATTGCTCAAAAACTGGGAGATAATAGTTGTATTTTCATACATTTATAATTGAACAGTCTATATTTTATAGAACATTAGTAAAATTTCTTAAAGTTTGCACAATAACAATTGACAACAATCCTGGTGTGCCCAGTTGACTAAGATGTCATCTTGATGTTTATAAACTATAATCAGAACCATTTCATGATGATGATATTCTGAAATATAAACAAATTTAAATTGTCTAAGTTATGGTCATTTTAGCACTAAGGTATATTAATTTTTTAATTTTTTTTAAATGTTGACTAGGAATAAGGTTCTATAATGAAGTAAATTGTCCAAAGATTAACATTGCAAGAATCTGATAACAATTTTGGTAATACAGACATCATTGTCATTAGCTTTGAAGCCCTTTGTCTCTTCTGCCTTAGGAGGATTCCTTTACAATCGTGCAGATCATTGAAATGTAATGTCAGAACTTTTTCTGTTTTTGTTCTTTTCATTTATTCAGATAATTCAATTCATTCAAAAATATTATTTTTCTGGGCACCCTGCTAGATGCTTGTCAGGTAATCAGGACAATGAGGCAAAATTCCTGTTTATAGGGATCGTCTTTTTGCCTGTGGTCCACACGTATGCTCACTCTTACATGCTAGAAGCATGAACAACAGTAAAACAGATAACCTTATTGACTTTGTTATAATAATAACAATAACACAATTTTATGTGAGAATTAGATGATTTTACATAAAATAAACATTTTTATTCCTTAGAAAAAGAAGTGGTGTTCACATTGCGCTAATTATTCATTGTATTTACTTTATATTTTGTATTTCTAAATATAGTTTTCTTTTGCTTGTTTGTAACTGAAAATAATTTGATTCATATTAAAATTATTTTTCAGTAGCTTTATTTGTTGAACCAAAATTTTACTGAAAAAATGTCAGTACATGTAGACATAAGTCATTCATTTTCACAGTGGTGTTACAATTTTATGAACTTGTAATATTATTTTTCATTCTATTATTACCAGTTTTTATTGTTACTTGTTTTCATCGTCAGATTTTTTGACACATGGTGTGTTTAGAAACACTCTCCTACCTGTTTCCTGGGGGCATGTTTACAACTATTCATGAAATAATGGAATGGTTGGCTTACAGGATTGGTTCCTCTTCGGCGTGGCTAGATAATGGCAAATTGTTTTCAGGTTGTGTGTGTGATGTAGATTCAGAGCAGTGATATGTAAACAGTTGTGATTGCTGCAAATCCTTTCATGCACTTGATAATTCAGAAACACTAGTAATTGTCAATCTGTGAGCATGAACTATTGCCTCATGTGGTTTTAATTTGCATTTCCCTGATTAATAATGAAGCAGTGCAAGTTTTTGTATGTTTATTGACCACTTTTGTTTCCTTTCCTCTAAAATTCAAGTGTTTTGTGTGATTGCGTGCGTGTGTGTGTGTGTGTGTGTGTGTGTGTGTGTGTGTGTGTGTGTGGTTAAAGACTCACTGGCATGTTTATCTATTCAGAAGAAGAGTAAATATCAGTTTTATGGGATGAAAATATCTTTTGTAAATGTGTGACTTTTATTTCCATTTAATTTATGGTCTACATTAAGGAGCAGAATTTCTTAACATTAATATTCTCAAACATTTCCTTCTTTTCTTTTGTGGTTTATGCTTCTTGAGCTGCCATGTATTAGAAATGCTTTCCTATCCAAAGGAGTAAGGATATTCTTCCATATTATTTTTAAAATATTTTATTATGCTTTTGACATTTACAATTAGATCTTTAATAAAGCTGAAGTTGAATTTGTGATTTAAGATAGAAGTTCTGTTGTTTCTCCATATGGATGGTGTATTAATGTGAACCACTTTATTAAACATCCATGCTTTCCTGCCTTGCTAGGCAACATCATATCTTTTCAATGGCATTTTCAAATGGGAGTGGTATTTTGGTGAGTCCATTTTTCCCTTCCATTACTGAATCTTCCCTTTCTACACCAAATACCCTCTATCCTAATTACCAGAGCTTTATATAAGTAATCATAAATAATGAGTAAAGTAGTTTCATGTAGCTGTATTTGTTTCCTGGGGCCGCTATAAAAATGTACCACTCTGGGTGGCTTAAACACCAGCAATTTATTTTCTCACAGTCTGAAGGCTAAAAGTCCAAGATCAAGGGGTCCACAGGGTTGTTTTCTTCTGAAGCCTCTCTCATGTTGATGTCCATCTTCTCCCTGTGTCTTCAGCTGGTCTTTCTTCTGTACATTTCTGTAACCTAATCTCTTGTCACGAGGACAACAGTCATATTGGATTAGGCCCACCTCGGGACTTCACTTCACTGTATCCTAAATACTTCTTTAAGACCACCATCTCCAAATACAGTCACATTCTGAGCTTCTGGATTTAGGATGTCAACCTATGAATATTAGGAGGACACAATTCATCTCCTGACAGTAGCCCTATGAAAACAAAACCTTTTAATCTTTCCAATTCTTATGTATTTTGTTTCCCTTTCTCAATTCCACCCCTATTCCATGGTCACCACTATTCTGACTTCTAAAACTATTTTATTTGCATGTTCTTTTGCCTGTAATATTTTGTAGCTACTTTTGCTCATCACAATATATTTGAGAGTGAGAGTCAGTCATGTTATTCCATGGGTCAATAATTTATTCTTTTTATTGCTGTATGGTATTCTATTCTCTGAGTATACTAATGACCAAATGGGCTGCTAGTCAATTCCTCTGATGAATATTTGGGTTATTTCTAGTTTTAAGCTAGATGAAGTTGCTATGAACATTTTAATATTGGTTTTTGCTAAGAACTGAATTGTGTCCCCATAAAGTTTATAGGTTTAGACCCTCAATGTGAGTATTCGAAGGTAGGGTTTATCCTGAGGTAATTAAGGTTAAATCAGTTCATAAGGGTGGGGCCCTGGCCTGATAGATTAGTGTCTTAGTGCATTTTGTGTTGCTATAAAAGAATTCCTGAGACTAAGTAATTTATAAAGAACAGAAATATATTTATCATAGCCCTGAAGACTAGGACATTTAATATCAAGGTACCAGCATCTGGTGCAGGTTTTCTCGCTGGTTTCTTACCTGGTAGCAGGTGGAAGTGGCAAAAGGGGATGAACATAGGGTCCCCACATGGCAGAAGAACATAAGACGGAGAACTCACAGCCAGGCGTGGTGGCTCACGCCTATAATCCCAGCACTTTGGGAGGCCGAGGCAGGCTGATCATAAGGTCAGAAGTGTGAGACCAGCCTGGCCAGTATGGTGAAACCCCATCTCTACTAAAAAATACAAAAATTAGCTGGGTATGGTGGCACACGCCTGTAGTCCCAGCTACTCGGGAGGCTGAGGCAGGAGAATTGCTTGAACCAGGGAGGCAGAGATTGCAGTGAGCCGAGATCATGCCACTGTACTCCAGCCTGGGCAACAGAGTGAGATTCCTTCTGAAAAAAAAAAAAAAAAAGAGAGAGAGAGAGAGAGAGAGAGGGAACTCACCCCCACAAGCCATTTTATAAAGGCATTAATCTGTTCATGAGGACAAAGACTTTATGACCCAAACACCTCCCATTTAATCCCACCACCCAACACTATTGCATCATGGATTAAGTTTCCAACACATGAAATTGGGGGTCCCATTAATACCATAGCAACTAGTGAAACAGGAGAGTGGTTGTGCTCGCTGTTTCACCCTGTGTGTGTGTGTGTGTGTGTGTGTGTGTGCGTGTGTCCTCTCTCTCTCTCTTGCTGCCATGCACACATACAGTAAGAAAGCAGCTATCTATAAGCTAGGAAGAGAGCCCTCACCTAAATTTCAATTAGCTGACACATTGATTTTGAACATCCCAGCATCCAGAACTGTGAGCAATACATTTCTATTGTTTAAGCAACTAATTTGTGTGATTTTATTAATATTGTGCCAGCCGGGCAGACGGACTATACAGTCCTTGTGGACATACAGAGTAATTTATTTTTTGTATAGACCTACAAGTAGATTTGTTGTATCATAGTTTTGTATTTAGCTTTATTTAAAGGCTTCTTTTTTAAGATGCCAAGCAAATTTCCAACATTACTGCATTCCACACATCCACCAGAAATATGTGAGAGTTCAAGCTGTTCCATACTATTCAAAATTTGCTGTCTTAAATTAAAAAAACATATTTAGTCGTTCTGATGAATAAATAGTGATATTGCACATTTTTGTTGACGATTAATGATTTTAATATTATTTAATATGCTTACTGGTCAAATGTATATCTTCTTTTATGATTTAGTTGTTAAGGACTTTTACCTATCTGGGAAAGAGGAGAGGTTTCATCTCCTTTTAATTATTGTTACTTAGGAGTATGTTTTTGATATTCTGCATGTAGGTCCCGAGTCAGATATATATATTCCAAATATTTTTCTCCCAGTCTATAATTTGTCTTTTCACTATCGTAACATTATCTTTTGGGGGGTGAAGTTCCCATAATATAAAATTAACCATTTCAGGTGTACAGCACAGTGGCATCTAACCTTCACAATGTTGTGCAACCGTCAGCTCTATTTAGTTTCAAAACTAACGGAGATCTGGGGCTCTCCCTATCCCTCTCGCCTCAGCCTGTGGCAAGCACTCATCTGCTTTCTCTCTATTGATTTGTCTATTCTGGGTATTTCATATGAATGGAATCATACTATATATTAACTGTTATTGCTTTTTTCGCTTATATGGTGTTTCTGAGAAACATCCCTGGTGTGCCATTTATCACTACTTTGTTCATTATAATAACCGATATTCCATTGTATGGATATAACGTATTTATCCATTTATCTATTGTTGGACATTGAGGTTGTTTTCATCTTTTGGATATCGCGAATAGTGCTGCTGAGAACATTCATGTACAAGTATATTTTTGAATATCCATTTTCAGTTCTTAATGGGTATATACCCAGGAGTGGAATTGCCAGGACATATGGCAATTCTATGTTTAACTTTTAGAAGATGCCAAAATATTTTCCACAGCAGCTACCCCATTTTACTTTCCCACAAGCAATGAATAAGGATTACAAATTCTCCACATCCTTACGAAACATTGTCTGGATGAACGTGTATTTTCAATGTTGATGAAGTACAATTTTTTAAAGATCTGCACCTTTTTGTGCCTTGTTATTAAAACATTTGCGTATTCTAAGATCAAAAAAATACCCTACATTGTCTTCTAAATACATCTAGATTTATCATGTTTAAGTGTAAGACACATCATAAATTAATTTGGGTGTTTTGTGTGATATGTAGGTGAGAATTAACTTTTTTCCATTTATATTGAAACATATACAAACAAAATCTTCAGTCATGGCAATACCTTGTTTTCTCTTTTTATTAGTATTCTCCAAAGAGACAAAACCAATGGGATATACACAGATGGATAGATAATAAATAGATAGGTAGAGAGAGAGAGAAAGAGAGAGAGGGAGAGAGAGGAGAAGGGATTTATTAGGGAAATTAGCTAATGCGATTTTGGAGATTGGGAGGTTCCATTATAGGTTATCTGCAAGTTGGAAACCCAGGGAAGTCAGTTGCGCGGCTAAGTTCAAGTCCAAAAGCCTCAGAACCAGGGAATCCAGTGGACTCTCAGTCCAGAGCAGCAGGCCTGAGAATACGGGGGTTCACCCGTGCGAGTCCCAGAGTTCAAAGGCTGGAGAACCTAGAGCTCTGATGTCCAAGGGCAGGAAAAGGAGGGTATTTCAAGTTCAGGAGAGAGAACACATTTGCCACACATAATTTTGGTGTGTTGTATTTTCATTATTATTATTATTATTTTCTTTTTTTTTTTGAGCCGGAGTCTTGCTCTGTTGTCCAGGCTGGAGTGCGGTAGCACGATCTCTGCTCACTGCAAGCTCCGCCTCTCGGGTTCACGCCATTCTCCTGCCTCAGCCTCCCCAGTAGCTGGGACTACAGGCGCCCATCACCTTGCCTGGTTAATTTTTTGTATTTTTAGTAGAGACGGGGTTTCACCGTGTTAGCCAGGATGGTCTGGATCTCCTGACCTCGTGATCCACCTGCCTCGGCCTGCCAAAGTGCTGGGATTACAGGCGTGAGCCACCACTCCCGGTCTGTATTTTCATTATAATACATGCTACTTTTTTATTATCTTCATCACGGTTTCATTTTTGACCAATTAATTATTTAGAAGTGTACTGTTTAATGTGTATGAATTTTCTAGTTTTATTTTTGGCATTGATTTATGACTTAAATGTATTGTGAGCAGGGATCATAGTCTGCATGACTGTGACTGTAATCCTTTGAAATTTATGGAGAACTATTTTATGGACCAACATATGGTTTATTTTTGTGTATGTGTTATGAGCTCTTGCAAAAAAGAAATGAATTCTGTGTTTCAGATACAAAAAAATTGCAGTAATTTGTATTTCTCCTTCAAATACCTGTGCCTTTTCTCCCCCATTTTCTAATGGAGTTAAGAAAATATTTATTAAGAAAACATGAAAATAATTATTAGTTTTTGTAATATCTTAGTAATTAACATGTATTTACTTGACCCCAAATTCTCCTCTATATTTTTTTGTCTTTGTTTAGTATGAGGTTATTTTCTAAGATAATACTATGTAACTTTTGATAGAATTTCTATACTCAAATTTGGGAAAAAAATAGATTTAACCAAACACATTTAATTTAGATTTCATTTTTTATTTTACTTGCTTTCTTAAATTTGATTAACTTAGGTTTTTCTGAAATATGTATGTGCATATATATACATATATGTTTTTAAGGGAGAGGATCTATATCTTAACTTTTGTAAACTTGTAACAGTTTTTGAGAATGTTCTTTTACTGTTATACATCTGAAGGTCAGGCATTGCGTATAGTATTCTTCATTCATGATTTCTTAAATTAAGTTCCCAACTATAAATATTGCTTAAATTGCATTTCATATTTTGTTCATTAATAATTGTCTCTGTTTACCTCATGGTTACAGAATAGATTGCATATTAATAGATGAAAAATATATTTATATTATAAAGTGATTGTATTGCAAAGACTAAGTTTAAAAAAGCAATGGTTGAAGGATTGAGTACTATACATAATTATCTATCAATCTAATGCATCTTTCATAATTTAAAGTTCACTGGAGTAACCATAAATATACACAATTAAACATATATATCATTAAACACACTTCTATTCATAGAACTTTATAAAACTTTATATAGAAGTTCTTCTATTTATATTTTCTGAATATTGTCTAGATCTTCCCTTTTTTTAAATTTAGGCATTTTCATAGCCCCTTAAATATAATGATTCATTACAACCCTCTCTTTTAACCACATTCTTTGACTGGTATCTGTTTAAATGTATATTTTCCATTATTCTATCTATTTCAATTACCATATGTGTAAAATCCAACTGAAAAGCAAAATCAAACAGTAAGTAAAATTAAGGGAAATGAGTAACTCACATGATTTTCAGATAAACTTTGGTAGCTATATGGATTGACTTATTTTTAATTCTTTATTTCCCAGATAACATCTAATATAATGATACTAATCTTCTAGCCACATGGACCCAGATGTGCTTATCTAATTAACACCGTGAAGTCACTGCTCTTTAGATCTCATTTTGTTGGAGACTTGTACAATGAAAACAGCAGCAGCAGACCACTCAAAGACTCCTACCCTCTCTTCCAGTCTTTTCCAATGATAGTTCTGAAATTATAAATCTATGAATGATTAGCTTCAACTTAGGCATTCTGGATTCACACACTCCAAAAGAATTACTGTTATTATTATTTACAGAAAAAAAAAATCAAAATTCAGGTTAATTGTTCTTTTACAAAGCAATTGATGATAGATGAGTGAGAAAAAAAAAACAACAGAAAGCTGGGAGATGTGAATTTTTATTAGTAAGAGTAGGATCCCTTATCCAAGAAAAAAATATACTTTGAAATTTTTTAGAAAGAATTTAATAAAGAATAGTCAATTATGACTTACTTAATCATATATGTATTTTGCCTTTTACTAGAAGACGATAAGTTCAGTTGACTTCAGTGAAGTCAAAACTTCATGCCTGTATACGTGTTCCACTATATTCAGGACATTGAAATCAAAGGCCAGTGTCATTTAAAATAAAGCAAAATAAATTCTTCCCCAAACAAGAGCAACATAAGTCAGCTGAGAAGTACAAAAAACAGCATTTTATATATAGATGCTGGAAGAACTTACTGTGCCTTCAACAAATATTGAAGTAAACTGCCAATTAAGGTAATTGCTAATAACAGCTCATAGTATTCTATTATGAACAAGATTAATTGATGAATAAATAATATAGAATAAATAAAAACATAATGCTTGATGTATCAAGAAATACTAAATATTTCAGATTTCTAAAATGGTTTTATTCTTCACTAAATAAATCATGTAAAATTTAAACATGTCAGTAAGAAAAACTGAAGAATCTTTTTGGAAATGGTGGTAATATTTTTTATCCATTTAGAATCACAAAGTTAACTATTAAGATTGAACTGATCTGTGAATGGTCTGACTACTTGAAATATTAAACCTAAATTATTTGACTTAATTTAAGTTATCAATCATAGTTTAGCATAGGGCAGATATAGCCTTGGTCTAAAATATTATTAGGAAAGATGTGTTTCTAATTTAGAGTTATTAAGAATTATGTGTCATTTGATATTGAATAAAATTGCTATAATCCATTATCAACTACTCCTTAAATGTAATTTCATTATTCTCTCTCATGAGTATGAGAAGATATCAATATCTTTCTCATGTTAATTCATCATAATATTATAACTCTTAATTGTGTCAGAATGGTTTTGAGATTCATGATGTAATTTTGTGCTGGATTCAATATAAAAGAAAAAATGTACGAGTTTAAAATTATCTTTGTAGCTTTTGTCCCAAAATTACAGTACACATTGTATTGTTCCTGAAGTCCAATACAAGAAATATTTAAGAATAAGTACACTATGTACAAAGAAATACATATTAAGTGATTCCATAGAGGACTACTATACAAAATTAAAATCTTGGAAAGTTTTTATTATTTAAACATATGACCAAATTTATAAAGGTTCCAATTTAATGGTTTTTCCTATTAGAGGTATTTTTATTCCGTGCATAACCGTATCCATCTGCTAACTCTTCTTTAACCCATGTTTCTCCATGGCACTTATTTTTTCAGCTTCTTCCTGAAGGCTTCACAATCTACTGCCTGCCCTCCTTAGCAATTGTGCTTCACTTCTCTGCCAATAGTGATAAATTATTAAAATTATTTATGCATTATTCTTAGATTTTTCCAAAAAAAATCTTTTACTGTTTTGCTGTCATTGCCTTCATCCTTTGTGGACAAATGCTTGATGCTCAATAGGGCAGGACAACTTATAGCTACCCATTGAATTATCCTCCCCTTCTTTCTATTTCTCTCTCTCTCTTTCTTTTGTTGTTTTCATTTATGATTTGTCTGTGTATTGGCTTAGTTGATAGTATTCAATTCCAGTAAAGTAAATGTTATGTGATGGACCTTCATTCTAAGAGAGACGTGATTAGAATTTGCTAATAGTACCTGAAGAATTTTCTTAGGCCTATTAACTCACAAAAGGATTGGCACGCTGGCTTTCATTGTACCATTAAGAAATGAGGATTGTGTGGGACTTTTTTGATATATGTGTATATATACATATATAAGTGTGTGTGTCTGTGCGCGCATGTGTGTTTGTGTAAGGGATGGGGAGAGAGACAGCATAATAATGCCATAATATAGTAAAGGAGCAAACAGCAGTCTACAAATTTGGAAGGTATCCCGGAGAAGAAACAGCTGACGAGGTCAGGCTGACAGAGCTAGCTCCCACTAGAAGCCCCTTTCCAGAAGAGATCAGAGTCATCAGATACAAAGTGCAGGAGTTTGAAGGAATCATCAGGATAATTAGATTAAAAGTTATTTGAGGTCTACTCGGGACCACTCAGACTCCTTCCCCTTTGGTTCTCTGCCTTCTTACCATAAATATCATTCCTGGAACCATGTACCAGGAGAAGGCTCCTGGTGCTCATCAACAGGTCCAGTGACAGCTGAAAATAATTTATGGAGTTACTAACTCCTGAGTCATTTTATACATGAGAGGAGAAAAGCAAAGGCTGCTACATCCAAGAGTTTGCTGTGCTGTTGTAAAGCAGCTGAACGAAGCCTTCTATTTGGTAACTGCTATTTTATTACATTAGGTTTCAATATAGAATTTGTAAAATAAATTATAACTGGTCAATACATTAAAATAGCTTAAAATAATCTTTAGTATGTTACGTGTAGCCTGATTTCTCTGGTGTGTGCATGTTATTCAGATTAACAAAGACAAAAGAAGAGATTACAGTTGAGTTCTTGATAAGATTGGAGTAAAAGGAATTGGCATTTCAATTACTTACTTTTCTCAGAATTTGTGTTCAATTTTGCATGATTCGCCACGTGCCAGTGCTCTTCCCCACTTGTGCTCACAAGTGGCCTCATGGCTATTTGATTTTCATTAGTAGCAATACAGCTATAAGGATGGCACCTTCTTATTAGCACAAGAAACACTTCATTCTTATAGTTTTAGCAATTTAATCAATACATATCCTCTGGTTCACTTAACTCTTTAACAAACAGAATATTCTACAACTTTCCTGTTGGAAATGCAAGGAATTTAAGAAATAACTACTACAAGTAGATTTCCTAACAAGCCATGTTCCATAATAGACTTGTTTTCTGTGACGGATAATTTTATTTGTCAACTTAGCTAGGCTATATGGCCCAGATGTTTGGTCAAAAGCATCTAGATGTTGCTGTGAAGGTGTTCGTTTGTTTGTTTGTTTTGAGATGGAGTCTCACTCTGTCGCCTGGGCTGGAGTGCAGTGGCATGATCTCAGCTCACTGCAACCTCCGCCTCCTGGGTGCAAGCTATTCTCCTGCCTCAGCCTCCCAAGTAGCTAGGATTACAAGCGCCCACCACTATGCCCAGCTATTTTTTTGTGTTTTTAATAGAGACAGGAATTCACCATGTTGGCCAGGCTGGTCTTGAACTCTTGAGCTTGTGATTCACCTGCCTCGGCCTCCCAAAGTGCTGGGATTACAGGCATGACCCACTGTGCCCAGCCTAGATTTCAGATTTAAACCTCACAATAGCATGAACTAATTATCTAATACGATGTGTGTATATTTGAACTAATACACATATATCTTATTAGTTCTGTTTCTCTGAAGAACTCCACACACCTATTTAATACATGCTTTCTTAGCATACTGTTTATGATTTGTATTTCATATTAAGTTTTAAATATAGTTAAATATATTGACAAAGGCATTAAAATTAGAAAAAATATCCTCCCACCTCAGCCTCCCAAGTAGCTGGGACTACAAGCACACACAACCATGCTGACTTTATTTTTATTTATTTTTATTTTTTATTTTTAGTAGAGAGGGGATTTTACTGTGTTTCCCAGGCAGGTATTGAACTCCTAGGCTCAAGTAATCTTCTCACCTCAGCCTCGCAGTGTGCTGGGACTACAGGCATGAGCCACCATGCCCAGCCCTCCCTTTCATAATATCACATTGTTTTATATATTTTTATATATGCAGTTTTCCCATTCTTTTAATGTGGCCCATACATACCATTGAGTACTACTTAACAATAAAAGGGAATAAACTTAATAAACTATTGATACACAACAACTTGGATAGACCTCTAAGGCAATATACTGAGTGAAAAATGTCAATCTCAAAAGGTCATATTCTGTATGATTCCATTTATATAACATTCTCAAAATAACCTAACTATAAACATGGTAAATACATTTGCTGTTGCTAGTGTCGGTATCGTGCAAAGGAGGAGGGTGTGATGTGAATGGTGGCAGCAGGAAGATCCTGAGGGTAATGATATAGCTCTTCATCTTGACAGTGTGGTAGCAACACAAATGTACACGTGATAAGTGGTATACAACTATTCTCACGTATTGTAACTTTGTAAGGTTTCTGGTTTGATACCATAATTATGCCAGATGTAATCATTTGGGGCAAATTTTGTCAAGGGTATGCAGGACCTCTCTTTACTACCTTTGAAACTTTCTGTAAATCTAGAATCATTTCAAAATAAAAAGTTGACATCATAAATTTTGGATGGAAAGTATACATTATGTGGTTTATTATCATTTCAGATAAGGCACTAGGGACAGTGAAAAATAATAAATGACTTAATCAATATGACTCAGGGGAAAACCATATATTATTATTTCAAATTCATACTATTATTTTTAAGCAATTATAATACAAAAACATAATTTATTTAATCTAATGTTATTTTAAATACTGTGTATCTCTTCTGTAGCTGTAGAACCAGGCTTCCATTATATATCATTTATGCATACTGTTGCAATTTAAAATCCTTTCAAGTTTGTTTATGTGAAAATCTCTACAGCTTTAAATAATTAAATCCATCTAAATTAAATCCTCAAACAAAATATTTCTGTTACAGTAATGGTATTCAATTAAGGGAAATGAAATTGTATTTATTATCTAAATATTATATCTGAAAACATAAAAAGCTTTAGAAAATTTGAAAAACATTTATAATTGGCACTCCCCAAATGTTTGTAGATATTTTCTACATAATGCTGAAAATATAATGAAATGAAAATAATGAAAAATAACTTTGATAATAACCATAGGAATGCATGTTATCCTCTTTTGGTTTTAGTATGCTACCCAGCTGCCAGAGCGGCTCAAATATAAGCAGGCAGAAACATATGAAAAGAGAGACTGGCCTAGCCTCCCAGCCTACGTCTTTCTCCCATGCTCAATGCTTCCTGCCCTCGAACATCGGACTCCAAGTTCTTCAGTTTTGGAACTCGGACTGGCTCTCCTTGCTCCTCAGCCTGTAGATGGCCTATTGTGGGACTTTGTGATCATGTGAGTTAATACTTAATAAACTCCCCTTTATTTGTGTATATATAATAAATTTAATAATTTTTATATTATTATATAATAAATTTTAATATATTATATATTTTATATAATTTAATATAGTTTATATAATTTAATTAATTTAGTTTATATAATTTAACTTATTTTAACAATAAATATATTTTATATTATATAATAAATAATTTAATATATAATTATATGTATTTCATTAGTTCTGTCCCTCTAGAGAACCATGACTAATACTCAGGCCCCAAAACAGACTGGAATTATTGGAATTGGAAAAAACACTTCCAGTACAAAATGTTTTAAAAAGGATACTGGTTATCTTGTCTCTAAGGAGAATGCTGACTCTTGGATACATAGAGTTTAACTGTAGATGGGGTTGTGCTTTTTCAAAATATATTGGGTTGTTGCAAACATAATTGCTATTTTTGTCATTACTTTTAATGGCAAAACTACAATTACTTTTGCGCCAACCTAATACTTCTTAAGATAAGGTTGGTGGAAGATTTTGGGGAGTTTCTGTTTGTTTCACTTTTGAAATATTTCAGAGAATCTCAGAGGGCTGAAGAAATAATGTACTTAATGGTTTATTACTCCTTAATATTACTTCAATAGAAAAAAAAAAATGGGAAGGCCGGGCGCGGTGGCTCATGCCTGTAATCCCAGCACCTTGGGAGGCCGAGCTACTCAAGAGGCTGAGGCAGGAGAATTGCTTGAACCTGGGAGGCGGAGGTTGCAGTGACCCGAGATCGTGCCACTGAACTCCAGCCTGGGCAGCTCTGTTTCCAAAAATAGGGGGGGTGGATTTTGTGAAAACCTTTTTTGGGAGTTGTCTATCTCATGGCGTTCAGAGCTCACTGTCTCATAAACAGCCTCAATTAATTAGGAAGCAGAATTTTCTTCCAATCTCATACCAAAAGTTCCCCTACAACAGCCACCCCTCAAAAGCCATATTCCACATTAAAATTATATTTCTATTCAACCGACTGGAACCAGCTTAAATTTGTGAATATATTCTCACTATCAGGCAAACATAAGAGGACTGTAATTGTAGAGTTACACTGAAGTGGGCTGCAGGCTTAAAGATAAGTATATTTGGAGAAAATACTAATAAAAATGTTCACTTCAAGTAAGAAAACTTACCTGTGAGATATTTTTGGTAAATGCAGGCAAAAGCCAAAAATTAAGGCATGGCAATATTGAATTCAGTCTTAAAATATTTCTGTTTTTTGTAAAAAGGCATAAAACAAGATAGCATATCTCTCTAGAAAAACCTAAATCTTCCATATTGTTAGATTACTGTCAACATAGTAGCTGTTTTCCCCCATGCTAGTATACTGTCGCTGCAGAACTCTATCAAGCCAAGGGCTTTTCAGTTTCTCTTGAAATTGCATCCCTGCAAGTCTTTATTTAGGTTTTGTAGATCTGAGGACTTTTTAGCAGACTGCAGATTATTTTGGCATTTTACAGCATTTAATGATCTCTGACAAAAGATTCTAGGAGATGACGATTTTTACTTTATGATTTTTTCATAATTCACTAAACTTGTCATTTTAAGAAACCTTTGTATAGTCCATTCTCACACTGCTAGAAGGAACTACCTGAGACTGGGTAATTTATGAAGAAAATAGTTGTAATTGACTTCCAGTTCCACAGGCTGTACAGGAAACATGGTTGGAAAGGCCTCAGGAAACGTCCAATTATGGCAGAGGGCAAAGAGGAAGCAAGCACTTTCTTCACGTGGTGGAGGAGCAGGAAGTGAGGGAGTGAAGGGGAAGGTGCCACACACTTTCAAACAACCAGATCTCCTGAGAACTCTATCATGAGACAGCACTAGGGTGCTAAACCATTAAAAACCACCCCCCATGATCAAATCACCTCCCACCAGGCATTACCTCCAACACTAGGATTACAATTCAAGGTGAAATTTGGGTGGGGACATAGAGTCAAACCATATCAACCTCTGACTCTCTAAGAGTAATCTAAGTCCCTGGAATAAGCCACTCATAGTACTGAACACTGTAAACATAACGGAGTCTCGTTAAATATACACATGCACACACAGTGAACTCGAGGTGAACAATGTACCAAAGTCATATTTATATCTCAGAAATAGTGCCCCAAATCCTGATATGCATTTTAGTATTGAAAAAGAATGGTGACATTTTAACAAGAGTTCACGGCTGGGCGCGGTGGCTCACAGCTGTAATCCCAGCACCCTGGGAGGCTGAGGCGGGCAGATCACGAGGTCAGGAGATCGAGACCATCCTGGCTAACACGGTGAAACCCTGTCTCTACCAAAAAATACAAAAAATTAGCCGAGCATAGTGGCGGGCGCCTGTAGTCCCAGCTGCTCAGGAGGCTGAGACAGGAGAATGGCATGAACCCAGGAGGCGGAGTTGCAGTGAGCTGAGATCATGCCACTGCACCCCAGCCTGGGTGACAGAGTGAGACTCCGTCTCAAAAAAAATAAAATAAAAGAGTTCAAACACCATTTACAAAATAAATTGCATTAGTATAACTTTTAAGATGAAACACGTATTGAAATTAAACAAAAATTCTATATGCAAATATACCTTATTCTGAGATTTAGTGTAAGAAAAGTGTTGGTTGAGCTAATCTATGTCACCGTATTTCAATTTAAACATATATTATGTCCTACAGATTACATTATTTCTTATATTTCAATGTAAGTACTGAGATAAAAATCACTGTTCTGAGTTCTCTGCAATCTTCCTGACCTTAAATATTTAGCTGCTTTGACGAAAATTTATTTCATTTCTGTGAAAATTGAAGTAGGTTAAACAATGGTCAAAGGCAAAAGGACAGATGAGTGCTTGACAATTTACCCCAGTAAAGTTCATTAGATCACATCCTCCAGAGATCTGTTACTCTCTAAAACAGCAGCCAACGAGACACCTCAGGCTTTCCAACACCCTGAAAATCAGCTAGCAATTATGGCAGACATTAGGGCAATATTACTTCTTTTATTTGGGACTTGTGATGAATAGGAATCCATTGAAAAAAGGTTTTTAAAAAAATTTCATTGTAGTATTGGAAAAGACAAATCTTAGAGCAGAACTGGAGCTCTGGAAAAAAAAATTGAACCTAAAACCCTGCATAAAGTGTAGTATTTAATAAACATCTTAGTGACTCACAAAATCTGTGTGGTAAGTTTTGCAATAATGTGTCATGCAACAGCTATTGTGTGCTCTAAAGACTTTGGAGGAAGTTGGGGACAGGGATTATAGCACTTTCTTATGCATCTCTATAATTTGTTTTAAAGACGCACATATGCTAATAGATTGCAGTTGTGGATGAATTTTAATTGTGTCACCCTATAAATTATGATGCTCTCACCTTGACTTATATAGATCCCCAGTTAAATGTTACTGCTACAGCCATAACTTTGAACCAACATGGAAACTTCTTGATCTACCAACATTGAAACTTCCGAATCTACCGATACACTGATCCAGCAACTCAGTGAACTCAGTGCCTTGACGATCAGCATAGTATAATTTCTGCTAACTACTGCTGATTTATTTATAATCACTGATACCTCGGAATAACTCAGGATTCTTCCTGTTCCCCACCGTGTCACATTCCATACTTAAGAAAGCAGCAAATACATGGTCCAATCAAGTGAAACGTTCAGAGGTTAGAGTTCACAGCTCACATGGAGTTGTACCTCTGCTCATTTGTCCTCTCCCTCTCTCTCCTCCCAAATCTCTTCTACCCTATAGGTAAATAAAGCCAGGGCTTAAGAACATACTTCCAGAAACTCGGGGGTGGGGGAAATGTCCTTATTTTCAATCAGTATTTACTCAGATGGAATAAGACTGTAATGGTTACCACCAAAGTAGAAAGTTACCCCCAAACAAAAAATGTTTCTAAATGCTCCTAAATTTGCTTTCAGACCTTCAGGAAGGTGAGTACGTGAGAGAGCTAAGTTAACTATCGATTTTTTTTACTTTTCCTTCTCATTTAGCTGACTTTCCTTTTCTGAGACTAGTAGAAGTCAAAGGGATGGGAAAGTTAAAAGACAGTTAGGCAAATATGGGAATATCATTATCTTCCTCTCTTTCCTGTCTTTTTCCACTTTATTTGTGAAATTATCACAGCATTAAAAATGGCTAAGCGTTGTCTTTGGAGGCAGAATGACTGAAGACAAATCTTTGTTCAAACGTTACTTGCTTTGTGACCTTTTATAATAATTAACATCACTGTGACTATTTCCTTATCTGCAAAGTAAAAATAATAGTAATAATTACCTCTTATGGTTGCTATAAGGAGAAAATTGTTTAATATCGTGAAGTACTTGGGACTGTTACTGAAATGTAGTAAGTACTATAAAAGTGTTAAATAGTTGAAGATTCATAAATTAATAGATATTTATGGTCTTGGATATATCATTTATGCTAGTACTTCTCTTATTCATATTTCTGTGGCAAGTATTTTTTAAGACTGCTTTTCAGAGTAGTTTAGATTTGCAGAAATTTTTGTGAAGATACTGCAGAGTACCCCATATACATTGCCACTCATTTTACCTCATATTAATATTTAATTTGCTATGTTATATTTGTTGCAAGTAACCAACCTATATAGATACATTATTAACTAAAATCCATAATTTATTCACATTCCCACAGATTGTGCTTGATGTTGTTTTGTGTTCTGGAATCCCATCCAGGATGCATTACACTTCAGCATCATGTGTGATTAGATTCCTGTTGGCTGTGATAGTTTCTCTGTCTTTCCCTGTTTTTTGCAACATTGACAGTCCTAATGAGTTTCAGACGGGTACTTTGTAGAACGCTGCTCTATTGGAATCTGCCTGGTGTTTTATTTTTTTTCCCTACAATTCTATTGGAGTTACAGGTTTGGTGGAGGCAGACCACAGCGGTAAAGTGAAATTTTATTCACATCAAATCAAATATTATTGACATGGCTTATCACTGTTGACACTGACCTGATGACTTGGCTGAAGTAATGTTTGTCATCTCTAATCTAAAGTTACCCTTTTTGTTGCCCTTTTAGTATAACACTGTTTGGAAATAAGTCACTATGTGAAGCCCATACTTTAAAGTTGGGCATTCATTTAATCTCCCTCCTTGAGGACAGAATACCTACATGAATTATTTGGAATTCTTCTACAAGGGAGATTTGTCTTTTATCTCCCATTTATTAGTTTATTCAAGTATTTATTTCTATTAGTTTGGACTAATGGATATTTTATTTTATACTTTGAGTAAAGATACCACTATTATTTTATTTATTGTACTATCAAATTGTTCCAGTTTTGCCCGTTGGAAGCTTTTACGGTTGGATCCTGTGCTGCTTTGACATTCTTCCATCAATATGTGTATGTGTGTGTTTCTTGACCCAGTCTTTAGAACCAAGTATTTCTCCAAGGATCCCTGATTATTTTTATTGGAGAATGTGAGTGAAAAGGGAAACTTATATCTTAATATTTATCTGAAGGTAATTATAACCTTGTATTAATAGGTCTATGGAAATGGTCTTCAGGACCTCCAAGAGTCCCTAGGCCACACTGTAGTTGAATAATAGTGGAGGTATAAATACATATTAATTACAAACACTCATTCCAGGCAAGCTAATTTTCTGCATTTTGTGTCAAGAATAAGGAAGTACACAAACCTGATCCTGAGATGAGTAATAGAAGGTTACATTGAGAGGAGTTGTTACTTTTGATAAATGAGGCAGTCAGGAGAGATTTCTCCAAGTGACCGCTAATGTCCCAGACCAAGGGGAAGGACTAACACATGGCATTGTGTTTCCCAAAGTCCAAACTTTGTCTCAGAAAGGACAATATTTCTAGAAGAAATTCTCAAAGCTCCTAACTAATTATGATATTGAGTAGTTGGTGTGTGCTGGCTTCTCTTCTGAATAGAAACCATGACCTGGCCCTGCAATTATAAGTGAGTCTCTTTCTAAATTCCAATAATAGAGTGTAACTTGAGTTGGAGAGATAAAAATGTCAGTCAAGTGGCCGGGCGCATTGGCTCACGCCTGTAATCCCAGCACTTTGGGAGGCCGAGGTGGTGGGATCACAAGGTCAGGAGATCGAGACCATCCTGGCTAACATGGTGAAACCCCGTCTCTACTAAAAATACAAAAATTAGCCGGGCGCGGTGGCGGGCGCCTGTAGCCCCAGCTACTCCGGAGGCTGAGGCAGAAGAATGGCGTGAACCCGGGAGGCAAAGCTAGCAGTGAGCCGAGATCGCACCACTGCACTCCAGCCTGGGCAACAGAGCGAGACTCCATCTCAAAAAAAAAAAAAAAAAAAGAATCCCTGCCCTAAAATTAGTTTAATGCTCTGCTGCTCTGCTGCTGCCTTGAAATTCTTAAAAATCTTCAAATTTGCATTTAAAATTGAATTTGAACATAGATGGAACTAACTTGTGTAAAGAATTAAAATCTTTTGAGAAAAATTCTTCTGTGAAAATTATCAGCTCTAGATGTGATCAATTTTTATCTAAAAATAATTTATAAAAATGTATCCCAATTTTATTACAGCCTACAAAATACACCTCATAGCTTCAACAGCAGTTGCATCAAAGACAAAAATGTCTTTCTCAGAATTGAAAATTACCCAAAATATTTAACATCTTGCATTCTCAAGAACAACTAATGCCACATTCAATTATATCTATTGAAAATGAATTGTTTAAAAGTGTAGATTTTGATGACAAGATCAATTAATTTATGGAAAAGCAAATCAGAAACTTCTCATGCCCAATTGAGATACTGCATTAATACTATACACTATGACTATGTATTATATCACATTAATACATTGCAACGTTATTTTTGCAATTTTTTGCAATTTGTAACTTTATGCTATTACTCATTTGTCATGATTATTTTATTCCATTCTGTAAGTAATACAATATCTTTAAAGTAAAAATGTTTGATATGTATTGCTTTTCACAGCACTATTTTCCTGCTTTTTTTTTTTTCTTTCTTTCTTTCTTTTTTGATAATGGTTTCTGCATTTCATTTTGCATTGGGCCTAACCAGTTATGTTTCTGGCACTGGGAACAACCCAATGTTTGCAGTTATTCACAGGAGGCTTGTGTCTCTCACGGCTGCATTGATGAAGTGGTCTCCTGCTGTACTGCAGCCTGTCCCAAGCCATGCAGTCATATCGTATGCCCTCTTCTCTTGCCATCCTCTCTTCCCACTGTAGACATCACTCTGCTTCCTTTCCTTTCCATAAAGACCAGAGTCACAGAACTGTCACTTAGGAGGAACTGAGGACTGTCCCACAGCATTTGCAGCTCTATCTAGGAAACATTACTTAATTTACTGCTTATCTTCATGGTCCTAAGAATGCGCCAGCCATTCCCCATCAGAAGGCATTCTTGTTCCCAGCTTTTCATCATATTTCTCATTCTTTATTCAAACCATACCACCTTCTTTTTCTGTGTGTTGGAGTTAAGGGAGAAGGACATAACCATTCAATTTTGAAACATTACAGAGATCTGAAGTCATTTCCTAAAAAATAAATCTGGACTAGGCACAGTGGCTCGTGTCTGTAATCCCAACACTTTGGGAGGCTTAGTTGGGAGGATCCCTTGAACCCAGAAATTCAAGACCAGCCTGGGCAACATAGGGAGACTCTATTGCTATTAAAATAAAAAATTAGCTAGGGAAGGTGGTGTATGTGTGTAGCCCCAGCTATTCAGGAGGCTGAGGTGCGAGGATTGCTTGATCCCTGGAGGTCAAGGCTAGTGAACTATGATTATCCCTACACTCCAGTCTGAGATACAGAACAAGACTCTTTCTCAAAATAAAACAAAACTGGATTGAGACCCTTCCCTCTCTCAACTTTGTATCTAACCAGACAGGTAGCAGCGTGCTTTACTGGAATAGATAAAAGAAAATATTCTTCCACTTTCAATTAATGCTATTCTGAGAACTGAGACCAGAGTTCTAATTAGTTTCTTCAAACTGAGCCCACATCTTAACCAGTAAACATGATTACATTTATTATATTATTCTTCCTATTGCTTTTAACAGTTATGACATGGTAACTTAAAGTTTTTTTTTTTACTTATTTATATATCATTTAGTAATTAAAAGAAGGCATCTGACTCTCAATTGGCCTGAGTTTATTAAACTAATTCTGGCAATAGCATTTAGTAGGTGAGGAGCCTTGGACACATCATGTTATCTGTCTAAGCCTCAATTACTTCATACTTTGTATGTAGGTATAAGGTTAATTATACTACCAATTTCTCTCAAGGTCATAAGAAAAAATAAATAATATTATTGGTTCTAAATTATTTTAGAGGATAAACCATGTTGATTTCTTCTCACCACTGGATAATCAATGTCTGTACTAGTGCTGGGCATATAAGAAAGATGAAATAACTGTCAATTGAATGAAGGAACAGATACATGTAAAAGTTTTAATTCAATTACATAGTATTAAAATTTTATTAATTATTGTCATAATTATTATTAGTTTGTATCACTATTTTTTAATTATTCATTTTTACATTTATTTGTATTAACACATATTATTGTGACTATTTATGGATACTCATGATATTTCATGACATGCATATAATGTGTAATGATCAAGTCAGTCTATTTGAGATATACACGACCTTGAGTATTTAAATCATTTATGTTTTGAGAATACTTCAAGCCCTCTCTTCTAACTTTTTTGAAATAGGAAATACATTGTTGTTAACTACAGATAGCTTATTCTGTTATTGAACATTAGAATGGGTGAGTTCTATCTAATTGCATATTTGTACCCATTAAGCAACCTCTCTTGGTCCCCACCCTGCAACATATGCCCACCCACACTCTTCCCAGCCCTTTAGTATCTACCATTCTACTCTCTACTCCATGAGATCAACTTGCTTTTCAGCTCCTGCATATGAGTAAGATCATTCAATATTTGTCTTTCTGAGTTTTTATCACCATTCTTTAGATTTAACTTTATTTTATGAATGTGGAAGATACTTAAGGTTATTTTCTTATCTCTTCCATATTCTGCATCTCTGCAAATGCAAACCTCCAAATGCACTGGAGGTTTCCACATCTGCATCAGGAATCCCACACTTTTTGGAAGGCTCACTGCTTCTAGTTATACATGAATGCTCTAAGAATTTTCTAATTTCTCATAAGTTTATTGACCAGAGCACTCACTCAACTCCACTGTGATTATGGGGTAGGTCAAGTGTGCAGCCAGTACTCACTTAGCTAAGTTCACAAAGCCTTCCCTGCTATATCCCATTTCATAGTGAAGAATCCTACTGCTGGACCTGGGAGGAAACTCTTGTTATACAAATTTTAGTCCTAAGTAACTTGTCATAGTCAGCTGCAGTTGCTATAACAGGACACCGCAGACTGGGTGGCTTAAATAAAAGACATTTATGTCTCATGGTTCTGGAGGCTGCAGAGTCTAAGAGCAAGATGCCATCTGGTTCACTGCCTGGTGAGGACTTTCTTCTTGGTTTGCAGATGATGTCTTTCTTCAGGTCTTTTGCTTGGTGTTTCCTTGGCATGAGCATGAAGACAGAGAGAAAGATCTCACATCTTTTCTTCCTTTTACAAGGACATTAATCCCATTATAAAAGTGCTTCTCTCAAGACCCAATCAAACCTTAATTACCCTCCAAAGGCACCAAGTCCAAATGCCATCATACAGGGATTGGGGTTTCAACATAGGAATTTTGGGAGGATACAAGCATTCAGTCTATAGTGGTACAAAATCTTGGAATGGTAAATTTATGACCTATAGACTCCACCCTTTCCTTCTTCCACCACAGCTGATGGTACTAATTGATCATGGCAACTTTTCCTTTCTGAACTGAATGGTGATCATACAAATCTTTGTGACCCAGCATTTTGAGCAAGCACTAATGATAGCTCAGTGCTGACAGGAAGCTCTGCCCTCTCCTGTCTGCTCTATGATGACAATGCCTCTATCAGTCAATTAACTGATGACAAAATATGATACATTTGGTAATAATCTTGGAGGAGCTGAGAGACAAGAAAAATGTTTTGTAAAAGGTCTTTATTCTAAAAATAGGGAAATGATAAGAATGACTTAAAAGCAGTAATTAAATTAATACACATAATAATTCTATTTGCAGTAGGTAAAAAAAGTAACAACTTGACGTGTTCAGAAAACACAGCCTTGATGACTTTATTAAGTGTTCTAAATTCTGATTCTTTTGTTATCCGAATAATTATAAAAACCTTTAAAAGTCAACGATATCTTTATTTCTCTAAAAATAGTATTCAGAGATGAGAAGAATTTTGGTGAGAAAAATTCTTACATTTTATGGTGTAGTTCAATGTGTTGTTAAGCCTTGACCTAATATAATTTTTAATATATAACTTTATAATATAGAGACATCTATATTTCTTTATAATATAGAGACATCTTTCACATATCCAACCTAAAATGTATTACTGTCTCTGACAACTGGCATTGTTAACTACTTACTCTCTCTACAGTGAATTTTCTTCATCAATTTTTATTTATGCTACTTTCTTGGATGTCTCATTAATCTTTAGTTATTTTTTTTTTGTTTTCTTTTAGTGACCTTCTGTTCCTTTTCTCTGTCCACAGTAGGTTGTCCTGATTATTCTGGATTTTATTTCAGTATTTGTCTCCTTAAATAACATATTGTTTTGTGGGTTTAAACTTATTTTCTTGAGAAAGCATGAAGAAATGAAGAAAACAAGGAATTTACATCTAAAAAGACTGGCTTTTAATTCTCACATTTTAATGCATGATATGGTTTGGCTGTGTCTCCACCCAAATTTCATCTTGAATTGTAGCTCCCATAATTCTCTCGTGTTGTGGGAGGCACCTAGTGGGAGATAATTGAATCATAGGGGTGTTTTCCCCCATATTGTTCTCATGGTAGTGAATAAGTCTCACAATATCTGATGGTTTTGTAATGGGAAATCCCTTTTGCTTGGCTCTCTGATTCTGTCTTATCTGCTGCCACATGAGATGTGGCTTTCGCTTTCCACCATGATTGTGAGGCCTCCCAGCCACGTAGAACAGTGACTCCATTAAACCTCTTTCCTTTGTAAATTGCCCAGTCTCAGGTATGTTTTTATCTGCAGCATGAAAATGAAAATTGGCTAATACAATATATATAAATATCCTATATATTTCCAATTAGGAAACCATTAGGAAACTTTGACTTCCTTATAATAAAAAAGGTTTCTTAAAAGTCAGAAACTCAGATACACTTAAGGAAAGGAAGGGCATTGAAGAAGGAATAAGTGAAGATGAAATAAAAACTTATTTTTGTTAATATTCTAAGAGAAAATAGTTCATTCAAAATAATAGCAACAATGTGTTCAATTATGTGGGCTTATGTATGTTATATAAATGTACTTCTATATGCGTATATATAAGTGAAATGAATGGCAGCAATGATATAAGTTATGGAAGGAAGGAATTAGGAGTATTTTGTTATTATAAGGAACTCACACTATCAATGAAGTGGGTGTTGTTTTATTTGAAAATGAAGTTGGATTAAATTAGTTGTAAATGTATATTGACAATTCTAGGGCCACCACTAAAAAAGTTTTTCTTTTTAAAAAAGAAGTAATTGATATAATAAATAAGGAGAAAAATAAAAATACAAAATGAAAGCCATAAAATGTAGAAAAATAGCAGAAGACAAAAATAGGAACAAAAACAAGGGTAACAAATGGAAAGAGTAACAGATACAGTAAATGTTAATTCAACTATATCAATAGTCACTTTGAGTATCAATGGTATAAATACATCAATTAAAAAACAGAGATTGTCAGAGTGTATTAGAAGACCAACTATATGTTGTCAAACAAAGAAAACCACTTTAAATATAAAGATGCATATACATTAAATGTAAATTGAAGGAGAAAAACATAACATGTTAACAGTAGTCAAAGGAAAACAGAAAAAGCTATATTAATTTCAGACAGAGCTGAATTTAAAGCAAGGAAAGGTTATTAGGGATAGAGAAGGGCATTGCATAATGATAAAAAGTCCAGGAGACTTGACAATTCTTAATGTGTACACACTTAAGGACAGAGCACCAAACTACATGAGGAAAAAACTGACAGAACTGAAAAAAAAACAGCAGAACCAAATATCATAATTGTAGACTGCAACACTCCTTTTTCAGAAGTAAACAGATTTGGCTGGCAGAAAATCAGTAAGTACACAGGTGAATTCAGCAACACCATAATTTAACTGAATATAATCAACATTTACTGATTATTTCATTCAAAAACAGTATATTACACATTCTTACCAAATTCACATGGAATGTTCACCAAGATGTACCACATTCTGTGTCATGAAACACCCTGACTAAATTTGAAAAAAATTAAAAAATACAATTTCTGCTCTCAGACTATATTGGAATTAAACTATAAATCAATAACAGAAAAGTAACTAGAAAATACCAAGGTACATGGGGATTAAACAATGCATACTTCTAAAGAATACATGAGTCAAAAAAAACTCAATAAATTTTTAAAATATTTTGAACTAAATGAAAATAAAATCATGAACTATCACAACTTGTGGGATGCAGTGAAAGCAATGCTTTGTGGGAAATCTGTACACTGAATGCATACATAAGAAAATAAGAGAGGTCTAAAATCAATAATCAGGCTTATACAGAAAAAGAATATTTCAAATACAAAGTAACAGAGAGAAGAAAATAATAAAAATGATAGCAGAAATTAATGAAATTGAAATCAGAAAGTAAACAGGGAAAATCGAAGAAACCAAAGCTGGTTCTTTGAAAAGACCAATAAAATCAATAAATTTCTAGCCAGCTAAGAAAAAAAAAATACACAAATTCTTAGAAATGAAAGAGGAAATATCACTACAGATTCTATGGGCATTAAAACAATAATAAAGGAATATTATGAACAACTATATGCCCACAGACTTTATAACCTAGATGAAATGGACCAAGTCTTTAAAAGATACAATGTGCCAAACCTCAACACAAGAAGAGACAGACAATCTAAATAGGCCTATGTTAAAGAAATTAAATCATAATTAATCGTCTTCCAAAACAGGCCCAGAGACATTCACTGGTTAATTCTACAAAACATTTAAGGAAAAATTATGCAAATATCTACAATACCTTTCAGGGAATATAAGCCGAGAAAATACTTCTGTGAGATCACCATTACTCTAATACCAAAACCAGAAAAGACATTACAAGAAAAGAAAACTCCAGACCAATATCTCTCATAAAGATAGATGCAAAAATTCTCAACAAAATTTTCAAAAATCAAATCCAGCAACGTATAAAAAGAATTATACACCATGGCCAAGTGGAATTTATGCTGGGTAGGCAAGGCCAGTTTAACACCTGAAAATCAATCAACATAAACAATCACATGAACAGGCTAATGAAACATAACACAATTATATTACTAGATGGAGAAAAGGAATTTGACAACATGCAGCACCCATTTTTAATAAAAATTTTCAGAATAAAGAAAAATTTCAAAATTACAAAAAAGCTTTAGCTAACATCCTTAATGGTGAGACGTAAGAAGCTTTTCCACCAATATCAGGAACAAGGCAAGAATGTCCTCTCTCATTACTCCTTTTCAACATCATGCTGAAGTTCTACCTAATGCAAAAAGACAGGGAAATAAAGTATACAAAATGAAGCAACAAGTAAAATTGCCTTTGTTCACAGACAACATGATTATGTAAAAAATCTGAAAGAATCAACAAAACAACTTCTGGAACTGATAAGGGACTATAGCAGAGTTACAGTATATCAGGTTTATATACAAAAGTCAATTACTTTTTTATATACCAGCAATGAACAGAAGTAATTTTCAATTTAAAAACACAATATTATTTACATTAGCACCACCCAAAATGAGATATTTAAGTAATGACCTAAGAAATTATGTAGTAGGTATATATGAGGAAAATTGCAATACTCCAAGAAGTAAATCAAAGAACTGTAAAAAAGAGATATCCCACATTCATGGATATGGAGACACAATAATGTCAAGATGTCAATTCTTCCCAAATTGATCTATAGATAAAATGCAATCCCAATCAAAACCCCAGAAATTTATCATGTAGAAATTGACAAACTGATTCTGAAGTTTGTGTAAAGAGACAAAAGATACGAAATAGTCAACTCAATACAGGAAAAGAACAAAGTTAGAGGCTGACAGTACTCATCTTCAAGATCTACTATAAAACTGCACTAATCAAGATTGTGTGCTATTGGTGAAAGAATAGGCAAGTAAGTCAATGGAACAGAGTAGAGAGCCCAGAAATAGAACCACGTGAATATAGTCCACTCATCTTTGACAAGAAAGCAAAGGAAACTTAATGGAGCAAAGACAATCTTTTCAACAACTGGTGCTGGAACAACTAAATATCCACAAGGAAATAAAATAAATCTAGATAGAGACCATTCAAAAAATTAATTCAAAATGGATCTTAGTCCTATGTGTAAAACACAAAACTATGTAACTTCTACAAGATAACAACAGAAAAAATTCTAACTGACTTTGGGTATACTGATGTCATTTTAGATACAATACCAAAAGGTATTGGTTATCAAGGTAACATGATAAGCTAGACTTCATCAAAATTAAAAATGTTTGCTTTGTGAAAGGCAATGTCAACAGAAATAAAAAAAAAACTACCTACTTGGAGAAAATATTTTCATAAGATCATTTGAAGTATTGCTATCCATGTCTCCAAAAGCTCTTAAAACTTGTTTATAATAAAATGAACAACATGATTTAAAAATGGGTCAAACTGACTGACCAACATGGAGAATCCCCGTCTCTACTAAAAATACAAAATTAGCCTGGCGTGGTGGCACATGCCTATAATCCCAGATACTCGGGAGGCTGAGGCAGGAGAATCACTTGAACTCGGGAGGCGGAGGTTGCGGTGAGCTGAGATCACCTGATTGCACTCCAGCCTGGGCAACAAGAGTGATACTCTGTCTCATTTAAAAAAAAAAAAATTGGCCAAACTATTCAACAGATATCTCACCAAAGAAAATATACACATGGAAAATAAGGATAGGAAAAGATGTACCACATCTTATGTCACTAGGGAAATGCAAATTAAAACAACATTGAGATACCATTACACATCTATCAGAATTGCCAAAATTTAGAACCAAATGCTGATGAGAGTGTGTAACAACATAAACTGCATTTATTGTTGGCGGAGACACATAGTGGTACAGTCCCTTTGGTACTATGTGGCAGTTTCTTAAAAAACTAAGCATGCTTTGGCCATACAGTTCAGAAATCTCAGTTCTTGATATTTACTCACTTGATTTAAAAGCTTATGTCCAAACGAAAGTGTATACACAGATGTTTATGGCAGATCTATTCATGATTTCCAAAACTGGGAAGCAACCGATATGTCCTTGAGCGGTTAAATGGATAATCTGTGGTGCATTCAGGAAATGAAATATTATTCAGCACTAAAAAGAAATGAAATATCAAGTAATAAAAAGATATGGAGGGACTTTACATGCATATTACTAAGTGAAAGAAGCCATTCTGAGAAGACTACATAATGTATAATTCCAACTATATGGCATTCTGGAAAAGACAGAGGTGTAGATACAAAAAAAAAAAAATAACTGTGGTTGCTAGGGAGTCACAGAGAGAGGGCTGAATAGACAGAGGGCAGAGGATTTTTAGGACAGTAAAAATACTGCATTTAACACAATGATGGGTATAAGTCGTTATACATTTGTTTAAACCCATGGATGTACACAGATTGAATCCTTATGTGATCTAGAGACTATGGTGATTATGATGTGTCAATGTAGGTTCATCAACTGTAGCAAATGCACCACTGTGGTAGGGGATGTTGATAATGGAGGAGGCTCCACATGTGTTGGGGCGAAGGGCATGTGGGAAATGTTTGTACCATTCTCTTAATTTTGCTATGAACTTAAAACTGCTCAAAAAACAAAGAATTTTAAAAATATTTAATTTTTATTTTTAAAGGTAGTTAAACCCATTGAAGCTTTATAACTGGATTTGAGTCTTATGACTTTCAGTAATAGGGTTATCTTGGGCAAGAACTAAAATTTCTGTGCCTCAGTTTCCTCATCTGTAAAATGGGTAAAACAAATCTGTTTCTGAAGACTCTTTGGGTTATTAATTAATCAGTATCAATGCTTAGAATATTATATATGTAATTAATGCTGCTTCTATTATCACCATCATTATTATTATTTTTGAAAATGGGGTAGAACTAACTATCCCTAGGGTTTTTGTGTAAATAATTGGATAAAACAAAATGGAGTAATTAGCACAATACCTCGTGTTGACTCATTCAATAAAAACTTTTTTTCCTCTTTGTGTAGTTCACGCGAATATTTTTAATTCTTCTCATCTTTCCATTTAATGTTACTCTGTGACTTCAGATTTCAAATATTTCTACACATATAAAATCAAATGCATCACTTGTCAAACCAATCCCTCCTCTAAGTTTTTGTGTTTGTCAATGGCATCTCTTGTTTATTTATTTTGAAATATCAAATTCATATTTACTTTTGTATGTTCTCTCTCAATTTTATCTACTCTATCCCTGAGTCCTACAATTTGTAATTATTTTCTCTATTTTTTGAAACATTTTGAGATGTATCTTTTCTCCTCTGTTCTACTGAGAACAACAGTAATAGCTAATATAAACAATGTACTAATTAAGACATTTTTGTTGAATATTGATAAAGTTAATATTTTCGTATAAAGATTAAAATGGATATAAGCTTTTGGAATGAAAGATACTAAAATATTGGATTAATGTCAGTGAGAAATGGTTTTTAAATAGTAACATTTAACTGTTTGAATGAATCAGACAATATGTAATAGTTGGGTAGTCTTTAACAGTTGCTTTTGAGAGGCAATGCAATATTGGAGACTGAAAAGCACATAATTTTATATCTGAGAACTTGATTTTGCATTCAAGGTTTGAAATTTTTGTGTTTTTTGGAGGCGTGGTCTTGGGCCTGGAAAATAACCTGCCTCAGATACAGTTTTCCCAAGGGAAAAGTAAAGATATTTGTAAAACCTGCAGAATAAAATGTGCAATGCAGATTATTGACTTGTTGCGAGGACCAAATATGTAATTAGAACCCTTGACATGTTGTATGTAATTATTCAGAAGCACTGCAAATTACCCTTGCGAAGAAGGTTTTTTTTTTAAAAGTGTTACATTAGAAGTCTCATGATTCATAACTCTGCATGAATATGAGATTTGTTACTTTCCCGTCCATGACTCAAGAAAATGGCTCTTCACATTCACTTTACTGAGAAAAATACCTGACTTGTCTTTTGTGCTCCTTGCTTCAGTAAACTGCGCTACCCATTTGCTCAAACATATCCCTTTCTCCATCATTATCTCTCACATGAATTACTGCAATAGTTTCCTGTCTGGAAATTATACTTTAGTCTCTTTTCAATCTTTTTTCCACCCAGCAGTTTTTGTTCACTTTATTAACCAAAATTGAAAGTGTTGATGCACTATTTAAAACATTTCAAATTTCCCCATTTCTCACGGAATAGTGTATAAAGTTTTATGTATGGCTTTAAAAGATACTTCCTGACGTGACAACTGCATAACTCTTTTAGACTCATCTATTGCTACATACTTTCTTAAACTTTATAATTCAGACATGCCTAAAATGGATAATTATTTTTCTTTCCAGATTTTTCACATGCTATCCACAGCGCCTAGAGATCCAAGCTTTTGTGAACAGGGGCTGACTTGTGAATGTGAACAAGCACAACGGAAAGCTAGGGATCAAGGGTGGGGCGCCTCTGAATTCTGCACTAGAATATGCCCAATCAAAAGCATAGCTGCAGAGTGCAAAATTGTCTGTCTCACTATGGAAGACTGCTTGTCAATAGCAAATGGAGGGGCAGAATAGAGCAAAGGCAGCCCTCAACTGATCAAACTTTTAACTTTTCTCTAAAAACATCCTTTGGAAATAGGTCTATTTCCCCTTTAACAGAATAAACTGCAGGAATTGTTGGACAATGGGTGCATTTGGAAGAGCCACGCGGGAGCACTGAGAAGTGAAATGATCCAGCTCCAAAAATAAAGGTGATACACGTTAAAGTAATAAATTGGAAAAAATAAAATAGATGCAACTCTTAGTTCGCATATCTGGAAAAGCTGGTTATATTGCAAAGACCTTATTGAGAATATTTATGTATATGTGCTACGCATAATAAAGCATTTTGTAACTTACAAAGCATCTTAACAATATTGTTATGGTTAATTTTTATGAGACAAAACTCTATACTTATTGCTGTCTACAAGGGTATATAACACAATCCAAAATTCGAATGAACTCATTGAACAATATTAAGGTACATTTTAAGAAATAGTTGCCTTGTATATCTTTCAAATGAAATTTTGCATCCTGTGGAATTAGAAACGTATGTTCAATAATGACAATGCTAAAGTAAAGTGGTTTGAAATTATCTGTTCATGTTAACACCCAAATCAACAGTAAACTCCCTTCCCTCCTCAATGCAGCATTTCACTTGATAATTAGCAGCTGTATGCTAATTACATTGGGAGCTCTTGATTTCCTGAGTATGCTAATTTAAAGTTCTTTTGAGTGGTGACTTTGTTTCATGGAAGCCCAAAATATAAGCCATATAGAATACGCTATACAGCATATCCTGCCCTCAGTTCCTGGGGAAGAGCCAATCGAGTGCTTCTGTTAATGGTACCTAGTACTAAAGAGGAAAATTGTTAGGATTTGGAGTCACTTTAGCAGTGATTGCAAGATGAGAAATTGAACTAATAAGATTGGGATCCCCACAATGAGCCATGAGCAACCTGAATGCAAAAGGAAAGATGAGAGCCGATCAGCTGTCATGAGAATCAAATTAACATTTGGCTCAGCTATTCGAAGAGTTAAATGTACGAACTGAGCATTTTGAAATGCATCATTTAACTAATGTAAATAGGACGAGAGTTAGATGTCGAGGGACTTCCCAGTTGAAAAAGAAAAGCGTTAGGGAGTCTGTCGAGACAAGCGGGAGATGGCTATGGAAGGGCTGATGTCAGAAGTGCAAGTGGAGTGGATGGCGATGTCCTTCTCACTAGGTCTCCTACGACATTATTCGATTTGAGTTTCTCTTTACCATTCTCAGCTGACTTTTCTTCTGTGCAGGTTATACATTCTGCTTAAACAAAAGGGAGGGGTGCCAGCTTAGAATAATATTTCCATGAAAAGTTCCAGTAGTGGAATACAACTTTGAAACTGAGAAAGACTACAGGAAATGACATGGAAAATGAGTCACTGTGTCAATACCAAAACAAAGCTAGTGGAGAAACTAAAATAAATAATTATTTCATTTTTCCCTCATGCCTTCTTCTTCCTTTATATTTTTCTTCTTTATTCTTATATTGCCTTCTTATAATGTCTATAGTGTCTTATAATGTCTACATAGACATTATAAATTTTAACGATAATAACTAGTATTTCTGACACATTATGTTGTAATTTAGTATGGTTCTAGGCTATACATGTATGTAAGTATACACATAGATGCTTAAGAAAAATACTACTTTTATTTCTCATTTTAGAAAAGAAAACGTAAAGTCATAAAGAACAAGTTAAAGTAATTTTCATGAGGTCAACAAGCAGGTACATGGTATGACTCAGTTTTGTCCACAAGCACTCTGACTCTAAGATCTGTGTACTTAAGTACGTGGTATGACTCAGTTTTGGGCACAAGCACTCTGACTCTAAGATCTGTGTACTTAGGTACGTGGTATGACTCAGTTTTGTCCACAAGCACTCTGACTCTAAGATCTGTGTACTTAAGTACGTGGTATGACTTAGTTTTGGGCACAAGCACTCTGACTCTAAGATCTGTGTACTTAAGTACGTGGTATGACTCAGTTTTGGGCACAAGCACTCTGACTCTAAGATCTGTGTACTTAAGCATGCGGTATGGCTCAGTTTTGGGCACAAGCCCTCTGACTCTACAATCTGTGTACTTGGACACTATTATGTTGATTATACAAACACACACATACACAGACATACACACTCATCACTAGGGCTAATTGACACTTTCTAACCAAGTTCAATGTCATTATGTGACACAGAAGTACTTAAAAGAAAAGAAAAAAAGAATCTGCTGAGAAGGTGTTCTAGGATGGTAAAAATTCCATTTCCTTTATGTCAAGTAGCTCCTTACCTGCATATGTAAGAATTAAAATCCAAATCAGAACATGTGTCATCTGAGATAAAGAAATTTTTAATGGATTCATGAAAGTCTTGCCAATTTAACATCAAAAGGCATGTTTCATTGCCTGGAAAGAGCGCTGCATCCAATTTCTAAAACTTGATTTAAATCAGGCTTAGTAAAAATTGCATGTACAGTTCTACTCCTCACCACACAAGTTATAAAAGCTAAGGGAATAGTTTTATAATATCTTAAAAAAGAACCATTGGTCTTTGCGTATGTAGCATAGGAAGTGAAAAAAAAAAGAAACAAAAACAAATTCATAGAGTTTCTTCCCCTTCATTTAATATTGTGTAGTTCCTGAACCTAATTCCCAGAGGTTGACAGTTCTGATTTGATTTCAATGGACTTTAATAAAAGGATAAAAAATGGGGATATAGTGCTTCAGGAAAATAAAGGGATTTCCTTTAACAATTAAGAAAACTGGCTTATGCCTGTAATCCCAGCACTTTGGGAGGCCAAGGCGGGCTGATCGTTTGAGGTCAGGAGTTAAGAGACCAGCCTCGCCAACATAGTGAAACCCTGTCTCTACTAAAAATACAAAAATTAGCCAGGCATGGTGGCGGGCACCTGTGGTCCCAGCTACCCAGGAAGCTGAGGCAGGAGAATCACTTGAACCAGGAGGCGGAGGCTGCAGTAAGCTGACATCTCGTCACCGCACTCCAGCCTGGGCGGCAGAGTGAGACCCTCTCTCAAAAAACAATAGTAATAATAATAATAATAATAATAATAAAGAAAACTCATGTTACATTAATGATTATATATAAATAACAATATATTCAGAGCTAAATATATGTTGGTTCTGTACTCAAAGAGCCTCAGAATTGAGATTAAATGTCACCAATATGTGTTTAAATGAAAGCCATTCATTTTACTATGTTATACTGATGATTTATATAGTTTTTTGTATTATATAATCACTGTGCTTATGTTTAATATTACCTTAAAGAAGGCTACACCAAGAGTCTTCTGTCCTGTTGGGAAATTTAAAATTCATAAAAAATTAAGTGATATGTGCCCCTTCAATCAGCAAACTTTTATGCAACACTTACTATAACCACACGGCTTAAGGCACAAAGGTGCAAAGATTAGCCAAACTTATTTGGGCCTTCAAAGAGATTAAGGTTAAGAACATAGGCAAGTGACAAAACAGACATAAATGTTTTGATAAGTGGTTTAAGAGTGTTTGACAGATGCTCATTAGAGATAGACCTAATTAGCCTGAAGGGTTAGAAAAGAGTCTATTGTCCCCACGTGCACTGGGTGACAGGTGCACTGAAGGTGCACACATGCACTGAAGCAGAAAATACTAGTGGGAATCAGCTCAATACAAAGGCAGAGAAGGAGTTGGAATTGGGGTGAAATTCTAAGCAGAAATTATTCCATATTCAAGCCATTTAGGGAGACAGTTTGAAATCTTCAACTCTGTTTCCTCCTGTAGTTTTGAAGATGACGCTTGACTGGGTTGTTAGGAAATACATTTAAGATAAACTATAAAAAGTATTATGTCAGAGTCTAAGCTCAATACATATTAGATATTATTATTAGCTTGGCTTGTTCACAGAATTTCTATCGGTGTATATTGCATGTTCATTGCATTATGGCTTGAGAAGACAGGCAGGCATGGACCAGATCATGGATAATATCGTAAATACTGTGTCTATGATGAAGCATTGACAGCTTTGTTCCAAGCTATCTTTTCAAGGATGTTTCTGTAGCAAATAGCACTGGAAGAGAGAGTCTCCCTTCAATGCAGAAAGCAGATTTGTCTTTTCACCAGGAAAGATAATGTCTCCCTCCAGGACAAAGGTTAGGCAGGTATGCCAGCAGCCAATTTATAAGATAGGGAAAATCGTAAACTTGGGGCTCATTAGCTGTGCCACAGACCAAGTGCGCATATGGTAGCCAACTTGACATTATTTCCATGGGACCTGGGAGGAGGTATACCTCGTGCAAACATGAAGGTCATGCTGTCTGCTTGCTGTGAAGAATAAAATCCTTTGCCTGACCCCCGAGTGCCAGGTCTTCTGCCAGCATCCATGAACAGTAGAAGCTAACTTGGTTTACAGTAGAGTGAAACACATTTTTCCCAGATCTTGAAAGTTTTTAAATCCTTATGGTATTAAGGATCCATCACATGCATTTAATATTGTGCGGTAACGGTTTTATTTTAAAAAGATAAATGTATATACCATGCCCTAGTAATAGTGATCATTGCAATGATTTAAACTTAAGACAAAAAAGTTAGATGGCAACGTTGCTAAAATTGACAGATAAAATTATATGAATGTATTACATAAAGCACGATGTTTTGAAGTATATATACATTATGGAATGACTAAATCTAACTAATTAACATATGCATTACCTCACGTAGCTATCATTTTTCTGGTGATAACACTAACATCTACTCTCCCAGCATTTTTTAAGAATACAAGGTGTTGTTATTAACCGCAATTAGCAGGAGCTGGAGCAGTTGTGGAGGGAAGCTGGGGAGATTTTGGTCCAAAGACACAGCCTTTCAGTTACATGGATGGCACCTTAAACAAACGTGAAGGGATACATATTTTTCAAAATTATTTTAGGGTGTACATAAATAAGATAGTTTGAAGATTTTATCTAAATGATTAAGGTATTATTTAACTATCCACGTTTCACTAATTTCATCCATCAGAATTTTGTTTGCACAATTTAAACTTTGGTTGCACTAAACTGAACACACAGAGCTTTCTTCACCTGTGTGTTTTCAGTGTCCTTATCTTGCCCTCACTCTTGAATTATAATGTGGCTGGATATTGATTTCTAGATTGACAGTTATGTTTCTTCAGCATTTTAAATATGCATTTCATCCTCTTATTGCCTGGGTCATTGCTGATGAAATGTCCACCAGGCTAAATATCGTTCCCTTGTAGGTCAGTTGCTTTTTCTCTCAGGGTGCCTTTCAGACGTTGTATTTGTTTTGTATGCTCTGAATGTTTAGTTCTGTTCTTTCTGCTGTAAATTTAATGGGCTTTTCAGTCTGATAACTTACACTTTCTTCATTCTATTAAATTATCGCAATTAGTTTTTAAATAATTCCCACTCGCAACAGTTCCTGCACTTCTCTCTGGAATGTCTATTATTAAATAATGGCACTAGTAGATAGCAAAAGTTGTGTATATATAATCCAATATTTATAACAACTACAAATTAACAGTAAAGAGAGACACTCAAAAACACTATTAATAAATTAGAACAAAATTCTAAAAATGGCTCAAGTAACCCACAGGAATGCAGGAAAAAGAAAGCAGCAAATGAAATACAGAGGAAAAAAAGAAATAAAAATGTCAGGTTTAAGCATTAACATATCAAAAATTGTATTAAACATAAGTGATCTAAAAGCACTGATTAAATGACAGAGATTGGTAGAGTACAATTTTAAAAATCACAACTCAACTATACACTGTCAACAATAAGTCACTTTAAATATAATGATATAAGGAGGCTGAAAATACAAAGATGGAAAAATACATTACACATATGTTAATTAGAAAAAAGAAATAGCTATATTGATATTAGACACATTAGATTTCAGAGCAAATTGAATTAAAAGAGAAAAAGAAACATTTTACAATCATAAAAAATCAGTCCCCCAAGAAAACATGATAATTATAAACATGTAAGCACCAAAAAACAGATCCATAAAATACATGAAACAAAATTGATAGAACAAAAAGGAAAAATGCATAAATGTAAAATTATAGTTAGAAATTTGAACAACCATCTCTCAACAACTGATAAAATAACTAGACATAAAAAACCAGCAAGGATGTGGAAGAATTCAACAGCACCATCAATCAAGAGTATTGAATCAGCATTCATGGAATACTCCGTCAAAAAGAAGCTCATTGGTTTTAAGTGCTCATAAAATATATACTAAGATAGACCATATCCAGGGACATAAACAAATATTAACACATTTGAAAGAATTGAAATTATACAGTGTGTTTTCTCTGGCCACAATAAAACCAGTTTAAGTATCAATCACAGAAAAATGTCAGAATATCTTCAAACACAGAGAAAGTAAATAACAAACTTCTAAATAAGCCATAAGCCAAAGAGAAAGTCTCAAAGAAAACAGTAATAAGAATAAGAACACATTGAGTTAGATGAAAATTTTAGAAAAATATAGTACATGAAAATTCGTGAGGCACAGAGGGCTAAGAAAAAATGCATAGCACTAAACAAATATGTTAGGAAATAACCATCTCAAAAAATCTAAGCTTTTACCTCAAGAACCAAAAATGAGAGCAAAATAAATGCAACACAAGCAAAAGGAAGAATAAGGAGAAATCAATAAAATTGAAAATAGAAAAAAAAATAGAGAAATACAATGAAACATATTACCGGTTCTTTGAAAAAAATCAGTGAGATTGACAAACCTCTAAAGATACTAAAAAAGGAAAAAAGAAAGAAGACATGATTTTCCAGTTTCAGGAATGAAACAAAGGGTATCACTATCAACCCTACAGAAATCAAAAGTATAGAAAAGGAATACGGCCAACAATTCTGCACATACGAATTTGACAACTCAGTTAAATGAACCAATTCCTTGAAAAACAAAAACTACCACAACTCTCCCAGTATGAAATAATCTTAATAGTACCATCACTGCTTAGGAAATCTAATTCATAACTTTAAAACTCTCAATAAAGAAATAATCAGGTCCAGATGGTTTCACTGGAAAATTCTGCCAAATATTTAAAGAATTTACACTAATTCTTCACAATCTCTTCCAAAAACTAGAAGATAAAACACATGTATGCAGCTTATTTTGTCCTGATACCAAAACTAGACAAAAGGTATGAAAAAAACCCTATAGGCTAATGTGCCTTTTGACTGTGGTTTTTAAAAATCTAATAAAATATTAGCAAATATAATACATCACTATATGAAAAGAAGTATGAACTCTGACCAAGTGGAGTTTACTGCAAGTATGCAAGAAGTTCAATAATATGAAAATCAGTTATTGCAGTCTACCATATTAACAGAGTAATAAAGAAAACGTGATCATATAACCTGATCATATGGGTTGATGCAGAAAAAGCTTTGGGAAAAATTAAAACCCACTCATGATATAAAGGAAATTCTTTAGCTTGATTTAAAAAAAACCCACAAAAAAACTACAGCTAGCATCAAATTTTATGTTGAAAAACCAAATGTTTATCCCTATGATTGGGAAAACTATCAAGGAATTTTGACTCCTCTTATTCGAAAATGTTGGAAATACTGGAAATTCTGGCCAGTGAAATGAGGCCAGAGAAGAAAATAAAAGGCATATAAATCACAAAAGAAAAAATAAGGGCCAGGTACAGTGACTCATGACTGTAATCCCAGCACTTTGGGAGGCCAAGGCAGGCCGATCACTTGGGGTCAGGAGTTCAAGACCAACCTGGCTAACATGGTGAAACCCTGTCTCTACTAAAAACAAAATACAAAAATTACCCGGCCGTGGTGGAGTGCACCTCTAACCCCAGCTTCTCAGGAGGCTGAGGCAGGAGAACCACTTGAACCCTGGAGGTGGAGGTTGCAGTGAGCCTAGAACACGCCACTGCACTCCAGCCTTTGGGACAGAGTGAGACTCTGTCTCAAAATAAAATAAGAAAAAAAAAAACCTTCATATTTACAGATGTCATAATTTTCTAAATATATTATCTCAAGGAACCTACACAATACACACTTATAGAACTCATACACAAATTTGGTAAGTTTGCATGATACAAGATGTGTATACAAAATCAATTATATTTATACAAACTAGTAATAAACACATGCACACTGAAATTAAAACTATGCTAGATAGATGATAGATAGATAATAGATAGATAGATAGATAGATAGATAGATAGATAGATAGATGGATGATAGATCGATCTATTGGGAAAACTGAAGGATTTTTTACTATTTTTATTCAAAAATGTTGGAAACATTGGAAATTCTGGCTAGAGAAGAAAATAAAAGTCTTACAGATCAGGCAACAACAACAAAAAATAAATAATACTGTTCATATTTGCAGATGCTGTGATTATCTAAATAGAAGATCCCAAGGAATCTGCGTATTGTGTATGAACACTTAAGAACTCATACACAATAGAAAGATATATATATATATATTTCTATCTTTCTATCTTTTGATATATCAATAGAGAGAGAAAGATTTATTATTAGAGATTGACTCATGTAAATATGGAGGTTGAGAAGTCTCATGATCTGTTGTTTGAAAGCTGAGGGCGCAGGAAAGCTGGTGATGTAGCTCTAGTCTAAAACTGATGGCCTAAGAACCGGAAGAGCCAATGGTGTCAACTCTGGTCCAAGTCTGAAGGCCCCAGGACCAGGTGCACCAGCGTCCCTTGGCAGGAGAAGATGTACATCCCAGGTCAAGAAGATAGAGAGAGTGAATTTGCCCTTCTTTCACCTTTTTGTTCTGTCTGATCCCTCAATGGATTAGATGATGCCTACCTGCATTGGTGAGGGCAGAACTTCCTAATTCAGTCTACTATTTCAAGTGCTACTCTCCCTGGAAAATGTCTTCACAGACGTGCCTGGAAACAATGTTGTTGTTGTTGTTGTTGTTGTTGTTGTTGTTGTTGTTGTTGTTTTGAGATGGAGTTTTGCTCTTTTTGCCCAGGCTGGAGTGCAGTGGCATGATCTCGGCTCACCGCAACCTCTGCCTCCCGGGTTCAAGCGATTCTCCTGCATCAGCCTCCCGAGTAGCTGGGATTACAGGCATGCGCCACCACTCTGGCTAATTTTGTATTTTTAGTAGAGACAGGGTTTCTCCATGTTGGTCAGGCTGGTCTTGAACTCCCGACCTCAGGTGATCCACCCGTCTCGGCCTCCCAAAGTGCTGGGATTACAGGCGTGAGCCACCGTGCCTGGCTGTTTTATCCATTATCTGGGCATTACTTAGTCCTGTTGACATATAAAAGTAACTGTTACATTAGGTATTCATGAAAAACATTTGTAAAGTTATAAAAAGTAGAGTAATGAATTCCTGAGCACTCCCTGCCAGCTGAAGCCTTTGGTTTGTCCTCCTAGATGACATTCACCTGCCCCAACACATCCAGAAGTAACCACAACCCTGCCACTGGTATTCATCATTCCCAAACATATTATGCTTTCACTCACTATGTAGAAACCCATAAAACTATATAAAATTTTGTAATTTGTACTTTAGAGACATGGCACTGCATGGTGATTATTTTCTGTAGCTTGCTTTTGGCGTTATGGGTGTTATAGTCATACTTGTTGATGCATTTAGCCTCAATACATTCCTTCTCAGTGATGCACAGCATTCTGCTGTATGATTCTACCAAAATGTATCTATGCTCCCCTCCCCATAAATTACAGTGGCTCCATTCCAGCCATATAAACAATGTCACTGTAAACATTTCTATACAGGTCTTATGTCACACACAATTTATTATTGATATAATAAACCTAGAGAAAGGTAGAAAACTCTAGGACATACATCTAGGACTAAAATACTTTATTTTAAAAAATACTCTTTTTATGTGCTGAGAAGTACAGAAATGAAGGAGATATTCCCCTTCTCTCATTGAGTTTTCACACTCACTGAGGAAAAAGCAGAAAACAATTTAGTGCAATAAAGTGGTAGATATGCTAAAACAGTGAAGTCAATCCTGTTGCATTGTCCATTGTGTGGGATGGAGTTAAAATCATCCTGGAAATGACCTTTAGACTGAGTATTAAAAGATAAGTAGCTATTTTTCAGATCGATGAAGTATAAAATTCCTTCCTGGAAGAGAAAGAAGAATGATCAAATTGAAAGGGTGAGGGATTAATGAAGTACACTCCGTGAGAGCTCATGCCAAGGTGTTGATGAGTTAAATGTAAAGGGACTGGGTTTGGTATGATAAAAATAAAATAGAATATTTTTCTGAAAGGTAATTTGTTTTAATGCTAAAAAATGAGTAATCATGTTTAATCTTTTAAACAGTTTAAATCATTTTATAATGTAACAGTTTCCACCTCTGCAGCAATGTTGATTGATTTCCAAGTCCCAAAAAATAATTTCTGGAAAAAAATCCAATTATCTCCTGTTTTATTTAATTTTTTTTGAGCACTATCACATCTTCACATCTTATTACGCTCAAATTTCTCTAATAGCCTCCTGGCTCAATGAAGGCAGGAGGTGTGTCCTAGTTGTCTTTGCATCCCTAGATACAAAATGGCTTCTGGAATACTGTAGATGCTCAGTAAATTTCTGTTGAGTACGTGAAGGGAACACAACTATGAAGATGCCTAGAAAGCTGGTACAGCATGATTAAAAGTATTTTGGAGTCTATCATTTGTTGGCTGGTATTTTACCAAGTTATTTAATTTTCTTCCATAGTACATATTTATATAGTATGTAATTCGAAATTCATGTAGCTCTACACTGATCTTTCAGGAGGCACAGAGTGTTGGAAATAAGAAAATTAACAGAATGCATACATTGATAAACATGATGCATGTCTTACTTTAATACTGTCTTCTATTTTTGACGTTATATCTAATATACTTCTTTAAATTCTCTCTTATAAAACAACAGAAAAGAGTATGAAGATTGTTCCACCATCTTGTTGTAATTTATTAATACAACTTCTGTTCCAATTTTGAAGTGTAAATTTTAACACTAGAACTATAAACTGAACAAAACATTTAGATGGCATCTTATATAAATTAAAACAATTTAAATACTAACAGCGATAATAAAAACCAAAATCCTAACTAGATACTATGCAAATAAGCAGCTGGTCCAAAAATTTTTGACTCGTACTTGTAAAAGCACAATTTTATGGCAAAAACATTAACAAAAATTACAACTTCCAAGGAAGGTAAACCACATTGTAAATTATATAACATTGTTAAGGCTTCAAAATCTGGGGGATCATATTATGATTAGTACGATTTTCTCGTATAAATGAGACCATTAATGTCACCCTATTTCAAAATAGCATTATGGATTTCTGTATCAAGAGAGGATTGGGTAGTTTATGCCAGACCAATGTTCTTGGTGACAAAAACTTGAAAACTTTGATAAGTAAAAGGCAAAAATGATTTCATTAAAGGCATCAGAGAGTGGTCAAATAACAAGAACAAGAGTAGCTAAAAATTCAGAGAAGAGAGAACCCAATGGATTAAGCAAACATTTTGCAGTTGATTTGTTCTTGGGCGTATTTGACAGTTCTGGGCATGGGTAAGAGACTGTCATTACAGTCATCTTTTAGGAAGAAAACTGCTGCTGGAGGAAAGAGAAACCCATAGGGCATTTGCAAGAATGGCCTCAAAAACATGGTCAATTTTCCTTTCTAGACATTTACTGAATCCTGAGTCTGGGGTGACAGCCTAAAGAGCTTTGCTGAAAACTCCTGAAATATAAAGAGAACTACTCATCAGTCTCATTGCTGGAAGGAGGAAAACACGGGAGTGCAAGACTCTGCTGGGGTGGAGACAATATTGATCACAACAGGCTCTGACTTGAAAACTTTGTTGGGGTACACCTTTGATAGAGAGGTAATTTGAAGTTAGGCTAAAATTACCCAAATTGTCACTCAGCCTTGAATCAGGTCAATTATGCAGTGTTACTCTGGGAAGAAGAAAATCCATACCAAACAAAAACATCCACCGTGCAGTGAGACAAGAATCAATAAATTAGACTGAGTGATGACTCAGGTCTTGGAAACAGAGAGAGATTTAAAATAAATATGAAAGTATGTTAAAAGCTTTAGTGGAGAATTGGACAACATGCATTAACAGATTTCAGCAGTAGCACTAAAATTATGAAATGAGTGACACTGATAATCTAGAAGTGAAAAAAGTCATGTGGTAAAAGAGATAAGGAAAGTTTTTGAAACATTTGCTGGACACAACTAATGATGTTCCTAATAACATCAGACTAGACACAGCTAAGGAAAGGATTAGTAAACTTGAAGATAAACCTTAAAGAAATTACCCAAGCCAGAAAACAGAGAATAAAGAAGAAAAAAGGCAGAGTATTCACAAATTGTAAAATAATATTAAATAATTAAACATAGGTATAAATTGAAACTCTAGAAGGAGATGAGAAAGAAGATGGATAAGGAAATATGTGAAGATATAATGTGTGGTAATTTTTAAGTATAACAAAAAGTAGAAAACCACAGATAAGTTCAGGGAAACCTGGGTAGTGTTAAAGTGCATTATATTTAAAATGTTGAAAACTAATGGTAAAGAGAAAATTGTAAAGGCAACAAAGAAAAAAGAAAAAAAAAACATAGATTTCAAAAGGAACCCAACCCAACATCTAACCAATTACCAATGCATAATTTGATTGCCTCACATGGACTCATAACCATTAGTTATTGGAGTTCGCTTGGATAGGAGATTTATTGGGCCTATGCTGTCATTTGTTTCTCATAGAATACTTTTTTGTTGTTGTATTTTTTAAAAAATTTCAACTTTTATTTTAGGTATGGGAGTAGATATGCTGTTTTGTTACATGGCAATATTCCAGGATGCTGAGGTTTTGGGTATGAATTCCATCACCCAGATAGCGAACATAGTACCTGATTGGGAGTTTTTCACCAAACCCTGTTTTCTCCCTCCACCCTCTAGTAGTCCACAGTGTCTACTGTTCCCATATTTATGTCCATGTGTGCTCAATGTTCAGCTCCCACTTATAAGTGAGAACACGTAGTATTTAGTTTTCTGTTCCTGTGTTAATTCATTTAGGATTATGGCCTCCAGCTCCATTCACATTGCCGTAAAGGACATGATTTCATTCTTTTTTTATGGCTGCATAGTATTCCAAGGTGTATACGCAAAACATTTTCCTTATCCAGTCAGTCCTCCACTGATGGGCACCTGAGTTGATTCCATGTCTCTGCTATCATGAATAGCACATAATAAACACATAAATCATGTGTCTTTTCGGTTTATACATGCCAACAGACACAAGAGTTTCAGGAAGAAAACAAGACCATGTAAGATGAGATGATATAAATAGACAAACTTACTTTGAGAACCAAGAGAGCAGCAGACGGCTAAACAGGTTAATAATCATCTTTACCAGACCGTGCACATTTGGACCAAAAAGTATAATCAACATATTCTTAGAAAGCAAAATAAATTCAACAACTAGGACTCAATGAGATTAGTCAGAGGTCAGATTGTTCTTGAGAGACATTCCTGGCAATAGATTGACAGGACTTTTGAATTTGGGGAACAAAGGACCTGATGAATGTCCTTGTTTATCTGTGGGTCCCGCCAAATGTTGCCAAATCAGAGTCTCCAGTACAATCTTAATGGAACCCTCACTTTTCAAAGAATCCATCCGTCAACATCTGAATCAAAAAGCTAAATATATTACTTACCTTTTTTAATTTTTGAAATGGTTCTTTATTCATAAATTTGAGGTTTGTTTACAAAATTTATTGTGTATTGTGAAATAAATCTGCAATGAAAAATAAAATTCAAAAAGCAAAGCATGCCGAATATGCAACTGTCAATCTGCTAGCCTTCAGGACATTAACTAATTCAATAATATATAATTCAATATGTATATTATTATAATTCAAATTATACATAATTCAATAATGTATTCAAGATTTAATGCTCTAAATAATTCTGCCTTGTCACTTGTTGTCTGAGCATTTGGCAGTCAGAATTTTATACAAATGTAACTAAGTGTACAAGAATACCAGAGAACATTTATCTACTGCCCTCTTAACCAAAAGAGAATTAAAAAGCTGAACATATTACTTTCTAACACAAGGGAGTACTGTGCTTGTAATACACAGTACTTGAAAACAAAATGGAAAATAGTAAGCATTTGGGAAGGATGTGAAGAATTTGGATGGCCTGTACACTGATGATGGGATTGCAAGTTTATATAGTTACTTTGGAAACCAGCTGTCAAAGTCAACTGAATTGAATATAGATATAGACATAGGTATAGATACAGTCCTGTAACTGTACTAAATTGTTTACTCCTGTAAACTCTACTAATTGAAGATACACACACACACACACACACATATATGTGTATGTATATATATGCATATATATGTGTATAGAGTTACAGGACTGTGTATATATATATATATATTCCTATAAGTCAGAAATTACACTACTAGGTATATGCCCTCCCAAATGCTTATATACATGCACTAAAAAACATGTACAGAGTCCTTCACAGCAGCATTATTCAAAATAGCCTACAACTAAATGGTTTGTAACTATCATAACTATTAGAAGGAATTAATAAATTATAGTAAATGTATACAACGCAATATTCTAAGATAGTAAGAAACAGTGAACTACTACTACCCATAAAACTATGGGTGCATTCCATCAGCTTAGTTCAGCAACTATGTAATGCATCAGTGTCTAAGAGTGCATACAATAATTTCATTGTCTAATGTGCTATAACTCAATGAAAAGTTTTTCTAAAACATAAAATTTACATCAAATTTTACCTCATTGTAATACTACTTTTAATATTTAATTAATTTAATTAAATATTAAAATTTAATTAAATATTAAATTTTAATATTTAATTAAATAATACATTGTAATATTACTTCATTGTAATAACTACCTCTTAAGGCATGGAAAGAATTAGGTAAAATAATCCATGAAACACTAACTTCCGTGTTTTGTACATTATAAGTACTTGTTAAGAAGCAATAAACTTGATTTTATCTTTTTTGTCTTAAATTACAAGCTTTATGATATACTCTTCATAAAATAAAACCTAAGAACTTTAAATGTTTCACTGCTCTCATGAAATATTATACTGCTCACATAAAGAACAGTCTTGCTTACAGAAATTTTATTAGTCACCTACTTAGCATGTTTGCAGTTCACTGGGTCTTTTTTTTTTTTTCTTTTGTTTTTGGTTCTTATCACCCAAGCTGGAGTGAAATGGCGTGATCTAGGCTCACTGTAACCTCTGCCTCCTGGGTTCAAGTGATTCTCCTGCCTCAGCTTCTGGATTAGCTGGGATTACAGGCACACGCCACCACACCAGGGTATCTTTTGTATTTTTAGTAGAGGCGGGGTTTTGCCATGTTGTCCAGGCTGGTCTCGAACTCCTGACCTCAGGTGATCCACTCACTTTTGCCTCCCAAAGTGCTGGGGTTACAGGCATGAGCCACTGCGCCAGGCCTGGGTCCTATTAGTTCTAAGGTTAGTACGTACTCTTGAAATTGTTCATGTTACCTTACTTTTCAAGCCTAAGATTCATCTCTCTGCCATAAATTTTCTGTTTAATAAAATTGCCTTCCTACAGTGAATAGTATAGTACAGTGGATAGAAGAACAGAAACTGCGAACAGATTCCCTTGGTTCAAACCTCAACTCTGTCAAACACTAGCTTTGGGACCTTCTAAGAGTAATACTAGCATCCTTCTTGTAGATAGGGAGTTTTGGGCACTCATTCTCATGCTGAGAACAATATTAGGCATTTAGAAAACGTCAGATACCATTACTGATTACAATGGACTTCAATAATTCACAGAAACAGCAGTCATTGCTGTGATAATTCATTACCGTGACTATCTTGAAACGTTCAGACATAAATATTTTTTCTTTAGAAGTTGTAGGTGTATTTTTTGTAAGAAAGAGAGGGTTTTTTTTTTTTCTTAATTCATCAACCATAAGGTGCGCACAGATGCCTAATTAGTGGCATGCATCATGAAGGACACGCTTGGTGAGATTTCTGTGAAAATACCACATTCTGCTTGGCAACCAAAACTTTTAAATTCAGTCACCTTCTGGACGATTGGCATTTATTTTTTTGATACCTCATCTGAAAGATCACTCACTTTGGTTTTTGAAAGTTGAATTTTCTGTGACTATCTGGATCATTCAAATAAATAGAAATTCCCTCTTTTCTTGAAATACTGATAGCACCACCAGAAATTTTCCTTTGTTTAAATGTCATATTAACTGCTAGGTATTTTTAAGAAACCCTCACCTATGCAATTTGTATTTCACAGAATCGTATTCATATAATGTACATACACACACACACGTGTGTGTGTGTATATATATATATGTATATATATGTATGTATTTTAACAAAAAATAAGGAGGCCTAATATATTCAAAGCACTATCCAACATTCAGGGAATATAAGTAAATTTAAGATAGCATACCTAACCTCCAAATTTCACAGTGTATGTAGCGTTATGATGCATATCCACTAAAATAACATAAGAAAACTTATAATTAAGTATCAAATGAATAAAAGACATTTCAAGAACCAGAAAATGAGGCTAGTTTGAATATGACCGTGGTAAAACTGACACTTGGATTATGTGTAGAACAAGATGAAAAAAGAGGAATGATTGAATATACCAAATCAAAATAACAATTTAAGCAAAGGAAAAGAAGCATGGTATACATATAGATATAGTTGAGAAACAAAAATAAAATCGTTTTTGCTGAATACAATGATAGATGGAGATGACATAAAGGTAGGTCAAGACCATATTTGAAATGTTCAAACATTAGACTAAGGATTTGGAAAGGTATTCTGCAGGTAACATAAAGCAATTGAAGATAGAGAGTGTGGGGAGCTCATGGAGGTGGGAAGATTGGTTTAGTAGCATAATTTGGAGTTCATGAGAAGGTGAGTGAAATATACAACTTAAATCAAATGAAATACTAACCTATACAAATGTCTGAATGTAATCATTCATTTTTATTTTCATAAATAAATGTGTTGATGGAATGGTGATATTACCTAGAGGATGCCAGCAAAGCCAGAACCCTGCCCTGAGTCCCCTATCTACCTCTGAAAGTTCCTAAAGTGAGCAATATAAGATTAGAAGATTCAGCCATACATAATCTTCTTTGCTATTATGGTCTGGCCTTCGAGTAAAAACTCAGTGATCTAGGCTGGACTCTACCAAGTTCTTTAGCTCGAGCCAGAGGTGGTTTCAGTTCTAAACCCGACAGAGAGGCTTGTTCACTGCACACGGTGAGCATAAGCATCATTGGAGAAAATGTCCTCCGCTCATCATCGGCCCAGACTTCCCAACCAGAGGCAAAGTTTTCATTAGCATCTGCACGCTTGGAAGCTGATTCTAAGAAAGCAAAAAAGAGCAGGGAGCTGGAGGTAACTATTCTTTCTCCCAAGTAGGGAGTCTTCTCATTATGACCTAAAAAGTACCGTCACATTTGCCAATCCAGAAATTTCCATTTTTCTTTGAAAACCATTGGGAATTAATGAATATACGCATTAGACATCGGAAGAACTTCAGAGAGTGTGGTGTGGTACAGTCTGTCCTACAGCTTATGGGATGCTTTGCATTTGAAGACTGATTCCATCCACTTTGATTTGGTTTCTATGGCTTTCACGAAATATACACAGTTTATGTGGTAAATTACTGACAGCATTTTCCTGCTGGTAGTCCTCTTTGAGATTAAAGTGAAGAACTGGTAGAGCGGGGGTCTTTTCATGGGAAACACGGCCCTGCAGCTGTTTCGTTTTGTCTTTAACGTGTTTCTCAGCCTGTCTCTTGGGAAGCCTGGGTCTTCTTTTTACAGGGTTTTCTTTTCCTCCCGTGGGAGTAAATAAAATCAGTATCAAATAAGACAAATCCCTGCTTTCATGGGCTGCTTTGCAAAGTTTCGACATGTTATTTTTCCCTGCTTGCAGAATTCAGTACAAATTTATAAAGAATGGAGGGACTGTAATAAAGGGCATAAATAAGAAAATGGACCCTGGAACTAAATAGCCTGAGGTTTGAATCACTTCTGCCACTTACTGTGTAACTTCGAGAAAATTAATTAGCCTTTTTAAGTCTGTTTCCTCATCTGTAAAATGTGGCCACTACGTAATAACTCCCTAATGGGCCCGTGGGAAACTCCGCAGGGCAGTTATTTTTGTCTCTTATTTATTTATTATTTTTATTTTTTTACTTTGATTTTTTTATTTTTTTATTTTTTTATTATACTTTAAGTTTTAGGGTACATGTGCACAACGTGCAGGTTAGTTACATATGTATACATGTGCCATGTTGGTGTGCTGCACCCAGTAACTCATCATTTAACATTAGGTATATCTCCAAATGCTATCCCTCCCCCGTCCCCCCACCTCACAACAGGCCCCGGTGTGTGATGTTCCCCTTCCTGTGTCCATGTGTTCTCGTTGTTCAATTCCCACCTATGAGTGAGAATATGCAGTATTTGGTTTTTTGTCCTTGCGATAGTTTGCTGAGAATGATGGTTTCCAGCTTCATCCATGTCCCTACAAAGGACATGAACTCATCATTTTTTATGGCTGCATAGTATTCCATGGTATATATGTGCCACATTTTCTTGAGTGATGAATCCCTAGCAGCTACAATGATGCAGGCTCAAAAAAAAATGACTCATAAGAAATGCTGAACATAATGCCTGTGAAATGAAAATTACATGATGATTATTTTATCTATTACTCGTTTATTATTATTTATGAACAAAAGCAGCAAAAATAACTCACTTATTAAAATGTGACTAGAATTCTGCTAGCTTTTTACTAAGAATAATGCTGTCAGCTTGTTTCATATTAATGAAACATCTAAGATTTAATATACACATTGCATTTCAATAAATTATATAGAATAATCAAAATAGAGCTTTTTTCTGTAAGAAGAAATTTTTTTTAATCTTCTATAAAGATTTCTTAAAAATTCTATTATCGACCGGGCACAGTGGCTCACGCCTGTAATCCCAGTACTGTGGGAGGCCGAGGCGGGCAGATCTCAAGGTCAGGAGATCGAGACCATCCTGGCTAATGCGGTGAAACCCCGTCTCTACTAAAAATACAAAAAATTAGCCAGGCACAGTGGTACACGCCTGTAGTCCCAGCTAATCGGGTGGCTGAGGCAGTAGAATCTCTTGAACCTGGGATGCGGAGGTTGCAGTGAGCCAAGATTGCATCACTGCACTCCAGCCTGGACAACAGGGTGAGACTCCGTCCCAAAAAAAAAAAAAAAATTCTATTATGATTACATTCTTCGAATAATTCTTATGTCTTTAAGGTATCTTCTAACATACAAATTTAATAAATCTTATGGTATTATCTGTTCCTTAAAAGTTGAAAAGTACTGGCCAGGTGCAGTGGCTCACACCTGTAATCCCAGCAATTTGGGAGGACAAGGCAGGCGAATCACTTGAGGTCAGGAGTTTGAGACCAGCCTGGCCAACATGGTGAAACCTCGTCTCTACTAAAAATACAAAAATTAGCCAGATGTGGTGGCAGGTGCCTGTAATCCCAGCTACTCTGGAGGCTGAGGCAGGAGAATCACTTGAACACTTGAACCCAGGAGGTGGAAGTTGCAGTGAGTCAAGATTGTGCCACTGCACCCCAGCCTGGGTGACAGAGCGAGACTTTGTCTAAAAAAAAAAAAAAGTTGAAAAGCATTTCTGTGTAGAATTATCTTTTATCTTTTTTCTTTATCGGCAGTCATTATTTGCTAGTGTTTTCAATTTATTCTAAAGTCATTTGTCTGTTTCGATTTTCCAACTCTTCTTATTTGAATGTTGAAAGTTTATAATTCCCAGAGAAAGCAAAAATGAGCAAAATAGTATTGTATCTGAAAATGATTCAAAATTATATTCACAATTTGTTATTATTTCAATAATCTTTTAAATTATGGGTTTTAAAATGGATTATTTTGGTGGAAAACCATTGGCAATTAATTAATATAAGCATTAGATACAGGAAGGACTTCGGCAGATGTAATGTGGGACAGTTTGTACTACAGCTTATGGGATGCTTTGCATTTGAACATTAATTCCATTCACTTTGGTTTGGTTTCTAAAGAAGCAAACACCCTTTATGTGGTATATTACTGATTGTTTTATAACTTATGAATATTTTTAATATTTACAGATCTAGTGAAAATAGTTTCTTTCTCAAAATTTACTCTGCACCAAAACAAAGCATATTTTGTAGCCTATTTTTGACATATATATTTTGAGTGAGGTATTTATGTCAACAAATATTGATTAATTCCTAGGCAAAAGAACAAAATAAATCAGAAAACAAAAAAGTAAAATAACTCTGTTATAAATCTGACATTTTAACCAATAATATAACTACACAGAGACTATATTGCAAGGTGGAAAGTGATGTATGTTACAAAACAAATTTTAACAAAATTAATTAGCAATATTTATCAAATTATTGAAAAGGTGGAGAAAACAGAAGAGAAAATGTTTGAGGAAATCATGGGAACATGAATGTTGAGTCCCAGTAGGACAGCATGAGAAGAATGTTTACAATCAGTTTTTTATTTAGAGGGGCAGGTGTGAGGAATGCAGTATTGCGGTGTATGATCACCAAGAGAATTGTGGCATATAGGATTTTAGGATACTGTTGAGAATGAGAAAAGCATTAAGTGGAATTTAGACTATACAGGGAATCTGAGATTTCTTCATGTACAGATAATGTGGTTTAATGTATAATTGGTTCTATCGAGGATTAATTAAGCTGGAATGCAGGCAGAGCTATTAACAACTTCCTTGTTTTAGAATTCAGGCAAAACAACACCAAGAGGAGACTCTCTGCTTAAATGATTCAGAACTAAAATGAGTTCAGAAATATTGACTGAATGAAACATGGTAGGGCGAGATTAACTGTTTTTCAATTAATAGTGGTTGACAATTAGAGATGGGGCTGTTAACTACAACTAATAACAACCAAAAAAAATTTCCCCACCTCTAAGTAGGATTGTATGAAAAATATCTTTACTCCGAATTGTTAGGCATTTTAAGAGAAAGAAACATACATATAAAAAGTTAAGTGAATACCTTATATATTATTTAAACAGAAAGTAAGCAAAATCATAAGAGAATACATAATACTTGGAATACAATATAGGTTTACAAATGGGGCTCCTTATGTTCTCTCTGAAGAGCAAGAAAGAAAAAGAACCTGAGGCTTGTACCCAGGAATTGACCTTTAATAAGCATTTATTTTGTTCTCACATGTAGAACCTAATGAACTATTGCACAAGCATTATGAGACACAAAATTCTGACACCCACCTTCCGTCTGCTCCATGGCTAGAGAAATATCTAAGTGTTTTTGTTTAATTGGTTAACTAAGTATTATGGAATTCTGAAAGCATTTGGAAACTTTCTTGCTTTGGTATTTTGCTATCCAATGAAAAGAATTCTTTCTTCCAAAAGTATTACTAAACTTTTAAATTAGTTTTTTAAAATCAGATGGGCTACATTAAATCTTTATAAAAATGTAAATACATACATATATATAAAAGTCACTGGAAAACTGATAAATGTAGCCGATCAGTTGTTGAATTTGTCTAGGTAATACCTTAGGAGTGTTTTATGAGACAATTTTACTTTGGAGTGAATTGTTTCAATTGATTATCAATGTTGGCATTTTTAGCAGCCATTAGCAGAGTGGGTTGTGGGGATTTCTCAGAGGACCCCTGACATACTTTCAGGGGGCTCATGAGCTCAGAGTCATTTTTATAATGACTGTTTAGTGGCGTTCTCTCACATTTGTTTACTGGCATTATTTTCTACAGACCAGTGATGTATCATCTCCAAGCAGGGCAGGAGCAGGAGCTCATATGATTCCAGCTGTCTTTCGTCAAGTAAGTCCGACATTAAGCATATTTGCAAAACGTATAAAACAATGTCAGTTTTCTTGCAAATTATTTGTTTGGGGCAATGTAGCTATTTTATTATAAAATATGTTATTTATATTCACATGTAATTTTAACACTATTTTTAAAGAAATTAATAACAACGTATTCAAAATTGCAGAGCTAGTCAGGATATGAATCCTAGCTAGGGCAAGGTCAGGATATGAATCCAGCCTGTGTCCACTTTTTAAGCACCAGTATCTGCTGTTCTCTAAAGAAAAAGAAAAGAAAAAATGGTGTAAAGGCTTATAAATTACTCCATTTTATTTTTTCATAAGATGCTAGTTACAAAACAGTCTGCACTTCAGTTTGCTCGTCTTGAAAACAGCGACATTAAGACAACTTAAATATTATCATTAGTATAAAGTGACTTAACTGATATAAGATCTTAGGATAGTGCTTGGCACAAATTTTCATATTGGTGTTTGCTCTTACTAGTATTTTTATGGTTGTAATTACTTTGGTCTCTCAAATAATCAATTTATTTATCTATTTACTTATTGCTAATATGCTTCCTTTTTGATGGTAAGTGATTATTACAATTTAATTGAACTCAATCATCTAATATTTTGATAAACACTAGAAAGATTAAATTATCTAGACATGCTATTCATGTAATAAGAAATGATGTTAACTAGAATAATATAAACATCGGTTGCCTATAATGGGCAAAATAACATGCCAGTCCCTAGAGGGTGATAAAAAATTATATCATTATTTACTAGGTGTCCAATCCATGTTTGTTTATGAAATAAACAAAATATAATCACATTCTCAAAGGAGCAGAATATCCATGCTGGACTATGTTTATCTCCGCAGTCACCTTCCCTGTGGCCAGTGCTGCCATAATCACCTTTGCAGGCCTAGAGACCCTGGTCTTACCTACACTGTGTATCTCTTGGTTCCACCCTGGATCTCCTTGGCTTCCACTGTGCATTGATGAGATGTCTGGGGGAGCATCTTCAGCCTCATAGCAGGAGTGGAGAATTTCACACCACTGGGCTGATGCCTAAGGTGCCCAGCAACACGGAGCCCATTGCCTGCTGTTCAACAAAGTATGCTGGGCTGGACTGTCTCTCCTTCCAGACTCCATGTTTCCCCATCTCCTGATAACATACCTGCCTACAAGTTTTCGTCTCAGGTTGTGTATTTTGGGAAAACTGAGCATAGTGTCAAATACAGAAACTATACATGTCTAAAACACCTCAAAGAGTAAAAACATATGGGAATTTTTTGAAGGTTAACTCCAGAAAACCAAGTCAGGGTCCAAATAGGAAGAGTAGTCTTGGGTGCAAAGTTCAGTCTGCAATGATTCTCAAGCTATCTTCCATATGTAGGGACAAGGCGATGACCCAAAGAGAGACAGGCAGCAATAGATAAAAAGGAAGTGAAGAACATTATACAATAGTTTTGCAACTTCCATGTGGTATTGAGGCCTCAATAATACCCGAGGTCTTCATAAAACTGGAGCAGCTCCACTTACAAATATTCAGTGGGGGCAGAGGTAGGTTTCTAGCACTTTAATTTCACATATTTATGGAATCTGTTTTTGTTGTTTTAAATTAATTTAACATTTTAAATAATAAACTATTTTAACCTGATACAAAATATGTGAAAAAGGGGGAATAAAGAACGCAGGAAGCTTTTGAGTGAATGTAAATCTTCATTATCCTTGTTGTGGCAATGATGGAAACAAGTGTATTCCTATGTAAAAGCTTATCAAACTGCATTTTTAAATAAATACAGTTATGTCATTTAACCCTTAATAATACTGTTTATGAAAAGATTAAAATGGGACTGTCTCAAAAAAGAAAAAGGAAAAGATATGTGAAGTTACCTGGTATCTACACATAATAAATATTAATATTTTCACATTTTCCATATTTGCTTTAAACATTATTTTCAATGAATTGAAATATTAGCTGTGAAAAATGAATTTTTCAATGAATTATAAACAGCTATAGACATAACTAAAACTCCATCTCCCCAAATTTTTTTTCTCCATCTTCCGTAGTGGTTAGCCACTTGTAAAGCTGCTACTTGTCATCCCAGCATATATATTGTAATATTACTACATATTAATGCATCCATAAAAATATGTGGCATTTTTAATAAATTACATGGATTATACATTTGCTTACTCATTCATTTACTCAACATACGTGTACTCTGCACTTCCTCTATACAGGCATTATTCTAAACAGCTGGTATAAATCAATTAACAAACAAGAAAAATGTCTACTCTTACAAAACTTGGCTTTCAAAGCAATATAACGTGTTACAATGTAGGTTTGCTTATAGTCACATAACTTGGAACCTTATAAAGTGTAAAGCGCCAACTGTTTTATGCCCCGCACTGAAGCAGGCTATGAAGTGGCAGCCATAGCAGGAGATGAAAGTTTGCCTGCTGGCAACACTGAGATTAAGGGTGTTGCCTATTCATCTAAACCCATTGTTTCAATTACCCACTAGGAACTAGCCTAAATTTGAAAGAGGGTGATACCACAGAGCACGGAAGCTAAATGAAAGACACCTATGTGATTAGATCTAGATATGATGTTTTGTTATGATGAGCTGAATAACATTTGATACTTGAAACCAATCAGACCCACAGCTTGCTAGACTCTTGCAGGGTTAAGTACTGCCAAAGCACCCCTAAACCTGGTTTGCAACTGTCCATGACTCTTAATCCCCTAAAATAATCCCCATGTCCCTAAACTCTCACCAAGAGGACGGGTTCAAAGGCTGTATCCTCTGAAGTTCCCTTGTGTGCTGTGGCCAAGGAAAGTGAAGGCAAGGAAGGATCCCCTGAAATGGACAGCCAGAGCCACAGGCAGAAACCACAAGGGAGTTTTGCTAAATGGCACAGTTAGGACAAAGCACAGAGACTCCCTGCCATGCCAGCAAGGAGTCTTCCCTATATCAGTCCAGTGAGATGCCAGCAGCCGTGGAGAAGGGAGTGATGTGTGTTTTCCATGTTCCACCTTCTAGCAGTCCATCGTATTTGCAGATCCCAGTTTTCTGCCATTGTCGGTTCAGAGGTGAGAATTATTGTTCTTTTAGATTATAGCTTGTCAGACAAAGAGAACATGCATTTGTACTTGAGGAAGAAGATTATACATCATCCAGGGCTACAATTTGAGCTGGGACATAAGATACTTAGAAGAGTGGGTCATGAGAAGATTTTAGGAAAAGGAAGGCCAAGAATAGTAACTGCAAAATCTTAGAAGAAGAAATATGTTTTTGTGTGTTAATTTTAGAGGAATAAATATGCTTTTTGTATATTCCTTTTCTTTTTTCTTCTATTTTTAAGAATGAAAAATTATCCAGAGCACACGGAACAAAGAAGGGAGCATGAAATTGTGACACCAAAGTAGGGATTTGCATCCTCTGAGAAGCTTAGGTTCCATTTGTGTAAAGGAAAGCACACACACAAAAAATTGCAATGCAAAGTGTACTTGGTGTCATACAAGGAATGGTTTTTAATGGGCAGGAAGGAAAGCAAAGAGAGACCCTTGCAAAACTGAGGTCCATACCTCAGTGAGAAAGGTTATGGTAGTTTTACCTACAGTTAGTGGTATTGAAGATGGAGAGAAAGGGAATAAAATTTGTTACTCAATTGGGTATGAGAGATGTAGGGAAGAATCTAGATTCATAGGTTTAGGAGTTGAGCAAAATGAGGCCACCGCTTATTCAAATGAAGGTGCCAAGAAAAGTCAGGTGTGTAGGGATTAGGAGGGGTGGAACTGAGAGAATTTTATGTTTTGGATACATTAAAGGTAAGATTCCTTTTAAACACTGCACTGGAAATGCCAAGCAGGTATTTTGGTAATGTTAACACATCGTCGCATAGTCTTTAAAGCCACGCATGGCAATACTATTGCTTAAATAAAAATGTGTATAGAAAAGAGCAGAAATCTCAGAATAAAATTTTGGAGACTCTATTATTTAGAGTTTGGTAAGATTGGTTTGATAACAGTCTTCTAAGAGACTAAAAGGAGTATACAGGAGGAAATTCAAAAGGAAAGGAAATACAGCAAAATGTAATCTTTCAGAAGGCAAGATCTTTTCAAGTAAGAGATGGTACTGAGAGACTGAGAAACAAGACAACTAACAAAACGCAGTGATATGAGTGGCAGGGAGATAATGGAACTTGATGACAGGGTTTTGTAAAATGCAAAGTTCAGCAACTGGATCAGAGATGAATGAAGAGAGAATTTAAAAAAAAAGAAGTGGACATCATCTGTGTGTGGACAAATTGTTCTGTAAGGGGAAAAGGGAAATAGGTTGATTGTGAAAAGAGATGTGGGGTCAAGGGTACTTTAATGCAGTAGAAGGTGGAGCATGTTTTACATACTGATAGCAGTGTTCCAGGAGAAGACAAATAATGGAGGAAGCAAAATGGAGGCTGGTAGATGGGCACCTTCCTGTCCTTGGAACACACAGATTCTAGTTGGCTTTCAAGTCATTTTTTCATCTAGTTTAAACCTTTTTTTGGTAATAAAAGTGTATGTGTGTGCACATGCACACACACACTCACACACACATATATTAATATTCATTGCAACAAAGCTTTCGATTGATCTCCTCCTTGTTTTATAATTGGATTGGCCACAATTGATTGACTATTTTTATTACAAAGATTTGTACAAATCTCTCCAGGGGAAGCATATCAGAAAGTCAGGAAACTGAAAAACATCTGGACATGCTCTGGGTAATACACTATGCAGTGCACACAGAGGACATTTAAAAGAAAGGTCCTTTATGTTATCTAAAATATATTGTAACATTTTAACTAATTATTTTCATTTAAGATTTACATATTTTAATTGAACTAACAGTTCTTTTGGTGCAGGTGAATCGATGTTTTACATTTCACTTATGTAATATTATATAGTTTTTAGATGATGGATGATAAGCAAGAGCTTGAGCATCGAAACCTTTCTATTGTGATCAGCTGATGATTAGGGAAGGCCTCCTGTTTAGGACTCTACACAAATGGACCAAGGAACAGCAGCTAGACTTGACTGTCCCAGTTTGCAGATTCCAAAGCCCCCATACGAAGTAGAAACTCCTTTACTTTTCCAGTTTGGGATTGTGTGAATTCTTTCAAAGCTGCTTAAATCTCTGGAAGCCTTACTGTCAAATGTGCACTTAATCATTGAGTCAAATAATTAATTTGAGCATTAAAATAAATGATTCTCTTCTTTAAAAAAATAATTGAAAATGTAAATAAATAAACCCAAATAATCAGGCTCTATTCTTCCTGAATGCCTGGTGTGCTGAATGATCCATTCGCTACTGTATAATAAGACGTGTGGGAGAGAGAAAAACAGCAAGCGAGAACAATGCAAACCTTAAAACAAAAAATCCAGTGCCTGATGTTAATAGAAATAACACTCATCTAACAACATTAAACTGCTTACCATACCCTTTTAGTAGTAGTTTCAAGAACCAAAACAGTTATAAAATGTAGACTGAATAGAAGCAAATCCAAGACATGGTATTATGAATTACGTAGGTGCATCTGGGGTGCTGTGCCCACCTGTCAGCTGTTGTTTCTGTACATTTTATGTATGCATTTCTTAAAGGATTTGCAGAAAGAGTGTAGTATGATTTTTCTGCATATGTTCTCATTAAGGACAGAAATTTGAAATTTTAGTTACCCTAAATCATATTTGCAAATCTGAATAATCAAATAAATGTATGGCCTTGTGAAAAGTTTACAATATTAGGGTGATTCAGGGCTTAAAGACTTAATGGGTTTGATAATAGAATATATTCTTCACGTAGAAACATTAAGTGTTTATATAGTGATATTGTAAAACTAGCATCAGCACAGAGGAAAGTTGTAAAGAATATCAGATTCTCTATATGCACTTATGTATTTAACCACTGATGCAAGTTCTATCCAGCTGTTTGCTGGCCCTCCAAATATGTCCACATCCCAGTCTCTGGAATCTGGAATACATTAGTTTATATGGCAAAAAGGACATTCCAGAAGTGATTAATTATCTTGAGATGAGGGGTTATCCTGGATTGTATGTGTGAACCTGGTATAATCACAAAGGTCTTTATGAAAGGGAGGCAGTGAGGTTAAGAGTCAGCAATGGATATGTAATGATGTTGTGCTGACTTTGAAAATGGAGGAAGGCACCATGAGGTGAGGAACGCACGTGGCCTCTGGAAGCCGGCAAAGTGAAGGAATCAGATGCTTCCCTAGAGCCTCCAGAATGACCCAGCCAGGCTGATGCCTTGGCTTTAGCCCAGTGAGGTTGATTTGGGACTTCTGATCTCCAGAAATCTAAACTGGGCTGTTTTACATCTCTAAATTTTGGTAGTTTGTTGCAGCAGCAGTAGGAAATTAATAAAGTTACCATGATCACGTCCCCACCACAACTATCATAACCCAGCTTCTCATACTTGTCCCCAAAAGGATGCTGATTATGTTGCTCTGTGATTTTATACCATAGAAGATACAACTGGACTCATTATGAACTTTTGCATTCAGGGATTATTAGCAAAGGCTTTCAAAATCTGTAGCAGATATTATCTTTGCAAAAAAAGATGAATTTTCAGTTTCCATAATGAGACGATTATATTGCTCATATTTATAAAAACAATACTTTTTTTTTTTTTTTGAGACAGAGTCTCATTCTGTCACTCAGGCTGGAGTGCAGTGGCGCAATCTCCCCTCACGGCAAGCTCCACCTCCCAGGTTCATCCCATTCTCCTGCCTCAGCCTCCCGATCAGCTGGGACTACAGGCTCCCGCCACCACGCCCGGCTAACTTTTTTGTATTTTTAGTAGACACGGGGTTTCACCATGTTAGCCAGGATGGTCTCAATCTCCTGACCTCATGATCTGCCCGCCTTAGCCTCCCAAAGTGCTGGGATTACAGGCGTGAGCCACCGCGCCTGGCCAAAACAATACCATTTTTGAACCTAAAATTCTTTACTCTCTTTGATTATCATGGTGGGACCCTTAAGGGTGCTGTGTGCTACCTCCAAATCCAGGCCATCTCTGGAAAAATGGTAGGACGAGGGACCAAAGAATTTCAATATATAGTGGGCATTTGAGGGTATAAAGGACAACTGTTCCTCCTTTGTTGTACCTTAAAATCAAGAACCAACCAACAACTCATTTATTCATGGAAATGAGGGACAAAGCATGTCATATCACAAACCTTTATGTGATAATTAATGTTACTATGAGCATCCATGTTCTTCAGTGCTGACAAGTATACTAATATTTAAAATAAACTAATGATATTTATGATAAAAACTTATTTAAGATATTTCAGACTAGTAAACGTGATTCTAAGTAATACTCAAATCATATTTTTATGACAAGAACCATCAAATTATTGTGTGATATTATGAAAACACCAGGGAGCGAAATGTTATTTTATACATCTCTTGTCTTTCCAGATTAAAAAAGGTACAAAAGATAATGACATCTGCAATAGACTCTGCATTCCTTCCCCCTTCTAAGATAAAATGTTCTTTCTGTTTAAAACACACTTCCTGTGTGAAAGATTGGTTTGTGTGCATGATAGCAGAGCTTTTTCACCATTCACGCATGAGAAGAATGTACAAAGAAAGACAAAGCGTCAAAATGTTCTTCCTAAAAATAGTGCTAGAAAGGGAACTGATTCTTTCTTAGATTATATCAGTGATGCGTTTCTCCAGAATAAATATAACAAATATATAACTATATACATTCAAAATTACATATATATAAATGGGGTAACAAGTCAAAGGGCTCATAGGCAGAGCCTTTAATAAGCTTGTAAAATTAACCCGAGATAAATCCCATGTTTGTTCAACTTAGTATAATAAACTGTTAGTGGTTATGTCAGTTTTTGACGATGACTTTCAATACCAAAAAATAAAGATATGTGGCTGGGCGTGGTGGTGCACTCATGTAATCGCAGCACTTTGGGATGCTGGGACAGGCGGATTACCTGAGGTCAGGAGTTCGAGACCAGCCTGGCCAACATGGTGAAACCCCATCTCTACTAAAAATACAAAAATTAGTCGAGTGTGGTGGCTCACACCTGTAGTCGCTACTCATGAGATGAGGCAGGAGAATAGCTTGAGCCCAGAAGGCAGAGTTTGCAGTGACCCCAGATTGTGCCACTGCACTCCAGCCTGGCCGACAGAGTAAGACTCTGTCCCTAAGGAAATAAATAAATAAATATATGTATAAAGTTACGCATATTTAAAAATATTAATATATAATATTCAAATGAGGAATGTCAGGGATTCAGATACATTTATAAAGTGAGGCATGGGATATTTTGAAATACCAAGAACTATCCCTTTCCACGATATGCTTTGCTGCTCTGTTTCACCCAGGATGTGGCTGACCACACCTGCAATATCTTTTGCCTTGGAGAAGGCATGATGGGGGACAAATTATTGGTCTTTAAAGGCATTATGGCAAAAACATTTTGGCTGGGAGTAATATAGATTTGAAAGGAAGTTTGATTAGTCCAATGTTAAAGCCATGTTTTCTTCAGACTGGGAAAGCTACTGAAAGTGCACAGCAGGAGGAGATCATAGAACACAGTGGGACCCTTAAGGGTGCTGTATGCTACTGGTGAACCCAGGCCATTTCTGGAAAAGGGAAAGGATAAGGGACCACAGAATTCCCAGATATTATGGATATCTGAGTCTATAAAGGAGAACTGTTCTCCTGTATTAGGTACAGCCTGGGAAATTTCAATGGTTTTGTTTGCCATTGAAGCAGAAGAAAAGGGCATTTGGACAAACAGAAGTATCATAACTGGCAGCAGTCCAGCTACCTAGACAGACCCAACCCAGGAGTGTCAGGGCCATCTTTTCCTATGAGTCTGCTGTGGCGTGGGTGCAGCACGGTCAGCCTGGAGAGATCTCACAGCTGAGAAGAGGAGGTGGTGGATATGCAGGCAAGGATGTGACTTGCTCATGCCTCCACTCAGGGTTAACAACAAACACACCTATGGTTTTAGTCTAGGAGAGAGGTGAGAAAGCAACTTTTCATGAAAGAACAGTTTGGCTGGTTTGACTTCATTATGTATTTTTGTTGTTGTTGTTGTTTTGTTTTGGTTTGTTTTGTTTGAGATGGAGTCTCGCTCTGTCGCCCAGGCTGGAGTGCAGTGGCGCGATCTCAGCTCACTGCAAGCTCCGCCTCCCAGGTACATGCCATTCTCCTGCCTATCAGGGGAACCCACCCCCAATATTTCAACATAGGTTCTTTCTATTTTCCATAAGTGTTGGCTGGCTGAGAAATAAACAGAAAGAATACAAAGAGAGGAATTTCACAGCTGGGCCTCCGGGGGTGACATCACATATCGGTAGGACCGTGATGCCCAGCTGAGCCATAAAACCAGCAGGTTTTTATTAAGGGTTTCAAAAGGGGAGGTGGTGTACGAACGGGGAGTAGGTCACAAAGATCACATGCTTCAAAGGGCAAAAAGGAGAACAAAGATCACATGCTTCTGAGGAAACAAGACAAAAGGCAAAACAGAACTACTGATAAGGGTCTATGTTCAGCTGTGCATGGATTGTCTTGATAAACATCTTAAACAACAGAAAACAGGACTTGAAAGCAGAGAACCAGTGTGACCTCAAATTTACCAGGGCGGGGTTTCCCAATCCTAGTAAGCCTGAGGGTACTGCAGGAGACCAGGGCGTATTTCAGTCCTTATCTCAACCACATAAGACAGACAATCCCAGAGCGGCCGTTTATAGACCTTCCCCCAGGAATGCATTCCTTCCCCAGGGTATTAATTATTAATATTCCTTGCTGGGAAAATAATTTAGCGATATCTTCCCTATTTGCACATCTGTTTACAGGCTCTCTGAAAGAAGAAAAATATGGCTTTATTTTGCCCGATCCCACAGGCAATCAGATCTTATCGTTGTCTTCCCTTGTTCCCTGAAAATCGCTGTTATTCTGTTCTTTTTCAAGGTGCACTGATTTCATATTGTTCAAACACACATGTTTTACAATCAATTTGTACAGTTAACACAGTTGTCACAGTGGTCCAGAGGTGACGTACATTCTCAGCTCACGAAGATAACAGGATTAAGAGATTAAAGTAAAGATGGGCATAAGAAATTATAAAACTATTAATTTTGGGAACTGATAAATGTCCATATTAAAATGACATCTTCACAATTTATATTTAGACATTAAAGTAAAGACAGGCATAAGAAATTATAAAAGTATTATTTCGGAACTGATATATGTCCATATTAAAATGAAATCTTCACAATTTATGTTCCTCTGCTGCGGCTCCAGCCGGACTGCCAGTCCAGCCAACTGGACTGCTGCCACTTATGATACTTCTGTTTGTCCAAACACCCTTTTCTTCTGCTTCAACAGCAAACAAAACCATTGAAATTTCCCAGGCTGTACCTAATACAGGAGAACAGTTATCCTTTATAGTTATCCACCTGCCTCAGCCTTCCAAGTAGCTGGGACTACAGGTACCCACCACCATGCCTGGCTAATTTTTTTGTATTTTTAGTAGAGACTGGGTTTCACTGAGTTAGCCAGGATGGTCTCGATCTCCTGACCTCGTGATCCACCCGCCTCGGCCTCCCAAAGTGCTGGGATTACAGGCGTAAGCCACCGTGCCTGGCCCATGATGTATTTTTTTTTAATTGTAAAACTCTTAAATACTGCTAATCTTGCATATTTTTAAAAGGACATCTTCAATTGTTTTAAACTTACAGAATTCCTTGTGAATTACAATGGGCAGAACATTATGTCGTAAAGAAACTCTACTGCTGAAGGGGAGATATAATTTCATCAGGCTCAGGAGACATCAGTGCTACAATTGGAAGCTTTATAGACAAAGATGGACTAAGGAAGTTGCATAAGTTTCTAGAATAAACTAAAGAAAGACTTCTCATCTCAAAATCAAACTTATGAAGGCAAAGAAAATATAGAGCTGTTTAGCCCAGATAAGAAATAGAAGTACACTTTTAACAGTTATTATTAAATACCATTTCTTATTTGTATATAATGGTTTTAACACTAGTAAGAGTATTTGAGAAAATTAAAAAACTAGTTTAAGACAGAGGCCAAAGACTTTACAGAAAACGCATTTTATTAAACATTAGAAAAAATTTTAAAAGTGCTTTTTGGTGGGGTACTGTGGCTCACACCTGTAATCCAAGCACTTTGGGAGGCCGAGGGGGGTGCATCACCTGAGGTCAGGAGTTTGAGACCAGCCTGGCAAACGTGGTGAAACCCCGTCTCTACTAAAAATACAAAAATTTGCCGGGTGTGGGGATGCACACCTGTAATCCCAGCTACTTGAGAGACTGAGGCAGGAAAATCATTTGAACACGGGAGGCGGAGGTTTCAGTGAGCTGAGATTGTACCACTGCACTCTAGCCTAGGTGACAGAGCGAGACTCTGTCTTAAAAAAAAAAGTATTTTTTGGGGGACATCTTTAGAAACATTAAATTTATGCATGGGATAATTAAAAGCATTTTATATATTACTGGATCAGCTAGAAAGATAATATTTTTCTTATTTTTACCAAAGCATTTTCACACAAATTAAAATTTTCAGTGGCTGATCAGTTACAGAAATCAAAAATTATATATATGCATATATATGTTCATACAAATATACAACATATATACACATAGTAATATGTATCTATGTATATTTTTATATGTGTGTTTGTATGTGCATGTATAACATACCAGACTATAACTGTTTTCAAACACTTAGAAATTTTTTTAAAGAAATGAACCCACACAGATATTGAAGATTTAACCAATCTCCCTCAACATAACTATCTTATTTTGATTAAAACCTAAGGCTGAGTTTACTCAAAGAAATGATCCAGTTCTGTGATTCTCCCTCAGACCCAGCAGCCAGAACACCAAACTTGACACTTATAGAAAAATGAAAATGTTTGCTCTAATTCTTTTTTGAGACAGTGTCTCATTCTGTTGCCCAAGCTGAGTGCAGTGGCGTAATCACGGCTCACTACAGCCTCAACCTCCCAGGCTCAAGCAATTCTCCTTCCTCAGCCTCCTGAGTAGCCTGGACTACAGTTGTGCACCACCACACTCAGCTAATTTTTGATTTTTTGTAGAGACAGGGATCTTGCTGTGTTGCCCAGGCTGGTTCTGAACTCCTGGACTCAATCAATCTTCCTGCCTCAGCCTCCCAAAATCCTGGGATTACAGGTGTGAGCCACCATGTCCAGCCCTGGCTCCAACTTTCAGTGTTTAACATTTCCAGAGAGGTATCATAATGGAGAGAGGGTTTTCTGTTTCTCAGAAAGTCTTTCGCAGTTGCCCAAGTAACTAAAACCATGGCTTCTGAGAGAGAGAAAATAAGTAAATAAATAAATGAATAAATAAATAAACAAACAAACCTGAAGGCTAAACATTGGAAAGTTGCAGAAAAAGCACATGTAAGCAATTTAGGGCATGGGGTGAGCCGATTAAGTAGATCAACCACATGTTTCCTGAGATGAGTGAAGCTATCCTGTCCTTAAATGTCATCAATATTCTAACAACTTTCAAATGTGTAATTCAGCAACAGTTGCTTCATGGAAATCCACATGAGGACATCCAATTGAAAACTCAAATTCTTCACCTGTATATCTAACAGTTATTTTTAAAGTTGACATGTCAGAAACTAACTCTTCTCCTGCCATGCCTATGACCACTATATGCTTTGCAGTATCCCTCCTATCCCCAATTTGTTGTTGTTGTTTTTGAAATGCCATTAATTATTTCTTTAAAATTTACATGGAAGTTTGCAACTTCTCACTGCCTGTACAACTATTACCTTCTTTTAGGTCAGTGGTTCTCAAATTTTTGGACCTGTGACCCACTTCCCTTTCTAGGTTTAAACATCATGGTATTAGCAGTCCCGCAGAGCTTTACATCTATTGATATTTACCAGTTCCGGAATTAAAACTGAAAAACTTTTTAAAAATGTATATATAATATGTATTTTAAATTCATTTACATAGCAATAAATTCCATGCATGTTAATTTACACTGTTTTATAAACAACTGTAAGTTACACTTTTTTTAAAGTAGCATTGTTTTACATTTTTGAAATTTTCTTTAATGTCTAGCTTATGAAAGACACTGGATTCCCACATTTGCTTCTGCATTCAACATTTTTGCAGTTTATTATTTTGGTTGAAGTATGCAGAGAAAATCTGGCCTTACACAAAAAGGTAGCTGAAAAATGAAAGAGTATTTAATGAGCTTTTTCAGATAAATATAGATTATTTTTATTTGCTACTATACTAAAACTGTCAAGTGGCAGTTTCTTAAAGAGTATTTGCAATGTGAAATGCATAATTATGTCAAAGAACTTGTTTATCTGTTATGCTAAAATCCATTGACACATCTTAAATTTTGAAAAAATATTTTACCCATACAAAGTATTATAACCGTACAAATGGGTCATTTTGGAAAATACTGGTCTACTGAATTACGCAGATCTTTCATGTGTTGCCAACTTTAATCACATAATATTAAGTAAATGTGCTCATTAATATTGTCACAAATCTCGTGTGAAAGTTCTTTTAAGTAATGGAAGCTATTTATTTCACTATGGCAAAAATAAGTTTTCACAATTGTATTTCTTTAAAGTCCTACATATAGAGATATATGTATATATGTCATATGCATGCATTATGCATGCATTACAAATATTTTAGAGCATTATTTTTCATTTTTTCAGATATATCTGACAAACACGAGTCTGAAAAATATTGTTTTTCTATCAATGCTTTTCTGATTGAAAATAGTATCAAGTGAAAAAAGCAATTAGTTAAACTTGAAACTCAACCACAGATGTGCTTTTTCTGGGGACAAGCACTGGGTTTCAGTATGCAGCAGAGGGATTTATATACTCCCAGATTCGTTACACAGAATATTAAATAGATGTATACTCAGTAGTCTGGATTAATAACCTTAAATGTATCTTACTGCTTAGTAAAGTTCATTACTAAATAAAACTGGCATTACTTTTAATTGGGAGCTTGTGGCAGTGAAGAGTTTCACGACTACTGGTGCAATTCGTTTCTACTGCCTCGATTCATGCTAAAGCCCCAGAAATATCAACCACTATCATTTCTGCACCATTATTGCAAATGTCAGCAACGTTGTGTCAAAATAAAAAAGAAAAAACAAAAAGGAACTAGGTGGGCTACAGGGGAATGGAAAATTACAGAAGGGGGATGGGAAGAGAATCATTGAAAATGGTTTGACAGTGTAGGTTGGGACAATGTACATTTTTGCAGTTTGGCAATATTGCATTTTCTTAAGGGAAGACTTAGCACAAGGGCTCAGGGACTGGGGGTCGGCTTTGGGACATGCACCAGTGCAGTTGAAGGTCAAGCTAAAGTTTGGTTACAGTGTTTTTGCAAGTCCTTTGTGTCTTGTGGCAGTTCAGCATTCAAAGTTGCTCCAACATCAACCATGCAACTCAAAAAAGTTTTTTTTTTTCTGCACTAATTATGATTGTCACCAAGAATTCATGACTATTTTTGATGATTTGTTGGGGTTGATACCAGATGAATAATAGCAAAATAAAGCTCTATCCATATCTGTAGATCCATCCATTTGAATGTTAAATGTGTTATTCTGCAAACAAAATATTAATTTATCCTGCATGCTTACAGCTAAACCTATAATTTGGAGAGTTGCTGTATCAGTGAAAATGTCACTGCCTTGATTTATTTTACTGACATTTCTTTCAACAAGTATTCAGGAATGTCAATTGTACAAGATTTTGATATTCACCAAGCTGTGCTTTCACAGCCAATGGAATATGACAGTGTTCCCAGCAAGAGGCATCAGTGTTCTTTTCATTTGTGCATTGGAAAAATGTACCAGATAATCTTTGGCTTTTAAAGAGATGATCACATCTAGATAATTATTCAATCCATTTTTACAGTTCTAAATTATTGGTTTCAAAATGATCCTACCATAACGAGCACCATGGTATTATTTTCCCTGTTGCTAAAATGATAAGTTGTTAACATATATAAAGTCAATGGAATTATGACATTTTGCATTATTTAATTCTTATTTGTAGTTTTACTCAATTGCTTTGGAGGAGATTTCCTATTCTATGCATGAGATACTTTTCTGATATGTTGGGTTCATTTTTTTTTTCACCATCTTAGGAAATAGATAGTGATCTAGGATTGAGTAAATGAGTCTCCTGTTTTCCATTTTTAAAATCTAAAAATAGATACATTCCTTTAGTTTAAAAATATTAAACTTTAAAATAATGTTAGGTAAAATTCAAAAATTTAGAAAAGTTTTAAAATGTTTAAATAAAATAGCAGAGTGTAATTCTTGATTTTTTGTATGGCAGCAAATAAATTTTGGGGATTTCTAACTAATGATTTCTTGGATAATAATGTCATCACAAAGATTATTACAGGTGTAACCAAAGATAGCTGAAAACAGCACTGCTGAAATACTTAAAAATAGGGTGAATAATCTCTGAAAACACACATATGATAACCTACACCTATTTAGAAAATTCTAGAAAACATCAGAATAGATGAGCAAACATTGCATTAGCCATCAGATTAATTAAACTATCAGGTTATGTTACATTTAGAAAATTCCATGGTACACTTATGTGTAAGAGTTAGAAAGTGAAAAGCTTAGAACTGAAAAGTGTTTTGACCTCACAGACTCCCAGAGACCCTGAGTGTCCCCCTAGGAGCACACATGGAGAACTGCGACTTTGGATTAATGCCATTTGCCACCAAGACCACCATAACAGCTTCTTAATAATTCCCATGGTTCCACCCTTCAGACTCTAAGGTTGATCATCCACACAGAAGATTTTTCAGTATTCCATTAGATGGGGCGAGTCAAAAAGAAAAGCATGAGATGTTAAGCGGTTGAAACCTGTCTTCCCTCACAAGTGGGAATGAAGCACACAGCAGCAGCTTCTCACACACCTGGTGGGTGGGAGAAAGCACTCCCCGGACCTCCGACAACAAGAAGCAGAGGTGACCGAGAGTCCCAATTGTTGTACTCGGATTTACACCATGAGTTTTGTAGTGAGGCTGTGGTCCTCACACACTGCCCTCAGCTGGTGATGGAGCATGACCATGTTACCAGGGAGACCCTCAACGGCAGCCAGGGGAGTCAGTCATCCACTTGCTGACTTTGGCTTCAGGACGCCCCATGGCTTCTCTGACTCCACCGGATTGGACTCCACAAGATCTCACCCACCTCCTCCACATTGCTGCAGACTTACTGCAGTCAGAAACCTCCCACAGCCTTCTCTTTTTTGCTTCTCTCCCTATTTTCTCAGTTATTCTCCCAAGTACTAATGTTTCCCATTTAATACCATGTGGGCATCTTTTTTCTTAGAGAACAAGACTTACATCCTATGGCCCAGCAATCCAACTTCTAGGTATGTACTCCAGAGAAAAACAAAAACCAAAAAACAGAGAAAATCATACATCCACACAGAAACATCTATATGAATGTTCATAAAACCATGTTTCATAATACAAATAAAAAACAGACAAAAATTAAGTGACCATCAACTGGTGAATTATAAACAAATTGCTATGTGTCCATCATACAGAATACTAATTAGCAATGAATTAGAAAAATTAATATATGCAAACGCAAGTAAATGAAGTGAAAAACAAAGGACTCTATGTTATATGATTCTATTTTCATGAATTCTGAAAATAAAAAAAACTATATACAATATTGACTGAGAGACCAGGGATTGTCTAGGGTCAGAGGTCAGAGGAGGGGATGAACTATTGTAAAGAAGAATTAGGAGACTTTTTAGTGTCATAGAACTGTTGATTGGTGATGAGTTTATGACTATCTACAATTATCTAAATTTATCAAATGACATTAAAAATACAAAAATTGTATTGTATGTAAATTATAACTCAAGGCAATCTAAAAGAAAATAATGTATATAAATATAAATATGAATATAATATATAAAATTTATATTTATGTTATATATTTATATTCTAAGATAATGTATATAAATATAAACATATAAAACTATAATTAAAACAAACATTTCATAAAAGTATAGGCTGGCCGTGTTAGGTGGCTCATGCCTGTAATCTAGTGCCTTGGGAGGCTGAAGCGGAAGGATCCCTTGAGGCCCGGAGTTCGAGACCAGCGTGGTCAACATAGTGAGATCCTGTTTCTACAAAAACATTTTTTCAAATAAGCTGTGCATAGTGCCAAGTGCCTGTGATCCCAGTTACTTGGGAGGCTGAGACAGAAGGATTGCTTTTAGCCCAGGAATTTGAGGCTACAGTAAACCATGCTAGCGCCACTGCACTAAAGACTAGGTGACAGAGAAAGACTGTCTCAAACAAAAAAAAAAAGTATAGGCAGCTGCGTTTTACTTTTTATTGAAAAGCTGATGTTTTGCACAAAGGTGCTAAATCAATGGTGCTACACTGATGTGAACAGATCAAATTGTATTTTCATCTTACATGAATTAAGGCTAATATATATAATACCATTTATACAGGATTGAAATAAGCTTATATTACATGCATGTGTAAATGCATGTCTCAAGAACTTCTTTGACTTCTAAATTAGCGTTATTTTTACTGTTCTTATTATCGAGATATTGAAATGTTCTATACTCCATCTCACCTACGACATGTGGCATAACGGAAAGATGAAGTAATTTAATAAAATGGAAACACAGATTATGGCACAAAGGAACCCCAGAATGGTTATTAGAGGGAGATATTCACAGCCTGTTCAGACAAGGAAGAACAAGAAGCCTGAGTATCACTGAGCTGGGGAGTAATTGATGATGTGAACAGTTTGGCTAATTTATAATAAGTTTTCAGTGTTCACACCTGTCACAACCGGTTCATGTGTCAACAATGCTGCTATGCTTGGAAACCCTGGATTATCTTTCTTATACTGACTTTCACCCACTGTCAGCTCTTTCTGGGGATACCAGGAGTCAAATCACATTTCTCGAAGTGAAAAAGTTTTATTTATTCTTCCATTCTCTTTATTTTTTGCCCAGGCACCATTTATGTGATACAACAATGAGTGAATGATTTGTGCTTCCATCATTGGACTTCAGGTTATTTGAATTTTGAAGCTTAAAGGCCACTCTCATTTTTTCAACATTTCTCTGGAATCTGAAAGTACACATTAAACATTCCCTTAATCATTTAAAAAAATACAAGATGCAATTAATTTCTTTAAATAGGGCTAAGCACTTCCCAGAAAATAACAGAAAATATAACAACAGGAGAAATGTTATCCAGAACATGTAATTACTTTCTTTAAAGTATTTGTAAATAGTCTGTTATATTTTAAGTAGGCAATTAGCAAAGAATCAAGATATTTTTGGTGGCTGAGAATTTTTAGGTTGATTTTCTTATTGCATGCCCCAGTTCAGGATCTACACATAAATACTTATTGAAAAGAGATTCAGTTTTTTCAATATTATTATAGTATACTAATATATCCATGTATAAGTACAGGATTGTATAAAGATTTACTTTTCGTCATTTGTGTACTGATTTCATCTCATTCAAAGTATTGCTTCTTTAAAAAGACTGTCAAACATTGGTGAAATGGAGAATCATTGCGATTTTATCACTAAATAGTTGAAAATGTTCTTAAAATCAGGTATGTTGTTTTTGCATCAGAGATTTTTGGATTTTTTTCCCAATCCCTTAAAAAATTTTTTAAACCATAACAAATCCTGTCTGTTAAACTAAAGCTGTTAGTAATTAATTTCTTGGAACCATGTTATCCAGCTTATTTTGCGCATTTCTTTTTTCTTTTTTTTGTTTTTGTTTTTGTTTTTGTTTTTGCTTTTTGAGACGGAGTCTCGCTCTGTCGCCCAGGCTGGAGTGCAGTGGCGCGATCTTGGCTCACTGCACCCTCCGCCTCTCGGGTTCAAGCAATTCTCCTACCTCAGCCTCCCAAGTAGCTGGGACTAGAGGCGCCCCCCGTTACACCTGGCTAATTTTTTGTATTTTAGTAGAGACAGGGTTTCACCGTGTTGCCCAGGCTGGTTTCAAACTCATGAACTCAGGCAGTCTGCCCACTTCTGCCTCCCAAAGTGCTGGGATTACAGGCATGAGCCACCGCGCCCGGCCTATTTTGCCCATTTCTAAGCATTTAGTTTTAGAGGACATAATTCAGCTAAAGTAGCATGAGTGAATATAGACAAAAATAGAATAATGTTTTGGTATTGTGTGTGCCCATGTTTACATTCATGATACTATGTCATGATTCCTGGAACAACTTGAGTCCCCAATAAAGAATGAATATATGCTAGCTCCAGGAACTTATTTGGAATCTGAACAATTAACAGTCATTGTCTTCACAAAACTCAGAAATTCTCTAGCCTCTACTACCATCCTGCCCTGAGTTGACAAATTGCATTCAATGTTTTCAAAACTGAACATTATATTAAGCTCTTAACATCACTCTTGACATTATACACCCTCCGTATTTCACATAAGCAGATAATTTTATAAAATTAGATTTTTAGTATTATAAGATTAGTAGTACAATTTAGCAGTTCTAATAAACTATATATGTGTGTGTGTATGTGTGTATATATATACATATACATATATACATATATATACATATACATATATATATATATATTTAAGAAGACAAATTTAAACAAGACTTTGCTTTCCAGAAATATGTAGTCTGTAAAAAGCTCCAGGATTACTATTGCCAGAAAGGACTCTGCAAAGAAGAGATGACTTCTATAGACCAGAATGTAAAGAAAAACAACTTATTCTGGTTCTTAGGGAACCTTATAAATAGGATAAGATGGAAAGTGTACATTTGCCTGAGTTATACTGAAATAATGTTTTTAGATTGTTTCACTTTAATCATATGATTTTTAATTTACTAATAGTACAGTCATTTATTTTACATATATAATATACTATATATAATATATATAATATATATATAGTTCTGGAGTCTCTCTGAAAACTCAGTGTAATACCAAAAAATACACAATTGACTAATACATGGAGAAAATATATCAATATTTTTATTACAAGTTAATATTACAAATAGGCATAACACGTAACAATTGATGACCGAAGTCATGTTTGCTGTAACAAGCCTTATGTTGACAGAATGTTTTCTGTAGTTAATTCTTGAAGTGTCCCTTTACCCCTGTTTAAATGCATGGAGTATCAGAAATTTTGCTTTGACTTTGGTTAGTGGCTTCAAGTGGAAATGATTAGGGCATTACTTGCACAATTTTTCTTTCAAATAATTAACTTCGGTTCCAGTGTCCTGCATGAATAATTTTGGACGTCACATCTCATTCTCAGGATTCTTAATGAATCACACTGTTTGGATTGAACATAATAAATTATAGGGTATGGCTTCTGGCCAACAAAAATTGCCTTTACTTATTTTAAGACACCATCATTAGTACATCCTTCTTGATGCTATTTATCCACCACCCACTACTGAGTCCTTAATAACAGCATTTTTCTTTTTCTGTTTTTGGAATGAGACAAAAAAAATATGTGGTTTACAAAGAATGTTCTTCGGTCATGAGGCATTTACCTCTTCTTTCTCTTACGCATATTTTGTTATCTCTGCACAACACAAATTGTTTTCATTTCATTCTCAGTTATTATTTGTGAGGTTCCATTGTATAGCTGGCTGCTCAAAACATAAGAAAGATGGTATTTTGCCTAAGAATTTGAGTCCAAGTGTGAGGAAAGTATTTTTCACATCACTGCCAGCTTTCATGTAGGAACAGGTCAAAATAATTGTGTGTTCTGTTTTCTTGGAGACATTAAGGGCAGTGTAGCTCCCTCCCCACCCCTGCACAGACATCTAGGCTCATCCACAGTAGATTGTGTCAATGTTTATTCTTCTTCCCCCGAAGGCCCAATGCAGGCTAGGTTCTAACACCCAAAGCTAAATTAAACAGTAAAACAAAGCATCTGATTATATATCCCTTTACATAAACTCTTACACCTGACACTTACACAAACAAGTGCACTGTAGCCCTTAAAATTTTTCCCTTGATAAAAGAACTTGATAATTTCTAGTAGGACACAGCAGATTTCCACAGAAATATGTTACTTGGATGATGGAAATTTGGAGCCCTTGGCACTTCTGCAAATGTCCACAATTTCTTGATCTAGATGGCTTTAACTGGAGCTACATTAACCTGTTTTCCCAACAGTCTTCATCACTTTTCCCCTTCCCCACCCCTCCACTCCCTTTCTCTCTTCCGTGGTTGACCTGTATCTGTTTGGGTATTTGACATTTTGGCCTTTCCATTCATCCTTTATGCATTAATGCCTGCCTATTGAAGTGTTATTTATCTTGCGTTGTGGCATTATTCTGACTTCTGTGGTTAGCTTTATAGATATTGTAAAAAAAAAAAAGATTTTACAAAAATAATATTTTATATTTCTGTAGCTATGTTAGGTGTTTTCGCATTCTTTTAATAGTATTATACCATTAAATATTGAGTTTTCTATTTCATAGTGGTTTGAATACAAGTTTAAAGAACTGAAGGCAGGTTTGGAGGACAGACTATAATTCTCACTGTACTACTCACAAACATAGCACTTGGTTCTTTAACAGATTTTCTTTCAAAATCTACCAAGGAGCTGTTTTCATAAACTGTCTGATTTATGTGAGTTTAGCTCGATTGGGTTTGTGCATACAAAATAATATTGCTACGTTAACAGTTGCAGGTTTATAAATAATGTTGCCTTTGTTTGTAGCCTGGCTTCTAAATATTTAGGAGTGAATATAAGAATTTGAATGATTCCTCAATCCAATTTTATTCATACAGTTTTGTTGTGAGAGTAATAGTTCCAATCGAAAATCATTTTAACAAGAGATTTATTACTCTTAATCAATGACATAATTATCAAGGCAGTGATGCCGAAAGTCTCAGCAGGGATGAATCCCAGCCCTTGGTGTCTTCAGTCTGGAAGTGTTCTTGGCTAACACCCCTCCCACCCTCATCTGCAATCTGTTGTGCAGCTGTTGAAAAGGAGCTCAAAAGATGGTGATGTGATGCTTGGCTGACACATAGATCTGTAGTTCTTGATCCTGATAATTTCAGCATTATCTTTGAGTCAGTTTTATGCTTTATGTCCAACTGTCACTCAAAATAATGTCTGTTCTTGCCCCCCATCACCTTGATCAGAACAAAGATGGGATTTGTCTTATTTTTAAATTGCCATTGTAGTCACAGCAATGCCCTCCTCTACTCAAACTGCAGCAGAATTACGTCCCACCATTTGCTGTGCATTGGTCCATGGAGTCTAATCTACCCCCTGGAGGCCCAAGCCACTCCACTACCCCTCTCAGGGCATCAGGACCTCTTGGATCTCTCTGGTATAGGCAGTGATGCCTCTTGACTTTCACTGCTGCTGCACGATGCTGGAGTGATATGAACAGCAGTCAGCTACTCCCTCTCCAAAATCTCACCAGAAAAAAAATGATAAGTTGTCAGAGGCCTTCGATTACTAATTTTGTCTAGGAGGGTTACTATTTCTTCTTGGTCCATTTTGGTCCAAGACACCTAGGACGTAAGTCCCACTTCAGAGGGTCAGATTATTTGGCTTCATCTGTGACTGTTCATCTTTTCTCTCCCTCAGCAGAGAGACTGTGCGATCTCTTATCCCAGATGGTTAGGAAGAGGCACGGGGAGGGGCAGGGCCATGGCTTCCCTCCCCTGAGCCAGAGGATTCCAAAGTCCATGTGGAAAGGGAAAAGTTTGGAGAGTAAGGCAGATAGATTGAAAAAATGATGGACACCCTCATGCACTCTTCCTCCCACCTCCGTGCTCCACTGGCACGTGCTGCACGAACAGGCAGGGGCAGAAGCGGGAGTCACTTACTGTCTGGACTTCAGCACAAGGAGAACATCTAGAATCGCTTATTGCCATTGCAAAGGCTCATTGGCATGACAGGGAGGCAAGGACTTAAGAGAACACAAGTTACACTGTTTCCAGCAGTCAGCACATCCCTCTTTTTTTAATCTTATGGTGAAACATTTCCTCAATTTATTTATGAAAAATAACCAGGAAAATTTTTCTGATTACAAAAGCAGAATAGATGCATCAGACACACACACATACACACACACACACACACACACGATCTCCTACTAGCCTATTTTAAATGAATAAAGCATATATTCCTTAACACAGGGAAAGTTTTTCATGAACCTGGGTATCTAAATTCTAAGGATGTAAACCAAATATGTAAATGTCTAATTTTAAGATTCATTCACTTTGTTACAGATATTTAATTAACATATTACATAAATGGCATATTAATTTAGATATATAGCATATGTCCACTCTTATGTAAAATAACTTTATTCAGCTATTCACACGTATCTATGGCATCAGAGTGAGTAATCTAACACATTTTTTCCAAGAGTACATTTTCTTCTGTTTCATCTAACTTGTTTCACTTACAGCACTTTTCAATTTGTGACTGATGTTGTCACTGGATATTTTAACATCCAGACACAATACCCATTAGGAGAGTAGGTGTGTACACAATATCACCACTTACCGTTCTAACTGTTTAAACAATCTTTAAAATTTTTCAAGAGCTATGTCATATCAGGAATAAAAATAAATAAATCTAGATTAAGTGTCTTTGTTCTCTTTTTAACCCATTGTGTTACGAGTCCTACATGAACATCTAAAATGACCATCCATTGATGTCATTACAAACTGTATCTTTCCCAAAATAAATGAGATATATCACATATATTCAAACCTGAGAAAACTTGAAAACATTTTACGGACTTTTGGTCCTGAGGGATAATTTGAGAAATGATGGCCAACATTCTGTTCATTTCCCAGAGCAGCCATGACAAAGTACAAGAGACAGAGAGACTTAACCACTATCTTGGAGCCAAGAAGTACAAAACCAAGGTATCTTCAGGACTGGTTTCTTCTGAGGCTTCTCTTCTTTGCTGGTAGAGGGCCATCTTCTCCCCATGTGCTCTCCTGGTGTTCCCTCTGTGTGTGTCTATGGTCTAATCTCCACACCCTATAGGGACACCAGTCACTTTGGATTAGGGCCCACCCATATGACCTCATTTCACATTAATGACCTGTTTAAAGACCCTATCGCCAAATACCATCACATTCTGAGTTACTGGGTTTAGGGCTTCTACATAAGAATTTGGAGGACACTACTCAGTCCATGACGTGGAATAATTACTATAAACTATCAAATACTAATACTATGTGAAAGAAAAAGCTTAAATTTATGTAAGAATATAAACTAATGAATAATATTAAAATAAACATAGTGCCAATTTAAGTTTGCAAAAGAGTGACAACCTTAAAATGTATTGCTTTAAGACATATCTTTTTTTGAATAATCATGTTATATCTCAATTTGGAAAAATTGGAGTTTTATATCCTAGAGCTTCTAATTAGAAAAATTTGAATACCCACCTTTCAAGAAAAAAAGGGAAAAGAGAAAATAATTTACCCCAAATTTAAGAAAATTTTTTTGTTTTAAGCATATGTCAACCGTATTGCCAGAAATGTTTAAGTCCCTACTTTGATTACTGAGTTATGTAAATATTTTAGTAAGCTATATTTAAATAAATTCCTTTACTAAAGATCGTTGTAGAATGCATTATTTAGTTCACATGAAAAGTATGAGCAAAAATGTCATAGTAAAACAAAAAATGAGATTAGAAGTTAATACAGAGGCAAAGCTGATATGTGTGACTATTATTTATCTAGGAAAAATTTTCTTTAAAATACATTAACAGAATCTTTCTGGAGCTCATCAATAACTCATGAAAAACAGATTCATAGTCAATAAATTGTAAGCAAGTTTGATTTGAATATATTAATAGAAATTAAGCCAAATATAAAAGTATAACTTCACACTATTTTTCTATACATTCTCCATGATGTGTCAATACTTCTTCCACAATACAATTTGAGCAGTAGGAATAAAATCATAATAGCAAATACCATTATTCTGAATATGATGCTTACGATTCCTGTTGTTTTCCATTATCTTATTATGAAAAATTGCTAACATACATAAACATTAAATCAACTTTATCATGAATAACACTTGCTATAGTTCAAATATTTGACTCTCTAAACCTCGTGTTGAAGTTTGATTCCCATTGTTGGCAGTGGGACCTAATGGATGGTGTTTGGGTCATGGAGAAGATTCCCCATAAATGGTGAGTGCCATCCTCATTGTAGTGACTGAGTGCTCACTCTAGTCATTCTCACCAGAGCTGGTTGTTAATAAGAGCCTGACACCTCCTCCCTGGCACCTCATCCTCCCTGTTTTCTCTCTCACCAGGTAATCTCTGTACACATCAGCTTCCCTTCGCCCTCCACCATCAGTGGAAGCAGCCTGAAGCCCTCAGCAGAAGCAAGTGCTGATGCCATGCTACCTGTGCAGCCTGTAGAACTGTGACCCAAGTAATAAACGTTTTCTTTCTTTCTTTCTTTCTTTTTTTTTTTTTTTTTTTTTTTTTTTGAGACAGGGTCTCTCTCTGTTGTCCAGACTGGAGTGTATCCGTTTTCTTTCTAAATTGCCCAACCTCAGGTATTCCTTCATAGGAACATGAACATATTAAGGCCGCCAAATACTAACCATTTAGACTTTACAATTAGTATTGCCAAATACTAACCATTTAAATTTTACAATTAGTATTTATTTACAATTGTAGCCACCTATCTGTCCCGCTATTCATGTATTAACCAATTTTACTTTCTGATGTTTTAACAGTAAGTTGCTGACATCAGTACACCCCTAAATGCTTCGGCAAGCACGTAATTTTGAGTATAATATGTTATATTTTTTCCCTTTAAAGGTAAAATTCACATACAATAAGATGCACAAGATGTAAGTTTATCTTTTGATAAGTTTTGACCATGTACATACCTGTGTAATCCAAGCCTCTAAAAAGATAGAGAATATTTTTATCACTCCGGAAAACTCCTGATGCTGCTTTCTAGTCAATCCCCACCTGACCCGCCCTAATGCAATTACTACTCTGATCTTTTTCTGCCATAAGTTATACTTGCTCTAGAACTTTATAGAAACAAAAGCATTTGGCATACATACCATACTTTTTTAAAATAAAGCTTCTATTACCAAAATATTTTGAGATTCATTCATGTTGTAGTTCATTTTCTTCTTTTTCTTTCTTTCTTTCTTTCTTTCTTTTTTCTTTCTTTCTTTCTTTCTTCTTTCATTTATTTTTATTTATTTATTAAGAGACAGAGTTTTCGGCCGGGCGCGGTGGCTCACGCCTGTAATCCCAGCACTTTGGGAGGCCGAGGCGGGTGGATCATGAGGTCAGGAGATCGAGACCATCCTGGCTAACAAGGTGAAACCCCGTCTCTACTAAAAATACAAAAAAATTAGCCGGGCGCGGTGGCGGGCGCCTGTAGTCCCAGCTACTCGGGAGGCTGAGGCAGGAGAATGGCGTGAACCCGGGAGGCGGAGCTTGCAGTGAGCCGAGATTGCGCCACTGCAGTCCGCAGTCCGGCCTGGGCGACAGAGCGAGACTCCGTCTCAAAAAAAAAAAAAAAAAAAAAAAGAGACAGAGTTTTCACTCCTGTTACCCAGGCTAAAGTGCAATGGTGACATCTTGGCTTACTGCAACTTCCACCTCCTGGGTTCAAGCGATTCTCCTCCCTCAGCCTCCCAAGTAGATGGGATTACAGGCAAGCACCACCATGCCCAGCTAGTTTTGTATTTTTAGTAGAGATGAGGTTTCTCCATGTTGGTCAGGCTGGTCTTGAACTCCCAACCTCAGTTCATCCGCCTACCTCAACCTCCCAAAGTGCTGGGGTTACAGGCGTGAGCCACCGCACCTGGCCGGTAGTTCATTTTCTTTTAACGTCCAGTACCATTTCATCATATGAGTAAGTCATATTTTGTTTATTTCATTCTGTAATGATGGACTCTTGAGTTGTTTCTAGTTTGGGATTATTATGCATAAATGTGCCATAAATATTGTTCTACAGGTATTTTGTGGATATTTGTTTTTAACTTTTAAAATGTGCCAACAATAAATGGACATTTTCTACATTAAAAATAGTTGTAGTATGTTTAAATATTTTTTAAACTTTTTTTAAAGCTTTAAGTAATTAGTGACACATTATAAATATCATTTTGATAATTAATTTCATGTGCTTACCAAAATGGCCTGTGGGCTGAAACCTAGCACCCGTCCTGTGTTGCAGAACCGTCACGCTCACTCATTCCCATGTTGTCTGCATTGCTTGGGTGCTACAATGGCACAGATGAGTAGTTGCAACAGAACCTTTATGACCTACGATTTCAAAAATATTTACGACGTTCCCATTATAGAAAAAAAAATTGTTTGCTATATATTTGTTTGCATGATTATAGCAAATAGTAGTTACAAATATATCTCTAAAGAAGGACTTTCATACAATCTGAAGTTTTACTTTTATTCAACCTTACGATGTTTCAAAGATCTTCTCCCATCTCAAAACTGGCCTTTCATTCTATTCCTGATGGTCGCTCAGGGACCTAGAAATAAAAGTACGGGAAAATCATGGACAAGGCAGTCTGGACTGAAGGTTTGTTGCTGGACGTATGGGAGTGGTCACCAAGTTTGAGGACTGTCACAGCACATGCTTAATGCTCACTAGCAGGCATCCACTCATCCACTCAGGGGCAGTCACCGAATAGCTAAGCAGAAGATAGAACTCAACCATCTGACATTATCCATCCTTCCTCATCAGCGACTCCAGAACTTGCCAATGGAAGAGAGTGGCTGCAGTGGCAGACACAGTGGGTGTGTAGTGACCAAGCTAACCACTGCAGCCCTTGAGTGTCCATCACCATTAACAGAGAATGACCGTAGGCGATATTCCTCACAGAGACCAACTAGGTTCTTGATGGAAAGTTGATTGGTTGGCCTTCCACCCTGGAAGAACTAGTATCTCATCCTTGTATTACTAAAACACCAAGGGTTTGGACTAGGTCCTGCTTTTCACCACTCAGAAAGCCAATGTCTGAAACAATGATTATTGACAAGGAAGAAGGCTTTGATCAGGTGCTGCAGCCAAGGATATGGGAGCTCAGTTTCAAATTCAACTCCCTGACTAGCTAAAACTGGGGGATTTATATAGCCAGGAAGAAATGTAACAATGTGTAAGACAACGGGAACTAGGGAGGGGCAAGGAGGCAATCATGATGAATGAGGAGGCGGCATCCCATTGCCTGGATGTGTTGATCTGGTAAGTTTCACTTCTTTGATATTATTTTTGAGAAGACTGAAGGTTGTTTACTGAGGAAATAACACAGATGAAACTAATAAAAGTTTCAAGCTTTAAGACCAGAAAGGTCAGCTTTTATGTCTATCAAAAGAACTATCTATGGGACCATTGGTTTGGTTTCATTTGGAAGCATAATTATCTATCCTGGGAAAGGTTTGTCTTTCCTGCCTACAGAGCGTAGCTGGTACCACTAATTGGAGGCCGCCAGTGTCTGGCAGAAAGTCCCTTCAATTTGTACCTGCTTAAGGATCCACTTCACAGTGAGGGATGTGAGGTAATGGACTTGCGACCACGGGCTTTACTGATCGTATCACACACTATGCCATCTGGATGTAGCCTCACTGAAAAGCAGGTGGAAGGCATACCTAACATACGAGCTGGGATCTGGGACCATCATCCCCCATGAATAATACACATTGACACAGGCCTCTGTATGTTTTAAAAAATTCAACATGGAAGATCTATATTTTAGTAAGTTTAATGGTTCAGTCAGTATATTTACTTATTTCCCTGATGTTATTTATATACACATATATATTTATGCTTTTTATTTACCAAGTTTTTTCCTTTTTTAGTCCCTTTTTTAAAGGAAGAGTGCTGGAAGAATACCTGGGTCCCAGAGCCAAGTGATGGAAGCAGGAGTGGCCTAATTTATCACCAATTCCATTACTTATTAGAGGTCTTTGATCTTTCTGTTTCTACAATTCTGGGTTGTGCAGAGTAACAGGACATGTTCCCCAAACACGCACTCTTACCAGGAGACACAGAAAAGCTCCCCTTGATCTACTAGCTATAGCTGCTACCTGAGCACTCTGGACTCCTTGTTTCCAAGGACAACTGGACAAGAAAAGGAGTCACCGTCTTCTTAGGTTACCATACCTGATTAGTGGGAGGAGGTCATATCTACACAATGCAGAGAGGAATACCTGTGAAGCCCAGGGGATCCACTGGGATGCCACTGGCTACTCCTTTCCCAAGGGAGTGACTCTGGGTGGACAAGTACAGCAGCCTCAGTCTGAGAAGGGTTTCAGCATCAGGGCCTGGACCTCTCAGGAATGAGCATTTGGGTCATCCCTCCAGATCAGATACCAACTACAGAGGCAACGAGGGGAATTTGGAACTTGCCTAGAAGAAAGAGGAGGCACTCCAGCTGCAGCCCCTACTCGCTGCACTGATGACTGGTGTGCTTTGTTCCACTCACCCCACTCTTCTAAGTTTCCTTCAGGAACAGGGCCAACAGGTCACAGAGAAATAGAGAAGTGGATTTTTGAGGGATGGACTGCAGGGCAGCTTTGCTCAGAGCATGTCCACCACAGGATTCCTGCTGAACCTATGCTCTTGCCATGTGGCTCCCAGATGCTGAGTGATTAGGAGCAAGGTGGAAGGGCTGGGCCAGGCTTCCCCAGTGTAGTGCCTCAGTGTAGCACCAATGGACAGTCTTTGTTCCAAGGCTTCCATCAATTAATTTCTCCGGGCTGCCTTGCTGTCCGAAGATCTTCTCAATTTACTTTGTTTCCCTCTTTTCCTTGCTAGGTATCTCCACTCAAACCTGAGTCTCAACCCACCTCTGCCTGCTCCCTCCTCTCTTTTCTCTGGTCAGCATTTTCTTGACTACTTTATGTCTTTAACATTTACGTATCTCTTTTAAATGTCCCGTAAATTAAGTTTTAAAAAATTCAATATGGAAGATCTATAGTTTAGTAAGTTTAATAGTTCAGTCAGTATATTTACTTATTTCCCTGATGTAATTTATATACATATATATATTTATGCTTTATATTCACCAAGTTTTTTCCTGTTTTAGTCCATTTTTTAACTTTTTATTTGATTATTCAAGTTTTACTATATACTTTGCCTTCTATTGGCATGAAAATTATATATTATATTCATTATCTTTTAGTGGAATCTTTTAAATGCTAATTTATATACTTGATTTTAAGACATTCTAAACTTAATTACTATTTTAAATGCCTCCCAAACAATATAATGACCTTGAAATGCATTAATTGCAAAGATTCTTCTGTGATCCTCTAAATTTTTGTTATTCAGTATTTAATTTCAATATTATTTTGAAAACTTCAATACCACCATCATTATCATCATCATCACTTCTTTGCCATATGTGCAATGCTTATTTTATCAGTTTATTTTCTCTTTTTGTTGTTTCATCATTAAATGAAGTTTTGTGAGTATTAAACTATCTCAGCTTTTTTTGATAGTATCTTTGTTTTGAATACACTTATTCTTGAAAAATGATTTAGCTATGTAGAGATCAAAACAGTTTTAGGCTTCAAGAACTTTTAAAATATTAAATTGTGGTTCTCTTTCTTGTTTTCACAGCATCCTAGCAACCTAATGTCATTCTTTTATAATCTTTTTTTGTATCTCTTCTGAAGATATTGGCATTTTGGTTCCTTTTAATGATTGTATATCTGTGAAATATTTTATCCCATATGTGTTCACTAGGCTTTCTCACACAGAAGATTCAAACTTTTCATGAATTTTGGAAAATGAGCCGTCATAACATTTTCCAATATGACCTCTGCTCTACCCTATCTGAGAGGTCTGCTGCAACACAATTTAGTGTATAATTGGATTTTCTCTATTTCTCCCTTAATGTATAAAGTATGTCATTCATATCATCATTTCCTTAGCCTTTTATATTGTCTTCTGAGTGGTTTACTCAAATCTGTTATCCAATTTACTAATTGTCTCTTTCACTATGTCTAATAATCTTTTTCACTCACTTGGTGAGCTTTTTATTTCAGACTAAATTTTTCCATGCATAGATATTCTACTTTGTCCTTTTGAGCCTAATGGTTCTGTTTTGTTATAAATTTCTTATATTTTTTTTCTTTTAATCACTTGGATGATACATTCTAGATCTAAAAACTCCTATTAACTTTGAGTTTACTTCCATCCTTTAATATGTTTGCAACTTTCACTTATTTGGCATTTTATTCGAATGTAAGTTGTCATTTGGATTGAAGTTTTATCTTCATCAGGGTTTTATTCATAAAATTCCTGGCAATCCAGATAGAGGACATGCACCTCCAAGTTGGTTTTGTCAAGTTGCTTCAGGAATATTATCAGTGTGAGCCTTATTTTTATGTTAAGTATTCAGATTAAGGTTTCTTGACCACACTTGTAGTGAATTTTTAATATAGCAAACTTAAAATCATTGAGACTCATTGGGCTAGTAAATTTATAGTATTTAATAGTTCTAATAATTCAGAGGGCTAGAAAATTTGTTATATTCAATAGCTTAAATAGTTCAAACCCCAAACATGCATGTGCTTCATGTCTGCAGTAAAACTTCCCCAGGGAAGACTTCTGTTCCCTTCCCAAGTCCAAGTTATACTCTCATAGCATTTGTTTTCTACCATACACTTTTACTGAAGACAAAAGTCTTTATAGTTTTATTGCAGATCCCAACCTCATGTGGGGAAACAGTTGGTAACATAAGGTTACCAACTTTGCAATAGGGAAAGTAACCTGGGGTGGGCTCATTTGAGTTACTTGAGCCTTTAATGGCAAATAACTAGGATCAGAGAGACGCAGTAAAAAGGGAAGTCAAGAATATTCCAAGCATGAGAAAGATTTAAGGTACTTTTGCTTTCTCTGATATGTAGGGATCCATGTGCAGAAAACAGCAAGAGGACTCTAGAAACTAAGGACAGTCAGCAACTCAGAAACTAAGGACAGTCAGTTGAGAGCAAGCAAGGAAAACTGGACCTCAGTCCTACAGCCACAAGGAAGTTGATTCTGCCATCAGCCTGATGAACTTGCTGGCTGCTTCTCCCCAGGTCCCTAACAGGAACGCCTTCCTGCCACACCTTGGTTTTACCTCCTGAGCTTCCCAGCAGAGGACCTAGCTAAGTCACGTGGTGCTGGGACTTCTGTAACCAATAGAACTGCAAAACCATCAAGCCTGTAATCCCAGCACTTTGGGAGGCTGTAGCAAATGGATCACTTGAGCTTAGGAGTTCAAGACCAGCCTGGCCAACATGGTGAAACCCCATCTCTACTAAAAGTACAAAAATCAGGTAGGCATGGGGGTGCACACCTGTAGTCCAAGCTATTCAGGAGGCTGAGGCATGAGAATTGCTTGAACCTGGGAGGCAGAAGTTTCAGTGAGATGTGATCATGCCACTGCACTCCAGCCTGAGCATCAGAGTGAGACTCTCTCTCAAAAAAAAAAATTAAATTAAATTAAAAATAAATAAATAGAGCTATGAGATCAACCTACAAATTGGACGCTTATGCTACTAAATCTGTAATAATTTATTATAGCAGCAAAAAGAAAAAAAAACTGATTCAGCCCAATTTGGTTATTCTGTGTACCATGGGACAAAAAATAACTATGTTAAAAGGGCAGAAAACCACATGTGGTCCCAGTTTATTTCCTTTTTAATATTCCATTATTTTGACATATTAAAAATATGTCTAATTTGACATATGTCAATGTAAATGGAAGTAAGAATTTCAAAAAGAAAAGAGAGAGAAAGAATAAAGGTAGGAATGTCACTGAAGGTAATTAGAAGCTTGTATATTTACTAAACTCTTTCAATAATTTTTGAAATCATATACCAGGGTAAAATCTGTATGCTGATAAAAAGAAAAATCATGGAAGCAGTACGGGTGGAATATTTTGTTGATAGAGGAGATTATTCTCTACAGGACAATTTAATGCATCAAACTCTCAGGAAATAGTAAAGGAGTTTAAAATGTATACTTTATATATTTAAAATATTTCATAAGTCTTGTCATTCCACAGATGCAAGAAATAGTGAACACAATAGTTTATGAGAAGTAAATTAAGCGTTGTAAAACATATGATTGACAAAAGGCCTTTCAGATATTTCAAATATAGAAAAATACATCCCGTGGCTATTTCTAGATACTCATGAAAAAGAAAAAGAAGAAAAATATATCCCAAAAATAAAGATGGGTCAAATAGTATAAAGAAATAAAGCAACTTAGTTTGGATGTTTATGAATATCAAAAACAACTATTTTGCTCTGATATTCTGTAGTTTAGCTTTAAAGAATATATTAAAAATTTTTTACAAGCATGCAAATATTTCCAGATTTCTTTTCATATTCAAAAGTAACTATCAATTTCCAGAAAATGTAAGACATTATCTTGTTTGCCATATAGCCATGATAGTGAATATGACAATGGTTACATAACTCTCTGTTACATAACTCAACTTTATACATAAATAAAGATGAGTAAAATGAGGAACAGAAACCTGATTATCAGTGACTGCCTTTCTATAAGATTGCATTTGTATGCACTGACATTACCTTTATGGGTTCCAACATTTTATTGCTATGGTCATACTGTTCCAAGGAAAACATATAAAAAAGTTATGTGCACTGTAATTCTAATCTCCTTACAGAAAATAGGGAAATAGATTGCTCACTAGAATGCATCAATATAAAATATACACTCAAAATATTATTTAAAGGCCATATCACTTCTAAAATGTGTCATCTTAATTGGAGCTCTGTATTTCAAATTCTCTCTACTAATTTTCTTTTTGTGATATTAATACAAAAACCAATGTATTAGTAGCAATCATACTTTTTGGAATTTAAACTAATATACACATATGTTAGTTTATTTAATTTTTTTTGTTTTTTTTTTTTTGAGGTGGAGTCTTGCTCTGTCACCCAGGCTGGAGTGTGGTGGTACAATCTCGGCTCACTGCAACCTCCGCCTCCCGGGTTGAAGCAATTCTTCTGCCTCGGCCCTCCCTGGTAGCTGAGACCACAGGCACACACCACCACGCCCGACTAATTTTTTTTGTATTTTTAGTAGAGACGGGGTTTCACCACATTGATCAGGCTGGTCTCGAACTCCTGACCTCATGACCCACCACCCCCCCCCGACCCCCGGCCTCCCAAAATGCTGGGATTACAGGCTTGAGCCACCGTGCCTAGCCTATTTAATTATTTAATATAGATTAGCTTAAATATATATATATAGAGAGAGAGAGAATGTGAAGATACATGCTGTTCTAAGAATGTACAAGTTGGAATATGGTATAGTGAAATCTTTGCTGCCACAGAAGAAACAAGAGCCAGATTTGGAAGGAAGAAGAAGACTCATGGGTCCCAGAGAGGAGGTTGCCACATACCACCCAAAGTTACAGTGTCAAACACCAGGGTAGTCAGGAGGCAGAAGACAGGAGTGGGGAGAGAGCTTAGGCCATGGCCTCTATTGGGGTTTCCATAGAAAGACATGGCAGGGCAGGCTAAGTATTTCAAGATTGTCTGGTTTGAATGATTTTGGTGGGCTTTAGGATATATGGTGGTCTCTAGTTGCCTGGGAAGTGTCCGCAGGATGACCAAGGCAGAGGAATATTGCCTTTAGGTTGTATGCAACAGGTAAAAGAGGTGTGTTGGGTAAGGGGTGCAGGATTGGTTAGTTTGCATCTGAAAGGCATGCTTCAGCTGGGCAGGTCCCTTGCCACCTCTAAGTATGAACTAGCCCCAGAAGAGGCAGTCTCTCCCCAGATATAATTTTTTTTTAATATATCTAAGCCTCATAAAGTATAGATAAATAAATATATATATATATCTACATTACACATGCATATGGTCACAATGTTGATAATATAAAAAAACTGTAAACAAATCAAATGCCAAATACTAAGGGACTGCTTGAAAATATTGTCTTCACTAAAATAATACAGCATATAAAAAATTAGTGATTATTCAAAGCCTAATAGTTTCTATTTCTTTCACTGCATTTATTGTTTTAGTATTTTCGTATCAGTAAAAATGATGATGTTCATCTGAAAAATATTTGCAAGAATAGCCAACAAAATCTTGAAAACAGAAGAATAATGCAAAAACTTGCTATTCCATGTGGCAAAATATAATCAAGTGCTTCTTGATTAAACGAGAAAATACTAGACAGAAATGGAATAACAGATGAGTCCAACAGAGAATCTAAGAAATACAGCAACAACAAGCAATCATAGAATCTGCAGGTAACATGCCAGTTTCTGGTGTTAAAGAATGAGCAAGCGTAGACCCAGCTCTTGTATGCTTGGAGTTTGAGTTTAGTTGGAATGAGGGAAACCAGATGTGAATCCAGTAATTTCTTACGCAAATACAAATTTGGAATTACTCCATTACTACAAGTAGAATGTAGAAGAGATACACAGTAATAAAATAAACTCTAATATGGAGATTCAACTAATCAGAGAGATATGAGAGGTCTTGTTTTAATGTGTAATGAATATCACAAGACTGTAAAAGAACAAAGAGAAAAAAGAGTAATCGAGAGAGGAAATAGTATGAACATGAAGTGTGGGTTGAGAGAAGCATACCAACATGAGAGACAGAAGACGAATGTACAGTTTGCATAAGCAATGAGAATGAATGGAGGTTGTGATGGGCCTTTGGTGGAGTGAAAGGAGACCATTGAGGTTGCATCATGTAGATCCTTTTACAGAATATTTATTTATTGGAGAAGACATGGTTATTATTTGAAATTTTTCTGCAAAGCTGAGAATGACGATAAGATTTGTACTTGGAAAAGTTCCTTATGGCTGCAGAAGGATTTACTGGAGAGTTTGGAGGTGGAGGTTTTTTTTTTTTTTGCAGTAGGATGTGTGAAATGGAACCTAAGTGCTGATGGGGGTTGAATGAGGGATGGAGGGGATTTTCATACTCAAAGTGACAACTTGGCAAATAAATGGTGCATCTAGTCATTGTCCATGGAGGAAAATGGAAGCCACTGTAGGCATTTGAAACACATCTTTAATTTAAGAATGATTAAAAACATTAAAAGCATTGATGGAGCAGTACAGAGAAAGATGGGTGCCTGGCATGCTGTGCCACTGAATGCAACCCATGTGCCACCACTCACCATGAGCAGCTGCCGCTCCTGCTGGATCTGCCCAGCCACTAGGCCAGCACCCAGGTACCAGGACAGCTGCTCATGCCGCTGAAATCAGCACCAAAGCCCCCTCGTCTGCAGCCACTCCCATTCTGAGGGTGATCAGAGCAGAAACACACATGGTTTCCTCATTCCTCCCACCTCCCGGCACCCGCAGGAACCTCCCATATCAGAGCCTATCAGGAAGTCATCTAATACTGCATCTGGGGAACACAGCTTGTTGGCTTCCCAATCTCTTGGTATGCAAAGGAGTATGGAAAAACTGGAGAGGAACTGAAAACCCTCAGAAACATAACTAATGTAGGAAACTATGTGTTTTGTTGTTGTTGTTGTTGTTGTTTGACGGAGTCTCGCTCTGTCGCCCAGGCTGGAGTGCAGTGGCACAATCTCGGCTCACTGCAAGCTCCGCCTCCCGGGTTCACGCCATTCTCCTGCCTCAACCTCCCGACTACAGGCGCCCGCCATCACGCCCGGCTAATTTTTGTATTTTTAGTAGAGATGGGGTTTCATTTTGTTAGCCAGGACGGTCTTGATCTCCTGACCTCGTGATCCACCTGCCTGGGCCTCCCAGAGTGCTGGGATTACAAGCGTGAGCCACCGCGCCCGGCCGAAACTATGTGTTTTAAGATGCTAAATTTGTAAAAAGCCAAATCTTAGCATTAAATCATGCAACAAAACTTCCAAATGGTTCAAGTCCTAAATGAAATATAATTTGATAAAAATATTTTCTTAAATGAAAGAATATATATTTGTATAATCTTGAAATGGGAAACAGGACTTCCAAACACAACTTAAAACATAAAAGTCAGAAATGAACATACAGAGTTTTGAGCCAATATTAATTTAAAAACAAAACAGAAAAGTCAGATTGGGCACACACAGAATACATATAGAATTCTACGTATAATAACTAAGCACATGAAAATATGCGAAGATGAATGAGCAGGGCATTCGGAAGTGAACAAGTACAAAGGGCATGCCAACATGACTGAAACTTGAAAATATAGTTCATAAAAATTCAATCTATTTGTGCTGGCTACTAACAATCAAATCTGTTTCCCCAGAAGGAGTGGGAAGTTAGGTAGCAGTGAATATCATCAACTTGGCACTACTTATCATAATAATAAGTATATATCTAAATAATTAACAAAACCACATGCTTATAAAATAAAATAATAATAATATTAATATAGTAAAAATAATAATGAAGAGAGGAGCAACACATGGTCTGTCTGATCCACCCTAAAGCATAGGTTTTGGAGGTATCTAACCTGAGCTTGTGTGTTTGAAGGCATCTGGGTCAATATACTATCTAGCTACCATTTCTTTCAGCTCCTGCAAAGAAACCACATGGTTGTAAAGCCATATTGTCATTCTTGTCACTGGAATTGGCACAGCTTCCTGAAAAGAAATCCTAGAGGGAACATCACATTGGAATTGACTTCCTAAGTATTGGATCCTTGTGTACCTGAAATGGTCCACCCTCTCCACTGTCCCAGAGTAATGATTAACAGAACTCCTTTTCTTAAAATTGCCTCTGTTTCAATGACTAACTGCATGTTTATTTATCTATATCATTGAAGTATTAATTATTAAACTGCATGTATTTCTTACAGAGCCATGAAGAATATTATTTTTAGGTATTTACAAATTTTTATATTATTTTATTCTGACTCCCCCCTCCACCCCCCAATGTTATCATTTCCACTTAAAACAAAATTTGATATCCCTGCACTGGGCAACAATCCATAGATGATCTGATTACCAGCTGCTGCTAAACTGCGTCTCTCCTTTTGTCACCTCTCACAGAATGCCAGATGCACTAACTCGATGGTGCCTGGAATACTCCCTGCATGCCAAACACGCTTTCCCCCTTATTTCCTCTCCCTAGAGAGTGATTTCCCTAGATGTCTGCGTGACATTCTCCCTCACTGCATTCTGGTGTCTATTGCAGTATCACCTCAAACAGCATTTCCTTATCTAAAATAACTTGGGCCATCACTCACTGTTTATTTAATAGACATTTTTATAGCACTCATATAATTTAATATCTTAGGTATACACTGTGTATGTATGCATTGTTTCTTATTTATAATAGTCTTTGAAGGCAGAATATTTACTTACTTTAATTACATAGAACATCATGTAGAACAAGACACATATAAGTCCATAATAAATACATATTAAATCAATGAATGTATACATCAGCATTAAACAAGTTAAAAGGATATTATATACCTATATATTTGGGATGATGGGAATTGGGGTGATCTTATTTTCTTTTTGTTTACTTGTATTTTAAATTTGTTTTTGCAATAATTGTTAGTCATATAAAAAAAAGGAAAGAAGGGAAGAAAAAGGTGTCATTGTAAAACCAAACTGTTAGGAATAAATACTGTTTGTAGAGTACTAGAATTTGCTAGGTGCAGTTCTAACTGCTAAATATTTAGTAACTCATGTCACCTCCACAGCCTTGTGAGGCACAAATTGTTACTATGCCCATTTCATAAATGAGGAAACGGATTCACAGAAAGTATAAGTTGTTTGTTCAGTTACTAAGGGGGTAATGAGGCTTTGACCTCAACAGGCTCTATTTAGAGCCTGCCGTTACCCCTACGCTAGGCTCACGACCCAGCAGAGTTTGAAAGACAGACCCCTGCCTCATGTGTGTCCACATTACCATAGAGTATTAAAACCAAGCCAGCTTCTGGCCAGACTTTCTCATTATGCATGGACCTGGAGCCTGGACATTCTCTAAATTTACTAGGAGAGCTTCCGCTCATTGCCGCCAGCAGCGTGTGAATACTGTAGTCTTTTTGTGGGTTCAGAACTTGTCCCAGGTGGGACTTTTGGCAGTTTCAATGGTAATTACATGAAATATGTTATCTTCAGCTGCTTTTATATTCATGGGCATGGACTGTCTTTCTAAGCGTAAAGGATAAGGCCAAAGAGAATGGTTCACAAGGGTGACAATGAGCTTGATTATTCATCTTCTGCTGATTCTGAAAATGCCTGGTTAATTTCAACTGTTTATTAAGAAAATGTCTCATTGTGGGAACTGAAAAGGAACAGCATTACTTTGTTCAGAGCAATGAGTTTGGCCTGACCCATCCTGTCACCTGACACCTTGTTCTTATCACAACCAGGCAGGATTAGAATATCTTTAGCCTCAACACCTCATAGTAATTCTTTCTTTACCACTGGTATAATTTGTGTTCCTGGGCCCCAGTCAAGTAGTTTTTAATGGATTTGCTTCTTTTAGAAATGAAAAGAAATAAACTCAGTGTACACTTCCAGATTGTCTGTGCCCCCCGACTGGCTAAAATTAATGTGGCACAGTAGCATGTCCATCTTCATTTGCAGTAAAGGGAATTGAATGTGCTTTTCTGGAGGGTTCTGCGCACAGCCAGAGGGCGAGGTTAAAGAAACGAGGTAGCATTGGTAACAAAGAGGGCTCTAATAATTTTTTTAAAGACTTGTCTAATCTCAGCTTTGAATAAAGATGTGAGACCTCTCTGTTCAGCCCTTTTAATGAACAGCATGGATCTTTAGATCATCTCAGGAGAAAGGACTCCTTTTTTCCATTATAAAGAAGTACTTTAGTAGAACGTTTGATAATGAGATGCAAAAGCCCGTCTGCAGAGTCTCTTTTATTACAGTCCTCAAATAAAAGTGGCTGCTTGCTATATTACCCTCATTTTTCCCGTTAGAAAATAAACAATCGTTTGACCGTGGATCACAAATAGATTTAGGGAAATTCTGTCTGCTGCACAAAATTGGTGCTGGAATCACACAGACTCATACACAATTGAAAAGCAACCACTTGTCTAAACATATAGATTGGGAGGAAGGTGGAAGTTGCTACTCCGAGAAAGTTTTGGAAAGAAGTAGGAAAAAAAAGACAGACACTATGGCTTACTTCCTGCTTTCCTAGCAGTTGTCTCTGAAATGGAGCTTCTGACTTTTTTTAAATATTAAAATAGCAATTACATTATATCTTCCTCTAAAGCTGTAAAGGTAGTTATCCTTGTTAAAATGGGGCTTGGAAAACAAATTCAAGACAAAACTGCCTGCCAGGTGTGCTCCAGTGATTTGTCATTCATGAAAGATTTCCAAAAGATAGAAATGCACTTTTTAACTTTGTGTGTGTGTGTGTGTTTGTGTGTGTTTAGTATTATTCATCTCATTGGCTGATCCCTTTAACACATTAAGAATATGGGACATACATGGGAGGACTTGCTTGGGCATGGGGACATCAATTTAGAGAATTAAATCAGTTTATTTCCTACCATGTAGTTCAATTCATTCTCATTAAGATGTTTCATTTCTAAAACTATGAAGTTATCATCCATCAGTGTCATTGTCATTCTCATTCTGCATGATTCACACTGACTTTGTATGTACTTAAGAGTCTGAGAAAACTAAAGGTCTTTGCTGGGGTCTTTATGCAAATGAAATATAAGCTCCCAAATTTAAGAAAACATTATCCCTAGTCTTCTGAAAATGACCTTATGAACTGGAAATTCATGAAAGCAAAAACATTACTTTTGGGCCAAGCAGAGACAAAAATTCTGCATGTCAGTCTTCTTACACCGGTCAAGGGTCTTTTTGTCAAAGGCAAATTACACTGGGTAAGTTAACCAGGCAAGAAAGACTTTATTCAAAGCTATTGCAGCAGAGGAAAGAGATCAAGCTCAACCAAGCTGAAATGACAGCCATGAGAGTAAAAGTGCTGGGGTGAGTGACGGAAGGGGTATGTCCTGAAAGACATGAGAGTGGAAGTTGGCCGATGGGATCATGCCATCTCTGTTTGCTAGTTGGTGTGTATTAGAGTTGGACTCTGACCCTCAGGCAGAGAATGGAAGGCAGGCTGTCTTCCTTGATGATTACATTTTACAAGAATGGCTAACAGGTCCTTGAAAAAGATTCCTGGATTGTAAAACTGGAAAGACGTTGGGTGAAGATGTACATTTTAAACGGGCAGAAAAAGATTGTATAATTGCAAGCTTCCTTAACACTCTAAGAAAAGAGATCAGCGGCTAGAGTTAGGAAGAAACCTGTCTAAAGTTTACTCAAGCAAGAGTAACAGCAGCAAGGCTGTCATAACAACATTACACGCAGTGTCATCCCCTCAGCTTCTGAGTTGTATTTTTTTTTAGTGTGAAGTATTTGAAATCCTTATTGACTAAATAGCAAATATTTAACAGTAACATACATATAGTTTTCATTGTATTCTTATTCACTCAAAATAGACAAATCAATTAAAATAGTGAAGAAGTAACATCTAGCTGGTAACATCTTCAGTAAAGTAAGAGATAAATAATCCCATAAGCATCAAAGTATGGTTGTCACGAAAACACAGACAGCAACAGGACCTGTGAGTGATAAGCAGATATGCAACCCCAGTTGCAAAGAAAATGAGGAGAAAGGAAACCAGATTGCAAAATGAAATTCATCCCTAAAAGAAGAACATCTCAGGCTGAGTAAAGTCTAGGTTAACAAATCTCAAATAATCAGCAAGGCTGGGAGAACGTTTTATGAGTTCCAGGCTTTCAGTAAGCAAAGTGGGACCACAAGGAGCCAAGGATTGGAATATACAACAAAATTGGAATAGTCCAAAGTTTCTTGAGTCCTCAAAAATTTCGGAAATACTCAACAAGTCCTTTTAGAAGGACAGAAATGCAACAGGAAGTAATTTTTTAAAATTGCTTGAAATGGAATCTAAATTGAGTAAGGCAGAAATGTTGAAGAATTTCAGGCAGAAGAAACGTCAGATGCCAAGCAGAAAAGAGGCACAGACGCAGCAGAACTAAAATATGCTGAAACAGAAAAGTACAATATTTCAAGGTGAAAGCTCTGCCTTAAAAGACAATGTTGGTAGAGTTCTGGAGTTACAGAGCTAGAGACCAGAAGAGTGTCTGAATCAGGCTTGATCCTGCAAATGAGATAAATAAGTACACCAAAGGCCATGGGGTTTAATATGTTACATCGTCAGAGAAGAGCAACTTTCCAATTTGTAGCTGGGAAGGCTGTGCTTGCTCACCCCACCCTTTACGCTAGGACACTTTCTAATCTCCCTCACATGCCCCTATTATTCACAGGTGAGCAGCAAGCAGGAAAATTATTAAAGCCACATAAATATATACAAGCAAACAGAAAACCAAACACCGCCTGTTCTCACTTATAAGTGGAAGCTGAACAATGAGAATACATGGACACAGGGAGGGGAACAACACACACTGGGGCCTCTGGGAGAAGAGGGATGGGGGAGGGAGAGCAACAGGACAAATAGGTAATGCATGTGGGGTTGAATGCTTAGGTGATGGGACCACCATGGCACACATTTACCTGTGTAACAAACCTGCACATCCTGCACATGCATCCCAGCACTTAAATTAAATTACATTAAAAAAAGGCAAATTTTTAAACAAATTTTTTAATAACAAATATTTATTATCAAAAAAAATAATCCAACAGGTCATACAGAGACCGAATAAAGGGTGGTTGCACAAGAGAGAAAACATGTACACCAATGTATCAAAATATGCCAAAGGAAATATCAGAAAACACAACAAAACAAAAAGCTATGAAAAATCACCATAAGACAGAATGAGAACAACTGAAAAAGAAGAAATGAAACAAAAAGTGGCTACGAGAAAATCAGTGACAAAACGGAAATAAAAAAGGCGAGAGAAAAATTTATAAAACAAGAGTATAGTGGTTGGAGTCAAGAGCAAATAGATGCAAACAAGAATAGGAAAATAGAGAAGAGAAAGAGACGAGTCAAATAATAAAACTAGACATAAAGAAGGATGTGAAAGACAGCGATGGACATACAGAAAAAGCAAAGGAGTTAAAACATACACAGATTTAAAGTCACTGGGAAGAGTCCCTAAATATAAACCAACAAATTCTTAAAACTTTAAGCCAGAAAGTTTTCTAAAACATAAAAGGATATGTACGTAGGTCTAAAGATTGAATGAAAAAATTGTTTACCTATGATGTTTAACTCAGCCTTGTCCATTTTGAGATATATCTTAGAAAAACTATTCGTTTTTAAGATAAGATATATTTGGGCATTTGAACAAAAAGCTGAGTCACTTAGAACGAAAGTCAAATTGGCATAGTTTTTTCACAGCAATGCTTTATAGCAGAAGATGACATAGTACAATTTTAAGAGATTCTAGGAAAGAATCGGGAGCCAAGAATTTTGTACACAACAAAACTGACCATCAGTTACAATGACTCAGACAAATATATATGAACATGCAAGGTTCATAGATTATGTTTTCGTTAACTCTTTTGAGAAACCTATTAAAGACCAAACCACAAACTACCAAAAAATAACTAAACACTAATAATAATAATGACAACAATTTATTGAAACGTATTTTGTGTACAGAATAAGATTTTCAAAGAAAGTAAAGGGCTGGGCACGGTGGCTCACACCTGTAATCTCAGCACTTTGGGAGACCGAGGCAGGTTAAGGAAAACAACAGTTTGAGGTCAGGAGTTCAAAACCAGCCTGCCAAAATGGTGAAACCCCATTTCTTCTAAAAATACAAAAATTAGCTGGGCGTGGTGGTGCACACCTGTAATCCCAGCTATTCAGGAGGCTGATGTGGGAGAATCACTTGAACCTGGGAGGTGGAGGTTGCAGTGTGCCAAGATTGCACCACTGCACTCCAGCCTGGGTGACAGAATAAGACTATGTATCAGAAAAAAATAAAAATAAAGAAAAAAGAAGTAAAAAGATAAAGAGGAAAGGAATAAATAAAACAAATGTCATCAAACGCCTTACCAATTGCATAAAATGAGTTATTTATTGTGAAAGTTAATAATTAATGAGAAATAATTAAGCATTTAACTTGTTTTAAATGATACAGGGGAAAATAATTTTTAAAGTGGGTGGGACAAATGAAATATGGCAAAATATTGATAGATGATGAAGCTAAGTGATGGTTCACGAGAGTTTGTTTCTCTCTCTACTTTTTGGGATACAACTAAAGGGAAACTATCGACAATAGCAAAAATACTCAGGGGAACATTTCCTACCATGCATGCCTTTTCCTGTTTTTGCAGAGGATTAATACAATCATACCATGTTTACAGAATGGCATGTGTAACATAGAAACTTTTTAATATCTCTTCTCTGAAACAACCTAACCCTGTTACCAAAAAGTTAATTCTGTTTGGTGATTAGTATTATGCACCTCTTGGTCAACTTTTCGTAGTTTCATATATTAAAACATCAACTAGAGGAATAAATGGACTAAAGTAAGGAAATAATATTATTAAATCATAAAATGTTTAAACTAGGGGGAAGGATGTAGACATATTTTAGAAAATTCCTTATTTCTGAATGAGGAGAGCAAGGCCTAGAATGAAAGAAGCATAACCAAGGTGATACCCCTACATATCTGGTAAAGAAAAGATCAGAAGAAGGCATCTTGCTATTTTACATATTACATAAACGCCATTACCTGGGAGACACTTAAGAAAATGCATTTGTACTTAATGCAAATTGTAGTGTTCCCTTCAGAGAGAATTCTGATAAGAGAGATTTGTTCTAGTTTTGTGTGTCAGGTTTGATGTTCCTAGTCTTTTATAATTACTTCCGTTCAGTGAAAGCATCAGAAAGTATTATATAAAAATAAAAAATAATTATGTTCAGTTGATAATATCTGCTATTAAATAAAATTTCATTTTAGAATATGAGTAGTTTCATATTTACAGAAAAATTGAGAAGATAGCACAGAGGATTTCCATATGTCCCGCATCCAATTTCCCCTATTATTAACATTTTCTGTTAATATGGTACATAGGGCATAATTACTGAGCTGATCATGATACACTATTATTAGTGAAAGGCCACACTACTTAGATTTTCTTAGCCTTTACCCAGTGTCCTCTTTCTATTCCAGGCTCCCATCCTAGACACCGCAGTACATTTAATTGTCACGTTTCCTTAGCCTTGACAGTTTCTCAGACTTGCCTTGTTTTTGATGACCTTGAGGGTTTGAGTAGTATGAGTCAGAATATCCATTAATTATGATTTGTCTGGTATTTTTCACATAAAGGGACTGAGGTTATGAGTTTTGGGGAGAAAGACCACAGTGGTAACGTGCCATTTTTATCACATCATATCCAGGGTACACTGTCAACATGACTTTCCACTGTTAATATTATCCTTCATCACACAACTTGGATAATATGTATCATTTTTTTCTGAAATTATTTATTATTATAATAATAATTGTTATTATTATTTTGAGACGGAGTTTCACTATTGTCGCACAGGCTGGAGTGCAATGGCGCGATCTCGGCTCACTGCAACCTCCACCTCCCAGGTTCAAGTGATTCTCCTGCCTCAGCCTCCTGAGTAGATGGGATTATAGGCGCCTGACACCATGCCAGACTAATTTTTGTATTTTTAGTAGAGATGGGGTTTCGCCATGTTGGCCAGGCTGGTCTCGAACTCCTGATGTCAGGTGATCCTCCCACTTTTGCCTCCCAAAGTGCTGGAATTATAGGTGTGAGTCACTGTGCCCAGCCCTGAAATTATTTTTAATGTGGATGGTTAGTCAGACTTTGTATACAAATACAGTCAGGTGCCACCTAACAACGTTTTGGTCAACAATAGATTGCATGTATGATGGCGGTCCCATAAGATTATAATGGACCTGAAAACTTCCTATCAATCATCTAGTGATGTCATAGCCCTCATGATGTCATAGCCCTCATAATGTCATAGTGTAACGCACTACTCACATGTTTATGTTGATTCTGGTGTAAACAAACCTATAGCACTTGCAGTCAAGTAAAAGTATAGCACATATGATTAAGTATAGTACATAATACTTGATAATAATAATAAACAACTATGTTGCTGGTTTATGTATTTACTATACTCTTCATAGATATTTAGAGTATACTACTTCTATTTTTTTTTAATTTTTTTATTATTATTGCAGGTTTGTTACATATGTATACATGTGCCATGTGGGTGTGCTGCACCCATTTGTCATTTAACATTTAGGTATATCTCCTAATGCTATCCCTCCCCCCTCCCCCCACCCCACAACAGGCCCCGGAGTGTGATGTTCCCCTTCCTGTGTCCATGTGTTCTCATTGTTCAATTCCCACCTATGAGTGAGAACATGCGGTGTTTGGTTTTTTGTCCTTGTGATAGTTTATAAAAAAGGTAACTGTCAACAACCTCAGGCAGGTCAGTCAGGAGGTACCTGAGAAGACGGTATCGATGTCGTAGGAGACATCTCCATGCATGTTATTGCTCTTGAAGACCTTCCAGAGGGACAAGATGTGGAGGTGAAACAGAATGATATTAATGATCCTGACCCTGTGTAAGCCTAGGCCAATATGTATGTTTGTGTCTTAGTTTTTAACAAAAAGTGTTAAAAGTAAATGAATAATTTTAGAAATGGAAATAAAAGTTTTGAGAATAAGAATATAAATAAATATATTTTTGTACAGCTGTACAATGTGTTTATGTTGTAAGGTAATGTTACTACCAAAGGATCAAAAAGTTTCTAAGAAGTTTTTAAGTAGAGGCCGGGAGAAATAGTTAATGCCTGTAATCCCAGAACTTTGCAAGGCTAATACAGGAGGATTAGTTGAAGCGAGGAGCTCAGGAACAGTCTAGGCAACAAAGCAAGATCCCGTCTCTATAAAAAGTTTAAAAATTGGTGAGGCACGCTGTCATGTGCCTGTAGTCCCAGGTACTCAGGAAGGAGGATCACTTGAGCCCAGAAGTTCAAGGTTGCAGTGAGCTATAATCATACCTGGGCAACAGAGTGAGATCCTGTCTCTAAAATGAGTTAATTAATTAGCCTAACAAAAAAGTTTATAAAACATAGAAGTTACAGTAAGCTAAGGACATCTTGGTTGCTTCCAAGTTTTGGCACAATTATGAGTAAAACTGCTATAAACATCTTTGTGCAGGTTCCTGTGTGGACATAAATTTTCAAGGCATTTGAGTAAATACCAAAGGGCACAGTTGCTGGACCATGTGATAAAAGCATATTTAGTTTCATAAGAAATTGCCAAGCTGCCTTCCAAAGCAGCTGTACCATCTTCCATTGCCACCAGCAATGAATGAAAATCCCCATTGCTTCACATCCTTGTGAGCATTTGGTGTTGTCAGTGTTTTGAATTTTGGCTCTTCTAACAGTGCACTATATATTGATATCTCATGGTTCAAATTTGAAGTTCCCTAGTGACATATGATACAGAACGATTTTTATATGCTTACTTGCCTTCTGTATGTCTTCGTCTATGAGTTATGTATTTGGGTTTTTTGCTTCTTTTTTAATTGAGTTGTTCATTTTCTTATTGTGGAGCTTTAAGGGTTCTTTGTATAGGTTGGATAACAATCCTTTATCCGGTGTTTTTCTCCCAGTATGTTGCTTATCTTCTCATTCTCTCGACATTGTCTTTTACAAAGCACACCTTTTTTTTTCTTTTGAATGAAGTCCAGTGTGTCATTTGTTTCTTTCATAAATCATGCCTTCAGTGTTGTATTTAAAAGTCATCGCCATACCCAGGTTCATCTAAGTTTTCTTCTCATTATCTTCTAGGAGTTTTATAATTTGCATTTTACATTAAAGTCTGTGATTCATGTTGAGTTAACTTTGAGAAGCGTGACAGGTCTATATTTAGATTCACATTTTTACACGTGATGCAAAATGTTGATGTCCAGTTGTTATCATTTGTTTGAAAGACTTTGCTCCATTGCACCATTTTTGCTCCTTTGTCAAAGACAGTTGAGTATTTATGTGGGTCTATTTATATGCTCTCTTTTCTGTTCTTTTGATCTATACGTTTTTTTCTTTCTCCAGTGACACACTGTCTTCATTACTGTAGCTTTATAGTTAGTCTTGAATTTTGGTGGTGTCAGTCCTCCAGCTTCTTTCTTCTCCTTTGATATTGAGTTGACTATTTTGGGTCTTTTCTCTGTCCACATAAATTTAAGAATCAGTTTGCAAATATCCGTAAAATAACTTACTAGGATTTTGATTGGGATGGCATTGAATCCAAGTTGAGAAGAACTGACATCTTGACTATATTGGGTCTTCTCACCATAAACATAAACTATGTCTTCATTTATTTAGTTCTTCTTTTATGTCTTTTATCAAAATTTTGTAGATTTCCTCATATAAATTGTGCGGGGTATTTTTTTGCTAGATTGATGCCTATTTTATTTTTGGACGGTAGTACAAAGGGTAATATGTTTTTGATTTCTAATTCCACTTGTTTATTGCTGGTATTTAGGAAATAAACTTTTCCAGATTAAACTTGTATCTTACAAACTTACTCTAATCGCTTATTAGTTACAGGATTTTTTTTTTCTGGCAATTTTTTTCCAAATTTCTACATAGACAATCATCATCTAGGAACAAAGGGTTTTATTTCTCCATTCCTATACTATATTATTTTTACTTATTTTGCAACTTATTGCAATAGCTAGGACTTCCAGTATGATGTTGAAAAACAGTGTTGAGAAGAAACACCTTTGTCCTGTCTGAGCTTAGCAGGAAAGCTTCAAGTTTTTCACCATTAAGTATGATGTGATCTACAGGTTTTTTGTAGATGTTCTTTATAAAATATGTAAAATTCCCCTCTGTTTTCAATTTGCTGAGAATTTTTATCATGAATGGGTATTGGAATATTTTCAAATGCTTTCTCTGTATCTATTGATATCATGTGATTTTTCTTCTGTAGCTTGTTGATGTGATGGATTACATTAATTGATTTCTGAATGTTGAACCAGGGATAAATCCCATTTAATAATGGTAATAATTCTTTTTATATACTGTTGGATTTAATTTGCTAATATTTTGTGAGGGTTTTTGCATTTGTCTATTTTGTTCACAAGCAATATGTGTCTATAGGTTTCTTTTCTTGCAATGCCTTTATCTGGTCTTGTTAGGGTAATACTCGTACCATAAAATAAGTTGGGCATATTCCTTCTGCTTCTATTTTTTGGTAGAGATTGTAGAAAATAGGTATCATTTCTTCCTTAAACATTTGGTAAAGTTTACCAGTGGCCCATCTGGGGCTGGTGCTTTCTGTTTTAAAGGATATTAATTATTAATTTGATTTCTTTAATAGGCAGACTCACAGTGTTTACCTGGTCTTGTGTGAAAACCAGTAAATCGTATCCTTCAAAACATTGTCCCATTTCACCTAAGTTACTAAATTTGTGGGCATAAAGTTGTTCGTAATATTTTTTAGTATCTTTTTAACGTCCATGGGATCTGTAGCAATCTTCCTCTTTTATTCTGACATGAGTAATTTGGGTCTTCTTTTTTTCTAAGTCTAAAAAAGCCTTCTCTGAGCAAGGCTTTTATTGCCTCATAAACCTGACAGGAGGTTTATTAATTTTCTTGATCTTTTCAAATAACCAGATTTTAATTTTGTTGATTTATAAAAAATTGATTTTCTTGTTTTTTTATTTTATTGATTTCTGCTCTAATTTGTATTATTTTTCTTCAGCTTACTTTGCATTTTGCTTGGTCTTCTTTTTCTGGTTTCCTAAGGTGAAAACTTAGATTATTGATTTTAGATCTTTATTTTTTTCTAATATTTGATTTCAAAGCTTAGAGTTTTTTTTCTTTAAGCAATGCTTTTACTGTATCTCACAACTTTTGATAAGTTGTATTTTCATTTAGCTCTGAATATTTTAATTTTCTTCAGATTTCTTCTTTGATGTATGGGCTACTGAGAAGTCTTTGATTAATCCCCAAGTAAGTTGAGATTTTCTAGTTATCTTTTTGTTATTCATTTCTAGTTTAATTTCACTCTGGTCTGTGAGGAGACATTGTATGATTTTTATTTTTAAAAAATTTTAAGGTGTGTTTTCAGGAGCAGAACATGGTCTATCTTGGTGAAAGTTCCATATAAAATTAATAAAAACGTGTATTCTTCTGTTCTTGGATAAAGTAACCTATATGTTTGTTATATCCAGTTGATTAATGGTATATTGAGTTCATCTATATCCTTACTAGTTATCTGCTGACTAAATCTGTCTGTTTCTGATTAAGGGGTGATAAAATACCCAACTAAATCAGTGGATTCATTTATTTTTCCTTGCAGTTCCATCAGTTTTTGCCCCACACATTTTGACAATCTGTTGTTAGATGAATACACATTAAAGAATGTTATATCTTCTTGGAGTATTAAGTTTCTTTTTTGAGAAGGATTCTCACTCTGTCTCCCAAGCTGGAGTCCAGTGGCATGATCTCGGCTCATTGCACCCTCTGCCTCCTGGGTTCACGCTACTCTCCTGCCTCGGCCTCCCAAATAGCTGGGACTACAGGTGCATGCCACCACACCTGGCTAATTTTTGTATTTTTAATAGAGATAGGGTTTCACCATGTTGGCCAGGCTAGTCTCTAACTCCTGACCTCAAGTGATCCACCCACCTCAGCCTCCCAAAGTGCTGGGACTACAAGCGTGAGCCGCTGTGCCTGGCCTTGGAGTATTACTTTATAAAAGCAAAATAAAATCTCGAGACCCCAAACTCCCTATGCCAAGGGCAACGTTAAGCTTGGAAGCTGAGTCATGCAAAACTGCTCCCCATTTTGTTATTAAACAGATAGCTGTAAAGATAGAAGGCCACATACTTCCCCAGGGGCCTTCCTCACAATTTGCTCACAAGAAAATTCCCTGTGGGTCCCACTATCTTTATTCCAATATCAGACCCTATGTCTGATATTTGTCCAGACAGAGATCTGTTGAATTTCACACTGTCAATGTAAAGCAACAGCTTATTTTTTATAGGTATGAGACAAAGACAGAAACAGAAGTCAAACCTCCCCTCACCTGAGACAAATGTATATTTGCGTCCTCTACTCTGTGTTTATTTTATCTTATGTAAAAATGAAGATTCATTGAGCAAAAGACAAATGCTTCCAACCCCTCCTTTCACTGATCCGAGCTGCAAAAGAATGCAAAACCTTGCCGCTTTTATCTACCTTCCCACTGCCCACTTTTCCCCTTTAAATACTGATGGCCTCAAAGTCTTCTTTGGAAAAAGTACAGGCCACAGGTCCTGCTGTGGCTGGTGTCTCTTTTTCTCGGGCACATCACAACCCTGAGAAAATAAACCTCTCAATGGAGACCTGTCTCAGATACCTTTTGGTTTACAAGCCCCTTCATTGTTTTTTATTTATTTATTTATTTTTTTCGGGGGGACGGAGTCTCGCTCTGTCGCCCAGGCTGGAGTGCAGTGGCGGGATCGAGGCTCACTGCAACCTCCGCCTCCCGGGTTCACACCATTCTCCTGCTTCAGCCTGCCGAGTAGCTGGGACTGCAGGCGCCCGCCACCACGCCAGGCTAATTTTTTGTTTTAGTAGAGACGGGGTTTCACCGTGTTATCCAGGATGGTCTTGATATCCTGACCTCGTGATCCGCCCGCCTCGGCCTCCCAAAGTGTTGGGATTACAGGCGTGAGCCACCGCGCCCGGCCACAAGCCCCTTCATCATTATGCAATGCCCCTTTGATCTGTTATATTTTTCTTTGGTCTGAGGTCTGCACTGTCTGAAATTAATATAGTGACTCCTGCTTTCTTTTGTTTATTGTTATCGGTTAGCATGGTATACCTTTTTTTCATCCATTTATTTTTAATCTATTTGTGCTCATATATTTAAAGTGGTTTTCTATAGACAACATATAATTGGATTTGGTTTTTTGATCCACTCTGATGACCTCACTCTCTCTTTTTTTTTTTTTTTTTTGAGAGGGAGTTTCCCTTTTGCTGCCCAGGCTGGAGTGCAATGGCGCGATGTCGGCTCACTGCAACCTCCACCTCCCCGGTTCCAGCGATTCTCCTGCCTCAGCCTCCCGAGTTGCTGGGATTACAGGCATGCCCCACCATGCCTGGCCGATAGTCTCTATCTTTTAATTGGTATATTTAGAACATTGACATTTGGAGTGGTTATTGATATATTTGGATTAATATCTACCACATTTGTTACTGCTTTTTGTTGCTCTTGTTCTTTGTACTTATCTTCATCTTCTACATTCTGCCTTTTGTGTCTCTAATGAACATTTTTTGATTCAATGTTTTCCCTTTCTCAGCATATGAATGGTACTTCCTTTTTCCCCTTTTTTCAGTAGTTGTCCTAGAATTTGTAATATACATGTAAATCTATCACAGTCTTCTTTCGAATAGCAATGTACATCTTCACAGGAATAAAAGTATCTTGTGATTTAAAATATTCCTAATACCTTTTTCCCATTTCTTGTATTAGTGCTGTCAATTATTTTATTGATACACATGCTTACATAAACATCTATTTATATTCAAATACTATATATTTATAAGTATACAGAAGTGAATACATTTTTGCTACTATTATTTTGAACAAACTGTTACATGTTAGATCAATTAAGTATAAGAAAAATAAAAGTCTTTGTTTACCTTCGCTTATTCTTTTGTCAGTGTTCTTTCTTTCTGTAGATCTGTGTTTATAATCTATACAGTTTTTCTTCTGTTTTGAGACCTTTTTTTACATTTCTTGCAAAGCAGGTCTACCGACAAGAAATTTTGTCAATTATTGTTTTTCTGGGAATGTCTATTTCTCTTTCACTCTTGAAGGATAATTTCACAGTGTACAAAGTATGGTTTGTTTATTTTTGTCTCTGAATACTTTAAGACTTTCACTCTACTCTCTTCTTTTTGCATAGTGGCTACTTAGTTGTATGAAATTTTTATCTTTGCTCCTTTAAAGACAGTGTTCTCTCTACGACATGTCTTTTTCCAATTTTTTTAATCACTGATATTTGTAGAATAAAAATGATATAACTAGATAGTTTTTGTTTTTGTTTTGTTTTGTTATTGTATTTAGTGTCTAACCTTAATTTAGAGAAATTCTCAATTGTTATTTTTTCAAATATGTCTTCTGTTCATTTTTCTTCTCCTACTATGCCCATTATACATGCATTATACCACTTGTAGTTGTTCCACAGTTCTTGGGTATTCTGTCCTGTTTTATCCAGTCTTTCTTTTTTACTTTACTTTTTTGGAAATTTCTATTGTCATATCTTCATGCTGAGAGATTTTTTTCCTTAGCTGTGAGTAGTCAGCTAATGAGGCAATGAAACACATTTTTCATTTATGTTATTCTGCTTTTGCTTTCTAAGATTTTTAAGCTTTTATTTTAGAATATTCATCTTTTTGCTTACATTATCCATCTTCTTTTTATGTTGTCTACTTTTCCCATTAAAGCCCATGGCATATTAACCACAACTTTTTAAAATTTCACTTCTGATTAGACCAACATTCCTACCATATCTGACATTAGTTCTGGTGCTTTTGCAGACTCTTCTAATTTTATTTGTTTCCTTTTAGTTTGGATTTTATTATTTTTTATTGAAAGTTGGACTTAATGCACCATTTGAAAGGACTTGGGGTAAAAAGGACTTTAGTGGTGTGCTCGTAAGGGGTATGGATGGGAAGTTTTGTATTAGTCTATTTTCACACTGCTGTAAAGAACTACCTGAGACCGGGTCATTTATAAAGAAAAGAGGTTTATTTGGCTCACATTTCCTCATGGTTGGGAAGGCCTCAGAAACTTACAGTCATGGCAGTAGGCAAAGCGGAAGCAGGAGGTGGAGGTGGTAAGTGCCATATTCTAAACCATCAAATCTTGTGAGAACTTACTCACTATCACAAGAGCAGCATGGGGAAATCCACCACACAATCCAATCACTTCCCACCAGGTCCCTCCCCTGAAGCATAGCAATTACAATTCGACATGAGATTTGGGTGGGTACACAGAGCCAAACCATATCATTCTGCCCCTTGCCCCTCTCAAATCACATGTCCTTCTTACATTGCAAAATACAATTATACCTTCTCAACAGTACCCCAAAGTTTTAATTCATTCCAGCATTAGACCAAAATTCCAGTCTAAAGTCTCATCTGAGACAGGCAAGTCCCTCCTGCTTAGGAGCCTGTAAAATCAAAAACAAGTTAGTTACTTCCAAGATACAGTGGGGGTACAGGCATTGGATAAATGCACCCATTTTGTATTAGTCCATTCACACACTGCTATGAAGAAATACCCGAAACTGGGTAATTTAGAGAGAAAAGAGGTTTAAATGACTCACAGTTCCACGTTGCTGGGGAGGCCTCAGGAAACTTACAATCATGGCAGAAGGCAAAGAAGAAGCAGACACCTTCTTCATAGGGCAGCAGGATGGAGTGAGTGAAAGCAGGGAAAATGCCAGATGCTTATAAAACCATCAGATCTCATGAGAACTCACTAACAGGAGAATAGCATAGGAGATCCACTCTCATGACCTGATTACTGCCAGCTGGTCCCTCCCTTGACACGTGGGAATTATGGGGATTACACTTCAAGGTGAGATTTGGGTGGGGACACAAAGCCAAACCATATCATTCTGTGCCTGGCCCCTCCCCTCTCATGTCTTCACTTTTCCTAACACAATCATGCCCTTCCAAAGTCCCCTAAAGTCCTTTTTTTGAGATGGAGTTTCACTCTTGTTACTGAGGCTAGAGTGCAGTGATGCGATCTTGGCTCACTGCAACCTCCGCCTTCCAGTTTCAAGTGATTCTCCTGCCTCACCCTCCTGAGTAGCTGGGATTACAGGCACCCACCACTACACCCGGCTAATTTTTGTGTTTTTAGTAGAGATGGAGTTTCACCATGTTGGCCAGGCTGGTCTCAAACTCCTGACCTTGTGATCCACCTGCCTCAGCCTCCCAAAGTGCTGGGATTACAGAAATGAGCCACCGTGCCCGGCCTAAAGTCTTAACTCATTACAGTCTTAACCCAAAAGTTCAACTCCAAAGTCTCATCTGAGACAAAGCAAGTCCCTTTTGCCTATGAGACTGTAAAATCAAAAGCAAAAGTTACTTCCTGGAGACAATGGAGGTATAGTCATTGGGTAAATACACCTATTGCAAATGGGAATAATTGGCCAAAACAAAGGGGTTACAGGCCCCATGCAAGTCTGAAATCCAATGGGGCAGTTATTAAACCTTAAAGTTCCAAAATGATCTCCTTTGACTCCATGTCTCACACTCAGGTCACGCTGATGCAAGAGGTGAGCTCCCATGGCCCTGGGTAACTGTACCCCAATGGTCTTGCAGGATGCAGCTCCATCCTTGGCTGCTTTCTTGGGCTGGTATTGAGTGTCTGTGGTTTTTCCAGGTGCACAGTGAAAACTATTGGTGGAACTACCATTCTGGGGTCTGGAGGACAGTGGCCCTCTTCTCACAGCTCCACTAGGCAGTGCCCCAACTAGGAATTCTGTGTGGGAGCTATGACCCCACATTTTCCTTCCACATTGCCCTAGCAGAGGTTCTCCATGAGGGCTCTGCCCCTGCCTGGGTATCCAGGTGTTTCCATACATCCTCTGAAATCTAGGCAGAGGTTCCCAAACTTCAAGTCTTGCCTTCTCTGCACCCACAGGGCCAATATCACCAGTAAGCCACCAAGGCTTGGATCTTACACCCTCTGAAGCAATGGCCTGAGCTGTGCATTGGCCCCTTTTAGCCATGGCTGAAGCTGAATTACCTGGGATGCAGGGCACCATGTCCTGAGGCTGCACAGAGCAGGGCGCCCCTGGGCCCAGCCCACAAAACAATTTTCCCCTCCTAGGCCTCTGGGCTTGTGATGGGAGAAGCTGCTGTGAAGGACTCTGACGTGCGCTGGATACATTTTCCTCATTGTCTTGGTGATTAACATTCGGCTCCTCATTACTTATGTAAATTTCTGCATTGGGCTTGAATTTCTCCTCAGAAAATGAGTTTTTCTTTTCTGTCCATTGTCAAGCTGCAACTTTTCCAAATTTTTGTGCTCACTTTCCTCTTGAACACTTTACCACTTAGACGTTTCTTCTGCCAGGTACCCTAAATCATCTCTCTAGAGGTCAAAGTTTCACAGATCTTTAGGGCAAGGACAAAATGCCACCAGTCTCTTTGCTAAGGCATAGCAAGAGTGACCTGACTCCAGTTCTCAACAAGTTCCTCAGCCTATAGTTTACTGTCCATATCACCATCAGCATTTTGGTCAAAACCATTCAACAAGTCTCTAGGAAGCTCCAAACTTTCCCACATCTTCATGTCTTCTTCTGAGCCCTCCAAACTGTTCCAACTTTTGCCTGTTACCCAGTTCCAAAGTCACTTCTGCATTTTCATGTACATTTATAGTCATGCCCCACTCTCCTGGCACCAATTTTCTGTATTAGTCTGTTTTCACACTGCTATAAACAACTACCTGAGACTGAGTAATTTAAAAAAAAAGGGGGGGTGGGGGGATTTAATTGAATCACAGTTCTGCATGGCTGGGAAGGCCTCAGGAAACTTACAATCACGGCAGCAGGCAAAGGGGAAGCAAGGCACATCTTACATGGTGGCAAGAGAGAGAAAGAGAGAGAGAGAGAGAGAGAAACTGCCACATCTTTAAACTATCAGCTCTTGTGAGAATTCACTCACTATCATGATAAAAGCATGAAGAAATCTTCCCCCATGATCCAATTACCTCCCACTAGGTCTCACCCCTGACATGTGGGGATGACAATTTGACATGAGATGTGAGTGTGGACACAGAGCCAAACTGCATCAGAAGTGTTCTGTGGTTTTGTGATTAGGTGTCAGCTTTTTGGTGAGCTTGTGCCCCTGGACTGTGTGCTTCACCGGTGCTTCTCAGTCTTTGCCTTCTTAGGAAGGACAGGGTGAACTAAAGGAGCTGGCCTGGTTATTTCTCTTCCTCCAGGTCAGGTAGCCTCTGATGAAAAAACCCCAGCAGGATAGGCTCTGGTTACCTAGTTTTTCCTGAGGCAGACCTTGTAAAGAAGAGCAGAATGCTATGCTGTATCTCAGAACGGTTCCTTTTTCCCTTCTGCTTCAGAATTCATGAGGGGATTTTTCTTCCATAATTGCTCTGTCTCCCTGAGAAAGCTCCTAGAGGTAAAGCTCACAAAAGTGTAGGGACTTCCTTATGCTCGAGTCTCCCTGGCAATGTTCACTCTCAGCCTTGTCCATTCTGAGCCTCTCATAATTTGTTAATTGCAGGTTAGGCTTCCCTCTTCTGGCAGTGGTTCCTGTGCAGGTTTCTGCTTACAGGTTTTCTGCTCTGGTAGGTTGTGATTCTCTGTATGCACCTATCTGTCTCTCCAAGTTTTGGGACCGTGGCTTTTCCTGTGAGCTCACCTCTTTGACGGATTTAAGAAGAGTTATTGATTTTTCTGTTAGGTTTTTAGTCGTTAGGTTACAGTGGTGTGAACCCTGATAATCTGAGACTGGTCTCAGTTAATTTTGAAAGTTTATTTTGCCAAGGTTGAAGATGGGTGCCTGTGACACAGCCCCAGGGAGTCCTGACGATATGTGCCCAAGGGATTCAGAGCACAGTTTGTTTTCACACATTCTAGGGAGACATGAGACGTCAATCAACATATGCACAATGAACTTTGGTTTAGTCTGGAAAGGTGGGACAACTGGAAGCAAAAGAGGGAAGACTCGAAGCAGAGAGGGGACTTCCAGGTCATAGGTAGATAAGAGGCAAATGGTTATATTCTTTTGAGTTTCTGATGAGCCTCTTCAAATAAGGCGATCAGATATGCATTTATCTCATTGAGTAGAGGGGTGACTTTGAATAGAATGGGGGGCAGGTTGGCCCTAAGCAGTTCCCAGCTTGACTTTTCCCTTTAGCCTAGTGATTTGAGAGTCGCAAGATGTATTTTCCTTCCACATTGGCAACTTCTAAGCTCTGCATGAGAAACCTATTTATATATTTTTAATTAACATAAAAGAAAAATAAGTAGCTCACGTGTGTTTGACATCACCAACTGAATATTTTTAGAATAAAATGGTATTTTGGTCACTTCTGAGTAGTTTTATGGTTCACCTTAAGTATTAAAATGTATCAACCGAATGAATATGACAGGTTTTACAGCAAATCCAGGGGATATGTTCCTGGGTTTATATAATTTGTGGCCCATTAAATCAATTAATGAAGTCTGGTCAAACTGCCAGTTGGCAAGTTTTTACAAAGCCTGCCTTATTTGCTCATATCCAACAGGTAAGACATCAGCCATCATGTGAAATATACTGAACAGGAAAATCACAGTTAAGCAGCATCCAGTCCTACAGTCTGATTTGAATCATTTCACTTGCTCAAGACAGAAATATAATTATGAAATAGTTTGCATTTCGTTTTCCCTCTCTCTCCTCTCTGTCACACACACACACACACACAAAACACACTCTATACACAACATATTCCATCTACCTAAAACACTGCAAGCCAAAGATTGTAAATAAAAGGATTTTCTCTTTGAAGAGTAATTGAGCTAATTTCATGCCTAATTGAAATAAAATACATTTCCCAAGTAGGTGTGTTTCCAGTGAGAACACAGATCAGGATAAAACTAAAGAGTAAAATAAGAACTTCTCAGAACATTTGCCCACAAAAAGCTTTGACTATTTTCCATTTATTTATTTATTTATTTTTATTATACTTTAAGTTCTAGGGTACATGTGCACAATGTACAGGTTTGTTACATATGTATACATGTGCCATGTTGGTGTGCTGCACCCATTAAATTGTCATTTACATTAGGTATATCTCCTTCCCCCTCCCCCCACCCCACGACAGGCCCTGGTGTGTGATGTTCCTCACCCTGTGTCCAAGTATTCTCATTGTTCAATTCCCACCTATGAGTGAAAACATGCAGTGTTGGTTTTCTGTCCTTGAGATAGTTTGCTCATAATGATGGTTCCAGCCTCATCCATGTCCCTACAAAGGACAGGAACTCATCCTTTTTTATGGCTGCATAATATTCCATGGTGTATATGTGCCACATTTTCATTTTTATTTTTTTGACGGAGTCTCGCTCAGTTGCCCAGGCTGGAGTGCAGTGGCGCAATCTCAGATCACGGCAAGCTCTGCCTCCCGGGTTCACATCATTCTCCTGCCTCAGCCTCCCCAGTAGCTGGGACTACAGCTGCCCACCACCACACCTGGCTAATTTTTTTTTTTGTATTTTTAGTAGAGATGGGGTTTCACCATGTTAGCCAGGATGGTCTGGATCTCCTAACCTTGTGATCTGCCTCCCTTAACCTCCCAAAGTGCTGGGATTACAGGCATGAGCCACTGTGCCTGGCCCACATTTTATTAATCCAGTCTATCATTGATGGACATTTGGCTTGGTTCCAAGTCTTTGCTATTGTGAGTAGTGCCACAATAAGCATACGTGTGCATGTGTCTTTATAGCAGCATGATTTATAATCCTTTGGGTATATACCAAGCAATGGGATGGCTGGGTCAAAAGGTATTTCTAGTTTTAGATCCTTGAGGTATCGCCACACTGTCTTCCACAATGGTTGAACTAGTTTACAGTCCCACCAACAGCATAAAAGTGTTCCTATTTCTCCACATCCTCTCCAGCACCTGTTGTTTCCTGACTTTTTAATGATTGCCATTCTAACTGGTGTGAGATGATGACCACTTTTTCATGTCTGTTGGCTGCATAAATGTCTTCTTTTGAGAAGTGTCTGTTCATAACCTTTGCCCACTTTTTGATGGGGTTGTTTGATTTTTTTCTTGTAAATTTGTTTAAGTTCTTTGTAGATTCTGGATATTAGCCCTTTGTCAGATGGGTAGATTATAAAAATTTTCTCCCATTCTGTAGGTTGCCTGTTCACTCCGACGGTAGTTTCTTTTCCTGTGCAGATTCCATTTGTCAATTTTGGCTTTTGTTGCCATTGCTTTTTGTGTTTTAGTCATGAAGTCCTTGCCCATGCCTATGTCCTGAATGGTATTGCCTAGGTTTTCTTCTAGGGTTTTTACAGTTTTAGGTCTAACATTTAAGCCTTTAATCCATCTCGAATTAATTTTTGTATAAGGTGTAAGGAAGGGATCCAGTTTCAGCTTTCTACATATGGCTAGCCAGTTTTCCCAGCACCTTTTATTAAATAGGGAATCCTTTCCCCGTTGCTTGTTTTTGTCAGGTTTGTCAAAGATCAGGTGGTTGCAGATGTGTGGTAATATTTCTGAGGGCTCTGTTCTGTTCCATTGGTCTATATTTCTGTTTTGGTACCAGTACCATGCTGTTTTGGTTACTGTAACCTTGTAGTGTAGTTTGAAGTCAGGTAGCGTGATGCCTCCAGCTTTGTTCTTTTGGCTTAGGATTGTCTTGGCAATATGGGCTCTTTTTGGGTTCCATATGAACTTTAAAGTAGTTTTTTCCAATTGTGTGAAGAAAGTCATTGGGAGCTTGATGGGGATGGCATTGAATCTATAAATTACCTTGGGCAGTATGGCCATTTTCACAATATTGATTCTTCCTATCCATGAGCATGGAATGTTCTTCCATTTGTTTGTGTCCTCTTTTATTTCATTGAGCAGAGGTTTGTAGCTCTCCTTGAAGAGGTCCTTCACATCCTTTGTAAGTTGGATTCCTAGGTATTTTATTCTCTTTGAAGCAATTGTGAATGAGTGTTCACTCTTGATTTGGCTCTCTGTTTGTCTATTATTGATGTATACGAATGCTTGTGATTTTTGCACATTGATTTTGTATCCTGAGATTTTGCTGAAGTTGCTTATCAGCTTAAGGAGATTTTGGGCTGAGACGATGGGGTTTTCTAAATATACAATCATGTCATCTGCAAACAGGGTCAATTTGACTTGCTCTTTTCCTAATTGAATATCCTTTATTTCTTTCTCTTGCCAGACTGCCCTGGCCAGAATTTCCAACACTATGTTGAATATGAGTCGTGAGAGAGGGCTTCCCTATCTTGTGCCAGTTTTCAAAGGGAATGCTTCCAGTTTTTGCCCATTTAGTATGATATTGGCTGTGGGTTTGTCATAAATAGCTCTTATTATTTTGAGATACATCCCATCAATACCCAGCTTATTGACAGTTTTTAGCACGAAGGGCTGCTGAATTATGTCAAAAGCCTTTTCTGCATCTATTTAGATAATCATATGGTTCTGTTTATATGATGGATTACGTTTATTGATTTGCATATGTTGAACCAGCCTTGCATCCCAGGGATGAAGCCAACTTGATCGTGGTGGATAAGCTTTTTGATGTGCTGCTGGATTTGGTTTGCCAATATTTTACTGAGGATTTTTGCATCAATGTTCATCAGGGATATTGGTCTAAAATTCTCTTTTGTTGTTGTGCCTTTGCCAGGCTTTGGTATCAGGATGATGCTGGCCTCATAAAAGGAGTTAGGGAGGATTCCCTCTTTTTCTATAGATTGGAATAGTTTCAGAAGGAATGGTACCAGCTCCTCTTTGTACCTCTGGTAGAATTCATCTGTGAATCTGTTGGTCCTGGGCTTTTTTTGGTTGGTAGGCTATTAATTATCACCTCAATTTCAGAGCCTGTTATTGGTCTATTCAGGGATTCAAATTCTGCCTGGTTTAGTCCTGGGAGGGTGTATGTGTCCAGGAATTTATCCATTTCTTCTAGATTTTCTAGTTTATTTGCAGAGGAGTTTATAGTATTCTCTAATGGTAGTTTGTATTTCTGTGGGATTGGTGGTGATATCCTCTTTATCATTTTTTATTGCATCTATTTGATTCTTCTCTCTTTTCTTCTTTATTAGTCTTGCTAGTGATCTATCAGTTTTGTTGATCTTTCCAGAAAACCAGCTCCTGGATTTATTGATTTTTTGAAGGGTTTTTTGTGTCTCTGACTCCTTCAGTTCTGCTCTGATCTTAGTTATTTATTTCCTTCTGCTGGCTTTTTAATGTGTTTGCTCTTGCTTCTCTAGTTCTTTTAATTGTGATGTTAGGGTGTCAATTTTAGATCTTTCCTGCTTACTCTTGTGGGCATTTAGTGCTATAAATTTCCCTCTACACACTGCTTTAAATGTGTCCCAGAGATTTTGGTATGTTGTGTCTTTGTTCTCATTGGTTTCAAAGAACATCTTTGTTTCTGCCTTCATTTCGTTATGTACCCAGTAGTCATTCAGGAGCAGGTTGTTCAGTTTCCCATGTAGTTGAGCGGTTTTGAGTGAGTTTCTTAATCCTGTGTTCTAGTTTGATTGCCCTGTGGTATGAGAGACAGTTTGTTATAATTTCTGTTTTTTACATTTGCTGGGGAGTGCTTTACTTCCAACTATGTGGTCAATTTTGGAATAAGTGCGATGTGGTGCTGAGAAGAGTGTATATTCTGTTGATTTAGAGTGGAGAATTCTGTAGATGTCTATTAGGTCTGCTTGGTGCAGAGCTGAGTTCAATTCCTGGATATCCTTGTTAACTTTCTGTCACGTTGATCTGTCTAACATTGACAATGGGGTGTTAAAGTCTCCCATTATTATTGTGTGGGAGTCTAAGTCTCTTTGTAGGTCTCTAAGGACTTGCTTTATGAATCTGGGTGCTCCTGTATTGGGTGCATATATGTTTAGGACAGTTAGCTCTTTTTGTTGAATTGATCCCTTTACCATTATGTAATGGCCTTCTTTGTCTCTTTTGATCTTTGTTGGTTTAGAGTCTGTTTTATCAGAGACTAGGATTGCCACCCCTGCTTTTTTTTGTTTTCCATTTGCTTGTTAGATCTTCCTCCATCCCTTTATTTTGAGGCTATGTGTCTCTCTGCACACGAGATAGGTCTCCTGAATACAGCACACTGATGGGTCTTGACTCTTTATCCAATTTGCCAGTCTGTGTCTTTTAATTGGAGCATTTAGCCCATTTACATTTAAGGTTAATATTGTTATGTGTGAATTTGATCCTGTCATTATGATGTTAGCTAGTTATTTTGCTCATTAGTTGATGCAGTTTCTTCCTAGCATCGATGGTCTTTACAATTTGGCATGCTTTTGCAGTGGCTGGTACTGGTTGTTCCTTTCCATGTTTAGTGCTTCCTTCAGGAGCTCTTGTAAGGCAGGCTGGGTGGTGACATAATCTCTCAGCATTTGCTTGTCTGTAAGGGATTTTATTTCTCCTTTGCTTTTGAAGCTTAGTTTGGCTGGATATGAAATTCTGTGTTGAAAATTATTTTCTTTAAGAATGTTGAATATTGGCCCCCACTCTCTTTTGGCTTATAGAGTTTCTGCTGAGAAATCCACTGTTAGTCTGATGGACTTCCCTTTGTGGGTAACCTGACCTTTCTCTCTGACTGCCCTTAACATTTTTTCCTTCATTTCTACTTTGGTGAATCTGACAATTATGTGTCTTGGAGTTGCTCTTCTCGAGGAGTATCTTTGTGGCATTCTCTGTATTTCCTGAATTTGAATGTTGGCCTGCCTTGCTAGATTGGGGAAGTTCTCCTGGATAATCTCCTGAAGAGTGTTTTCCAACTTGGTTCCATTCTCCCTGTCACTTTCAGGTACACCAATCAGACGTAGATTTTGTCTTTTCACATAGTCCCATATTTCTTGCAGGCTTTGTTCATTTCTTTTTACTCTTTTTTCTCTAAACTTCTCTTCTCAGTTCATTTCATTCATTTGGTCTTCAATCACTGATACCCTTTCTTCCAGTTGATTGAATCAGCTACTGAAGCTTGTGGATCCATCACATAATTCTCATGCCATGGTTTTCAGCTCCATCAGGTCATTTAAGGTCTTCTCTAAGCTGTTTATTCTAGTTAGCCATTCATCGAATCTTTTTTCAAGGTTTTTAGCTTCTTTGCAATGGGTTCGAACATCCTCCTTCAGCTCAGAGGATTTTGTTATTACCGATCGTCCAGCTTTGTTCTGTTGCTGGCAAGGAGCTGTGTTCCTCTGGAGGAGAAGAGACTCTCTGATTTTTAGAATTTTCAGCTTTTCTGCTCTGGTTTCTCCCCATCTTTGTGGTTTTATCTACCTTTGGTCTTTGATGATGGTGACCTACAGATGGGGTTTTGGTGTGGATGTCCTTTCTGTTTGTTAGTTTTCCTTCTAAGAGTCAGGATCCTCAGCTCCAGGTCTGTTGGAGTTTGCTGGAGGTCCACTCTGGACCCTGTTTGCCTGGGTATCACCAGCGGAGGCTGCAGAACAGCAAATATTGCAGAACGGCAAATTTTGCTTCCTGATCCTTCTTCTGGAAGCTTCATTCTCAGAGGGGCATCCGGCCGTATGAGAAGTCAGTCGGCCCCTTCTCTGAGGTGCCTCCCAGTTAGGCTACTCGGGGGTCAGGGACCCAATTGAGGAGACAGTCTGTCCATTCTCAGATCTCAAACTCCATGCTGGGAGGACCACTACTCTCTTCAAAGCTGTTAGACAGGGACATTTAAGTCTGTGGAAGTTTCTGCTACCTTTTGTTCAGCTATGCCTTGTGTCCAGAGGTGGAGTCTACAGAGGCCTCATTGAGCTGTGGTGGACTCCACCCCCAGTTCAAGCTTCTCAGCCACTTTGTTTACCTACTCAAGCTTCAGCAATGGCAGATGCCCCTTCCCCAGCCTCGCTGCTGCCTTGCAGTTTGATCTCAGGCTGTTGTGCTAGCAGTGAGTGTGAGTGAGGCTCTGTGGGTGTGGGACCCTCCAAGCCAGGCACAGGATATAATCTCCTGGTCTGCCATTTGCTAAAACTGTTGGAAAATTGCAGTATTAGGGTGGGAGTGTCCCTATTTTCCAGGTACCGTTTGTCACGGCTTCCCTTGGCTAGCAAAGGGAATTCCCCGACCCCTTGTGCTTCCCAGGTGATGTGATGCCCTGCCCTGCTTCGGCTCATGCTCTGACAAGCCCCAGTGAGATGAACCCAGTACTTCAGTTGGAAATGAAGAAATCACCCGTCTTCTGCGTCACTCATGCTGGGAGCTGCAGACTGGAGCTGTTCCTATTTGCCCATCTTCTCACTTTGACTATTTTCTACAAAAAACCCAAATCTTACAACTAAAAAAGAAATCCAAAGCACTAGAAGGCAAAGAAGTAGAGAAAGATAATTCAGAAAACAAAGGAAAAGAGTGGTCAATATAATAAGACGTTGAATGAAAGACAATTTTGCAGAATTGAGTGGGAGTCTGATGACAGTGGGTAAAGAGCCAAAGGACAGGTGAGAAAACGGAAATTAAAAGCTGTCAGTTTTTTCATTGACGGACGTGAGAAGCAATGTGGGCAGTATCATTTCAGAGATTAAGAATGAATGTGCAAGAGGGAGGAGACATGAGGTGGGTCTGAAATGCCTCTCACAGGTGAAGGAAGAAAAGATTGACAAGGGACATAAGGAAATGCTGCCAGACACTGAGATGGGTTTGTAGAAGCACAAGTACTCCCTGTAAAAAATTGAGGAGAACCATGTCTGGGGAGATCATTCCTTTCTATATGAGGGTTTCCAGCATGTGATCCAGTCATGGAGCTGGGAACTTTAATGTCCTGCAAAAGCACAAGAGGAAGATCTTTGGGTGAGACCATGTTGTTAGAAACACATCAGCACACAACTTCAGGGGTTCAAAGTTGGCTGGAGGTCGAGGTTGGAATATGTCCTGGGAACTGGAATAGGATCTACAGGAACTGGAATATACCATTAGGGAAAAGTGACCTCACCAACAGGCCCACCTAAAGATTCTGAGAAGTAGATTCCTTTGTTACTATCAGCACCCATTTTTACTTCCCATGCAATGGTCTCAGCAGTTTCTAGGATTCGGAAAACACAGACTCAACACACACCAGGGGCAACACAGATAAACTTCATGTTAGCATCTCTCAAGAAATTTCTGGAACAAATTTGAAAAGTTTTCTCTTTAAGTAACTCATGTTGTGGAGGTGCTTCAAGCTGGAACTGATGTCTTGAATCTGGGAGAAAGCAGCAGCAATATAAAACCTGGGCAGTAGGTTAAATGCAGAGGAGAATAAATTCAGACCATAGGTTTGTTTGGTTTTGCCACTGAAAGGAGAAGCTAGCAGGACCTCACAGCCAAACAATGTGGAGATGGCCACAATTTGACAGTTGGCACATTTCTGTCATCAGAGAACATCAAGGGGTACAACCTAGTCTTATGAAAATGAGCAATTTCCCCATAGGCACTTCTCTGGATTCTACTTTAACTCCTAATAATTTCTGTTTAGACTGCCTTGAACAGAATTACAGGGGAGTTGCTGGATGATTATAATCAAGCATCATAAATAGAACACCCAATCTTCTCATTTGTGCTTTCTCTTAAAATGCACATTTTTAATGAAATACATGAAAGGGATTTTTTCTTTTTTTTAATTGTACACAAGAAAATAATCCAGTAAAACCTTTACAAGAAAATGAAATCTAAGCTCCATCTACTAAATTGTTGGTATCTGAACTCTTACAAAAACTGTTTATTACATTTGCTTTCATTTGTGCCTGAGTGAACATTTTCTGCATCTTGGTGTACCTCTTACTGGCTATTGCTCTTTACTATGCAGAGAACAATTTAACGGGATTCCAATTCCCTCACTATGACCTCACCCACGCAAACTTGTGTCCCTTCACCAAAGTTATTTGGGACTCTTCTTTGGAGCCAATCTACCTGCTGTATGCAATCACTTTGCCACTTGATTCTAAACTCATACACTTGGTATCTCTTCTTTATGGTGAATTATTCCTCATTTTATAAGATGAATTTTAAAAATTGTACCAAGCTTGCTTTTCTGCTGAATATTTTAATGCCACCAAACACACAGAACACATCACAAACAGGTTATATAGAGTTAGTCGTTTGTGAGGAGTGAAGAGGAGGTGGTTTACCCCAAAGTTCAAGCCTAACGGCTTTTCTTTTTCTTTTCTTTTCTTTCTTTCTCTTTTTTTTTTTTTTTTTTTTTTTGAGACAGGATCCCACTGTTTCGCCCAGGCTGGAGTGAAGTGTCATGATCTTGGCTCACTACAACTTCTGCCTTCTGGGCTCAAGCAATCCTCTCACACCAGCCTTACAAGTAGCTGGGACCACAGACCCACACATTCAGTTAGTTTATTTCTTTGTTGTTGTTGTTATTTTGTAGAGACAAAATCTCCCTATATTACCAAGACTGATCTCAAACTCCTGGACTAAAGTCAAACTATCCACCCATCTCAGCCTCCCAAAGGGCTGGTACTACAGGTGTGAGCCATTCCACCCAGCCAGATTTTCTGGTTACTTACAGAAACCAAAGGTCCCACAAGTTCTCACTGAATTTTGAGGAGTATAAGTAATATAAATATCTCATCCATAATAGCTATTGAGCTGGATGGAATTGTGTCCTCCAAAATTGATATGTTGAAGTAAGTCTAAACTCCCAGTGTGAATGTATTTGGAGACAGGCCTATAAAAAGCTGATCAAGGTTAAACTAGGTCATAAGGGTGGGGCCCCAATACAATAGAACTAGTGTCCTTATAAGATGACGAGGATACATCTGAGCTCTCTCTCTCTTTTTATGGGCAAATGAGGAGGAGCCTTGTGAGCACAGAGTCAAAAGCATCATGTATGAAACGGTGAGTGGCCACTCACTGGACACTGAATCTGATGCTGCCTTGACCTTGGACTTCTCAGTCTTCAGGGTGGTAGGAAATAAATTCCTGATGTTTACAAGCCACCCAGTCTATGGTATTCTGTTACAGCGGCCTGAATAGTCTAAGACAAGTTGATAAAGATCAAAAGCAAGTCTGACTTGAGATTCAGAAAGACCAATATCTTATTTTTAATTGTTTTCAGCCATCAAATCAGAAGTTTATAAACAATAAACACCATTAACAATATTTCTACACAGAAATTCAGTAATTTTTTTATTATACTTTGAGTTTAAGGGTACATGTGCACAACGTGCAGGTTTGTTACATATGTATACATGTGTCATGTTGGTGTGCTGTGCCCATTAACTCTCATTTACATTAGGTATTCCTCCTATAAGGATGTAGCCGGGCATGGTGGCATGTGCCTGTAATCCCAGCTACTTGGGAGGTGGAAGCAGGGGAATCACTTGAACCCGGGAGGCAGAGGTGGCAGTTAGCCAAGATTGTGCCACTGCACTCCAGCCTGGTGACAGAGCAAGACTCTGTCCTACCCACTCCCTTCAAAAAAAAAAAAAAAAAAAAAGGAGGCATTTCTCTGAAGTATTCGGCTCATAATCAAGATGTTTTAAAAATTACCTTACTCTTGATTACATTTAACATGTGCCAAATGGCCATTACAATCCGATTTCCTTATGGAATATTCACATGGTGTGCACGCATATCCTTAAACGAGGACACCTGTTTTTGCATCCCTTTAGCTATGGCAGTTGTGGTGGGGGCTCCTACTGTTTTGTTTTAATGCCTTGGTTCTAGCTAAGTATAATAATCAGCTTATGCTCTCATATCTGGGTCCATTGCCTTTACAGCTGAGACAATTTACTCTTTCCTTTCAGTTCAGCCCCATGGTATCATCTTCTGATCCTGATTCTCTCTCTCTGGCTTAGCTCAGCACAAGGAAGATACAACATTCAATTGATCAGCTACAGATCTATAGCTTTGTTGATGGTATTAGCCTGGTTCTAGAAACTGGGGTTATTGCCTGGATTCATGCTTTTATATCCTTTGGATCAAATCATATGCTGAAAGAAAACAAAATAAGCCATTGCGTTGTCAAAATATTACGGCCCAAAGGACTCTTAAGAGAAATAAAGGCTATTGGCCATATTTTACTCATGAGGTTATAAAAATACAATTGGAGTTTCGCTCAAACTTTTTTTGTTTTTTTCTTTGTGATGGATCTCTCTCTGTAGCCCAGGCTGGAGTGCAGTGGCGCGATCTCGGCTCATTGCAACTTCTGCCTCTGGGTCCAAGCAATTCTCCTGTCTCCACCTCCCGAGTAGCTGGAATTACAGGCACATGCCACCACACCCAGCTAATTTTTTTTATTTTTAGTAGAGACGGGGTTTCACAATGTTGCCCAGGTTGGTCTTGAACTCCTGACCTCAGGTGATCCCCCCGCCTCGGCCTCCCAAAGTGCTGGGATTACAGGCATGAGCCACCGCGCCTGGCCCAGCCTTCACTTTTTTTTTCCTTCTCCACTTGAGTCTACTCTTCAGGTCCTTAATTGGGACACCGTGGCAGCTGCTCCTAGAGTCATGTCTATGTGCTGATTTGGGGTTATGACCATGTATTCACCAATCTGAGCCAAGAGGAAAATTGGAACAGAGGGGCAGCATTTTTAAAAAGTGGATTTGTACAGTTTGCAGAGCCACCAGTAGACCATGATTCTTGATCATCTTGAAGTAAAATATAATTTCTTGTGTGTTTTGATGTGACAGTAGGTTGCAGGGAGATGTTAAATGTTTAATAAACTCACTTCTGGTAAAATTCAAAGTCAGATGAAAAGTGTGTGGTGATCCCCAATATTTGTTTAAATGTTACTGGACACCCAATTCATATATTCAGAAATCAGTGCTCTGGAGCCCTGGGTTTCATGTTTCTTTCCTGCCCCACACCTAAGGGAAGCTGTATCCTTCTGACCCTGAGAGTGAGCACAGTGACCTCTGTGGGACGGCCATGATATCTGTGGGACTGTTGTGACCTCTATGGGAAGCCTGTGACCTCTTGGGACTGCTGTGACCTCTGTAAGATGACTGTGGCCTCTCTGGGATCACCATGAGCCCCTGGCCCCTCCTGGATCCGGCTCCCAGGGCTTCACTACACTCCCTCAGTGCACGTGCCTCAGCCCATCAATGCATTCATTGCTTTGACTTTTGCAATGAATGATTGTTTCATAATGGCTTTCTTTTACCGTTTTTACTCCAATGTGGTATGCATATCCTTCTGTGTCATTACTAGAAGACTAATAGCTTTTAACAGCATAAGTGTCTGTTATAACTACATCAAGAAGATGAAGTGTATTTTTCAGTCATTCTATGGTTGATGAGCATTTACATTTTTTCCTACTTCTTGTTAACCTGAAGAAGGAGGGCTGGATTCTGGATAGGCAAAAGCATCTGACATTTACTATCAGCACAGAATTTCATTTTCCTCTTAAGTAACAAATCCTATGTCTTCTTACTCTTCATTCCATTAATTTTTTTTCATAGCACCTTTCTTTATCATCATGCTTTGTAGTAAATGCACTTACGTACTTCTGATGATCCTTTTTACCTTCTTGACCATCTATTCTCTTCTTCCTCTAACTCAATTTTTCCCCATTTCTCACTTATTTGATATTATTTCTGATCTGTACCACTGATCTCATTTGCTGTCTGTGCTTCATCTCACATCTTAAAATGATGCTCAAATTTATATCTCAAGTTTTCACTTTTCTCTTTAACTCCTAACCAACATTTACAGCTTTTTGCTGCATATGTCCATGTGAATATTGTATACATGTAAAATGACCAAATATAAACACATTATTTTCCTTCTATGTCCCCGTCTTTGTTGACTTAATGCCTTAATCTAAAATTCCAACCCAGAAAGCTCAAACCATCCCTGCCACCCTTCCTCTGAATCCCTTCTATAATGTCCATTCACACAGCCCCCATTGTATTCATCTGAATTATTATTAAAAGGTTATGCAAGCTTTCTCCAGTCTATCTCATTCTCCTATCTGTTCTTGACACCATGATTACGTCTTTGCTAACAGATAGTCCTTCCCCAGTATCTCGCTATCCCCAAGATATTGATGGTTCCACATTGCCTAAGATTCTAATTATCTAGGAACGAACATATAGATGTTTTTATGGACTTTTTATTTTCATCATGAATACCCTCACTTCACTACATTTTGTCATCAGTAATTATTAGTGACCATCTTGCAAAAAGGATTTGCAATTTTTTATGGCTCCACCACATACTCTTGTGGCCAATTTTTGCTTTTTTAGTTTATTTATATCTTAATGTCCACTTTTCTATAAAATTTCAGCAGATCTCTAGTGTGGCAAAATAAATTTATATATTTTAGAATCTGCCTAGTTGATTCTTAAGATCAGCTAATTTGGGAACCACTACAATAAATACCACTTTGCATCAAAAGTACATTTAGCCTCATAGTGAATCCTGTGGTTATCTTTCTTTCTGTTAATTTGGTAACTACTTTAGGATTGGAACACTGTGTTGTTATCTATTGATTTATTCCTAACGTACTAAAATTGTAGTCTCCTACATATGATGGATGTTAACTAATTACTTAATAGAGAAAAATAGACTGTAAATATATAGATACATACATAGTCGAATTCAGAAACAACAGTTGGAATGCAGATTTTCAAATAATTAAGTAAAATTTGCAATGTAGAGTCCAGTATCTGGGTATGAGTTTATAAGAGGATACCTAATCTGAAGATTTTTATTATTTTCAAGATATCTTCTCTCTCCCTTAGTGATATTCTTAGCCTTAAAGTGTAGAAATAAGGTCTTTGATCCACATCCTCACGTTGACCTACTTCCTCAATTATTTCTTATGAACCTAAACTTCTGTTATTTCTGTTTTCTTTTAGCACCTCTTTCTAGTCAAATCTCACTTTATCTCCTCATCACAACTGTTTCCTCAGCTGTCACCAAACCTTTTGATCTAAGGAGTTCAATTTACGACAAACAATTTTTCATCGTCTAATAGCTCCTTTCCAAAGCTGCTTCCAAAATGCATACAAAATATAATATACGACACCACAAACTGGAAATGAGTAATTAAAAGTACTTTACTAATTAAGTTATGCAACTAATTATATATTGTAATAAACCCCAAATCCTACACCCAAATTTAACAGAATTAGTTAGATTGGAAATTAAACAGATGTTCCTTTTGTGTTGGTCTTCAAACATGACAGTGGTCACACTGCTGTCTTTTCATAGACACAGGCAGTGAGAATCTGTGCATTTAAAGAATAACGACTTCCTTTTCTTAGGCTGCTCAGCGTGTCCGAGTGAAGACACGACTACAGAGCAGTGGCCAGAAACTTCAACAACACAATCCAGTATGGAACGCAGCATTCTGCCTCCTCCACTCCCCCCATATTCTCTACATTCTCTATGTTGTTTCTCTATGTTCTCTTTAGTCCTGAGTGCATCCCTTAATCAACACATTTTTAAAGCACCTATTATGTGCTGCATAGGGTTACAATGTTAGGAAAACAAAGCATTTGTCCTTGAGAAGTTCTCAGTATAATGGGAGATATAGGAATAAAAATGCTAATTAAAATGCAGTTCTTTCATTGCTAAAAAGTATGTCTAAAGGATTGTGACTGAAAAAATTCATTTTGATATGATTCACTTTATCAAGAATTTTCAGAAAAAAAAAATCTTACGCCTTATGATCACAGTAACTCTTTGAGGTGGGCACTACTTTCACCACTAGTTTCCACATGAAGAAATGGACATTTAGAGCAATTCAGATGTTTTTGCAGATTTATATGTCTAGTGAATGAAGAAAGTTAAATATAATTCCCAAACTGTTGAAATCTAAGTCCAACATTCTTTTCACTTCTACATTGGAGTTGTACACTCAGAAATATTAGTTTAACTATCCTAGACTTCCAGTGAAGGACGTAGGGAGGAGTTACTTTGGTGCACACACACCTATAAGAATGCACACATACACACCACATTTCTGAGAATATGACTTCTTATATAAAAATCAGAATTTAGAGTAGTAAAATGTAAACCCAAGCTGTTGAGAAAATGTAGGATTACAAGGAAATTATTTAATTTTATTCAACAAATGCTCATCAATTTTAAAAACTGTCTACTTTGCTAGACACCAAGGTTTATCCCTTCAACATTTGTGCAACAAACTTGCACAGAGAAAGTTCTTGACCAAAAGAGGAAACAAACAAATTTATAGAAATGTATTATAATAAATTCTATTAACAGGCAGACACCCTACAAGCAAATGAAGGATAAGGAAAACCATCTTATTCCGTTCAGGGTATAGGGAGTGGGAGTTAGGCAAGCTTTCGCAGAGAAGATAGTACTTACATGAAGTTTTGAGAGTATAACAGTGAAGAAGAGTTACTTATGAGACAAATGAGGAAATAATAATATTATTCTAGGTTATATCACATGCAAAACAAGGAACTTAGCTCAATTGGTAAAAATATAATTTATTGAGAGTATTTGCCATCACTTTTAAATGATCAGTTAGTCAATTTTTGAGAAGCTGAGAAGCCTCCAAATAACTTATATGCTTAATGTTGAACTATCTTCATGTAATTTTTAGAAATTTCACCTTGTCACTCAAATGACAGAAAGATGATTGTTAATTGCCATGTCCCCTTCACTGCTGCCAGTGACACCTCACGCTATGGAATAGTTGGCAGATAGCATGCTCATCATAGCTGCCAAGAAGTTCCAGAGCTGGAACCGGAAGATCTGCCGCTGTCATACCGATTATTTATTCTCTTCTTTTTCTTAGAAGTCATTGGTCAGGGATCACAACTACTCAACAGCCTACCAAAGTGGAAAGCATACTCAGCCTTCTGATTTCACAATCTTCCTTAGTTCTCAAATAGAACATTTAGCTGGCTAATGGATTTTTCACTTTTCAACCAGTGGTTCAGAGGTCATAGTCACAAAATGCATTTTTGCCTTGGTGGTTAACACATGGTATTGTACCAGCAGCATTCGGCCATTCAGGAATGTTATTTTCCTTTCTGAGTAGGTTACCTGGCTCCTATTCCTCTTGTTCACTGGGGAAGAAATAATTACTCATCTCCCAGCTCCTTTGATGAGTTAACAGGACATACATTGTAACCCCAGAGACCTAGACAACTCTTATTTATTTCCTTTGCAGGTCAAGGCACAGTTCTGCATGATGTGGAAGTTAAGTCACTACTTAAATTACTTCTTGTAAATAAGACTCATTAACCGTGGTGACCTGAGAACACTTTCAATTTAAGATGCTGCCCAGTGAGGAGAGGCCATAGATTAATCCTGCTGCTGCTGCAGATTCAGCTTCTCTCTGCTTTTTACTCAGACACTCACGTTTGGCTCCCTAGCTAAAAGAGAAACTCTTTCACCTTCCTCCACATCTACTTACTTCTTTTTATCTGAACCTGAGATTTGATGTTTACGTTTAAAAACAGAAAGAGGAAATGATCAAGAAATGTGGGTTTGGTGTTCTGACGAACCATGGGAAAAGGCCATAGAAATTAACTTCACAGGTGCCAAAATCCGTGGTGAGGTATCATTCTTGGGAACCACTCAGGAAAACACCTCAGCCACATAATTCTGAAATAAATATTTCAATTTTAAACTTAAAAAAATACATAATTCAATTTTTAAAGTGTCCTGAAAAATCTCTAAATGTAGAGTAATTTATTTTAATAACAATCAAACTCAACTTATATAACTTATGCATATTTTATTAGAAGAGACAAATTTTCAGAGTGGAAAAATCTTTCAAATTTCTTGTCGAAGACAGAAAATAAGGCATCTTTGTGTTTACAAAACTGATTGACACAGATGTTCTTTTTGTATATTTTAATGGACTGTATGTAATAGAAAGGTGAAATTGACCTGGAAGCCAAAATGCTTTGGACTGAGGCAAAAGAATACCACAAGTGAAAACTGGAATTACACTAACAGCAACCCTTAACTGCCATTGTCATTTCCAATCTTTTCCTGAGAATAACATGTAAAACCAGGTGTGATTCTTATAGACAGGAAAATAAAATAAAATAAGTACTTGTTTATGCTAGGACCAATTCTACAGGATTGTAAATCTATTTCTTTCCCAGTCCTCCAAAAAGTTTTTATTTGTATCAAGTTATAAAAATACCCTAGACATACCTATATGTTCTAATGCAATATTAATCTTTTACCTTTGAAAACATCCTACAACAACACCAAACACTAGGTGTAAATGAGTCACACATTTCTGGAAGTTGTGATGTAACTCCTGTCTTGGCTGGAGAAAGAAGATTTTCTGCCAAGACGATAAGAAGAGTACTTTCTGAGAGTGGTTTTATAGTGATCAGCCTTGTTGAGGGCAAAAAAATCGTGTCTAAAATGAGCATGATCAGAAAGAATATTAACTAGAAGAGGTGGATAGCATATGGTGTGTTTTCAGAGACGCTGCAAACCCCAGATTACCAATATACTTGAAATTTCCTCTATGATAGCTTCTCTTTGGGATAAATCATTATTCTTCATCTCTGGGAAGATCAAATGCTAATCCGGGAGATATTTATAAGTAGACATCAAATTCTAAATATCTGTAAGTATCAAAGTACTCATATATATGATTCCATCTTTTACCAGGTTTACCAGCGTGCCCAAGAGGCAGAATCTAAAATATATAAAATAATTGGACAATAATCACATGTTAAACAGTGTGAAACTCAGGACTGTAAAGAGCTCAGATGTAAAAAATACTATCCTGCACTAGCGTAGGCATAGGAAATTGCACTTGTAAATAATATGTAGGATTTACACAATCCAAAAAGACTAAAACCAGAATTTCAGGAAGACGAAGTAGTATTAGTGGGAGAAAAAATGGTTACAGGAACCCAGAATATATGACAGAAAGTAAGCAGACTTACTTGACCAAAATGGAGTTTTAGGAGTTAAAATGTTTTGAAAAATACTGGGAAATACAAGTCACATTCAAAGCTGGTGCTAGAGAACTCTCATGTAAACATATGGGATGATTTTAGATCTTTACACTAGTGTGTTTTGACAAAATTATCCAGAAGTGACATGGAAGAAGGATAAGACAGAGGGAGTGACCCAGAGCCAAAGTAACAAGGTAGATACTTTATACTAATCTGGACCATGATTATTATTTTCATTGTCTGGAAACCAGAACAGTGTCTGCCTCATCATAATTCTTAAATAACATTTTTTCCTTTTGAATTAATAACAAATGTACATGTCCTTCCTGAGTCACTGGGATTTTGAAAGAACCAAATTGAAAATGCTTTCAAAACCGTAAAGCACAATCCAAATATGAGTTGTCATTGTATTAAATAAAGAATAAGAGGACTAGATGTGGAAGTTAACAGTAGAGCCATCTCAAAATTTGTTAAATGAGAGAAGACAAAAGCTCGTGTCCTTGCAAAGTAGTATAAAGTGGGCTTGTTTTGATGAGATCAATGAGAAGCAAAATCTTTAGATCTCACAAGAAATAAGAGCATATCTCATGAAGATGTTTTATGGAGTAAAGCGCAGGTGAGAGATCCGAATATAAACAGAGATGAGAGTAATAGGAAATATTCACAGTTTAAGATATGCCAGGTATCATGACAATTACATTAATATTGCGTTCATGATGTTAATTGTGTCCTGTAGTTCTGACACAACTTTAAGAGGTGGATATTGTCACTTATTGTCAACATCTCCCCTAAGGTTCCAGCAGCTCTAAGAGGTGAAGTTAGGATTCATGACTAGCCAGTCTGATTCAGAGCCTATGCATGTGTCACTCCACTCAAATAGGGATGGTTATAATAGTGGGATTAAGCTCACAAAGATAATTTGATACATGCAGAGAGTAAGCCAGATCTGTAAACATGGCCTCTGTATTCACCTATTATTTAGGTTCTTAGAAAAATAAGTATCAAAAAGTCAGGGAATAAGTGCTTAGGGAAGAGGAGGGGAAAAATGAGGAGAATACGATGCCTTGAAAACCAAAATGCACTGCGTTCATTATAGCCTGCTTGTGTATAACATCCTTAACAATTATAGAGGTAATCTCTTCAGAAAGGTAGGCTAGGGAATTGGGAGACTAGACAGGTAGATCCTAATGAGCATGTAGGTTGTATAAATCAGTGGTTCTCAACTGAAGCAATTTTGCCACCCATGCAATAGTTAGCAATATCTGAGGATGCTTTTGATTTTCAAAACTTGGGTGGGGGAGTTACTACCATCTTGTGAATAGAGACCAGGAATGCTGCAAATATCCTACAATGCATAGAGGACAGCTCCATAACAGACGGTGTCCATGCCCAAATGTCAACAGAGCCAGGTTGAGAAATCTTTCTATGGATGCGTCTAAAGTCCAGGTAGCAACTCACAGAGCAAAAGTGGAGTGTAACACTGAAATACCCTGGGCATTTAGGAAAAGATTATGGAATGTGAGGGTCACAAAGTGCCAAGTCTAATGTGTTGTCTATACCAGACCTACCTTAGGCAGCTCTGGAGCTTCTGTTGGCCACATTTCTCCCTAACACTGTGTTGCTTTGCTCAGTGATATGTTCTGGTTCTGTGCCCTCACCCAAATCTCATCTTGAATTATAATTTGAATTGTAATCTCTGTGTCTTGGGGAGGCACCTTGTGGGAGGTGATTAGATCATGGAGGGGGTCGCCCCATGCTGTTCTCATGATAGTGAGTGAGTTCTCATGAGATATGCTGGTTTTATAAGGGACTTTTCCCCTTCACTCTGCACTTCTGTCTCCTGCTGCCATGTGAAAAAGGACATGTTTGCTTCCCCTTCTCCCATGATTGTAAGTTTCCTGAAGACTCCCCAGCCATGTGGAACGGTCAGTCATTTAAACCTCTTTCCTTTATAATTACCCAATTTCGGGTATTTCTTCATAGAAGCATGAAAATGAACTAGTACACTCAGCCTTAGCTGATGCTTAAAGATAATTAACTTTGTTTAGTCTCTTCAGTCTCACTGTCTGTGGCTGGCCAATATCATTCGCCATGTTTCTAGCTCATCTCTGCACTTCCTCACTGTATAGACTCCCATGCCATAAGGCAGTGTCTCTGTTCTCGAGATGATGTTGAAGGCAGCACACGTGTGCTTGCTGGACACGCAACGGGTCATTCTATAGCCTCTCGTGAGGCAGTGACCAGCATAATGATGTGGGACCTGCATTGCTCCCCATGCTATTCTGCCTCATAACCCCTACTCTTGCTATCCTGGGGTTCCACCTTCCACTGAAGTATGAGTAATAAAGCTTAGTCTCAGTCGCTGCTTTCTACAGGTCTTAGGCTAAGAAAATAGTCTTCAAATTCACCGAGGAACTTGCAAGGTATAGAATATATTCTGCATTTCAACTTCAGAATATATTGGCAGTTATTAAATACATGAAGACTCATTTTTTACATTTTAATGGTCAGGTCAACTAGCAAAGATGGAGAAAATTTAATAATTTGACAAGCTGTGAATCCCAGCGAACATATAGAAATGTTGTATTAGAATTCTAGAAAGTGATGCTTGAAAGAATGGGAAATAATGGTGGAGCTTCCCTGTTCAAATTACCAACCAGAACAGACTTAGTATGTCATTTAAAGAATATAGACTGCCCAAAACCCTCAGATATAACCTTCTTAAACAGATATTTGTAACTTCCAAAGAAGAGTATTCTGCTAGGGCCACTAAATAAGCTTGAACCAGGTTATATGAAATAATATGATAGTTCTACCATAGGTACTAGTTTCAGTAATTTCTTATTAGAAATACGGAAAGCCGTTACATCAAATATTTGCAATCAGTATTCATTCTTGTATATAAATAGGAAAATATCCTAGCATTTAAAATAGGCATTATAGAATCATCTGCTTATAGAATATATCAACTGTTGTCTTTAACATTGTTGCCATTTTACATTTCTCATTTTACTGTCTGGAATAAGGCAGTTGTTGCTTAATCTACAAACATGGTTATAGTATTCAACTATACCTGAAAGAAAATTCAGATAATCAATTTAGCTATAATAGGGGAGGATGATCCTTCACATAATTAAAGAATGATATTTGTTCCAACCATGCACAATTTTCCCCACATACCGATGCAGACTGCATTGTGCCTTTGCCCCGCAAAGACAAGATTGTCCATTGTTAAACATTATCTGTAAGTATTAATATATTAAATGTTGAGTGTTTATTCAAGTCATCTGAAAAGTCATGTGTTTTCCTGAGAAAGCCATTAATATCACTATGCTACATCTAACATAAAGGGAACATAGTCGTTGATGTTAGGACAAAACAGTCGGTGATGTTCTATCCAGGAGGAATATGCATATACAGAAAACATGATTCCTTTAAATTAATTTTGGCCAATTACTCAGAGTTAAAAAATACAAACTGCATGATAGTCCTAACAAAAATTAGCTGAGCATGGTGGTGTGCACCTGTAGTCCCAGCTGCTCTGCAGGCTGAGGCAGGAGAATTGCTTGAACTCAGGAGGCTGAGGTTGCAGTGAGCCAAGATCACGCCACTGCACTTCAGCCTGGGCGACAGAGTGAGACTCCGCCAAAAAAAAATTTAATTAATTAATTAATGATGAAGATTATCATGTTAGTTATTAGGTGTGATATTTATTGAAACTTCAGAGCATAAAACAGGATAAAAGTAAAATATTATTTTGTTATTTTTTCATATAAAGTATTGCTAGTCAGTGTGGCTTCTGAACCACCAGAATCACTCTCAGCACTACTTCTAATTTCTTTATTTCTCTAGTATATCTAACATTGATGAGTTCAAATATTTTATGTAGTTATCTCCTATTATAAACAGAGATAGATGATAGATAGATATAGATACATGTCATGAAATTTCCTCATTTATTTTAACCTTCAATTATCAATAATGATGCCTTAAAATGTTTTAGGAAGTGCAAACATTTTTTGGTATGTGTGTATATATATATATATATATATATATATATATATATATATATATATACATATAGATTTTACAAATAGACTTATACCATTTTGGAGGAAATGTTTTTTAATGTAATTTTCAGAAAATTCTATATATACTTTATTACGACTTCTGAATTAAAATCCTGGCAAAATTCTACATCTCACTTCACATTCACACATCATTATTTTTCAGAACAGACAATCTCCTTTTCATAGATTCATATAAAGCAATAACTATGAAGTGGAAAAAGTATATCTATTTAAACATGCCAAATTCAAAATAATCAAAATACTCAGGCATCCCAGGCTGAGGTGAAGAAGACCTGAACAGCAAGCAGGCTTTGTCATCAAGACCCTGCTCCCCCCATTCTGCCTCATTTCTCTATTTCTACAAGTCTGAAACATTTGGTACCCAATACCTTACTTCTCTCTCACATTTTGGCTGTGATATAATCACAAACCTTCCATCAAAATATTTTTGTAACCCACGCTTACAATGTGATAGACACAGTGAGTGACACTCTCAGCAAGGTATTTGCAGTGCCACAGATGCCAAAGTCTGAAGTTCAGGAAAACTTTCTGAAATCAGATGGAGAAAGAAAAGTTACTGATTCTTCATATTGTTGTTTTAAATTTTGTTGAATTCTATTATTTTGTTTCTGGTATGTAGGCAGATCAATTGGCCCTGAATCAATAAGACTTCATATGAAAGATACCATATCTAATTTTAAAAATAACAGTGATTAAACTGGAGAACTGAAGAAAAACACAATAAAAATGTTCTACTTTGAGACATTCAACCAGAAACAGAAAACCACGTCGCAAATCAGCAATTATTTTGCAACATTAAAATTGTGTGTTAAAATATTAGAATTACCGTCTCTTTTTTTTTCAGATTTTTTCTCAGTGTAGTCTCAGTATAAAGATGGATTTTCTATTCATTCAAATAAACAAAATTTTGATTATTCAACGATAATCTTATAAATGTTTTAAATGACATTTAAATAAATATATTTAAAAGAAAATATCAATATGTAATTAATCATAATCCTTTGCTTTGGAAACATCACAAAAGTGATTTCATTTTTCGTGTTTCTGGTAAAAAATTAAAGTCAAAATTCATGTCTAAATATTTAGAAATATCTAGTCACATGTGTGGCATATTCAAGAAGTGAAAAATATAGAATTAATCATAGATTGCATCATGAATCTTAAATTTTCATTTGTTTCCATATTTCTAATAGCCTTATTAAAGGGAAATTTTTGATTTATAATAATTGTCATTATAACCATGTCAGCTCTGAGAGCTAAGTATCCTTTTGGCATTTCAGCTATTTCCCTTTCACCTTCAAATGAATTTTATCTTGATTTTCTGGTTTATGTAGGAAGGTAGCAATATTTTAAATAGACATGACAAATATTTACTCTTTGAATGAAATCAAGATATCAATGTAGGTATGCCTTCATGCTGTAAAGTGGAATGCATGTTTGACTATGCAGAAAATAATTTTTCACACACAAATTGAACATGAGGTATTGTGACAAAATATTACCCATTTTCAAATATCTTCCTTTTTGTCCAAACACCATTCCTATTGAATCTATCAGGAAATATGTTGCATGGCTTATTTGTTGTATATTACTAATGTTTAAAACTTAAGTCTTGCTTCATATCTGGAATTTAAAAGACAATAAAACTACAAATCAGTGCATTCCAAGGATGTTTCAGCCAAACAAAAATGCAAAAACTCAAATAACCTGTTTGATTTGCTTGTTGCCACATATCCAGTTTTATTAAATGTGAACACTGCCTGGTTATATATGGATTTTTATATATAGCCCATCTTTTGAGCAGCCCAGCCTGAATAGAACAGTGTGTGTCTTCTGTACATGTGAGAATATCTATATAAGCAGGGATTTGTCACTGTGTTTTTATTAATGGAAATCATTTCTTTAGGTATAAAAATGTTAATCTCAGTTCAAATTGAACAAAATATTAATATCCACAAACTGCTAGTTGTAAAAGACAGTGGAATTTAGATTCAGTTTTCCCCAAACAATGAATGCTGAAAGTGTAAATTTATTTAAGGAAATATTGAATTCAAAGGCATGAGTTTGGGACTGGAAACACAAAAGCTGATAAAAATGTGAATGATGTAAAATAAAGCTCAGTGAATAAAATATAAATTCTCATGTTATTTATACACTACAAATTCTGGTCAGGCGCTTCTAGTTTAACTTTGTGTGGTTTTTATTTGAAAGTTGCTAACTTCTCCTTAGCATAGGAGAAGCTGCCAGATTTAAATCAGATTCTCCTTATTCTTTCCTAAGCAAGAATGCTGAAGTGCCTCCTTCAGTTGTGTACATGGAGGGAAAGTAGTGACTGTTTTCAAGGGTGATTTTGTGGCGGGACAATTTTCTGTTGAGACTTCGCTTGGGCTGTGTCTTATGTAGTGCTTGATGTAGAGTTCAAACATTTCTGGGAGACATGGGGGCATGTGGACATGAGCTCTTCTTTACCAATCCAGCTGCCACGGTCTGAATGTTTATGTTTCATCAAATTCACATATTGAAGTCCCACCTCAACAGGTGATGATCCTAGGCAGGGGGCCTTTGGGAGGTGATTAGGTCACGAGAGTGGCGCCCTCATGAATGGGGTTAGTGCTTCTTATAAAGGGGACCCTTGCCTGTTCCACCCTGTGTGAACACAGGGAAAGATGATCACCCATGAACTGGGAAATGGGCCCTCACCAGCCCCTGAATCTGCTGGTACCTTGATCTTGCATGTCCTAGCCTCCAAAACTGTGAAAAATAATTCACGTTATTTATAAGTCACGTAGTTTTTGGTGTTTTGTTACAGCAGCTCGAAGGGATTAAGATACCAGCCATTCTAGGGTGGTGAGTTTTCTTGTGGATTTTTCCACATGCAAGGATTAAACACCAGACCCACAATGGGAACCCTCATACCCACAAGGAGTGGTGAAAGAGAGTATCCTCTCTCTAGGAACCATGGTCGTGTGTTCAGAGACAGGTGCTAGCACTTGCACATAAACTGCTGCAACATGGAGAAGCTCAATGCCTGGGCAGAGAGCAACCAAGCCCAGCCCAAGATTGGTGACAGAGACGCCTCTACTTCCTTCACAACTTCCGGCAGAAACACTGTAGATCATTACTAGAGGCTGCAGGCAAAACCCAGTTGTTGGTGTCTGATGTTTATCACGGTGAAGCTGTGTCACAGAGTGGAGTCCCTGGAAGCATATGTTAGGAAAACTGTGACTTTAAACTGTGGCTTGTCCCTGGGGCTGTGCAAGTCCCCAATTTTCTGGACAATTCAATATAAGAGTTAGACAAGACCGAATGATTAAGAAAGTATGAATTCCTGCTTACTCTGGCATACAGAGGATGAAACATTAATTTGAATATTAAAAACAAATATGAATTTGCTTGTTTCCCATTCTGAAGATGTGGATATTCCATCTGTAATTATAATTATCTCAAGAAAGATACTTAGAATTTACATATTCACCTGAATTCTGTTTCTCAGTCACTTAAAGAGGGAAAGACTGAGAGCAGTGTACATATATTGAGTCCCCATTATTTCTTACCATGGTGCAGAGTTCTCACATTTTTTTCAATAGGATGTTAATTTGTTTGAATATTGTGCACAATGTCTGCCATAAATATAAGCCTGGATGGTCAGACTAAGTAAATAGATTGCAGCATTTTATTCTGTCATTTTGACACAGACACCATCAGAAATGAAGAGAGACATGATTGCATGCTGTTGCTGATGACGGTCGCTTCACCAGGACTGGCTCAGGATGTTGTCGCCTACTGTGGCAGAGCATGCGTCTTCATCCACATCACAAATACATAGGTGCTGCTACAGATCTTGCTTTCAGAAGGACATTCCTTGTGATAGAAGCTTGAGGTGGGGAAATTAGACCGTGATGAAGAGGCTGTAAGTTTGTCCTTGAAATGAGTTTTACAAAGCAACATGTTTCTCCCAGCATATTTCGGCCAATGTCGTTTCATGAATACCGTGTGTATTAGTTCCTACCCAGGCAATTGCTCTTTGAACACTGTCCCATTTTGGTTACTAATGAGTTTCTCAAGGAAAACTAGTACAGCCAGATGCTATTTACATTTTTTAAATCACAGAATGTAACTATCGGATGTGTTTGTTAATACTTTTTAAATCGGTTGAATTTTATAATGGAGATATCTGTCCGTTAATTTAGATTTCAGATAATGTTTTTACTTTGTACGCATAAATCAAGGCCTACACATTTAGCTGAATTGGTACTGAATTTCTTGTAATAATCCACTCTGAAGAGATGGAAGAGTGACTTCAAGAAGACATTTGTAAAATCAACTAAAGGAAAAAAGGTGTAGAGAGCTCAAACATTGAAAAATATTTTATTTCCTGTTCAAATTTGAGGTTTGCTATGTGTAGTTTGTGCAGATAACCTACAAAGTTAAACTATAAACCATAAAGTTTAATATCTGATTTTTAAATTTTTCAGTAATAATTTTTGTTAAAGATAAGTAAGGTTAAATATGGTGGTTCTGATGAGAGACAAGGTGGCTACTAGACTCCAGTTACCTTGGGGAAGTAACAGTGTTTAAAGATTCACTATTTCAAAGAAAAGTGCTTTGACCTCCTTATTGATTTATGCTAATTTAAGAATAGACTTTCTTGATAACTTAAGCCACTTTAATTTTGGTGTGATTTTATACTTTACAAAGAAAGGTCTTTGAACTAAAATATATTACTAAAATAATATATCCATTGTTCCATATTGTTGTCCTGTATTATTCATGGGTCACTCTACCTCTGTATATATTTGTGCTGAGGTAAAAGAAAATCTATACAGGCTTATCCTTACATTCCCTTTAGCCGAGTTTAGGAATCAGTGCCTACTAAAGAGGCCGTAGTTAATCTGCATGTGCTCTGCCTGTGTGTGTGTTTCCTCGAGTTGTAATTAGGCTGGATGTCGGCAAGAGGAGGTGGATAGCATGATGCTGGAGAGCAAAAGTGGTGACTGGTTCCTGGTCAAAAGTCCAAATATCCACAAAGATGAGAAAATTGGATCTAACAACAACTAAAGCTTATCAGTTAGAAGCTCTGTGGTACGTCATCAGGTATGACACACATAGAAAGATGATGAGATGATAGATAAATAGGCTGGCCATTTAGTCTGATATTGCTAAGTAAGCATGGGTGATTACTTTAAGTCACTTTTAATAGAAATTGTTCTAGAGTGGCCGGGCGCGGTGGCTCACGCCTGTAATCCCAGCACTTTGGGAGGCCGAGGCGGGTGGATCATGAGGTCAGGAGATGGAGACCATCCTGGCTAACAAGGTGAAACCCCGTCTCTACTAAAAATACAAAAAATTAGCCGGGTGCGGTGGCGGGCGCCTGTAGTCCCAGCTACTCGGGAGGCTGAGGCAGGAGAATGGCGTGAACCCAGGAGGCAGAGTTTGCAGTGAGCCGAGATTGCGCCACTGCACTCCAGCCTGGGCGACAGAGAGAGACTCTGGCTCAAAAAAAAAAAAAAAAAAGAAAGAAATTGTTCTAGAGTGATTTTACTACATGTATGTATATATGTTTTTAATCTTTGAAAGTTCAGATTCTAATTAAAACCTCATTTGGTATAAAACTGAGTTTTTCAGTATCTGTATTGTCATTTTAATTTTGTATGGTGCCATATTTATAGCCATGGTCAGCCAACATTCACAACATGAAATTGATTATGCCAAATAAAGAATATGTATTCTTCTTGGTTTATAAATTTAGAATATTTAAAATCAATTAATATTCCAAAATTAATTAGAATGTATTTCATAGCTCAAGAATCTCACAAATAAGGCCCTCATTACAAGAAAGACATAATGAGGTATTCTGGTGACAAGATAATCAGTGCATGCTCTATCGGCTTTGTACTTTGTAGCAGAATAATATTTTAGTATCCCAGGGAAATGTGTTTCTTGGGTAGGTTTTACTTATGGAAACCCAAAGGAGAGGCGTTGGTTTGTCAGGTATGAGAGAAATTAACCACATCATTGTGAGTCAGAGTCCTCGGGAAGAAAGTCTATTTTAGACTCTGAAAGAAGTTATGGCATAATTTAGACATGTACCTGAAGGGTAAAATCTTAGGAGTCCTGTGGGAGATTGTTTTCCCCAATGCCGTGATAGTCACTCTCCAAACATGGTTTCTGTCCTTCGCTTCCTCTCTGCTGGTCCCGACCCTTGCATATGTGCTGGCCCTTTTACTGCTCTGACAAATAGAATCATTTCAAAGTTTCCTGAGCCCAAGCCTTAGGATGATTGACAGAATGCACGTCCTTCCCGGAAAGCTCCTTCTTAGAATCCAGCCTCCTTGTTGGAAGTCCAAGCAGCCAAATGGAGAGGTCCCAGTGGAATTCCCAGTGAGCAACCAGCAGCCAGCACCAACTTTTAGTCATCTGACAAGGTGATCCTGGTCCTTTTTGCCATGGTAATGCTGTAGCTAACACCATCTGAAGCAGAGGACATATCTGTCCAATCTGCAGAGTTATGATATATAATACATTGTTGTCATTTAAAGCTACTAATTTTTGGTGATGTTTGTTACACAGCCAGAGATAACAAAGCATCTTTTTTCTTTATTATGATACTTTAAGCTTTAGGGTACATGTGCACAATGGGCAGGTTTGTTACATATGTATACATGTGCCATGTTGGTGTGCTGCACCCATTAACTCGTCATTTAGCATTATTCACAATAGCAAAGACTTGGAATCAACCCAAATGTCCAACAATGATAGACTGGATTAAGAAAATGTGGCACATATACACCATGGAATCCTATGCAGCCATAAAAAAAATGATGAGTTCATGTCCTTTGTAGGGACATGGATGAAGCTGGAAACAAAGCATCTTGTGTTATAAAGAATGCTCAGTTTAAACAGAGGTGTTTCAAAGGTTAGATTGTTTTGTTAAAAGAAAATTATTTCATTTATTTTGTTCATTTTTTATATTGGTCATTTACTATAATACAAACTATCTTAGGGGATTTAAAAACTCATACTAGATCGTATTCTAAGGAAGAAAAAAATTATGTAGTGATGTCCTAGATTTGAGAATCAAGCACTTCAAGAAACAGCAGTTTTGAGGGAGAGTAATCTCCAAGAAGCCCTGGGAGAGGTTCATTTAGAGAACAGAAGCAAACCCAAGAGAAGTTTTTAATTTAGAGACTTGGTAATCCCTTGATTGAGAAATATGTACATTCTGGGATACTTTTTGGTGAGGAAGGAGGAATGCAGAATTATGAGGATAATTCCAGAAGGGACAGAAAAGAAGAAAGTGGCTCATCTGTAAGGGAATTGCATTTGACATTAGTGCAGATGTGCCAGCTGTAGTGGGGTGCCTGTGTGGAGTCTGAAATTGGACCAAAAGAGAGACACATGTCTTGAAGGGAACTCTGTAATAAAGACTAAAGAAAGCTAGGAGGCCGCCAGAGAGGACCTGCTAAATCACGTGCTATATGCACTTCACTGAGGAAAGCTCCACATGGCTTTGAAGGATAAACTGCCCTCACTCACTTTTTTTTACCTCTGTAATGTATGCTTACTTTTCTCAGTTACATCTGTAAATACATATGCTTAAAGATGCATATTAAGGTGGCTTTTTATTTACATCAAACGTAAGAAATATACCATAATGTGTTCCGTCTTTTGTTTAGCAGTTCAAGTGCTAATAAAATCTGCAGCAATTTATTATTTCTCTCCTAAAAATGATGATTCACTCTTATACGTACAGAGCAAATGTAGGTTTCAACATATTTTATACTAGATAAAAATCTCTCAATAGCTTAGCCTTCCCCCAATTTGCTTTACCTGTGTCTTTACAGAATATAAAAGTATTTTGTCTGGATGAGATTTATTAACAGCCCAAATAAAATGAAATTACAAGGCACTTTACATGTCAGTGTTTTCAGTTGTACAGTCTATTTACCGGGGCAGATAAAATCTTCTCTTTCAATGAAATTTCATAAACATTATAATAGTTATATGCTGGACATAAAAATAAATTTGTAAGAGTGAAATAGACATATACTAACCGCACTATATTGTTAAAAATTAATTTTCTGAGTTTCGACATTTTTTTCAAATATATGTGCTATATTTTATTTAAAATGCCTCATCAATAGTGGTTATTCAATGAATGCTTTGAGAAGTATCATCATTTTTTTCCTTACCTTGGACCCGTGATAGCCAATAATATCTTCTGCATACAAGTGAAATTATTTTAGCTGTGATCCCTACTTAACCCCCTCTACCCACTAGTAGAAAAGCAGGCTTGACAAGGAAATTACTAGCTGGATTGATTGCAGTCTTAGAAGTTCATGTTCCAGCTTATATTTGCTAAGTGGCTGCAGGGTGAAAGGAGTGACTATAAAGTATGTAATATAAACATGATCTTCAGAAAACAAGATTACACTCACCATAAATTGTAATCCTTTACTCGTGGACCACCAGTCCTAAAACCGTTCACTTTCTATTAGTTAGAGTCCTATCATTTTTGCAGGAGTTATTTTAAATAAATGAATTTGACATTATGAAAATATTTTATTCTGATTATGTGTTCACTTGTTTAATTATATAGTTTCTTTAATACAGTATGACCTAGAGGATTTTTTTTTTTTTTTTTTGAGATGGAGTCTCGCTCTGTCACCCAGGCCAGAGTGCAGTGGTGCCATGTCTGCTTACTGCAACCTCCACCTCCCAGGCTCAGAGGGTTGTCTCGCATCAGCCTCCCAAGTAGCTGGGATTACAGGCGCCCACCACCAGGCCCAGCTAGTGTGTGTGTGTGTGTGTGTGTGTGTGTGTGTGTGTGTATTTTTAGCAGAAACGGGGTTTCACCATGTTGGCCAGACTGGTCTTGAACTCCTGACCTCAGGTAATCCACCTACCTCGGCCTCCCAAAGTGCTGGGATTACAGGCATGAGACACCGTGCCAGGCTAGAGGAAATTGTTAAAGATGTTTTTTGATACAAAATGTAAAGAGAAGTATTTTGTTTGAGACAGAAGTATGTTGAATAAATAAATAAAATCCATTCATTTTAGAATTGAGTGACAGCCCTGAGTTTCTTTCTAGGCTTGGACTAATGAAGTATACTCGATGCTAGAGAAACACACACAAAAAAGATAATTAAAGCTTTGGCCATTGAGAAGCTCATTCCTGCAATCTAGGAAATGAATATGTTACTCTGAATTTTAAAAGAGAGAGAAAGGAAGCTGATAGAGTTGCTAGCCCTTAGAAGGGATGACAGTTCTCTGGTAGTTTCTGACTTGAAGACCACTTCACAGATTTGAAACTGGAGAAACATTAACAAGATTACCATGAAATAATCAGTTGATCATTATATAATTTACTTGTCTCTATAGGGAAAACTAAGATGTCCTCAGACCTGGCCTAGGCATAGCCTGAGATTGTAAGAAAATCTTTTGTGCTACTGCTATTTGGAAAAAATAGAACATCCATCTAAGGTGTTTCAAAATGGCATCTTCTCAAGGTGGTGTTCCTTAGTTTTCTCACTTTGTGAAACAAAATCCATACTGCAACAGTCAGGCACCTCCCACTCATCTCAGCTGTCTGTGCAAACACCCAAAGAAACTGTTTAAAATAGAACTTTATAAAAATGGCCAAAGAATATGTCCAAAATGATTGAGTCCACAGGGCTTGCTATAGAATTTGGAGATGGGAAGATGAAAACTAATCTGGCAACTATATTTGGATAATTATGTCCAATTGCTTTTGGAAGTGGTAATGAGGAAGATGTCAAGATAAACATTGGTACCTATGGGAGAAAAGTCATGGACAGAGCTTCTCCTTTTTTCTTAGAATTCTGGAATTCTTCAAGTTCTGGGGTTTTCTATTTTCCATCTCAGTGATGACAGCTACATGTATTTATTTGACAACAAATATATATGCTGGTATACATACAAAGGTAGGAAGGACATATTACAATTTTAAAACTACCCCTGACTTATATTTTTCTCCAGCCGTAATAGAGGAAAGAAAAGCAAATTAATTGAACTCTTAACAAACTTCTCTATAAACTGGCCTGAGCAGGATGATCTATGACTATTTGATCTAAAATTATTTCATCTGTGTTCCTGATCAAAATTCACTGGGCATATATTCCATTTTTGGAGCTCCTTATTCTTAACTGTGCTTAGAGCTTGTAATCATTGACAATATGTCTGTCAATGTTAACAGTTGACAGCTTAATGTGTTAGCCTTCTAGTGGGTTTACATTTAAGTAAAACATTATTGCAATCATCTTTTTTTAAAATTGGAGTAAATCTTTACAATTTGAATTATTGGTTTCACCTCAATAGAGACAATGGGGAGAGAGATATGCTTTTTTAGATAGGATTTTCCAGCCACTACTTTCTATATCGTATTAAAAATTGATATAATACAGTGCTTACCAGCCACCCACCCAACAAAATTATCTTATATAATTTTGCTTGAGTACTCCAGGCCCTTTAGCATAAGTATAGAAGTAAATGTGCCATGTTATAATTCGTATTGAATTCCAATCAGCGTTTCCTCTCTGCATTGCTATCCCTTATCAGAAGAAGAGGATATTTTAGAATAAATAATCTTTAAGATTCATTAAAACTCTCAAATTCAGAGATTTCAACAGAGGCTATAATTTCATGTTCTAAAAGATGTCTTTCCAAGCTTTCTTTCCCAAATCTTGATTCTACCTATCATCTATTGCATTAGTCTTTCATTCCAGCTTTGTAAGGTAAAATTTTGATAATGCCAAATGTTGACATTCGAGGTTCTAAAATTCTGATGATCCTGTAAGTGATGATGAAAATACAAAACAAGACTTGGTCAAGGACAGAACCCTCTGGAGTTCCAACTGGACACTTGTTACAAGAAGTAGTTTCCTTTATTCCAAGAATATTAGAAATCTATACATTTTAACCACATAGCAACTCCAGTGTAGCTACATGTTACAAATAGGAAAATTGAAGTTCACAGAATTTAAGCAAATTTTTAAAGAAATCTCAGTAAGCGTTAGACTAGGGATTCAAATTCAGATCTTCTCTACTACAAAGATTAAGATGTTTCTAGAACACAAATAGTTTATTATTTGTTCCATTGAGATTCATCTCAGGTGGAAATAGACAGGCTGTGACTGGAAGACCTAGAAGGGAGACATCTCTATAAATCACCCCTTCACTAATCAATTAGTTCTACTTTCAACATATATAATACATAAATAAATTATATATATATAATCTCTTTATTAATTAAAGCTTTAATGTGTTGAAAAGGATCTATCTGTTAAAAGTCACATCAGTCAAATATCTTACTCAATATCCAGATTTTTCACAATTTCAAGGACACAAGTAATTACAAAATGGGTCTGGGACTCCCAGTGCACATCCACAGAGCCATCCTCCCCACAGAGGGCAGTAGCCTAGGCTGTTTTTCAAGGTCCTTAAGTAATACGAGCAGTCACATCACTGACACACAAAATACAGATTTGGATAATTAAACAGCTCGGTTTTATACTTGGAAGATCAAATAATTTACCTACATTTTCCAGACTGCCAGGCTTCATCAGTCCATGCACTTCAAGACCTCACACAAATTTTACAAATCCTACGTAAAGCTTTCTATAAATTCATTCTGTAGGTTGCGATGAAAATACAAAACAAGACTTGGTCAAAGACAGAACGTTCTGAGATTCCAACTGGACACTTGCTATAAGAATTAGTTTTCTATGCTCCAGGAGATATGTTAGAACGTTTAAATTTTAACCACATAGCAATTCCAGTGTAACTACATGTTACAATTTGTAAAATTGAAGTTAGTGAATAGTTTGTTAGTAAATACTTTTCAGTAAATAGTAAATAGTTTTTAGTGCATTTGTCAGTTTGGTCAAGAGCAAGTTTCCAAGGAATTTAACCGGGTCACCCCGTTTTGTTCTTTCCCAGGGAAATTTCTTCCCCTGTAAAGAGACAAATCGGGAACTTCCACGGTGCTTCTTAGCACTTTCTTCCCAGTTTCTAAAGCTGAAGTAAAAATGTGAAAACCGTCAATATCTACAGATTACATAAAACCTTTAATCAGCACTCATTTAGCCAATTAAGCCTTGAAGTTTTAATATTATTACTTTTATTTAACCCATTTTTCATCCTCTTGTCAGACTTGTCCACCAAATATAAATGTTTTTCCAAATGAAATATAATTCTTTTTCAATATTTTTATGTCTAAGTGTTTCAGCATTTTCTATGAATAGCAGAGGAATATGGATTAAATTATTAATACAATATAATAGTTATCATTAGCTAGTACAACTCATCAAAATATTCTCACACTATCCATTTGATAAGTTCTAGAAATTTTCCATAATTTGGCATCAGCCTATATTTTCAAGAATATTTTCTTTCTCCCCTCTAACAATTGGGATATTACTTTACTTCCAGTCTATGAGCATACCTACTATTCTGTAAAAATTTCAAAAGTGGTGGTAGCTCAGTTATAAATCTTCAATTTTGCTTAATGCCATGACATATAATTAGACTATATCCAGTTGAACCTATTCACTAAAAAGATAAATGTATTCTTGTTATTTTCTTAATCTTTTCCCCGTTTGCCCCAAGAATATTTGCAAGCAATGATTGCAGCTGCACCTGAGATAATTTTGCCACAAAATATCTCACTTTTATTGTTATTTTCATATCACTCTAGTATATTGACATTGGAAACAAAAGACATCATTCTATTTCTAGCATTCTGTTTTTAGTAGTGATATGTCCTTTTACAAAATGTAGTAATTTTCAATTGCTGAAAATGTCAAATCCTAGTAAACGTAGCAATCCCACCCATGACGTTAACATATTTCTCTAACACTTGTTGGCAGAAGATTTGTTTGAAAAATCAGATTTTTTTTCAAAGTAGATGATTCTGATGATTCAGATGATTCTGATGTCAGTTTTGATTAGAAATAACTCCAAGAACAGTTTTTATATTTTATTTTCATGTTGAAAATCAGTCAGATTTACTTCAGCCTCAAAGAATGTGTTTATGTAAAATTAAATGAGTGCTGACAGCATGCTGCATCTTTATTTTTCTCAACAGGAAAATGGTTAACTACCTTAGGCTACAACTTCCATATTTTTAAAAATTTTGGTTTGATTGTTTTATTTAATATGAAAGGAATATTCCCACATAAAGAATAAGAAATGCACAAAGTTTTTCTTATTTAATTGCTTTTTAATCCAAGAACCATTGATTTTTCCCCATATTTCTAAAATGACAATATATAGTACAAATTCATCGGAAGGTCACATATACAGATATACTGTTGTTTTATAATTGTTACTGTTGCTGTTTTTCTTACTATTTTCTACTTTTCACTTTTGTAATTTTTGCTGTTTTATACATACACACACATATATGTGTAACATCATATATATATTTATAAAACGTGTGTATATGTGCACATGTGTGTCTGTGTGTGGATTCTTACAGAATCCTGACTTTTTGGTATCATTTACTGGGCTACTTGGATAACTGTTTTTAGCTGAATCGCTTGTGTCTTCCAGTTTGCTAAAAGTGAGTCTAAAATGGTTATTTTACTTTTTTCTTTTTTATTTATTTATTAATTATTATTATTATTATTTTTTGAGATGGAGTCTTGCTCTATTGTGCACGCTGGAGTGCAGTGGCATAATCTTGGCTCACTGCAACCTCTGCCTCCAGAGTTCAAGTGATTCTCCTGCCTCAGCCTCCTAAGTAGCTGGGATTACAGGTGCACACCACTACGTCCAGCTAAATTTGTACTTTTAGTAGAGATGGGGTTTCACTGTGTTGGCCAGGCTGGTCTCGAACTCATGACCTCAAATGATCCACCTGCCTCGGCCTCACAAAGTGGTGGGATTACAGGCATGAGCCACAGCGCCCAGCTTAAAGTGGTTCTTTCTTTCTTTTTTTTTTTTTGAGATGGAGTCTCGCACTGTCACCCAGGTTGGAGTGCAGTTGCGCAATCTTGGCTCACTGCAACCTCTGCCTCCCAGGTTCAAACGGTTCTCCTGCTTCAGCCTCCTGAGTAGATGGGATTACAGGTACCCGCCACCACACTCGGCTAATTTTTTGTATTTTTAGTAAAGATGGGGTTTCACTATGTTGGCCAGGCTGGTTTCGAATGCCTGACCTTAAGATCCACCAGCCTTGGCCTCCCAAAGTGCTGGGATTACAGGCGTGAGCCAGCGTGCCCGGCCTGAAGTAGTTCTTAAGTACAGTGTTTATTTATATGTCCAGGCTGCTCATACCCCCATAAGATGTTTTCAAGATACAATTCCATTGTCTTTTATACACTTGTCTCATGTCATAACACCTATTTTATCTGTGGTGTACTTTTTGATACAACATTAAGAAAATTTAGTTTTTTTTTTAATTTGTCATTTGCAATAGTCTGATAAGCAAAAATTTTTGTGATGATAAACATCTCTATATTTTTTTTTCTACAGTAACATTGAGAAATTAGTACTCATACTGACATTTGCCTTAAGTTTTCATTAGGTACAAAGCAACACATCAGCCTATTACTATATGGACAGGTCTTTATAACTCTTCCATCACAAAAGCAAAGTAGTGTTGATGCTGGATTGTATCTAGTGTCCTTGATACTGTGTACTCAGCACGTTTGTGAGTATTTTAGCGATTCATTTCTAAGACGACAAAAGGAAAAGGTAGAGATGAGACAGAGAAAAAGAAAACAAATATTTTTTAAGTTATCAAAGTTTGAGTATAAGCTTAACTTGGTATAATTGAAAAAATGTAATGTGGAATGGCAGGACTAAGACAATGATTTAGGTAAGGTGTAAACTGATTTGGCTGAAAATATATCAAAACTCTTCAATTTTGTTGAAACATGCTTTACACATCTAACTAAAGAATTTTAAGTACTTATATTTTGTATTATCTGGGCCATTACAATTATAGTGAATTAAACCTTATGAGTTATATTCATACATATGAAATATAAATTTAGAAAATATTAAAATATTAGTGTATATAATTTTAATAGAAAAAAGTAATACAAGGTTTCATTTAATAAAATAATGAACAAAAATTTATTCTTGCAAGGATACTTTACTGCTATTTGATGACAGACATTGGTGTGTAGTTGAAACAATTGACATAAACGATGCATTTTTTATTCCTTTGAGAATATAAGATTTTACCCATGTAACTGATATGAGCGAATTCAAAACAAGGTGATATGTCTGGTAAAGAATAGAAAATATTAAAGTTCTTCGTTAAAATATCCTGTGATATTAATATAAATATCTTATATTTTAGAAAGTTAACCAGTTTTTGTTTTTACAAGCAAAGTTTCAGAAGTTCAGAAATTTTTTACAATGTTCAGGAATAACAAATACACCTCAGACTTCTGTCAACTCTAAGATTAGCTCATGTATTGCTCATATGTTATGAGGCATATTAGTCATCCTATTGATGAATCAGTACTCTAACCTTATGGTAAGCTGAATTTTCTATGAGTTGCATTGATTGGACAGTATCATTAATCTGAATGGTTATACATCCTTAATTCAATTGCCAACTCATTAAATGAGCCTAAGCACTAATTCCACTTAACTTCATTGTGATTAGCAATCATATACTTTTAAAAATGTTCTTTGTGCATACAGCAAAAACCACTTTGGGATAAAGTAATGGTTAGGAGACAACAGCAACAAGCACAAAGCTTTATAGTTTTATTTCAAACATCTTTAAAGCAACTAGAGGTTTATATCTTGGTCACAACCTCTCTCTGTGGTTGACTGCAATAGGCTAAAGGATTTCAGCAAACCTTACTCTCAAAGAGGGCATCAGATAATGAGAGTGAGAAAATCACAAATGGCAAAGCCAGTCTGAAATTCAGGCTTGCGTGTGTGCTAGGCTCTTGTGGTTAACCGACCAAGTTTCAGTTATAAGTTATGTGAGAGAAAGTTATCATTTACACTAGAGTAATAAATCTACTTTGTCTCTGACTCTCTTTCCTCCCTAATCCATCACTCCCCATTACAGGAAAAAGAAAAGATTACTGAAGAAATTCAAAGTCATATATTTAAAACAATCTATTACATTTTTTTGATGGGGACTTTTCTTAAGGTTTGCAGGGAAGATGAGCCAAATGCTTAAAAACAAGCCTCTGATAATCTTCTTCTCTATTAATTAATTAATTATAAAGCTAACTTTAAGACACCAATATTGCTAAATAAACAAATGATTCAGCAAGTTTTTAATTTTAATATTATCTTTCTCTAACTTGTTTTTTAAATAATTATAATTATATATTTATTCAATTATTACTTTATGCAAGATATTATTCCCCATGTTTTTAAAAAATTATTACTGTGGTAACAACTTCATGAGATTTTCCCTCTTCACAAAATTTTAAGTGCACAATATGGTATTGCTAACTGTAGACACAATGTTATATGGCAGATCTTTATAACTTATTCATCTTTAAAAACTGAAATCTTGTATCTATTGAACAGCAGCTGCCGGTTTCTCCTTCTCCCTAGGCCCTGGAAAACACCATTCTACTTTGCTTCCTATGAGTTTGATTAAGTGGAATCAACAAATCACAAAGAAAGACAGAGAGAAAAAGAGACACAAATAATTACAAAAGACATTGAAAACTATTAATAAAATGACAATGAGTTTTAAGCTATCAATAATTACTATAAATAAAATGGATTAAACTCTCTAATAAATAGATAGAGTGGGTGAATGGATAAAGAAATAAGATCCAGCGATATGCTGTCTACAAGAGACTCACTTTAGAATCAAAGACATGCATAAGCTGAAACTGAAGGTATAAAAAAAATTATTCCATGCAAATGATGACCAAGAGATAGTAAGAATGGCTACACTTAAATTAGACAAAATAGACTTCTTGTTAAGAACTGTCACAAGATACAGAGAAGGTCTACATAACCCTGTCATCTGTATAAGGAACAGCATAATAATAAAATTAATAATCCATCAGGAAGATAGAATTATAAATATATCTATAAATATGTAAGCACCCAACATCAAACACCTAAATATATAAAGCAAACATTGAAAGATCTGAAAGAACAAATTGGCAGTACTACAATAATAAGAGACTTCAATACCCTACTTTCAACAATCAATAGAACATTCAAAAAAAATCAATAAGAAAAAAGTGGACTTGAACAACACTATACACTAAGTGGATCTAACAGACATCTGCAGAGCACTGTAACCAATAGCAGAAGAAAACACATTCTTCTCAAGTGAACACGTTCCAGGATAGCATACATATTAGGTCACAAAACAAGTTTCAACAAATTTAAGAAGATTGACATCTTACCAAGTATTTTTTCAACCACGATAAAATAAAACTAGAAATTAATAGCAGAAGAAAACTAAAAAATTCACAAATATGTGGAAATTTAACAATAAGGTTTTTAAAAATCAAAAGGGAAATTTCCAAAGTATCTTGAGACAAATGAAAATGAAAAGACAACATACCAAAACTTATGGGATGCCACCAAAGCAGTACCAAGAGGAAAGTTTACATAATAAATATATATCTTAAAAAAGAAAACATCTCTAACTCATTCTAATTCCAAACAATGGATTAGGAAATGAATTTAAAATGAAGGAAAATTAGTTACACAAGCCACACAAGTAATAAAACAGTTAAATGAGAAAATCTTAGGAACCTAATCCACCAGACAAGAATATGCGTAGCAGAAGCAAGTCTTTGGAGAGAGAAGAAACAGTGCTTGATGGTAAGAGAGTCTTTCCATACTACTCAGGTAGTTGATGAGGAAAATGAAAAATCAAGTCATATTTGGAAGAGCAAACTATTTGAATATATACTATGTATTTTGTTGTTGCTCTTATGTATGTAGTAATTTACAAACATTTTCAAGCATTGTTAGAGAAAGGCATCTAAAAAAACAGTAAATTTACCCATGGCCAATTTGGAAAGAAGAGATCATGAACTCTTATGATTTACAAATCACTGACTCTGGTACATCCTATTTATATTATTTACATCTATTAAGATGTAAATAATACTTCAGTGTATGCTGGTTAATTAGGATCTATCTTAAAGTTTGGATAAAAAGAGATGAAATATTCTGAGGGGAGAAATGAACATATTTGGCATACAGTCAGTATTTGTTGAATAATTATAGTATCCAAAAGATGTTATTGGTCAGATCGTATTATAACAACAGAAATCTGACCCACATACTCTGTAGCTCTGTCCAGAAAGCCAAACCACTGCTTTTGCAGCAATCAACCCAGAATAGTCAGGACTGTCAGCTCCCCTGTTCTTTTGTCCTTCTTGCAAGCCAGGACCAACTAGAGAAAAACAAGTGTAATTTCAAACCTAACACAAAATGCCCAGCTTCCAGTTAGCTCACCTCCAGCTTCTGCATGCAAACAACCTCTGATCAGAGTGTATTAGAACCATTACTTTTTGTTGCTGTTGTTCACTCAATGTATTTCCTTCCAACATGCATCCTTTGAGTCTCTGCCAATCACAAGTGGCTGACTCCCTTGCTATGGCAAGCTCTGAATATATATTATCTGCTGCTGTCATTTGGATGGTCTTTTTTTTCTTCCATATCTGTAATCAGTTACTCCTTTTATTAGGTTTGCTTTGCAAAGAAATACAATAGTTGGTTTGGAGCATAGAAGGTGTATAAATCTGTTAACCTAATGCAATGGAATCTATAGTCCTGAGCTTCCCTGCAGTGATTGAATAGCTATCACAAGCAGTCCCAGGCAGTTTAGGATAGATAATTTTTCTTGGTTGAGTTATAAACATTTTAATTATCTCCTAAATTTTATATTGTCTCATTTTTTAGTTATGAACTCCATCTTGAATAAAAGTTTCCTTTTTTCTCAGTTATTTAAATGGCTCTGAATTATCCTGTGCTTAGCCATACATCAATAACAAATATAATAATCTGTGCTATTCAAAATATTTAGAGAATGGGCAATTATTATATGCTACATGTTTTTGTCAATAAGATATCCCACTTCCCCTATACCGCATACAATTTAATCATTCTCAATGATTGAGAAGGCATTTCCAAATTTGTCTTTTTTTCAGAATTCATGTTCAAAATGTGACTACCAATTCTAGTAGTTGCATAAAAGTGCAAAATATATTTTAAAAAACTATAGAAATCCCTGCAACAGAGAGGGAATGCAACATTGTTTGCAAATACATGGCTAAGGGATCTAGTGATCAGATCAGATGAGAAGTAAATCTCCAAAAAATCTTAACAGTGCTTTAAGCAGCACAAAAGGTTACTGAACAGTGGTGCATCTGAACCACTTCAGATAGGTAACATCTCTGTGAGCTTCTCAGCATGCATATGAAGACCAACAAGGACAGTGATACCAGATTAAGCAATGCTAATACTAAGATGACAACAATATCACATTAACAGCCACTATCATAGCTATTACAGCTTCTGTGTCTAAAAGAACAAGTAAATAGCAGGAGATGATAAAGGAGTTTTTCTCATATCATTATGCAAAAAATATATATGAACACAATCTAACATAGCATAATGTATTTTACATATAAGAAAATAATTTTAATTATTTTTAACAAATGTTAGCGTTTACTTCTCTTTCTTCACTGAAGTTGTAAAATAAAATAACATGGTAGAAAACCTCGTATTTAAACAATGTCAAGTGTAAAAATGGAAAAGTGGAGCATAAGCTTTCCCATCACTGAACCATATAATATGGGTGCCTTCCTTCCCAGGCAATTGCTTGACATTAGGTAGTCATTAAATACAACCGAAATTCTGCTCCTTAATGCTAAGTGTTCTTCACTGCAGGAAATACTATCCAAGCCAGAAGACAGGCAGTGCTCTCAACCTAAATTGCAGCCGACATTAACATGGGATTACATTCAGAGACATTTATTTTATAGTACAGTATATTGCTTTAAACATAATTTCAGGCCACAATTTAAAAACACACATATGGTATAGTTCTCATTAAAATGTCATCATCTAAATAAACCAGGGTGGGAACAGACATTCATGGGGGATGTGATCATGAGGAAAGGGGAAGCAGGGAATGTGGACCAAGTATAGGAGATTTTTGTGGTCTAACGGAGATTAAAAGCTACTCTATCTGTAAATGTGCTGATTCAAATCATACAATTTTATTGTAGAATGAAAATACCTTAATAGCTCCAGGTATATAAATGGAAAAAAGGTGAAGCTATGACATCTGTCTTCTCCATATCATTGATTGACAATGGAAAATTAATCATGTGGTATTTTCTAAAAGCAAGAGAATTATACAGTTATAGATCTACCTAATTCCACTTCTTTTTTCTCTTTTTAGACACATAGTAAAATGACACATTACAGCCTCCCTGAGTTCTGGTGGAAGGAATGTAAGCAGATACTATATCTGCTTACTTACCCATGCTAGGTCACAACAGTTGTCTGTAACCCTCCAGCTCCATTTCTTTCTTTCTTTGAGACAGAGTTTTGCTCTTGTCACCCAGCCTGAAGTGCAGTGGTGTGATCTCGGCTCACTGCAACCCCCGCCTCCCGGGTTCAAGCGATTCTCCTGCCTCAGCCTCCCCAGTAGCTGGGATTATAGGCACCCACCACAACGCCTGGCTAATTTTTTTTGTATTTTTAGTAGAGATGGGGTTTCACCATGTTGGTCAGGCTGGTCTCGAACTCCTGACCTGAGGTGATCCGCCTGCCTCGGCCTCCCAAAGTGCTGGGATTACAGGCGCGAGCCACCATACCTGGCCCCCTCCAGCTCCATTTCTATGCCATCGAGACCCTGGACACCATATGCTGAGGTGACTGCAACACAAGGCAATGGGGTTGGCTATCCAGGAGGAATGTGCACCTGGGGAGACAAGTAAAACCTTCTTGTTGATCCACTAAAATAATTGTAATTATTATGTTACTGCCACATAGTCTAATCTATAGTATAAATTAGATCATGGAAACCTCTACCTTGCATATTTGCAACTTCTTTTAAATAGGCATTTCACAACCTCATGTTATTTTAACATGTAGAATTTACACTAAGTTGTAGTTAGGTAAAACCCTGAAAACAGAAAAATTGCTTTTATAGATTCTTTATGCATCAAAATGTAATTATATACCTAAGAAGACTGATGATTTAATGAAATAAAACTATCTTTTATTAAACTTTCATTATCTAGAGGTTCTTGTGACAGATATTCAAAGATAATTTTCATAGAAAACATTCAAGAAACTGCTTATAATGTGATGGAAATAAAACCACCAAAGTAATTATGTATATTCAAATCATCTTTATTTTCAGGCTCCACGATTACGGGATAATTCATTTTAAAAACTAGAATATTAGAAATACACCCGTGACTTACAGGAAAAAAGTGGAAGGAACTGCTTTTGAATTTGACACAAAGGAAAGCCAAGTCTTCAAGTATATTGAGTTTATTTTCCATCATTTAAATAATATATTAGATGTAAGTCTTTCGAGAGTCCATCTACAGTAACAGAAAATATACCTTCCATGAGCTGAAAACCATTGTTTCAAAATTATAATACCCGTTGTTAATATTGAATAACTACCGTGTGCCTGGAAATGTGATTAGTGCTATAGTATTTATTTCTTTCCTTATTTATTATAAAACGGTGGCTGCCAGGATCGGTTAAGGGAAAACTTTATCTGTAGTTCTCTGTAAAATATATGCATTATGAATTCAAAGTACTACCATAATATAATCTTTACCATATTTGTATAGAATTCTGATTTGTTTTAAATTTCTTCTAGGCCAGGTGTGGTGGCTCATGCCTGTAATCCCAGCACTTTGGGAAGCCAAGGGAGGAGGATCACTTGAACCCAGGTGCTCGAGACCAGCCTGGGTAACATGGAGAAACCCCATCTCTGCAAAAAATACAAAAAATTAGCTGGGCATGGTGGTACGCACCTGTAGACCCAGTGACTCAGGAGGCTGAGACAGGAAGATCACCTAATCCTAGGAGATGGAGGCTGCAGTGAGCCATCATGGTGCCACTGCACTCCAGCCTGGATGATGCTCTAGAGTGAGAACCTGTCTCAAAATAAATAAATAAATAAATTTGTTCTAAAATTATAGTATCTGAGATCTTTAAAGCCTGTAAAAGATAATTGAAGTAATGATGTTAAGTATTATCAATGCATCAACTTAAAATACGCATCAAGACGTAAACAAACTAACCCAACAGAGCTTAGGTTGTCTACAGTTACATCTCAGCTACTGGCAAACACCATGTTTGAGCTACAGTCTTATTTGTGATCCACCACTTGTTCTTTACAGCTAGCTGCCTACTGTAGAAAATACTCTAATTTCATACTTTCTGTTGGCATTTACACTAATAAAGCCTACATTTTAATTAAAAATATTTTGATAGCCTCATAAAAACTGTGAGAAGATATCTTATACAAAAGATTTCCAAAAGTGAAGAATTTTTTGACCACATAAAAAAAAATGTTGGTGATTAAAAATGCCTAAAATACCAAATATATATTTAATATATTAATATAAGTAATATTAAGATGTATTTCATTGCCTAAAATAAGGCTTCAATGTTTATTTTGAAACAACTGTGTTACCCCAAAAATATGATTATTCCATAAATAATGACATCTTTAAACAGTGGGCTTGCTTTTCACAGATCATTAGATCAACTTGCTTGAAAATAACTTCTTATAAACTAAAACAATATTATCATATTCATGACTGGCAAGAAGGGAAACAATTTGATTTGGAAATTTCATTCAACTTTATCCATTGTGAACCTTGAAAAAACTATTGAGTGAGCAGAGAAAAGTGTATGAGTGAATAAATGCATTTGTTCCACTTTTCTTTCAATCATTTATTAAAGAATATTAACTTAAAAAGGGAAAGAATTAGAGTATCTTTTGAAGGATTGAAGCTCAAGAAAAGTGAATGCTTTGGACTGAATATGTCCCCGCCCAAATTCATATGTGGAAGCCCTAACCCCGAATGTGATAGCATTTGAAGGTAGGACCTTTGGGGGTGATTAGGTTAAGGTGCGATCATCAGTGTAGAGCTCCCATTATAAGAGTGGAGCTTTTATAAGAAGAGGAAAAGATCAGAGTGCTCTCTCTCTCTTTACCGTGTGAGGACCCAGCAAGATGTGGCTACCTGCAAATCAAGAAGAGCCCCTGGCCGGGCGCAGTGGCTCACGCCTGTAATCCCAGCACTTTGGGAGGCTGAGGCGGGTGGATCACGAGGTCAGGAGATAGAGACCATCCTGGCTAACACAGTGAAACCCTGTCTCTACTAAAAATACAAAAAATTAGCCTGGCGTGGTGGCGGGCGCCTGTAGTCCCAGCTACTCGGGAGGCTGAGGCAGAAGAATGGCGTGAACCCGGGAGGTGGAGCTTGCAGTGAGCCGAGATCGTGCCACCCGCACTCCAGCCTGGGCCACAGAGCAAGACTCCGTCTCAAAAAAAAAAAAAAAAAAAAAAAACAGAGCCCTCACCTGACACCAAATCTGTTGGCACCTTTATCGTGGACTTCCCAACCTCCAGAACTATCAGAAATAAGTGTTTGTTGTTCAAGCTCCCAGTACCTTGTATTTTGTTACAGCAGCCTAAACTGATTAAGACAGTGGGGAACTGTTAAGACAATGCTTTGTTCTTTCAATAAATATACTTTAACTTCACATTACTAGGAAAAGGTTATTCACCATAACAGGAAATGTAAATCTTTAAGAGAAATTAGGAAATTATTAATATAACAGAAAACTGAAAGAGAAATATCACTATTTTCAAAAGAAAGAGTTTAGATATTCTTTCCTTCTTTTGAAAATAGTGATTCAGCACACTGATTTGATGTTATTTGGTGAGAAACTTAAAGTTACATGCCTTCTAAAGAATGTATCCTGAAACATTAGCACCCCTGAGAGCGTTGAGGGAGAATGTACCCAGAGTTTTCTCTGGTAAACTTGGTGTTAGAAATTCCATATATTATGCAAACTGTGTAATCACAGTAGACATATACCATAAACAATATAAGAAATTCTGTTAAGGAACATTCTCTTAAATATATATGATGTATTATATTATTAAATATATAAACACATTTGTTTACATATGAAAAATTTATACGCACACAGAAACACACAATCAACCCATCATATCCTAGGGTTCCACATCCACTGATTCAACCAACTACTGACTGAAAATATTTGAAAAAATAATAATGCAACAACAAAAAGTAATACAAATTTTAAAACAATACAATATAACAACTATTTAAATTTCATTAACATTGCGTTAGGTATTATAAGTAATCTAGAGTTTATGGAAGGATGCCAATATGAGGGATTTGAGTGTCTGAAGATTTTCATATCTGCTGGAAGCAATCCGCCTTAGATACAGAGGAACAACTGAATATTCCTTTGTTGGTTTATTTATGCTGGTTTTTAGTGATTTCCAACTCTTGTTTCATGATTGACACACCTTTTTTTAATTAACTCAACCACTTTTAAATCTAACTTTCCTCACCTCCACCCCATCAGCTATGGCTGGAGAAAAACAATCACCAATCATGCTAAATGGCTTTACTTTAAGTTCACAGCAATCAGCCTCAATTAGTCCCTTGTCATTGACAATCTTTTTTTTTTAAATTTTTTTTATTATTATACTTTAAGTTTTAGGGTACATGTGCACATTGTGCAGGTTAGTTACATATGTATACATGTGCCATGCTGGTGTGCTGCACCCACTAACTCGTCTAACTGCACCCACTAACACACTAATACATCTAGCATTAGGTATATCTCCCAGTGCTATCCCTCCCCCCTCCCCCCACCCCACAACAGTCCCCAGAGTGTGATGTTCCCCTTCCTGTGTCCATGTGATCTCATTGTTCAATTCCCACCTATGAGTGAGAATATGCGGTGTTTGGTTTTTTGTTCTTGCGATAGTTTACTGAGAATGATGGTTTCCAATTTCATCCATGTCCTTACAAAGGACATGAACTCATTTTTTATGGCTGCATAGTATTCCATGGTGTATATGTGCCACATTTTCTTAATCCAGTCTATCATTGTTGGACATTTGGGTTGGTTCCAAGTCTTTGCTATTGTGAATAATGCCGCAATAAACATACGTGTGCATGTGTCTTTATAGCAGCATGATTTATAGTCATTTGGGTATATACCCAGTAATGCGATAGCTGGGTCAAATTGTATTTCTAGTTCTAGATCCCTGAGGAATCGCCACACTGACTTCCACAATGGTTGATCTAGTTTACAGTCCCACCAACAGTGTAAAAGTGTTCCTATTTCTCCACATCCTCTCCAGCACCTGTTGTTTCCTGACTTTTTAATGATTGCCATTCTAACTGGTGCGAGATGGTATCTCATATTGATGGGACATATTTCAAAATAATAAGAGCTATCTATGACAAACCCACAGCCAATATCATACTGAATGGGCAAAAACTGGAAGCATTCCCTTTGAAAACTGGCACAAGACAGGGATGCCCTCTCTCACCACTCCTATTCAACATAGTGTTGGAAGTTCTGGCCAGGGCAATTAGGCAGGAGAAGGAAATAAAGGGTATTCAATTAGGAAAAGAGGAAGTCAAATTGTCCCTGTTTGCAGATGACATGATTGTATATCTAGAAAACCCCATTGTCTCAGCCCAAAATCTCCTTAAGCTGATAAGCAACTTCAGCAAAGTCTCAGGATACAAAATCAATGTGCAAAAATCACAAGCATTCCTATACACCAACAACAGACAAACAGAGAGCCAAATCATGAGTGAACTCCCATTCACAATTGCTTCAAAGAGAATAAAATACCTAGGAATCCAACTTACAAGGGATGTGAAGGACCTCTTCAAGGAGAACTACAAACCACTGCTCAAGGAAATAAAAGAGGATACAAACAAATGGAAGAACATTCCATGCTCATGGATAGGAAGAATCAATATCGTGAAAATGGCCATACTGCCCAAGGTAATTTACAGATTCAATGCCATCCCCATCAAGCTACCAATGCCTTTCTTCACAGAATTGGGAGAAACTACTTTAAAGTTCATATGGAACCAAAAAAGAGTCCGCATCGCCAAGTCAATCCTAAGCCAAAAGAACAAAGCTGGAGGCATCACACTACCTGACTTCAAACTATACTACAAGGCTACAGTAACCAAAACAGCATGGTACTGGTACCAAAACAGAGATATAGATCAATGGAACAGAACAGAGCCCTCAGAAATAACGCCGCATATCTACAACTATCTGATCTTTGACAAACCTGAGAAAAACAAGCAATGGGGAAAGGATTCCCTATTTAATAAATGGTCATTGACAATCTTAAAACCTACTTATTGTCTTTCCACTCCCCAAGTAACCCGAAGAATATGTCAAGGCTTCTCCTCTCCCCACAAACAGATAATAACCCTCCTGCAACTCCTCCTCACTCTCAACTGAAAAACAGGAAGTATCCAAAGAGAATTGCCAAGCATTCCCCACACAGTCCTACTGTCCACCTGCATCTGTGCCTCTATCTTCTGTCTCACCTCCTGATTGGATTGGTTACCTCATGTGCTTCCAACCGAGGCAGTTCCCTATTGTGCCCCAGATTTGATCCATTGCTGACTACTCAGTGATTTTGCACCCATAATTTTCTCCTTCCTTCTCTTCTGCAGCCATCAGTGGAAAATTTGTCTTTTATACCATTTTAATCAGCATGGAAACATAACGTGGAACCTGACAGCATTAAAAATAGAAGGCTACAAATTGGGTTCAGTGTATATTGCTTGGGTGATGGGTGCACCAAAATCTCACAAATCACATGAGTAAAGAATTTACTCATGTAACCAAATACCACCTGTTCCCACAAAACCTATGGATATAAAAAATAAAATTAAAAAATAACATAAATAAATAAACAAAGTCTCCTTTGGCCCCTAATTCCTCTCCAGTTACCACTCCATTTCCTCCAGTTTACAGAAAAATTCATTAAAGAGCTGACTATACTTACTGCCTCCTAACATGAGGTGCCTTGTGAAACTCTCAGCAGAGACCTTAGTGGAGCCCACCTGGACTCATGATCTACCGAGCTGTGAGATAATGGGTGATGCTTTAAGCTGCTAAATTTGCGGCGATTTGTTTTGCAGCAACAGAAAACTAATGCAAGTGGGGGAAGAACTGTAGTTTTTAAAGGTATAGCTGTGGAGGAGACATGAGAACCATCTTTACAAAGCTGAAGGACCTAATTTGGTGGATATTTGGGTAAGAAGGTTCTAGGCAGAGAGTCAGCCAGTGCAAGGGAATAGGGCCAAAGCCAGGAAGCTGGAGGATGAGCTTGGAGGCCAATGTGGCTGGAACAGAATGAGCAGGGGAAAGCCGGGAGAGAAGGGAGCAAAAGAGGCATCCGGGGCAGATCATGTAGAGCCTGAGAGGTCGTTCTAAAGACTTCAAATTTTCACTAGGTGAAATGGGAAAACAACCCAGGATTTTGTGGTGGAGAAACGTGGCTGCCTTTGTATAACTACCGTATTGCACAGGAGCATGATAGAAGCAGGGAGAGCAATGATAGAAGCAGGGAGAGCAATGATAGAAGCAGGGAGAGCAATTGCAGTAACTCAGGTGTGAAGGAGATTGCATCATGGTAGGAGCAGAGGAGGTGGAGAGAAGTGTGTTGGAATGTGAAAAATTAATCACTGACATTTGAAATTCAACCAAACAGAAGTGGCTCACTGCAGGCAAAGTAATGACTGGGTGGTGTTGCTTTGATCTCATGCAGGATAGTGGTGATTAATACTATATGTCCACTTTGCTGGGTGACAGTGCCCAGGTATTTGGTCAAAGATTATTCTATATGTTTTTGTGAAGGTACTTTTTAGGTGAAAATAACATTTAAATCAGTAGACTTTGAGTAAAGCAGATTGCCCTCCATAATGTGGGTGGGGCTCATTAAATCTGTTGAAGGCCTTAATAGAAAAAGACTCACCTCTGCCTCAGAAGTGGGAATTCTGCCAGTAGACAGCCTTTGGATGGAAATTGCAGCATCAGCTCTTCCCTGTGTTTCCAGCCTGCTGGCCTACCCCGCAGATTTTAGAGGTCACCAGCCTCCACAACTATGTGAGGCAATCTCTTAAAATAATCCCACTTTCTAAACACACACACACACACACACACACACACACACACACATTCTGCTATTTTTGTTTCTGTGGGGCACCCTGACTAATACAAGGGTCTTTGGTACACTGCAGATGGGGGCATCTGAATAGGCTGGAAACAATGAAAACCTTACCCTAAGTTCTTGCCATGTGTCAGATCTGGGATAGTTTCCCCGGAGATGGAAGGAAGAAAAAGAGGAAGAGAAGATCCCTGTCCAACTTCGACACACCATTCTGTCATTTTGGAAGCACTACTTAACAACCTAGATTTCAGGATCTTTGTCTAAAAATGGGCATATGACTAACCTCTCACAGTTACTGAGAAAATTAAATGCTTATAAAGTATCTAGTCATGTGCCAGGCTCGAATTGGGCTCTTAACAAATGACAGTATTATTATTACTGTCTCCCATTCAAAGGGCATTTTGTGGCTGTCATGACTGTTAATAGTACAGGTGATGAAGTGATAATAATAACTTACAGTGATTTGACTCATGTAACATTTTAAAGCACTTGCATATATTATTTTATGATGCCACTGGTAAGCTGTGTAGATTATTGTGCTTCTAATATCAATGGAAACCAGGAAAATGTTACATACTTTTATACTCAATCAAGTCTAGGGAAGTATCTGTCTGTAGGTGTAAATCTGGCACTCTGCATAGTGTGGATGAAAATTTATTTGGCTTTTGTGATACGTAATTGTAGTTGAAATAATTATTGCATCAGAAGCCAATAAAATACCCATGGAAAATTGTTTTCAAAAAGCATACATAATTGTTGTAGGAATATTTAAAGAAAAATCTGTAACCTTTTTATTGAATTTTTAAAATAAATAAACATAAGTTTTATGTATCTTAGCACCTGGTTGTGCGTATATTGTGTCTGTCTTTAATGGAACTTTACAAAATTTCATCAAAAACAATGTCAAATTTTCTTTAGGGATTTTCAAAGAGTTTTGCACTAGAAACTGTTTCATTATATTTTAGTTGTTTTCCCAAAGAATACACTGGGGGGAGGAGCCAAGATGGCCGAATAGGAACAGCTCTGGTCTACAGCTCCCAGCGTGACCGACACAGAAGACGGGTGATTTCTGCATTTCCATCTGAGGTACCGGGTTCATCTCACTAGGGAGTGCCAGACAGTGGGCGCAGGTCAGTGTGTGCGCGCACCGTGCGCGAGCCGAAGCAGGGCGAGGCATTGCCTCACCTGGGAAGCGCAAGGGGTCAGGGAGTTCCCTTTCCGAGTCAAAGAAAGGGGTGACGGACGCACCTGGAAAATCGCGTCACTCCCACCCGAATATTGCGCTTTTCAGACCGGCTTAAGAAACGGCGCACCACGAGACTATATCCCACACCTGGCTCAGAGGGTCCTACGCCCACGGAATCTCGCTGATTGCTAGCACAGCAGTCTGAGATCAAACTGCAAGGCGGCAACGAGGCTGGGGGAGGGGCGCCCGCCATTGCCCAGGCTTGCTTAGGTAAACAAAGCAGCCGGGAAGCTCGAACTGGGTGGAGCCCACCACAACTCAAGGAGGCCTGCCTGCCTCTGTAGGCTCCACCTCTGGGGGCAGGGCACAGACAAACAAAAAGACAGCAGTAACCTCTGCAGACTTAAGTGTCCCTGTCTGACAGCTTTGAAGAGAGCAGTGGTTCTCCCAGCACGCAGCTGGAGATCTGAGAACGGGCAGACTGCCTCCTCAAGTGGGTCCCTGAACCCTGACCCCCGAGCAGCCTAACTGGGAGGCACCCCCCAGCAGGGGCACACTGACACCTCACACGGCAGGGTATTCCAACAGACCTGCAGCTGAGGGTCCTGTCTGTTAGAAGGAAAACTAACAACCAGAAAGGACATCTACACCGAAAACCCATCTGTACATCACCATCATCAAAGACCAAATGTAGATAAAACCACAAAGATGGGGAAAAAACAGAACAGAAAAACTGGAAACGCTAAAACGCAGAGCGCCTCTCCTCCTCTGAAGGAACGCAGTTCCTCACCAGCAACGGAACAAAGCTGGATGGAGAATGATTTTGACGAGCTGAGAGAAGAAGGCTTCAGACGATCAAATTACTCTGAGCTACGGAGGACATTCAAACCAAAGGCAAAGAAGTTGAAAACTTTGAAAAAAATTTAGAAGAATGTATAACTAGAATAACCAATACAGAGAAGTGCTTAAAGGAGCTGATGGAGCTGAAAACCAAGGCTCGAGAACTACGTGAAGAATGCAGAAGCCTCAGGAGCCGATGCGATCAACTGGAAGAAAGGGTATCAGCAATGGAAGATGAAATGAATGAAATGAAGCGAGAAGGGAAGTTTAGAGAAAAAAGAATAAAAAGAAATGAGCAAAGCCTCCAAGAAATATGGGACTATGTGAAAAGACCAAATCTACGTCTGATTGGTGTACCTGAAAGTGATGCGGAGAATGGAACAAAGTTGGAAAACACTCTGCAGGATATTATCCAGGAGAACTTCCCCAATCTAGCAAGGCAGGCCAACGTTCAGATTCAGGAAATACAGAGAGCACCACAAAGATACTCCTCGAGAAGAGCAACTCCAAGACACATAATTGTCAGATTCACCAAAGTTGAAATGAAGGAAAAAATGTTAAGGGCAGTCAGAGAGAAAGGTCGGGTTACCCTCAAAGGAAAGCCCATCAGACTAACAGCGGATCTCTCGGCAGAAACCCTACAAGCCAGAAGAGAGTGGGGGCCAATATTCAACATTCTTAAAGAAAAGAATTTTCAACCCAGAATTTCATATCCAGCCAAACTAAGCTTCATAAGTGAAGGAGAAATAAAATACTTTATAGACAAGCAAATGCTGAGAGATTTTGTCACCACCAGGCCTGCCCTAAAAGAGCTCCTGAAGGAAGCGCTAAACATGGAAAGGAACAACCGGTACCAGCCGCTGCAACATCATGCCAAAATGTAAAGACCATCGAGACTAGGAAGAAACTGCATCAACTAATGAGCAAAATCACCAGCTAACATCATAATGACAGGATCAAATTCACACATAACAATATTAACTTTAAATATAAATGGACTAAATTCTGCAATTAAAAGACACAGACTGGCAAGTTGGATAAAGAGTCAAGACCCATCAGTGTGCTGTATTCAGGAAACCCATCTCACGTGCAGAGACACATATAGGCTCAAAATAAAAGGATGGAGGAAGATCTACCAAGCCAATGGAAAACAAAAAAAGGCAGGGGTTGCAATCCTAGTCTCTGATAAAACAGACTTTAAACCAACAAAGATCAAAAGAGACAAAGAAGGCCATTACATAATGGTAAAGGGATCAATTCAACAAGAGGAGCTAACTATCCTAAATATTTATGCACCCAATACAGGAGCACCCAGATTCATAAAGCAAGTCCTGAGTGACCTACAAAGAGACTTAGACTCCCACACATTAATAATGGGAGACTTTAACACCCCACTGTCAACATTAGACAGATCAACGAGAGAGAAAGTCAACAAGGATACCCAGGAATTGAACTCAGCTCTGCACCAAGCAGACCTAATAGACATCTACAGAACTCTCCACCCCAAATCAACAGAATATACATTTTTTTCAGCACCACACCACACCTATTCCAAAATTGACCACATAGTTGGAAGTAAAGCTCTCCTCAGCAAATGTAAAAGAACAGAAATTATAACAAACTATCTCTCAGACCACAGTGCAATCAAACTGGAACTCAGGATTAAAAATCTCACTCAAAGCCGCTCAACTACATGGAAACTGAACAACCTGCTCCTGAATGATTACTGGGTACATAACAAAATGAAGGCAGAAATAAAGATGTTCTTTGAAACCAACGAGAACAAAGACACCACATACCAGAATCTCTGGGACACATTCAAAGCAGTGTGTAGAGGGAAATTTATAGCACTAAATGCCTACAAGAGAAAGCAGGAAAGATCCAAAATTGACACCCTAACATCACAATTAAAAGAACTAGAAAAGCAAGAGCAAACACATTCAAAAGCTGGCAGAAGGCAAGAAATGACTAAAATCAGAGCAGAACTCAAGGAAATAGAGACACAAAAAACCCTTCAAAAAATCAATGAATCCAGGAGCTGGTTTTTTGAAAGGATCAACAAAATTGATAGACCACTAGCAAGACTAATAAAGAAAAAAAGAGAGAAGAATCAAATAGACACAATAAAAAATGATAAAGGGGATATCACCACCGATCCCACAGAAATACAAACTACCATCAGAGAATACTACAAACACCTCTACGCAAATAAACTAGAAAATCTAGAAGAAATGGATACATTCCTCGACACGTACACTCTCCCAAGACTAAACCAGGAAGAAGTTGAATCTCTGAATAGACCAATAACAGGCTCTGAAATTGTGGCAATAATCAATAGTTTACCAACCAAAAAGAGTCCAGGACCAGATGGATTCACAGCCGAATTCTACCAGAGGTACAAGGAGGAACTGGTACCATTCCTTCTGAAACTATTCCAATCAATAGAAAAAGAGGGAATCCTCCCTAACTCATTTTATGAGGCCAGCATCATTCTGATACCAAAGCCAGGCAGAGACACAACAAAAAAAGAGAATTTTAGACCAATATCCTTGATGAACATTGATGCAAAAATCCTCAATAAAATACTGGCAAACCGAATCCAGCAGCTCATCAAAAAGCTTATCCACCATGATCAAGTGGGCTTCATCCCTGAGATGCAAGGCTGGTTCAATATACGCAAATCAATAAATGTAATCCAGCATATAAACAGAGCCAAAGACAAAAACCACATGATTATCTCAATAGATGCAGAAAAAACCTTTGACAAAATTCAACAACCCTTCATGCTAAAAACTCTCAATAAATTAGGTATTGATGGGACGTATTTCAAAATAATAAGAGCTATCTATGACAAACCCACAGCCAATATCATACTGAATGGGCAAAAACTGGAAGCATTCCCTTTGAAAACTGGCACAAGACAGGGATGCCCTCTCTCACCGCTCCTATTCAACATAGTGTTGGAAGTTCTGGCCAGGGCAATCAGGCAGGAGAAGGAAATAAAGGGTATTCAATTAGGAAAAGAGGAAGTCAAATTGTCCCTGTTTGCAGGCGACATGATTGTTTATCTAGAAAACCCCATCGTCTCAGCCCAAAATCTCCTTAAGCTGATAATCAACTTCAGCAAAGTCTCAGGATACAAAATCAATGTACAAAAATCACAAGCATTCTTATACACCAACAACAGACAAACAGAGAGCCAAATCATGAGTGAACTCCCATTCACAATTGCTTCAAAGAGAATAAAATACCTAGGAATCCAACTTACAAGGGATGTGAAGGACCTCTTCAAGGAGAACTACAAACCACTGCTCAAGGAAATAAAAGAGGACACAAACAAATGGAAGAACATTCCATGCTCATGGGTAGGAAGAATCAATATCGTGAAAATGGCCATACTGCCCAAGGTAATTTACAGATTCAATGCCATCCCCATCAAGCTACCAATGACTTTCTTCACAGAATTGGAAAAAACTACTTTAAAGTTCATATGGAACCAAAAAAGAGTCCGCATCACCAAGTCAATCCTAAGCCAAAAGAACAAAGCTGGAGGCATCACACTACCTGACTTCAAACTATACTACAAGGCTACAGTAACCAAAACAGCATGGTACTGGTACCAAAACAGAGATATAGATCAATGGAACAGAACAGAGCCCTCAGAAATAATGCCGCATATCTACAACTATCTGATCTTTGACAAACCTGAGAAAAACAAGCAATGGGGAAAGGATTCCCTATTTAATAAATGGTGCTGGGAAAACTGGCTAGCCATATGTAGAAAGCTGAAACTGGATCCCTTCCTTACACCTTATACAAAAATCAATTCAAGATGGATTAAAGATTTAAACGTTAGACCTAAAACCATAAAAACCCTAGAAGAAAACCTAGGCATTACCATTCAGGACATAGGCATGGGCAAGGACTTCATGTCCAAAACACCAAAAGCAATGGCAACAAAATACAAAATTGACAAATGGGATCTAATTAAACTAAAGAGCTTCTGCACAGCAAAAGAAACTACCATCAGAGTGAACAGGCAACCTACAACATGGGAGAAAATTTTCGCAACCTACTCATCTGACAAAGGGCTAATATCCAGAATCTACAATGAACTCAAACAAATTTACAAGAAAAAAACAAACAACCCCATCAAAAAGTGGGCAAAGGACATGAACAGACACTTCTCAAAAGAAGACATTTATGCAGCCAAAAAACACATGAAGAAATGCTCATCATCATTGGCCATCAGAGAAATGCAAATCAAAACCACTATGAGATATCATCTCACACCAGTTAGAATGGCAATCATTAAAAAGTCAGGAAACAACAGGTGCTGGAGAGGATGTGGAGAAATAGGAACACTTTTACACTGTTGGTGGGACTGTAAACTAGTTCAACCATTGTGCAAGTCAGTGTGGCGATTCCTCAGGGATCTAGAACTAGAAATACCATTTGACCCAGCCATCCCATTACTGGGTATATACCCAAAGGACTATAAATCATGCTGCTATAAAGACACATGCACACGTATGTTTATTGCGGCACTATTCACAATAGCAAAGACTTGGAACCAACCCAAATGTCCAACAATGATAGACTGGATTAAGAAAATGTGGCACATATACACCATGGAATACTATGCAGCCATAAAAAATGATGAGTTCATGTCCTTTGTAGGGATATGGATGAAATTGGAAACCATCATTCTCAGTAAACTATCGCAAGAACAAAAAACCAAACACCGCATATTCTCACTCATAGGTGGGAATTGAACAATGAGATCACATGGACACAGGAAGGGGAATATCACACTCTGGGGACTGTGGTGGGGTCGGGGGAGGGGGGAGGGATAGCATTGGGAGATATACCTAATGCTAGATGACACGTTAGTGGGTGCAGCGCACCAGCATGGCACATGTATACATATGTAACTAACCTGCACAATGTGCACATGTACCCTAAAACTTAGAGTATAATAAAAAAAAAAAACATTAAAAAAAATATATATATATATATATATTTGTCACATATATAAAATAATTGACTACAAATTATATGATGAAATAATCACTTAGAATGAACTGATTTATATATATTGTTATGTAAATTATGTTATGTATTATAATATATGCTATTTTACACATATGTTATAAATAATGTGCGTAACATATCTTATATGCATATATTACATACATTATTATATACATATATTACATGTATAATATATACCTATTGTATTAAACTATGTTAATTATTAATATATTAATCATATTATTATATATGATATGTAATACATATATTAGTAGTAGTATATATTATATATAAATCAGTACTTTCTAAGTGATTATTATATATAATTATATATATATACACACACACACAAAAATCCACTCCAGACCCATTGGCTCATATACTTATATATATATATACTCATATATATATATATATATATACACACACATATATATATACACACACACACACACATACATAAAATCACTGGAAATGATTACTTAAAAGTATACTATTTCATAGAATTTTCATGTCAAATTCATCAATACCGTGGAATCAAATAAAAGGCTCAGCTTTCATGATTCTGAAGCTGAAGCATCTTAAGATGTACAAGAGGAATTGAATACTCTTCAGAACGTGCAAACAGGTACCAAACTGGTTGAACTTGTCTGTAAAATTGTTTCCAACCCGTGCATTCTTTTTTTCACAGGACTTATGTAATACACATCAGTGGAGTGAATGAGCACCTTATACATCGTAACCGCGAAAGCAGTGCTCATGCTGCCCCGCCATGTATGGTGCTCCCCTGCACACTCTCTGTCCTGTTTCTTACTGCCTCTGGGCTGTCCCACTCCCGAACGGAGGGGATGTTTAACTGAGCTCCCAGCCCACAGACACCTTCTCTCCATTGCCTTGTCACCCACAAGACTTCATGATGCTCAACTTATCTTTTCTCTCCAGTAATTTATAACCACTCTGTATGCACGGTTAGCCAAACACACAGTCGATGATACTGATAAACCACGTTTGTTGTTTGATGGATGTTTACGGACACAGAAAGGTATTTGATTTTCTAATGTTCACTCTAGGATGAGCCAGTATAAAGATCCAGGCTTGCAAACAATGGGAATCTCAAGCCAGAAGCAGCCATGTTTTGATTTTAGGAAATTCATTATGGAAAATAACCTACCAAGTGCTAATTTAAAGAGTATTAATTTTAAAACCGAATTACTCTGGGCTGTCCAGAATCTTACAGTCTAAAAGGAAGCACACCACATAGAAATAGGGACAATTCCAAACTCAGACAAACACACAACAGCAGGATAACTGCCATTTTTAACCCTTTGACTCATTTTTAAATTATTTAATATAATTATAGAATCTCATGGGAAATTTATCAAAAATATGCCTTAAAAAGATATAATATCAGCTGGGCATGGTGGCTCACACCTGTAATCCCAGCACTTTCAAAGGCTGAGGCGAGTAGATCACTTGAGCCCAGGAGCTCGGGACCAGCCTGGCCAACATGATGGGACCCAGTCTCTACTAAAAACACAAAAATTATCTGGGTGTGGTGGCGCATGCCTATAGCCCCAGCTACTTGGGAAGCTGAGGTAGGAGAATCACTTGAACCTGGGAGGGGGAGGTTGCAGTGAGCTGGTATCACACCACTGCACTCCAGCCTGAGTGACAGAGCGAGACTCGGTCTCAATATATATACATAATATATATGTAATATCTTTGAAAAATTATTTAGCCAACAGACAGTGCTCACTTTGCATGACTCAGTATTAACTGAAGCTTCCTGCTATTAGAGCAGTGCCCTCACATTGCAGAGCTGAAAGCCTGGGTAGAGCGTAGACCACATCTGCTCCCGACCATCCCTTGACACACTCAGACCCAGTTAAGGGTTAACTGTCACTGAGTCTTCTAAACCCTTGTAGCTGGATACAAAAAAAAGCCTCACCAGAGAGTGTTAACGGATCAAGTTATGCTTCCCACTGTTCCAGTTAATCTCAGGATCATATCTTAGAGTCATCCTCTCATTCTTCCTTCACTAACTCTGCATAACTCTCACCCTCAGCCAACACTTTGCTGATGGATGCTATTCGCACAGTGAAACAGTGCCTCAGGGTTTCTGCACCTGTTTATTATGTTGTTGGCCACCATTGCAGCAACTGCATATCTACAGTTATTTCTGGAACTGGAAGCCCACAGCAGGTACCCAAAGGACCTGCTGAGTTCCAGATACTTCTCCCTGCTGCCATCATGAAGGAGCAAACCTCTCTCCTCTTCAAAATGTCAGTCAATTGCCCAGCAGTATATTAACTCTTTCTCTGCCTAATGGCCCACTATCATGAGGAACCCAGCATGACCGGATCTGGCCATAACTTTGAATTTTGTGGGTCACTTTCTATGTCCCTGGGACCAGCATGTCTTCTTAGGGAGCCAGGACCCCTGTTCAACCAGAGCCTGAAGTTGAGAGGACAGGAAGCCCAAATTACCCAAATAGGCTTTTTCTGTTATCTTCTACTGGCTGTTGGGTCAAAGTATATTCTATATCTAATAAAACATTGCTCATAAAGCCCCACCTTCTTCATAAAGCAGATTTCTTTGTCTAAATGATGCTGGATGAGTTTCTGTGACAATTTTCCATCTGTGAGTATGCACACAGCACTGCATAGTGCAGTGGCTGGCTCTGCCACTGCAGGGAAGGAAGGCAATCCCAGGACATGACTCCTTCTCCGTGAGGACACACACTTCCTGCTGTAAGGTGGAAAGTGTCTGGCAAAAAAGACTATCATCACATGGCTAGCTGGTCTCCTCCAGGATTGGTGCCATATCAAGGATCAACTTGAGTCTCTGCTGCTGAATGCACGCATCGCTTTTCCATAACTTTATATCTCCAATCTTTCAACCTTGCTCCTTGAACGCTCCTGAATTCCCAGCCAAATCATTCCTCACTGTCCAGGAGTGGATTTTTTTTCCTTATCACATGTCCCTTCTCCCAAAATATGAAGCTGATGACAATGTGTATTGCTAACGTCTTTGCCTAGGGGAAGGATGTCCTCACCAAGATCTGTCAGGCTCACCTCTGAATGCAAAGTTGATGCTATACAGTGCATTTTGACCTGCAATTATCTATCTATCTATGGCTACTTATATCCCATTCTTAATTGAGGCTCGAGGTGTTTTCTATCAGGCAATTGAAGAGAACCTTCTCATCACCATAGGGCCAGAGGGGTGAGCTGAGTGAAAAATATCAGTGCTACAAGGGCAGATAGCATGAAGGTTTGGACTACCTTTTTGTGTGATGTCATTTTGTCCTTCAGCCTGCTTAAGCCTGATTTTGAATGTGCAATGTCCCTTGCATGAGGGATTCCTGTAGCCTGCCTGACCATCAAGTCATATTGAGGGGTGTAGCTGTAACCATCTGATGACGAGCAGCTCCAATTACACTGTCGCTTGGCTCCCTGGGGTGAGGAGTTCAGTCTCTTATTCTCTCTCAGGGCCTCATAGTCTGCCAGAAGCAAGGTTTGGAATGTACTCTGCTAAAGATGGCATTGTATATCTAGCTCCAGAATCATAGTGTCTGCATTTTAGCTTTGCTGTTTGGGCTTTCCAGAGATGCCACACCACTTCCTCATTACCACAAAATACCAGGATCTCCATTGCATCTGCTGGATCTAAATGCCCAAGTGGCAGTGTCATAGTCCATTTGGGCTGCTATAACAAGATGTCATAGACTGAATGGTTTATAAACAACAAATATTTAATTCTCACAGCACTGGGGCCTAAGAAGTCCTAGATAAAAATTCCAGAAGATTCAGTGTCGGCCAGGCGTGGTGGCTTACGCCAAAAATCCCAGCACTTTGGGAGGCCGAGGTGGGTGGATCATGAGGTCAAGAGATCGAGGACCATCCTGGCCAACATGGTGAAACCCCATCTCTACTAAAGATACAAAAATCAGCTGGCCGTAGTGGCACATGCCTGTAGTCCCAGCTACTTGAGAGGCTGAGGCAAGAGAATCGCTTGAACCTGAGAGGCAGAGGTTGCAGTGAGCCAAGTTCGTGCCACTGCACTTCAGCCTGGAGACAGAGGAGGAATCCTTCTCAAAAAAAAAAAAAATTGTCTAGTGAGGCCCCACATTCTGTATATAGACAGAGTCTTCTTACTGAGTCCTTTCGTGGTGGAAGGGGCAAAAGTTCTCCCTTGGGACTCTTTTATAAGGCTACTAATCCAATCCATTAAGTCTCCACCCTCATAACATAATCGACTCCCAAAGGCCACATCTCATAATTCCATCATAGATGCTGAGCATCTAGAAAGAGCAGTGGGAGCTTAGGGTACTCTGGCCTGGGGGTGCTTCCACACCTGCTCCCAGCTTGGCAGTGCCAAGTTTCTGCTAGGGCATGGCAAACAGTGAATAGAGCTGATTCTCTGCAATAGTTATCAGGGGCTGGCTCATTTGGCAACAAAAGGTGATGGCCATGCCCAGCAGCTCTGTCCATGGCAGTGACTTCTTGGAGGCAGGCAAGAGAGGAAGGGCCAAATTCTAGGCTCTGTTAGCCCGAGGTCACCTTCTCACTTGGAGCAAGCAAGTCTTGGCTGAAGCTGAGCACATAAACAGCCAAGACCAAAGGGGGACAAAGATATTCACATGCTTATGGCCTCAAGGTTTTGAAGTGTAATGCATGAGCAGACGAGACCTGGAAGGGCCCAGTGAAGGGTAACTGGGCCACTGAGTACTCAGTGCTCAGACGTTAGTTTGTAATACCATTCTAAAAAGAGAAATAAGAATCCTTGCAGAAATGGCTTGTTTTAGGGCTGGGGAAGAGAACATAGAATATGAGCCTGTAGCATCTTATAGTACCAGAAAAAAAGGAGTTGCTCAAGAAAAAAATACAATAATGGGGTTATGTCCACGAATAAAGGATCCCACAGAAAGGGGTTTTAACAGGCAGAACTAGGACGACTTGAGCAACACAACAAAAAATACTCTTGGGTTGCAACCCCAAATGTAAAATACGTATCTGTGAGTCTATGCTGATGAATAAATTGTAATTAAGTACATAAATGGGAGAGAAGAGATACATCACTCATGCCGGAGAATTCCTAATAGCTTACGTAGACATTCTGCCCTCAAGGTGGCGGGACCCAAATCTCTACTGCCTAAGTGTCAGTTGCATGTTAGGATTCTCTCCCAAAGTGGGCAATGTGGAAAGGAGGAAGAAGAGTAGCCACACACTGGATAGATCTGTCAGGCACTTCCTCAGCCAGGAGGTAAAGTTTAATATCAACAGCGATAAGGCTTGTCATTAGGATGTACCTGTGGTGTGAGGTGAGGAGAATGTGCTTGATTCCATGGCCTTCCTTCTGGAACTGACAACCCCATGTTTAACCACAAGGAAAACACCACGCAAACCTAACATGAAGGATGTTCTATAAAATAGCCGAGCAGTACTCTTCACAATGGTCAAGGTCATCCCAAACAAGGAAAATCTGAGAAACTCTCATGGTATAGAGGAGCCAAAGGAGACTTCATGGTTAAAGGAGATGTCTTGTACAAGATCCCGAAATGGGTAAAAACTGAGGAAATTTTAACAAAGTGAATAATTTAATTATTAATAATGCATCAATAGTAAGCTTATTGATTATGAGCAATGTACCCTATTAATGTCAGATGTCAAGAATACAAGAAACTAGGTATGAATTATATAGGAACTCCATTTACTATCTTGGCAGCATTTCTTTAAACCTAAAGATACCCTAAAATAACACATTTATTTTAAAAAATAAGTAAGGAAAGTTATACAGGAGGCAGACTCAAAAGAAGCCTAACTTTTTAATGTTTCCCTTACTCACAAAAGGTTCTGTCGGCAGAGGATGGAAGTCTTACTGGCTGGTCTAATTTCAGCACAAATTATTTCCGATCATTAGCTAACCCCTAGAAATTCCTACATAAAAGTAAAAATAAAAGTACATACAAATAAAAAAAAACTTATGGCTACTTATACAGAAAATGTATACTTCATTGCTTTAGCCCAGGCATGCTACTAAACAAACAGACACACAAAACAAAACACAACAATCTTCAGGAGAAAAATACCAGACTCCCTGCCTGCCTCCCTTCCTTCTTTCCTTCATCTGCCTTTTAATTTATTTAATTAAATGAAAATATTAAATTTCTGTCTTCTACCCCTTCTAGCCTGTCTTTCCTCCAAAGTTTCTTGAAAGGCAACTATATGCTCACTATAGAACTAAAGATTTTTTAGAAAACGATTGAGGCTTTTAGACCAATCAAAACTTGATTTCCAGATCCAAAGATAAGAAAATATTTTTTTCTGTAAATGAGTATTCACTTACTCAAAGCAATAGACTATTAAAGTGTGACTAATATAAAATCCAATTTTAACATTACCTCTTATTTCTCTAAACCCACTGGACAAGTTGGAAAGATGTCCTTGGCTCAAGGGCTTCCTTATGCCTCTGGCTTCTTATTAGCCTAGTAAAGACACGGCAGAGGCTGAGGCAGAAAAGAGGCTGAGCAAAAACCTAGCAGTTCAAATTATCCAACTCTAACATTTCATACGGTGAATGTGGCCAGAATTAAACTGGCGCATTACAGTCAAGTGCAGGCTTTTAATTTAAGGCCTAGGGATATCAGCTAATTTAAGGTAGGAGTGATAAAGTCTATTGCAAACTGACAGATATGCCAATGACACATCTTCTCTGGCCACAAGGACCTCACCATCTCATTTTAAAAGAAATAAACCAATGGCCACAGTACAGTAGGATCATAGAGACATTTCTAAGGCTTATGCAACCCAGAAGGGAATCTTCTCCTGATATTCAGGTGGAAGCTTGGGTTTCTACCTGAGTTCAAACAGGAACCTACAACTTATTATCACAGAGGCCTAATAATGGATTGTAGAAATCACAAAAGACAATCTATAGATAAACAGGAAGTAGTAATTTCTAACTGCAGAAGGGATGATTGCCAATAATTATGTGCTCAGAGTTTTCATCCACAATTGCTAATTGTATTAAATCTTCAATCTAATTATCATTAAACACATTTATTACACATTTAGAGAGTTAAGGATGCAAGAAGTGCAAGAAGTTAAATAACTTACCCAGGATCATGTGACAGGAAGAAAAAGGATTGGAACCCATGTCTCACTCACCTGATGTTGCAGCCTTTGTCACTGAACCACTCGTCTGGCAACCACTAAATGTAGGTAGTAGAGCTCAAATAGCACACTCTACATTCATGTACAAGATGCCTACCTAGCTATATGAAGCAGGGTCCAATTAGGACACTGAAACCATACCAGTTGTCTTACAATTTAGGGAAGAATGTCATATACACATACACGTTATTCAGCTTTTGAGGTCTGCAAAGGTTAAAAATAAGACATTAAAAAGTCATCAGGTGCAATGCACAAAGCAAAAAATCTGTAAAAGTTTGGAAGGATAAAAGGTAAATGTTTGGCTTATTTTTAGAATTTACAAGTTTGAAAGATATGCCTTTTAAGCAGGAACACAGATGTTTACTGAAATATCTACTTATGATATTATGCAGAAGCTCAAAGAAGGGATTCCATGTATTGGTAAAAGAAGAAATGTGGTTTGAAGAGGCCGGTTCTTGCATCCTAAAGCAAAGTGTATCAAGATGTATTTGAAGCTGAGGTACAGTAGCATAAAAATGGATATGGTTTGGCTGTGTCCCCACCCAAATCTCATCTTGAATTGTAGCTCCCATAATCCCCACATGTCATGGGTGGGACCCAGTGGGAAGTAATTGTATCATGCAGTGGGTTTTTCCCATGCTGTTCTCATGATAATGAATATGTCTCATGAGATACGATGGTTTTATAAAAGGAAGTTCCCCTGCACACACACTCTTACCTACCATGATGTAAGTTGTACCTTTGCTGCTCCTTCACCTTCTGCCATGATTGTGAGGCCTCCCCAGCCATGTGGAACTGTGAGTCCATTAAACCTCTTTTTCTTTATAAATTACCCAGTCTCAGGTATTTCTTGATAGAAGTATGTAAATGAACTAATACACTAAATTGGTACCAGGAGTGGGGTGCTGCTATAAAGATATGCCAAAATGTGGAAACAACATTGGAACTGGGTAACAGGCAGAGGCTGGAACAGTTTGGAGGGCTCAGAAGAAGACAGGAAAATGTGGGAAAGTTTGGAACTTCCAAGAGACTTGCTGAATGGCTTTGACCAAACTGCTGATAGTGATATAGACAATAAAGTCCAGGTTGAGGTGGTTGCAAATGGAGAAAAGGAACTGGTTGGGAACTGAAGCAAAGATGACTCTTGTTATGCTTTAGCAAAGAGACTGGTGGCATTTTGCCCCTGCCCTAAAGATTTGTGGAAATTTGAACTTGAGAAAGATGATTTAGAGTATCTGGTGGAAGAAATTTCTAAGCAGCAAAGCATTCAAGAGTTTATTTGGGTGCTGTTAAAAGCATTCAGTTTTATGTATTCACAAAGATATGGTTTGGAGTTGGAACTTGTGTTTAAAAGACAAACAGAACATAAAAGTTCAGAAAATGTGCAGCCTGTTGAATTGATAGAAAAGAAAAACCCATTTCCTGAGGAGAAATTCAAGCCAGCTGGAGAAATTTGCATAAGTAATGGGGAGCCAAATGTTAATCCCCAAGACAGTAGGAAAAATGTCTCCAGGGCATGTCAGAGACCTTCACGGCAGCCCCTCTCTTTACAGGCCTGGAAGCCTACGAATAAAAAATGGATTTGTGAGCTAGGCCCAGGGCCCCCCTGCTGTGTGCAGCCTAGGGACTTCGTGCCCTGCATCCCAGCCTCTCCAGCATTTGCTAAAAGGTGCCAAGGTACAGCTCAGACCATGGCTTCAGAGGGTGAAAGCCCCAAGCCTTGGCATCTGCCATGTGGTGTTGAGCCTGTGGGTATGTTTAAGTCAAGAATTGAGGTTTGGGAACTTCTGCCTAGATTTCAGAGGATGTATGGAAATGCCTGGAGGTCCAGGCAGAAGTTTGCTGCAAGGACGAAGCTCTCATCGAGAACCTAGGGTAGTATGGAAGGGAAATGTGCAGTGGGAGCTCCCACAGAGTCCCCACTGAAGCACTCTCTAGTGGAGCTGTGAGAAGAGGGCCACTGTCCTCTAAACTACAGAAGGGTAGATCCACTGACAGCTTGCCCTGTGTGCCTGGAACAGCTACAGACACTCAACACCAGTCCATGTAAGCTCTCAGGAGTGGGGCTGTACCCTGTAAAGCCACAGAGGTAGAGCTGCCCAAGGCCATGGAAGCCCTCCACTTTCATTAGCATGACCTGCATGTGAGACATGGACTCAAAGGAGATCATTTTGGAGCTTTAAGATTTGACTGTCCCGCTGGATTTCAGACTTGCCTGGGGCCTGTAGCCCCCACATTTTGGCAAGTTTCTCCCATTTGGAATGGGTGTTTTTATCCAATGCCTGTACACCCATTGTATCTAAAAATTAACTAACTAGCTTTTGATTTTAAAGGCTCATAGGTGGAAAAGACTTGCCTTGTCTCAGATGAGACTTTGGACTATGAACTTTTGAGTTGATGCAAAAATGAATTAAGACTTTAAGGGACTGTTGGGAAGACATGATTGGCTTTGAAATGTGAGAACATAGATTTGGGAGAGGGCAGGGATGAAATGATATGGTTTGGTGGTGTTCCCACCCAAATCTCACCTTGAATTGTAGCTCTGATAATCTGCATGTCATGGGTGGGACACAGTGAGAGGGAACTGAATAATGGGGAAAGTTTTTCCCATGCTGTTCTTGTGATAGTGAATAAGTCTCATGAGATCTGATGGTTTTATAAGGGGCAGTTGCCCTGCACATGCACCCTTCCCTGCTGCCATGTAAGACATGACTTTGCTCCTCCTTCTCCTTCTATCATGATTGTAAGACCTCCCCAGCCATGTGAAATTGTGAGTCTATTAAACCTCTTTTCTTTATAAATTACCCAGTCTCAGGTATTTCTTTATAGCATTATGAAAATGGACTAATACAAGAATCAACACACTCACTGCAGCTATATTTCTGGAATCTCAGATGCTCTCTTTGCAACTTGCAGAAATTTTTCTCATAGATGTGACTACAAGGATCACCACCATTACTGAATTTATCAGGAGGTGCAATAAAGTATTTTGTTCTCAGGTTGTCAAAATTTTCCCAAATAATTCAGAATGTAATTGATATAGTTTATAATTCACGGTAAATTTTACTTATAAAATGATAATTTTTATTTGCATTTCAAAATTAGTGCAGGGATGTTGGTATTTTAATCCACAGACTCATGACTGAATACAGTTCCTCTGCTTCAATCTTATATAAAATATTTACTTAAGTATAATTATACCACAAAAGCTTATTCAAATGCCAGGCTCCTCTAGGAGATTTTCACAGTTGTCTTAAATCTAGACATGAGGGTTAATCATAGTGTAATTATTCTGATATTAAGCCTCATATACCTTTTTATATACCATGCTATTTATAATGCATTTTGGCAGACTAGCCTTTCAAATGCATAGGAGTCTTTTAGTAAAATGGATTCTCATTATTCTCATCAAGAGTACGTAGACATCAGTAAGACACAGTTACTGGACATCACCTAAATGCACTGTGCTTTTCTAGAGACACAAAGAATTATAAAGAAGCTTGTAGCTCGCTATGAGCTCATATTCATGGAGACACACATGAAGACCTGACTTACAGTATTTAATTAGAAGAAGATACATGCTATAATCTTTAACTGCTACACACATTGAAAATAGAGAAAAAAAATTCCCTATAACACTCATTGAAGCTTTCCAAATGAAGTGGAATTTTAACTCAACCTTGAAGAATTATTGCTGTCTGCTCTCTTTCACAATTCACGCACTGACCACAGTAGCAGCACTTAACTTACAGTGTGTTGTATATGTCCTTTTCTCTTTCTGCCATAAATCTCTGAGTTATTCAGCGAAAGGGGTTTTGCCTTATCTATCCCTGAACATCTAGTATAACACGTATCTATTATTCAAATATTATATTGTAAGATGCTAGATAACATTAGGTTCAAAAAGCCATTAGCCCCTATTCTTGCAACCTGGTAGCTCAGAGTCTCACCAGAAAGAGAGGCATGTTCTACATTCAATGGCCAAAACAATGCAAAGGCAGTGTGCTACATGCTTTGGCAAAAATATCCACCCAAAATAGAAGGAACAATTTACCAAGTAAATTTATAGTATTCAACTGAGTGAGTTTGACAAATGTGTTCATCCATCAAAACACCATGGCAGTCAAGGTGCAGAATAGTTCCATCATCCCCAAAAGATTCCTCATGTTCCTTAGACCTCTACCCCACACTCTGCCTTCATCTATAGGCAACCACAGTTTTGCCCTCTGTTGTTATGCACTAGTCTGCATTTCATACAAATGGAATCATAGAGTATGATGTACATACATGTACCTTGTATGTATGCGATTTTGTGGTTTCTTTTATTCTTCACAATAATTTTCAGTTTCATCCATGCTGTTTTGTGTATCAGTAGTTGGTTCCTTTTTATTGCTGAGTACTCAATTGTATGGTTTATATGTCTTTTCAAGTGTTGATGGACATTTATTTTTGACTATTATGAATAAAGTAGCCATGAACTTTTGAGTACATGTCTTCCTATAGACATATATATTTTTTCATTTCTTTTGCATAGATACAACAGTTCCTTTTTTTACAGCACTATTGTTTCAGGCCATTCAGTTGTAGCAGCTGAACTGATATCCAAACAATATTGTTACATATTATTAATATAAAAGCTAGATCGGATCACTATGTATGAATGTATTAGAATTGCATTTCCACTTGAATCTTTTAAATATTTCTGTTGGTCATTCTTATTTTTAAATAGTTAATATTATTTTTGGACAAGCAGAGAACTATTTATGCATAAGAGTAACTACATAACAGAGTAGCTCAAAAACTAAATTTAAAAAATAGTTTTAGTTTTACAAAAATGTCTCATAATATTATATAGAAATTGCATTGAATCTGCCAATGGCTTTGTGTAGGACAAACATTTTAACAATATTTATTTTTGTATGTTGATTTTGTATCCTTAATAAAGTTGAAGAGAAAAGGAATACTTTATAAATTGATATTCAATATTAAATGTTGTTTTGAATAAAAAGCATCTAAGTGGGCAGTTATGGCACACAGCAGTAGAGTGGCATAGCTGTTCAAGCTGTAAGATTAGAATTGAGTTTATTTCAAATGACATTTTCTCTAGGTAAACTTCCCTATCTATTGGCAAACCAGTTGCCTCTACTTTTCTGCAAGCTATTAAAACTTCTATCATGACAGTTACCTAGATAGACTGTGTAATTGTCTGTTTACTTGTTTTTGTGTCTGTTAAATAAAAACCACAAAAGGTAAGTGATCTGAAAAGATCTGTGTAAAGAAGAAAAAAGAGATTAGGAATAAGTACAGGAAAGACCACAGTAACTGAATATTCCAATCACTCCCTTACATTTCTCCAGACTTCCTTGGAGTTGGATTTCAGTCATGCAACCCATTTGGGCAATGGTTTGTACATGGGGATGCTGTCATTTTGGGGCTGAGGGGTTAAAAATCCAGTGTTCTAACAGTGCCTGTAGAGGACTCAGGATGACATGACGAGATGGTAAAACCCCCAAATTAAAATAACCTAAATCCCTTTGAAAGTTGCCAAACCCATGTAGACTTTTGTGTGAGTCAGAAATACATCGCTATTGTGTTTAATCAATAAAATTTTGTGGTTTGAATGTCACAGCAGATATCAGTAATTATTCTACTTGAAATGCATATGTTACTGACGAGCTTAATGCTTGTTGCTATTGTTTGACTCTCAAAAATATTTAGAATCTTGGTTAGGGCAAAAATAATAGTTTGCTAGTACTAAAACTGAATATGCTAGTGCAGTTAATATTCATTTTTTAACTACCACCTCAACTTCAGTGTCATGTAGAGAATAATTATCATCAAACATATCCTGAATTCAAAGGTCAAGGCAAAAAATAAACTTATCTGAGTAGACATTTATAAGAAGGTCATGCAGCTAATATTACATGAATAATTTGAGATCTTGAACTTCTAATAATCCATAATGATATGTCACACAGTTAAGTAACAAATCAGTACTTCCAAAATTCATTTATGCGGCAATTCTTATTGATTTATTCTATGAGGGCTCAAAATATTCTTGCTGATATAAATTTAGCCATTATCTCTAATGTATCACAGGTATTACTAAATTTTTTCACAAAAGCACTTGAATAGATCTGTCACATTTGAATAGAATATTTTTAATAGTTCTTGCAAATGTATACAAAGAAGAAATTATTTTTTAAACCTGAAGAGTATTATCAATGCAGCTGAATTACTTTTGAGTAAAAGACTTGCTTTTGAGACCTCGGTGATCAGTGATGTATGAAGGAAAATTTCCTTGCCATATTTTGCTAATTACCTTTCAAAAAGAACTTGTTTCCTGGGTTTTACATTAAGAATTTTTTAAAATAATATATAACATAACAATACACTATTGTTTCTCTATCATTATTATAGTTGATGTATCTGTAATAGCTGAACATGAGTATCCCATGTGAATTGAACTTAAATCACAAGGGAAATAAGACCACAGAATCAAAGGGATCGTGCAGAAGAACGTTGACAGAGCACGCCTGAGGCTGCTCTCACTTAAAAAATCCTGCCAACAAGTTCGACCCTTGGGTGATGTCTGGGAACTCGGATTTCAGGACAATTCCCATGATTCCTTGATAAGGGTGACTCACTGTCCCTAAACTGTTTATGCAAGCAATATGGCTTCTCCTCAAACTGCTTTTCTTCTGAGAGTCTAGAATTATGGCATGTAGTACACACAGGATGGCTAAGCAACCAGCCCTATAAAACCTGGGGACTGAATCCTAATGAGCATCACCTGAAGGCATTTCTCATGTGCTGTCCCTCAGCATGGCCCTGAGGGATTAAGTGCATCTTGCGTGACTCCACTGCGAGAGGATTCTTGGATACCTGCAATTGGTTTCCTCCGACTTCATTCCATGCATTTTTGCCCTTTGCTGACTTTGCGTTGTGTTCTTTCATGGTAATCACTTATAACCAAGAGTTGAGCGTGTGAGTTCCGAGACCTCCTAATGAATCATGCAGTATGGGGGTAGTCTTGGAGACCCCTTGACACATGGAATTTTAAGTCATCTATATAAAACTTCAGGATTTCTGCAACAAAAGCTTATTATTGGAGTTTGTTGCTATAATGTTAACCAAAGTTGCTAAAATTATTCACGTTTGTGGGTACCTTTCTCTATGCACCTATTTTACATATGTGGTACAGCCATGGTCGTTGTTATGTACATGCTCAACTGGAAACTGGTGGAGGCCCTGAGGACAGGAAATAAAATTTATCCAGAAAAATAAAAACATAATTAAAGTGATTTCTCCAAAAATGAGTTATGTACAAAATAATCAATAGGAGGCATGGTTAGGGCCCAGCTTAGAAATCTGTCCTTAAAAAAAAATAATGCCCATAAATGTCTTCTTTTATATATCAATTTGTTGTTTTACAAGTCTATGAGCAATTGATCTGCTAGAAAAAAATATTTTTAAATAATATGAGCACATGGACTGACATGCGATTTGTTTTCAAGATATCTTTTAGTATGCATGCAATTTCTAGGCTTTTATTTTGCTCACTCCATCTCTTAACTTACATTGTAGGTGATGTTCAACTTCACAACTGAACTAAAAACCCCTTTAACTCAAAAGAAGTACTACTCTGACTTCAAATAAGGACTTATTTAACTGTAATCTACAAATTTGAACTTTGACTATAGGGTGGTTGAGAAATGAAATACCACATTGTAAAAGAATTCACAAAAGCTTTAAGTTAGTTATAATTTGTCTCTATTACCACATTGTCAGCTAAAAGGTACCAAGTACTGAATAATATAATTTCTCTAAACCCACCCCATACTATCATGTGCCTTATAAATGTTTTGTTGTTTTAAATTGTATGTCACATACATTTTATTTGCATTTCAGCTGATAAGTTTCTTAAATGGAAAACTCTGACATATTTTTTCATTTACTCAGCATCAAATTAGTAAAACTCAGACCATATTTTGGAGTAGGCTTTTAGTCCTAACTCTTTTACCACACATTCCAAGGGACACGTGAGTCTTTGACCACAGGACAGAGGACAGGAGGGTACAAATGTGGATCAGTCCACTTTGAGAACAAGAGTGCGTCTAGAGAAGTATGCCAATCTCTTAGAAGAGTAATGTGAGCGGACAAGGGGTGGGATTGCGGGGGGGGGGAATCTTATGGTTTTAGCTTTTGGACTCATTTGTTAATTTATACGTAATTTCCTATTATATAAAAATTATTATAAGGCCAATAATTTAAGCTTCCTCTTTTCATATTCACTGGGTCAAGTAATTGGCACCATTTAAGCAATCATTCACATGTACCAAGCAATTGTACATATAAAAGAGACCTGCCTTTTACTAAGAAAAAATAATTTATTATTAAAGCAATCACCCATCAGAAATGTGCTTAGTGAATTCATATCTTCCAAATTCTTACTTATTTTTATGTGTGCACAGTTTCAATAAAGAATGTCATTGCTCTAATTTATTTGATTTCCTAAAAACAAGTTATTTTTATTTTCTCTTATTTCACTACGTGATAGCTAATTTGCATTGCATGGTCTCCAAAATGTTGCCAGACTAACATGTATTATGTGATCTGGGATATATTGTTCTGGACATGATTATCAATTCCTATTTTTCTCATGCTAATTGAAAACAATATTTAAAGTACTTGGCATTCTTCTTCATGCATCAGTACTCAGTAGTTGAGCACCGATAAATTCCCGAAGCACATTGATCAAAATTCTACTCAACACTTCTGAAATGTATTTGTCAGTCAAATGAGGATTGAATACCTTTTTATCCTGGATTATTATTCTTCCATTTTATTACTTACACATTCTAACACAAATGTGAGTTTACTGAAAAGGAATAAGAATAGTGGTTAATTGACCTATTTTGATTGTTTTTTATAAAACAAATATTTTTAAATTTTATGTTTAATTCTAGAAGATCAACTGTCCCACTAACAACAGCTAGAAGAGCTATAAAAGCAATTTCAAAAATCTATTTATAGGCATCAGCACACCAACAAAGTGACCATGACAATAGGACCCATCGTTATGGAGGGAAGGAAGTCCACAGAGGGGCGTCCTGACCTTGGCAACATGTTGGTCTTTGGGGCATTTGCCCATCCTAACAAGCAGCTGGAATTGTGAGTAGAGCTTTCTGCAGTGTCAAAGAGATGCATCCATGGTAGGTCTTCAGACTGTCATCTTCATTTGTTGAGGAGTCATCTACATCATTAATTCAACATTTCTCTGGTTGTTGTTAAGATTCCTTCTTTGTCTTACATTTTCACAGTTGTACTATGAGGTGCTTTTGTAGTTTTCTGTTTTTATTTTGTTAGAGATTATAGAGGTAGAAGTAGAAATGGAATTGAATTCAGGATTCTGCAAGAAAATCTGCTTCACTAAACAAATCAGGCTTTTAGTTCAGATAAAATAATCACCACAGTAGGAACAGAAACAAACCCGGATAAGCCCGTTCTCATAAAAACTGAGGCCAGGTTCAAGTAGATCAATCTTTACTTGGAGCAAAATTACCTGCCCTTATCCTAACTGACTGCTGGAAGTATAAGTCCTCTCTTGCAGAAAACAACATCATCCAGATTCTTCAACTGTCTTTATAATTTTTCAGACACAGCTTGTCATTTAATCAGAAAAGGGTATGCATTAAAAAGATAGGCATTGACCGAATTCAAAAGATTAAAAATAAGGGGAAAAATAGAGCCACAGGACTTCACAATATTGCAGTTAACCAACAAGAACTTCAAAGTAACTGTGAGTAATATCGAATATTTTGAAAGAATAAAACACAGTACAAAATAATCAAGTGGAATTCTACAAGTGAAAAATAAAACAGAAATATGTGAGTACATCACTTTAACATTAGTTTAGACACACCTAAAGAGAGCAATAGTACACTAAAGCTAGATCAGAAGAAAATTTACACATCAAGGTATGGAGATAAAAGCAGGAAACATACAGAAACAAATGGAAGAGATAAATATATGGAAAGGTCTAACATAACTGTGATTACAGTCTGAGAAAAAGAAGGGAAAGCAAAAATGGGATAGAAGCAACATTTGAAGATGTAATAGGTGACATACACCTCAAAAGTATTAAAACTCTCAATGAAAATATTTGCAAAGCTCTGTAACCTCTAACAGAGTAAATACAGAAAAAAACCCCACAAAAGTACGTTATAGAATGTTAAAATGTAAAACAAAGAAGGAATCTTAAAAACATCCAGAGAAAAGTTGCCTTAAATGATGTAGATGACTCCTCAACAAATGAAGATGACAGTCTTAAGACCTACCATGGATTCATCTCTGCTCAGAGTCTATGATACTGCGGCCCCAGATGCCTGCTGAACTCTGCTAGCATCTGGAGTCACAAGCAAGTGACTTATGAAGGACAGAAGGCAATTGATACTTTTAATTTTTTCCTAATAACTGAAACTTCTGATATAAATTGTATGTGGATCTTCAGAAGACTTTTTCAGAATCAAGCTCTATTTTTCTACGTGGTAAGTAGTTAGGTAATTTACTCTTGTGCTAGGTTTCCTGCCTTTTTCCCTCTTCTAAACCTCTACTCTGCTCCCTAATATTACTTTCTTTTCTCAAGTTCCACTTTCAGGGGGACCCAGGTTCAGACAGGAGGAAATGAGCTAACTAGGTTTAGAAGGCCCTGTTCTCCATATTATTCATTCTACAACTTATCTTTTTGCTTTGTAGTAGCTATTATGAATCAATATTCGAGATGCTCTTTCCGGCAATTAAAAGAGTTCTAGTTTATTTTATCTGTTTATGTTAAATTTTATTGTTTATCTTAAAATATTTAAAGTTGCCTTGGTATCTCAGTACATGCACCATTATAAATATTTTGTGGTTACTAAAAAAAAGTGTTGTATGTTCCATGAGTGTATGTTATTGCATATTAAAGTAGATCAATTAGGTAAAATTATTTTGGATGGTGTCATCTTCTGTATCCTTTTTAATATTTTTCTCTGCTTAATTAATCAAATCCTGAAGATATGACAAAATTTCAAGCTGTTACTATAGATTGATCAATAATCCACATATAATTCTGTTTTTATTTTTAATTTACTAAAGCTATATTTCAGGTGACTACCTCTTCCTGATAGATTTTAATTTTTTCATTACTTAAGGAAATTTTTGATATTGTCATAACATTTGCCCTTTTTTTATCGTTTTGGCCTTATTTCCCTGTTTATTAATTATCTTCATGTGCAGTTTACAGTATATTCATTTTAAGTAGTATATTTGGCTTTTGTTTAATCCAATATTACAGTTTTTGGTTTCAGTTTTAATGTTTAAGACAAGTGCCAGTCCTAGACGTTTTATTTTCAAAATAGCCACTGAATTTCCTTTTTTTGGTGGGAACTGAATATCTACTCAAGTTATAATTCTGTAATTTGTTAAGAAAAGAGTACTGAAAGATTATAAACATGTATCTTCTTTGGGGCAATAATCTCTCTGTAAGATAACCATAGTCATCTTTATTCTGCTAAATGCAACTATATAAAACTAATTCTACTTATTTCTGCATGCCATTATTGAGAACCTATTGTGTGAAACAATAAGCTTTCCCACTAATTCTATCTTTCAAATTTTGACTGTTGGTAGAGATATCATGATTTGTTTAGGTTTCCAGAAATGATTTGAATTTCTACTTTAATTCTCAGAGCCTTGAGAAGTTACAAATAATATTTTTCACTTGCATAAAAACTTCCAGTAATCAGCTTTAAGTGTATGTACATATATGCAACCCATGCCAATATCTAATACATTTAGTTTTTTTGGACATTAGTGTATACTTACTACACTTATTTTCCTTATCCTTCTCTTTAATTTTATATACACATCAATGTATCCTTTAGAATTCTCTCTTCTACAAATTTCAGTACTTACTTTATTTAAACTTGTTTTTTAACACACAAAGTTTCTGTCTTTACACTCAATTCTTTTTTTTTTTTAATATACTTTAAATTTTGGGATACATGTGCAGAACGTGCAGGTTTATCACATAGGTATACACGTGCCGTGGTGGTTTGCTGCACCCACCAACCCGTCATCTACATTAGGTATTTCTCCTAATGTTTTCCCTCCCCATGCCCCCCACCCCCCAACAGGCCCCACAGTGTGTGAGGTTCCCCTCCCTGTGTCCATGTGTTCTCATTGTTCAGCTCCCACTTATGAGTGAGAACATGCGGTGTTTGGTTTTCTGTTCTTGTGTTAGTTTGCCCAGAATGATGGTTTCCAGCTTCATCCATGTCCCTGGAAAGGAATTATTCTTTAAATAAAAAATATTTAGTGATGTCTTTAAAATGTTTTGAGTATATTCATATCTTAGGAAATAAAAAGGATAATAAATAAAATGAAAATAGCTATGAAGTTCATGTAAACATAGAAAAGCCTATAGAATCTACAGAAAAAAAAACTGGAAAAATCAAAAATACACCAGAGACGTGAGGCACAAGCTAGTTCACGTTGCACTTGCTCTTGTGATAATACTCCTGAAATTAAAGCCTTCAAAATGTGTGACTCATTAACATTAAAATGAAATTTTGTATTATTGTGCTGAATTAGCACTTAAAGAAATCTAAACTAAAATTACTACAAAAAAGATCATGTTTCAGATTCAGTGATTGCTAAGTAATTTATAATCAATAAACTGAACATCATTTCTTATTCTATTCCATATACCCTACCCTATGTAGGAAATTACATGTGACTTATATTTTAATGACATTGAGAAGTTTTCTGCAGGATGTAGAGTCTTTACTATTTATTGTTTCCAATTAATAAAATGACTAATGTTAAAGATACTTTTAATAAAATTTAAAGTAATTATTTCTATATTATATCTTTACATTTTAAATAATATAAACTTTTTAAGGACTTAAAAGAAATACTTGATTGGGTAGGTGTTTCCTTACACTTTGTCAAAGATAATTTATTGAAAGATTTCAATCTACAAGTCATGGATATTATGTCTGTAATGAATTTCTATTTATTTATTTATTTTTTGACATGGAGTTTCACTCTTGTAGCCCAGGCTGGAGTGCCATGGTGCGATCTTGGCTCACTGCAACCTCCATCTCCTAGGTCCAAGCGTTTCTCCTGCCCCAGCCTCCCAAGTAGCTGGGATTACAGGCCTGTGCCACCATGCTCAGCTAATTTTTGTATTTTCAACAGAGATGGGGTTTCACCATATTGGTCAGGCTGGTCTCGAATTTCCGACCTCAGGTGATCGGACTTGTCTCGGACTCCCAAAGTGCCGGGATTACAGGCATGAGCCCCCGTGCCCAGCCTGCTTATAATGAATTTCTAACATTTACCAAAGACAATAGTGAAAGAGCATGGGACACTTCTTCCCGGGTGCCTCTCCTTCCTCCCCTCACAGCTGTCTTCTGTCCTAGGCTCCCGGCAGGGAATGCAGGGCGTGAAGGTCCCTCCTCTCTGCGCAAGGCTGGACTTCCTTATGTCCAACATGCTCGTGCTGGGACCTCTGACTCTTGATAGGTCGTTCTGTATCTTATTTACCACACATAAACAATGGTTTTTAGAGGGCTATAGGTTTTTAATGTTCTTTGAAGTTATAATTTCAAGTATTAAACGTATTAACCATCGACAACACTGAGTAGTGTAGAAAATAAAGATTAAAATGCTGTGAATGTTAGAGTATTACCAGATTTCTTATTTCCTGGGCTTATGCTCATAAACGAATTTTAATAGATATTCAGTAACTTCAGCTTGTAGTTGTATCACTTTGCTGTCCATTATTCCTGACTTCTCATCATATAAATAAAATGTTGTTTTTCCGTATCAGTTTTTTGGCCTGACATTGAATGATACAACCATGAGAGTGAAAACGAGCAAGTTCTTGGCTTGGCCCAATAGGTGAAAAGTTGTACTGTGTAGGTCTGCTCTGACTACTGTTTAGTGGATAAACCAAACAAATAGTTAATTTCTACAATGCCAGAAGAAGAGTAGAAATTTTTTTCTTTGCTTAATTTTTGTATTATAGGTTCTCACAGAATGAATGGTAACACCCTGTATAATTTTAGGGACTTTTAACTAAAAATATTTTACCTTCCTTCTTTTATCCTGAATATTTCTAGAAAACTATTGCCTCAATCTTTTGTCTAGGGATTTCACATTCTCAATAAAAATTGGTGTGTGTGTAAGTGTGTGTGTGTGAGAGAGAGATTGCATACACAGAGAATAAAATAACATTCTTCATATACACTAAATTTAATTTGATATTAGGTAACGTACAGAGAGCCAATGCTCCTATAAACTTCTGAGTAGGTACCCACAGTATACACGGGGACACTGGGCCAAATTGTCATGAAAGAAAACAGGAAATTCATTTTTGTGTGCTTTGCTTCCATTATAAAATTAGTGAGAATTTTCCATTGCTTTGACACATTTGATTATCCAAAACAAAAATCTATTTCTTTTTCCCATAGATTTGAGAAGACTTCAGCAGTATTTTTCAGTCTTAGCAAGTTCTGAAACCACTTAAGTGAGTATCATTAGCTCATAGAAGTTTAATTTTAGTGATTTGTGGAGTCCATTTTACATTTCTTACACTTATATATTGATGGGTTTATTTATTTATGTTGAATATAATTTAGGGGGAACTCCAAGCAAATTGGCAACTTCAACTATGTCACTTTTTAATACAAAATGTATATCCATATGGAAGTTTACAATTCAAAATAATTCATGATCAATTATAACAGAAAACTAGCCACATCATCCTACTTCTGAGAAGTTAACATGATTATTCTTTGAAGTTGAAATATTTTAAGCTGAAATTGAAGAGGTGTGGAATTCCTTAAGTTTACACAATAATATTCAACAAGGACTCTTGATTAAATATGCTATATACAGTCTTGAATATATGCTAAGACTTTTTATTTGTCCAACTAAAACTTATATCCAACTATCTTGAAATTCTTGTTGAAGTATTCTGAGTAAGCCATCACGTTTTCTAATCAAAATATCAGTAGTGTTTTAGAACTCATAATAGTCAGAAATTTAAAAGATATTAATAATGAAAAAGAAGATTCAGCTTAACCTATTGGGAAGTTGTATGGATAGTTTCTCTGAGATGTAGATTTCAGTTGGCTATAAAGGAGCTTTTATCAGGGCTAATTTTGGCTGCTACATCATGGAACCCAACTTAAAATCATTGCTTAGGCCAGGCGCGGTGTCTCACTCCTGTAATCCCAGCACTTTGGGAGGCCGAGGCGGGTGGATCACGAGGTCAGGAGATTGAGACCATCCTGGCTAACACGGTGAAACCCTGTCTCTACTAAAAATACAAAAAATTAGCCAGGCGTGGTGGTGGTCACCTGTAGTCCCAGCTACTCAGGAGGCTGAGGCAGGAGAATGGCGTGGACCTGGGAGGTGGAGTTTGCAGTGAGCCAAGATAGCGCCAATGCACTCCAGCCTGGGCAACAGAGCAAGACTCTGTCTCAAAAAAAAAAAAAAAAAATCATTGCTCAGCTCTCTCTGCCCTAACCCCATAGCAAAGTCCTCTTGGATCTGCCTTGATGGTGATATCACTATAGAATGATGGTTGACATTGGAAATGTTCTTCTGATTTTTTTTTAAGTCATTTCTTACTCAGTTGGAATGTGAGAGTTCTTTCAGTCCAGGTTACCTGCCACTGGCCACAATCCTTAAGTTGACTTCTAGATAGAAGTAGAAAATAGGGTGGAAGGCTAACCCATGACTCATGAGAAACGAGGTCAGCTCCCAGGAAAATGCAAAAGAGTGGGTGTCTTTGTTTCTTCCTGAAGTATCATCACCTTGTAGAAACCTATGTGTCCAAAGCCACTGAATCCATCATTCTTTTTAAGAATGCCACATAATACATTAAGAGTTATATGATGATTCTTTAACTAGACGTAACACCAAAAGAGAACATGCTGCTTTCTTAATACTAATTTAATGTCAACTGTTCTTGTGGACATATCATTTAAATACATGTAAATAATTTATATGGAGAGTTTCCTTCCTGTAGGTAGAGGGGCTGCAAATGTTCCCAAGACACAGTTCATATGGAAGAAAGTATTTCTTAATCATGGCATTACAAAGCTGTGATCAATGCCGTGGAATGGAGAATAAAGGCTTCAGAGGATATAAGTAAGAGAATGCTTCCCAAATAAAAATTAACTTTAAGAAATAATAGTGAAGAGTAGTAATTACCCAAGCAAAGGGGACAAGACAGGGCCAGAGGCAGGTGAGGTTTTGGTAAAAGTTTCATAATAGCATTAATCATAGTAGCTAAAACTTGTGTCACACTTACGATATATACTAGGCATTCTTTTAAGTACTTTTCATGATTCATAAGATAGGCACTATTTCCATTTCTATATTGCAGATAAAGAAGCTTAAACACAGAGATATCAATTAACTTGTCCAAAATTACACAGCTAGTAATTGGTGAAGCTCTCCTGAGTCTTGTTATGGCCATTGTCCCAGGGAGTAAACCTCACTGGAGTGCTAGACTTTTATTTTCCAACCGAAAAAAATCCTTTGCTTAAGGTACATGTGTATCCCTCCCATCTTATTAAAAGGTGCATTTCCAATGAAATTTTGCTCTTTATGCTTAAGTATTTACTAAGCATTTTATCTTTATACCAATAATAATAATAATGATATTTTGGTTATCCTTATAGAATAATAATGGTGATACTGTAATACCATTGGGCAGAAAAATTTCACAGCAATGTAAGATCACAAGAATATTTTAAATCATATATATATGCATAACATACATATATACATCTATTTGCAAAGAAACATTATAGATGGTCAGTAAAATATTTTCAAAAATAAAAGCATATTATATTATGATGTGATATTGTGGGGAAGATAAAATGCCATTAGGAATTCAAAAAGGAAAATGCAACAATGTAAACTTTCTGACTGCTGAAGAAGAGATTTTTTTCTGTAAATTTTACAAGGACTCTGGTATTGGAAATAAAATGGTATTGAATGACATTGGCATTTATTATCTATGGCATATATGTCAATAAGATAAAATAATTGTGGTTCATAATGTCAATATGTAACATTGCAAAATTTGCCCTTTACAACTATTTTAACTTGTGATAAGAAACATAAGATGCAAATTTAAATGTGAGGGAAAATATTTAGGTTACCAAAGAAATTAGCAAAATATTTGAAAACCAACGTTTGAGACAGTTGGGAAAATAAGCACTTTTCCGCATCTTAGGAACCATGGCCATGGCCAGGGCTGATGCTCTAGCACTTCACGAAAAGCCCAATTTCTCTCCAAAACTTAGAGTGCTTTCTTCCTGCCTCCTTCCCGTCACACTGAAGATACCCTCAGATTTAGTGCTGTCCAAGAAAAGGTTGCAACTAACCACCCAGAGGGTATTAGGAGAAATCCATTGCTCATGAGTTACTAATACGAGTTACTTAAGCTACAGAGTATGAGGAATTGACTCTATTTTGTTTTTTGGTTTTTTTTCTGAGATGGAGTCTCACTCTGTCGCCCAGGCTGGAGTGCAGTAGCGCAATCTCCACTCACTGCAACCTCTGGCTCCCAGGTTCAAGCGATTTTTCAGCCTCAGCCTCCTGATTAGCTGGGATTACAGGCATCCAACACCATGCCCAGCTAATTTTTGTATTTTTAGTAGAGATGGGGTTTCACTCTGTTGATCAGGCTGGTCTCAAACTCCTAACCCCATGATCCACCTGCCTCGGCCTCCCAAAGTGCTGGGATTAGAGGCATGAGCCATCGCACCTGCCTGACTCTTAATGGTTAAATTACAAATGTCTTTGATGCCTACATCTTTGCAGGGTACGCCTTGTTGAATCCTTCCAGCTTCTCAGGAACAATTCATATCTGCTGATGGGACATTTCAGCAAATGGTGTTTTAGAGAAAAAGACCCAAGAGACTTGTTCTCCTTTTCATTTTCACTTAACTTCAACAGTCGTAAGTCACTTATAAAAAGTATTTGGCAATGTATCTTCTAAGATCCTTAAGTGCTTTGTAATGTCTATGCCCTGGCTGGCTGCCAGATCAGTATTCCGGATTCACCAGATCAAAACGGGTTATGTAGAAAGAGCTACCCAAGAGTGACTTGATAATGCTGATTATGTGAAGCTGCTCCTGAGAGTTCAGTACACTCTACAAGCTGCTGTTGCCCCTAGTATTTGGTGCGACAGAACTGCTTAACTCCCTTGATGCTGTAATTCTAGAAGAAGTAATTGCTGCTTTCCAACAGTGGAACATTTAGTCGCTTCAACTCCACCTCATGGCAGAATCCTCAAAGAATAAAAATGGTTCCCAGAGCCACTGTCTTTTTTATTATTAACTCACAATAGCAAAGTAACCCTAGGTTAATAAAAACTTTAAAATTAAAAAATAAAAGTGATAATTTCAAAGTCCAACTTTCAAAATTTCTAAAAGCAAACTAAATTCTCTGGGTCAGTGTGGGACGCGTCGATGTTCTGAAAATGAGGCTCCTGGACCAGAGGCACCAGTATCACTTGAATTTGCTTAGAACAGCAAATTCTTGGGCCCCAGCCCTAAGCTATGGGATCAGAATCACTGGGGTGGGACTCAGCAGTCTGTGTGTTCAACATGACCTCCAAGTCACTCTGATGCATACTTAAATTTGGGAGTCACTGATAGAGAGATTCATCTGTGCTCTTTGGAGTGATCAGGCCCTGGATTTTAATCTCAGCTCTGATATTTACTGTCTGTGATGGTAAATACTGAGTGTCAACTTGATTGGATTGAAGGAGGCAAAGTATCCTTCCTGGATGTATCTGTGAAGGTGTTGCCAAAGGAGATTAACATTTGAGTCAGTGAACTGGAAGAGGCAGACCCACCCTTAATCTGGGTGGGCACAATCTAATCAGCTGCCAGCACAGCCAGAATAAAAGCAGACAGAAGAACGTGGAAAGACTAGACCGGTTTAGTCTTCCCATCTACATCTTTCTCTCGTGCTGAGTGCTTCCTGCCCTCGAACATTGAACTCCAAGTTCTTCAGCTTTGGGACTCAGACTGGCTTCCTTGCCCCTCAGCTTACAGATGGTCTATTACGGGACCTCACCTTGTGATCGTGCGAGTCAATACTCCTTAATAAACTCCCCTGTATGTATGTATCTATCTTATTAGTTCTGTCCCTCTAGAGAACTCTAATTAATACACTATGTGCAGAGCATCTGCTTACTTACTGATCTGTGTTTTAATTTTGCCATCTGTACATTGGAGACCGTACTTACCTAGACAACATTTTTGTCGAGAGGATGGTAGCAAAACACCTGTGAAAATGCTCCCATTGCTGCTAGATCACCGAAACTAGAGGAGCCATAGATTAGGATGATGAGAGTGGCACCTATTTGAAATCCTAGAGCAGCAGACACTCCATGAACAGAGTTAGATGTGTGGGTACATGCCGGGTTTGAGAAAGCAAGCTACCCATGGCAGCTGCTTTTCACAGATTGCCACCAACCCACCCATTCTGCAAGGGTGACGTTTCCAAAGATTGACTATGGACTTTCCCCACCTGTCAGGCACATTTCCTGAAAACAGCCTGGAATGTCATGTAAGGGACCCCAAGATTAAAAGTGTGCCCATCAGCATGGGGGAGATAGAACGGACAGTTTCTTTTCTTGTTTTCTTCATCAGATCAGGAACATAATTTTGTTTGGATTTTAGTGTCAATCGGTTTTTGAATTCACTTGAGTGGAGCTCCCTCTGCCCAGACACTGTAATATAGGATATGTTTGGGGACAGGTGTTGAATGTGTTGTGAGTATTTCTTATTCACTACTTCTCCAAACTGCTTATTGGAACAAGCACAAACTCAGCTAAATTAGTAACTATTTAGGATTTGTGAGTTAGCCTGGGAGCCCAACAGCTATTTGTTCTGTTTATTTTAAGAGAAAACATCCCATTTTCAGAAACAGCAGGTGATTTATTCAGAGACAAGACATTCAGAAATTGGGACATCTCTCTGGTCATGAAGAAAGCTCTTCCCAAATCAGCCTGATATCCTTTAGGAGTCTGAACAAAGCATGCTGCATCAGAAAACCTTTGCCCACAACTCTATTTCATATTTAACCTGCCTTTCCTTTATACCCCTTTTTCTTCTGCATTTTTCTTCATGGTACTCCCAATATCTGATCTTTTAAATGTTTATTACTAGATGCCTGTCCTTTACAAGGCAAGAACCCTGTGTGTTTCTTCACTGCTGTGTTGCTAGCACTTAGAAGAGTGTGTGAATATGGTAGCTGCTCAATACATATTTATTGAATGAATAAATGAATTAGGCTCCTTGCTATTTTTGCTAACATCTTGCTGTTAACCAATTCACATTTTTTCATTATATGATTTTATTCAAAACAGTCATAATGCTACTTACATTTTCTCTATTTTAAACACCAATGATTCAAAAAATTCTACATTATCAGAAACCTATTATTCTTATATGAGGGAAAGTTAAGGATCCCTTCTTAATTAGAATTAAGCACTGTAGCTCATTTTCTTTTTATTCCAAGCATTGCAAAACCACCACCTAAGGCATACTCTTTTGATTCTGCATCACCCTCTTCTCTTGATATTCAACATTTGAAAATAGAAAATAAGAGTACATGACACCAAAATACAGGGGAAGGCAGTTATTGTATTTTCTACAGTAAATCTCTATTTGGAATAATAAAAAAGAAAGTCATCAATGCACAGATCTTATAAAAAGAAACAACTAGGAGAAACTGCAGAGACTAGAGTATGACATCAATTTGCTTTACAAACTCTCCCACAGGACAGTCAAAGAACATCAAAAAAAAAAAGAAAGAAAGAAAGGAGGAATATAAGAGCAGTAAGGCCGTGCCTAAGAACTAGTGGCTCCGGAAAGAGGAGGATGTGAGAGTTGGCCCTATGGCGACACTGGGGTAAGTATAAATCACTGCCTTATTCAGAAACACACTCACAGGATGTTTCTTGGAAAAGTAGCCAAAAACCTATCACACAGTGAAGTTGTTCAAGAAAGAAGAAAAAAAAATCAAGGTTTATATTTATGGCTCTTCAGGCTGAGAAACATTTAAACTATTTTAAAGGAGAAAAAATGGAAGGAAATAAAGGCATGAAATTTCTGATTTTTGTTAAGAAAGGGACAGAAAGAGATTAACTTTCTTTCGTCTTCACATGGGTAATGTAGAATTTGTCACTGAAGTAATCTTCTTCCAGGTTTCTTTTATTTATTTTTTCCCAAGAATGTCAATATCTTATCCTCAAAACTATTAGAATGGGGCAGGGGAGGAGGAGAGATGTCTCTGAGACCATTGTTCACAGGTTTGTATCTTACCAATGATCCTGTCACGGACTTTGGGGGCCAGTTTGGCGGGCAAGGTGAGGTTAGGGACACGAGCTTCTTGAGCCTGAAACCATCAGTTTTATGAGCAAGAGTATGTATTAATTATCTAAAAGTCGATCAGGAAGCCCTTCCAAATCATTTTGCTTGGACAAAATCCTGTATTTGATTACCATATAGACATGATATTCCCCTAAACCATCCCCTCGCTTCGAAAACACAGCCTGGGTTTCCATAGGATAACCTCAGCCCATTCCACACTATAAACCATTGCCCACTGCAGCTTCATCATGCACACTTTCTTTCGTGGGTTGTATTTCCTTTACAGAAACTTTTATACACCCTTCTCTTTGATAGATCCTTCGATTAAATTTAAACTGCTTTAATTGGCAGATGCCTCCAGTGTAGCAAGCTTGATTAACAATATTTATTCTCAGTTTCATGCAGCTTGAGGATCCTTATTTGTCTGAAAAAGAATAATTTGGATATGATATTACATTTTTCATTCCTAAGCAAGTAGCGATCACACTCCATTGATGATGTTGAATAAAGTCAATTTATACAACAATAGTTCACGTAACTTCCAAAAACTTATGAAGGTTCTGGAAGCATATTACCATGTATGAGCCATTCATCTATGGAGCATACAGGATAAATCAATACAAATCAACAAGTAAACACTCTGTCTTTCATAATTTAGCAAAATATGTTTTGAATTAAAACTAGCATTAGACGTAATACAGGTGGATAACAATTCACAGTGAATTCACACTGTGAATTAATACTCAAGAAATAATAATCAGATCTCTGTTAATAACATAAAAGTTCAAAGAATTTGATAGATATTTTATAAATATTTTGTAAAAGTGAGAAGACAAGTGAGAACACAAAACATCTTCTATAGAAACCTTTTACTATGTCCAGAGATCTAATGCAAACTTTTGTTGCTCTCTATTGATCTCCTTCAACACCATTCTAATATCTACTCCCAATAAAGTTTGAATTAATAATTTAAAAAATTATGCAGGGCAGCAGACCTAAACTACAGTTCTATACTATTTGTGCAAATAATGTTGGGTTCTTGTGTTTGTTCTACAGGGTCATATTTATTTGAATATTTTATTGTAATATTAACACTGTAAAATCATCATTTAATCTATGGTGACAAGATGGATTATTCAACAAATGTTGTGACAATTTGGCACCCATTTGGAAGAAAATAAGAATGAATCACAAATTCACAAACCTTTACCAAAATAAATTCCAGAGGCATCAACTGTGCAAATCAACCAAAATAAATCATGAGATACTAAAGGAAAATACCAATTTTGAAAAAACACTGGAGTATAGAAGATCTTTGTAAGCATAAACAGAAATCAAGAATCAGTTTTGAAAGATCAATAAAGGTCATTACCTAAAATATCACCATTTTCTTCATGGCCAAAAAATCATCACAAATATATAAAACATGAAAAAAATGGGGAAAATCACTTATGACAAATATGACACTGTGATTTGATATTCCTGAAGATAAATAATAACAAGAGTTATATAAACCAATAGAAAAATAGCTAAAGGAAATGCCAGAGTTCTCTGAAATCAGAAATGATTTCAATCAACATAAAATGTTACTAATCTCATTCATAAGAAGAAAGAAATGAAAATGACAATAAGATACAATTTTACAGAGCAGTTAGCAAACATCAAACTATTTGACAACTGTTGTTAAAAGTGTGAGAGAGTGTGAGGAAAGAGGCATTTTTGTGTACCATTTTGGTTACTAAGATGTATTTAACAAAAGGACCACAAAACGGAGTGTATTGCAAAGGACTGATGTTTACTTTTTTATTGTGTCACCTCCACCCAGGTCAGGGTCATGATGCAGCTCTTCTCCGTGAAGTCACTCAGGGATCGAGGTTTAAAAGCCCATGTCATTGCTCTTCCACCCGCTAGGGAGAGGCCCTCCTCTGCACAGTAGAAGAGTCACTGCTACATTTGCATTCTCCTGGAATGGAGGAAAGAAAAACAAGTCCAGGGCTAATAATTTCCTCCTATCCCTGCTCAGCACTTTCACCACTCTGTATCAGAAACATGGGCAAACACAGGCATTAGAGAACACCAGAATGATCACAGAATAGCTGGACTGAAAATATCTGTGTATCCACCAAGCGAAGTAAAACACTCATTTTCCCTTAGAGTATGTCTGAACTCCCTGACCCTAAGCCAAAGAGAAGACAGCCAGCAAGTGTGATGAGTTTTCTCTCCACCTGAGACTGGGGTCGAGCTGGAGCCCAGGAGGCAGAAGCTCAGTTTTTTTGCCTGGACAGTGACCTGGAAGTCTCCTGACTACCAGCTCCTCCATTACAAGCCTCGGGGCAGATACCATCTACTATAAACCTCAAGGAACAGACAAGGAAATCCTACCATCAAAGAGTACAAACCTCACAAAATGCCCATAGTGACATAGAGTAGACAAAGGTGACATGTGACACCTACATAAACAAACAAACAAAAAAACAAAATTTCAAGAATATATATAAGGATTCAAGTACAGGCTCCATGAGCGATATTGTGGAAATAATTTTTCTAAAAAAATTATTTAAAAAATGATATAGTATACTATATACTATTTTGTGTAAGTGTGTGTATACACCTTGTGTGACTGTGGGTATATACCTCCTTAGGGAAAATTGATCATGCATAGTTTTGTAATTAATATCTTAATGGGTTTTAAAAAGCATAGATTTTAAACCATAATTCAATAAAACTAGAAATAACTAAAAATTTCCTAAATACCTTGATTATTGGAAACTAGAAACCTGTTTGTTGATAAGTGCTAAAGAAAAGAACATAATTGAAATAACAACCTAGCTAGAAAACAGTAAGAAATTATAAAAAGTAAAACAATTGAAAGAGCAATAAGAAATTGGAAAAAAAACAAGAACAAAAACCCATTAGACATCCAGAATTACATATATAATATACACAAATGATTTGTCATCTGTGTATTGCATATAGCCTATATGTCTTTTTATACAATATTTTTGAAATGAAAAATTAATCTAAAAGCTAATTATTTAAAAAGATTATTAAAATAGATACATCCCTTGAGGAAGTTAAGAATCAAGAAAAGAAAAAAGATCAACCTGATTTGGAGTGAGAAAGATTAGCCAGCTACAGTTATAGAAAATATTAAAAGAATAATGAAGGACATTATGTAAAATATTATTACAACAGAAATGTAATATTGATTTAACAATGACTTCAAGTGTATTATTTAACACAAAGAATCATTAATCAAATCAGATTAACAGGAAACACAATTTTACATGCGTCTTGATTTACTAGCAGTTTCAAAGGCAAGTAATCAGGAGAGAGAGCAAAGGAGGGAGGGATCTGAGACCATCAGCTGAGCTCTCCTCTGGCCTAGATGTACAATAGCAGTCTCTAAGCAAGTTATGCGTTTCATATCACCTACATAGAAGAAAGCTATTTAGTCATGAAAACATTTTATACTCAGTTACATAAGTTCTGTGAGCTTATGTGAGATACTTTCTAAAGAACCATGCCCCATCCACCCTCAGAATACAAATTTCTTTATTGTAAATAATCCCAGACATCCAGGTGTATCCTTCTTAAAGTGTTTCATGATAAGAACTCTCTTGCTAGCAAAAACTATTAGCTTGCTGTGAGAGGGTCCAATAATGAAATGTTTCCAAGGAGACAGTTCACTTGCCTTCTTTATTCCTGGGTACACCCACTGGTACTGGGAGAATTGCTGCTTAATCTTTCCATCCCAAAGAACCATATTTAATTGTCTCCAATTGTGTCAAAAATACCACCTACAATATTTTTTTCTTATGACTCACACAGGCTATTTGATTTTCATGTCTCTTTATTTTAATCAAATGTAGAGAAATACCTTGTATATTTGTTTGTCTTTTATGAAAATATTATGTTTTTAAAGTCCAACTCAGTTGTCCTGCAGACTCTCCCACATTCTGGATTCTGGATTTCTCTTCTTTGCTTTCTTCTTCATTTTTAGAAAACAGGTAAAATATTGTTGGCATGAACACTACATAAGTGATATTGTACAATATGATTTTTTTTACTTTTGTATTCCTAACCACTTAATTTATTATTAGCTATTGTTAGTAGGATGCACAAGAGATGCTAGTGCCTGATCAAATTGTAAATGACATGAATTAATCATGTTGTAGTAGGTTATTCATTAATACAAAAAAATCAAAGGAACATGGATTTTATATACACCTAAATGCCTCACCAAAATCATGATTATTTAGTTATGCAGCTTTTCTTGGACAAAGAATCCTTATTCTTGTGACTCTAAACAAACTCTGGATTGATAAAGTGATGGGAAAAGTACCTACGTAAGGTGAGTAGTGAGTATGACAAGTGTCATTCAAAGTTTGATTGACATCTCTGAACTGTTTTAAGGAAGATAAACAAATGACTTTCTGGTTATTTCCTATCTATATAGTCCTTTTGCTCTAAAATCTATATAAAGATTTGTACAACCTTGGAGAGAACACTGTATTGATTTTGTGAGCATGTATGTGCCTAGGAGTGTCATGAATTGCTATTTTACCATCTTATCATTTTATTAAACTTTCAGATCATATTTTTGGGGATAATCATAGATTAACCATTCCTCCAGATTTAAAAAGGATTTATTTTCATTTTTATTGAAATTTTATGTGCGTGTCTAAATTGAATGTGAGTCCCATTGCTTTCTGTCCCTTTCTTTCAGTGAATTCTTCAGAGTAGGGTGCTGTGATGTCTTCTTATGACTATAATTCTTATTCAACCCATTGTATTTTTCCATAATACCAGTTGGCATTAAGATTTCATGATTTTGTTACATTAATAATTAATTTTCCAGTGAAAGTCTTCCACATTTCACACCTATAGTTTTGGTCTTTCACTCTCAATGTCATTAAGCCCTTCTAATTTCACTGGTGTATGGCCAACAGGGTCTTATGATACTTTATGCTTTCTCAATATGAGACCAAAATTGTGACGTGTTTGATGATACAAATGTTAAGTCATAATTTTCTGAGAGTAAAGATAAGTAAAGAATGGTATGGGATGTACTATACTGACATTGCCCATTATTATGCATATAAATTACCCAAGATGATAATTCCAGCAGTTATGTTTTTTAACCAAAAGTGAGTTTGTATAATTGGAGTAGGTATTGAGTATTTTTGTTGTTGTTGTTGAAATGCAACTTTTGGTAGAAATATAATTTTTTCAAGTTGTAGAAAATGAAATGCTAAAAAAAATTGTATTTTGGTAGTCTTAGAGGGAATAATTCTTATCAGTTAAGGTCACTGCATTAAAATATAACTTCTTAACACTTTTAAAGAAACATGAAGGTGAGAGGCTATGAAACATTTCTAAAAATGTGACATCTTCATTATTTCCACATTAATACCCACTGGATAAGACTTGTAATGTAGGCAGCTTTCAGAATGGAAAAATCTACTGATAGGATATGGTTCTGAGGCAATGGAGAGGGGCAGCATAAGAATGTAAAGAAAACCCACATTTTGAGAATAAGCCACAGAATGAAGAATAACTTACCACTGGGGATGATGACTGGAGTATTTTGGGATGGGAAACCAAAAGAAAAATATCCACTTGAATCTCACAGCCCAGGACATTATTACAGCTCCTTGTACAGTATAAATTGTGGATAGTCAATTTTCTCAGGATTATGTCTAGGGACATATGCCCTTTGGTGACAAGGTGAGTAAAATTATATTATTAGATTATTTTATCCTTAGCATAACTATCTTCATTCATTCCAGTCCATTTTTATTTTTCTAAAACTTATTGATCAACACAGACTTCAGCATTCAAAATTTAGGCACTAACATGAAACTTTATTTTATAAAAGATTCTAGAAGTCATAGTTTAGTTTGATTACTATTTGGTTTAGTCTCATAATCTCTTCTGTTTGAATGTAGTTGTCACAGGATAAAACTTGCCACACTAGTTTAAAACTAATTTTTATATATTTTAAAATACTATCTAAATTGAGTTTGATTCAATTTCTGCTTTTTGGAATCAAATATTCTATCAAAAAAGCATTTTAAAACCAAATTCCAATTCAGACTTTAAATTTTGGGATCTGTGACAAATGTGTTAATTTGTCATATGAATAACCTCTTAAATGACACAAGGTTGTAATTCATGATACAGTGTGGTTAAGTGACACATTTCAGCACAGCATAAGTGATTACACCCCAAAACTGGTAACAGTTTAGAATATTTGAACAGGTTCAATGCATTTTACTGATAGCTTTCTTTGGGAGGTTAATGGGTAAAATAGACAAGTGAAGTCAATTTCTGACTTTACAGATGAAGTACGTCAAGAATTTTTCCCATTTTATTATTGCGTGACTAAAGAAAAGCACCATATGATCCCTCCTCTTCAGAGTTAAAGTCAGGAGGAAAATTATCTTCCCTAAATAACTTATTATGATTCTCCTTCTCATAACTAAAAGTATCTCTCTTTTTTGCCCTGGTTGCCAGGAAACTTAAATCCATGATATATTTACATATATATAATTTTACCAAACTAGCCTGTATATTATATAACATTTTATAAAATGTGTCTATTTACATAGCTATGATAGGAATCGTTTGTGTTTATATTTAATTGATGTATTTTATTTGTTATTTCTTGCCACATTTGTTCATAAATTAGTTAAAATATATTTATTTCCTAGGACAAAAGAATCTTCATTAACAATAAACCCTATAATCTGAAGCTTCTCTATTCCTGTTCTCAAAAAATAAATAAACAAATTACCCGTTTTAGTATTATAACCTATTCAGTCACAGGCAAGCAAACTCTAACTCTGTAGATGGGAAAATATAATGTGTATAAAATATATTGAAATATATTTTGATCGTGATTTTTAACAGCACTAGAGAAGCTTTTTTTGTAAAAAATAAGAATATGAGATTATTGGCCAAAACCAAGGAGCCAAAAATGGGAAAACTATGGCCCCACTCTCAGTGTTATCCTCCAGAGATTTTCCCAATTCTGCAGTTTAAGTACTGTTTATAGCCTTGTTTTTACCAACCTGAATTGTAATTTCTAATCTAAAGGATAATTGGCTAATGAGTAATTAATTCTGAGTTATTATTACATTTCTGGTTTTCATAAACTGCTATTTGATTTCTCATTGGGAAAATAAAATGATTTTAGCCTTAAAGAATGTTAAATGAGATGCATATGAAACAGTAAACTGGATAGGAAACATAAGCATGAATCTACTATTTTACTCTGGAAAGGGGTTAGTACTAAAGGCTCTGAGAGAAGACACTGGGTCTGAACACAGAAATATCAAAGTTACAGTAGGAACATCTAGCAGCCAGCAGAGATCTAAATATGCCACTGAGTATAACACAGTGGTGGCAAATATCAAAGTTACAGTAGGAACATCTAGCAGCCAGCGGAGATCTAAATATGCCACTGAGTATAACACAGTGGTGGCAAATATCAAAGTTACAGTAGGAACATCTAGCAGCCAGCGGAGATCTAAATATGCCACTGAGTATAACACAGTGGTGGCAAATATCAAAGTTATAGTAGGAACATCTAGCAGCCAGCGGAGATCTAAATATGCCACTGAGTATAACACAGTGGTGGCTCCTTGGGTCTTCATGTCACAGAGTTCACAGGCCATGCTGACCCTTTTTGTAGTCTGGAATCACCCCTTTCCAAAGAATGTTTGGGAAACAAATTTGAATAGAGAACTGTCCCAGATGTGAGAAGTCATGGAAATGCTTAGTTATTTTTCATTGCTCAGCCTCAGATAAAAAGTTTCTCTCTTTCTAGCTACCATCTGGAGGAATCCTTTTGTAAGCCTTTCTGTTCAGCCCATTTAATTTTCTCAGGTGTATAGTATGTCCATCCGCTGACATGGATGGAGTATCAGGTGTGATTGCAGCCGTCAGTAGCATTAGTGGTGGCCTTGGCTACTCTATCTGCCAGGGCAGTTACTCTAATAATAGAGATGCCTCTCTTTTGGGTTTCCCTGCAATGACTAACTGCTGTTTCTTTTGGGATTTGGAAAATATCTAAAAATGTGACGATCTCAGGGTGATGATTTGTGGGGGACCCCTTGGCTGTTAATAGTCCTCTTTCTGACTATATGGCAGCATGAGCATGGAGTAATAAAAACCCATATTTAGAATCAGTAAATATATTGACTCTTAAGTCTTTTTGCAGTTGGAGGACCCTAATTAGAACCATTAATTCCACTTTTTGAGCAGAAGTCTGGAGAGGTAAAGCTTTGGCATCAATAATACCTTGTTAGCCTTGTGTTTTTTGTCTGTAAACCACTTAACATTAGGAATAGGCTGGGGTTCATCTTTAATGTCATTCCTGCAAGAGTAGTTCTGTTCCATAGTTCCCCCACAGGAGTGGATGAATTGAGGATGTTTCTTGGGTTGTGGGGTCCAGCAACAGGGTAGTAAAGTTTAAAACTTGACATACTTTAAGGTTATTGTCTGGGATGCCAAGAAGAAAGGTGTGATATTTAAGTAACTGGCCCCCTCTTAGCCACTGATGTTCTTTTGCCTCCAGAACCCAACACCCCATACTTGGTGGGGAGGTCATAACATCTAATTGTTGTCCCAAGGTAAACTTACTGGATTCTTCTACCTATAGAGCAGTGGCAGCCAAAGCTTGCAAGCATGCTGGCCATCTGGCTGCCACCTGATCTGTTTAGGGAAATAAGCCATTGGTTTAGGAATATTCCCGAGCCTTTTTGTTAAAACACCTGTAGCTGTCCCTTGTTTTTAGCCACGTAGAAGGTGAAAGGTTTTTCTAAGTTTGGGAGTCCCAAAGCAGAGGTCATTCTCAGTTTTCCTTTTAGGGTTAGCAATACCTATTGGCAGATTTTATCCCAATTTAAAGGCTTGTGATCATTCCCTCTTAGAGCTTAATAGAGTGGTTTTGCTAGGATTCCAAACCTAAGAATCCAAATTCAACAGAATTCTGCCACTCCCAAGAGATTCTTAACTGTTTCTTAGTCTTAGGGGATCTGGAGTGCCAAGATGGTCTCTTCATTCCTGGGCCAGGATTCTTGTCCCAGAGTGAACATGTGTCCCAATTATTTAACCTTTTGAACAGAAATGTAGGCGTTGTGGGTGGATACCCAATACCCTCCTTTTCCCAAAAAATGAAGAATCTGAATTGTATTCTTATCAGTGTCTTAGGGCCAGAAATCAATAGGCCATCCACATATTGTAGGAGGGATCCATTTGTTAACAGTAGTTCCCTTAATTATTTTGTCAATGCATTCCCAAAGAGATGCATTCCCTAAAACCTTGGGGGAGGACATTCCAGGTAAAGTGAGATGTAGCATGAGTATCTGGATCAGTCCATTCAAAAGCAAAGATATTCTGGGCATCCAGGTGTAATGATATGCAAAATAAGCATTCATCAAGTCTAATACCATGACCCAATTAGCATCTTCAGGGACTTGGGTCAGTATTGTCCAAGGTTTAGGAACTATTGTGTAGCCTGGGGCTACTGCCTCATTAACTGCCCTCAGATCTTGAACAAATCTGTATTCTCCATTTGGTTTCCTTACATGCCGGATGGGGGTATTACATGGGGACTGACAAGGTTGTAATAGTCCATATTTTCGAAAGTTCTCTATCTGGGGCTGTATGCCCTGTTGTGCTTCAGGTCTCAAAGGATGTTGTTTTTTCTATGGGTAACCAACACTGGGTTTCAAAGTGACCTGGACTGGGGGTAAATTGGCAGCTGTACCAGGAACTTCTATGTCCCAAACAAAAGGATCTACTTGAGAAGTAATATGCAGTGGAAGAGAGGTCGTCTCTATCGGTATCAAGTCAATCATTTAGAGCTAGAAGTAGTGTCCCTTATGGTGAGGCTCTCCAAATTGAACTGTGGTCTGTAACTAAGAAAGTGGGTCCCTTCCCAGTAAAGGAATAGGGCACTCAGGAATAAGCAAGAACCATGGGAAAACTTATGGTTCCCAATGGTACAGCCAATGGGGGTGAGTGAACCTCCTAATTTTTGGCTGGCCATCAATCGCCATTATGGTACAAGGGTGAGGAGGCATTAGCCCTGAGAAATGGGTCAGAACTGAAAGGGTGGCTCTGTATCCAGTACAAACTCAGTATTCTTTTTTTTGTTTGTTTGTTTTTGTTTTTGTTTTTTTGAGACAGAGTCTCGCTCTGTTGCCCTAGCTGGAGTGCAGTGATACAATCTCGGCTCACTGCAACCTCCACCTCCCGGGTTCAAGTGATTCTCCTGCCTCAGCCTCCCAAGTAGCTGGGACTACAGGCACCTGCCACCACGCCGGGCTAATTTTTTGGATTTTTAGTAGAGACAGGTTTCACCGTGTTAGGCAGGATGGTCTCGATCTCCTGACCTCATGATCTACCCGCCTGGGCGAAAGTGCCGGGATTTCAGGCATGAGCCACTGCTCCCAGCAAAACTCAGGATTCTTACCTGCCACATCAAAAGTTACCTGAGGCTCCTCTGTGGAGGTGATAAGGTGTGCTGTGGGAGCCATGGAGGATCTCAGGGCCAGTCAGTCCTCTGTTCTCTTGGCCATAATGGGTTTGAGTGGCTCAGGATCCCTTTGGAGCCTGGGGCAATCCCTTTTCCAATGGCCCTCTGGCTTACAGTAGGCACACTGATTCTAACCCAGGGGCCACTGGGTCAGGGGTTCTCATCCGGGCATCCCAGACACTGATCTCTTGCCACTTTCTCAATAGTTAACCCTGAGGCAGGGGGAGACTGACGATTGCAATTTCTGCCTATTTCTTTTGGTTTTCTCTGCCTTCTCTGTGCTGTCCCTATTGTTGTAAACATCAAAGGTCATGTTTAAGAGCTGGGTCATGGGCAGAGTTTGAGCCAACTCAGCCTTGTGTAGCATTTCTCCTTCTGTAGCTTCCTTCCTAACATCAGTGGCAGATTGAGTAATAAAATGCATACCCAGGAGAGTTCACCCTTCCAGGGGATCTGGGTCTGCATTAGCATATTTCCTAAGTGCCCCATCAAAATGGCCCGGAAACAGAGTGGAATTTTCGCCCTTCCCCCGAGTTACTTCTCTAAAATTGTCACAATATACTGGTTTAACTACACAATTTTTCATACCTTCTGTTAAACAGGTTACAATGTGATTTCTGCATTTGAGATCTTAGGAACCCCTAGGTGTTTCTAGATGTGTTTTGTACACCCCAGCACTCATCCGTAAATACTTCCCAGGTGATTCCCCACACTCTGTCTTTCCCTTTCTGTTGGAAGGATGTCAACATCAAGGTGGCCTGGGAAGCCATCTGTTGAGGATGGCAAAGTTGCCATTAGCAAGATGACCTGTATGAGTGTCTGGGGAAGAAACAAGCCCACTCCCTGAATGTCAATTGTACTTGACATGGGCAAGTAATAAACTTCAATGTTCTTAATCTACTGAGACTTCAGTTCTCTTTTAAAGAAGTTACCATATGCTTTCATGCAATACCTCAGTGTTAGCAGTGATAGGTAGAAAGCAAACTACTCAAATCCTATTTTGTTTGCTTTTTCTTGCAGGAAAATGTTGTTCAAAATGCAAAGGGCAGGACCAACATAAAATGGAAGTACATGAGGGTTAAAAGTACAGCCAGATAATACTAAGGCATTATGAGCCTTATTAGTATCTAAATTAAGTAAAGACCCTCCCCCCAAAGAAAAGATTATAGAAAAGCAAAAATGAACAAATATTTGTTAAAAATTACAACAAAAGAGGTTAAACATAGTTCACTGTTACTTCAAGTTCTAGTAAAACTCTTGAGATAATTAAAACCAATTAAAATGAAGAGGAACCATAAAATATTGCCTGTAAAACGTATTGAAAATTAATTTTATTTACTTTTTTTTTTTTTTTTGAGACAGAGTCTCACTCTGTTGCTCAGGCTAGATAGAGTGCAGTGGTGTGATCTTGGCTTACGGCAGTCTCTGCCTCCCTGGTTCAAGTGATTCTTCTGCCTCAGCCTCCTGAGTAGTTTGGATTACAGGGGCCCACCATCACGCCTGGCTAATTTTTGTATTTTTAGTAGAGATGGGGTTTCACCATGTTGGTCAGGCTGGTCTTGAACTCCTGACCTCAGGCGATCCACCTGCCTTGGCCTCCCAAAGTGCTGGGATTACAGGCATGAGACAACATGCCTGGTAATTTTATTTACTTTTTAGTGACTGATGCTAAACCAGAAAACAAGTAAACGCCCTGGTCAAAGTTTACATTACACAAATTAAATGCCTGTGTATAACAATGGAAAATTCCAGCCTGTGGTTCATAATTGTCTTTTGTTTTCCCTACTCCCAGAGATGAACTCCAAGGGCAATCATTTAATGGGACTTAGAACAACCTATCTCCTAATTCACAAGTCAGATAAAATTGTTGTCCTTCCAGTTTTCCTGAAGTCAACCTGATTACTTGGCACCTGTGTTGTCCTTTGGTAGAGTTCTGCCTTTCATTTCTCTCAAACGGCTATTGGCTCTAAGACGGTAGCATGTTGCCTGTTGTCTTAACCATTCTTTCAGTCAGGGACACTGCCTCAGACTTGTTGTCCCCAGTTACCACTGCATACTAATATGGTTTGAATCTGTGTCCCCACCCAAATCTCATCTCCAATTGTAGTCCACTCATATCAGGGGAGGGGCCTGGTGGGAGGTGATTGAATAATGGAGGTGGACTTCCCCCTTGCTCTTCTCATAATAGTGAGTGAGTTCTCAAATGATCTGGTGGTCTGAAAGTGTGTGGCACTTCCTCTCTCTCTCTCTCTGCTGCTGCCATGATAAGAAGTGCTTGCTTCCTCTTTGCCTTCCAACATGATTGTAAGTTTCCTGAGGCCTCCCAGTTATGCTTCCTGTTAAGCCTGTGTAACTATGAGCCAATAAAATCTCTTTTCTTCATAAATTATCCAGTCTCAGGTAGTTCTTTAATAGCAGTATGAAAATGGACTAATACAGAAAATTTGTGGCAGGAGTTGGGCACTGCTACAAAGATACCAGAAAATGTGGAAGTGACTTTGGAACTGGGTAATGGGTACAAGTTGGAACAGTTTGAAGGATTCAAAAGAAGACAGGAAGATGTGAGAAAGTTGGGAACTTCCTAGAGACTTGTACCAAAGTGCTGATAGTGATATGGACAATGGAGTCCAGATTGAGATGATCTCAGATGGAGATGAGAAACTTATTGGGAATTGGAGTAAAGATCGTTCTTGCTATGCAGAGACTGGCAGCATTTTCCCCCTGCCTTAGAGATCTGTGGAACTTTGATGATATATGACATCTGATGAAAGAAATTTCTCAGCAGCAAAGTGTTCAAGATTTGGCCTGGCTGCTCCTAAGTGCATAAAGCTATATGCATTAACAAAGAGATGGTCTGAAATTGGAAGTTATGTTTAAAAGGGAAGCAGAGCATAAAAGCTTGGAAAATTTGAAGCCTGACCATGTGGTAGAAAAGAAAACCCATTTTCTGGAGAGCAATTCAAGCCTGCTGCAGAAATTGGCATAAGTAAAGAAAAGCTGAATGTTAATCCCAAAGACAACAGTGAAAATATCTTCAGGGAATGTCAGAGATTATCACAGCAGCCCCTCCCATCACAGGCCCAGAGGTCTAAGAGGGAAAAATGGTCTTGTGGGCAGGGCCTAAGGCCCTGCTGCTCTGTGCAGCCTCAGGACATGGCACCCTGAATCCCAGCCATTCTAGCTCCAGCCATGGCTAAAAAGGGTCAAGGTGCAGCTCAGGCTGTGGCTTCAAAGGGTGCAAGCCCCGAGTCTTGGTGGCTTCCACATGGTGTTGGGCCTCCAGGTGTTGGAAGGCAAGAGTTTTTGAACCTCCACCTAGATTTCAGAGGATGTATTTGCATCCTCTGAAACCTGGATTTGCAGGCAAAAGTCAGCTACAGTGGTGGAGCCCTCATGGAGAACTTCTGCTAGGGCAATGCAGAGGGTAAGTGTGGGGTTCAAGTCCCCACACAGAGTCCTCACTGGGGCATTGCCTAGTGAAGCTATGAGAAGCGGACCACCATCCTCTAGACACCAGAATGGTAGATCTACCAACAGCTTGAACTGTGAGCCTGGAAAAGCCACAGACACTCAATGCCAGCCCATGAAAGTAGCCATGGGGCAGAGTCACAGGGCTGGAGATACTCAAGGCCATTGGAGCCTATCCCATGCATCACCATGCCCTGGATGTGAGACATGGAGTCAAAGGAAAGTTTTTTCAAATTTTAAGATTTACTGTGTACCCTGCTGGATTTGAGACTTGCTTGGGGCCTATGGCCCCTTTGTTTTGGTCAATTTCTCACATGTGGAATGGGAATATTTACCCAATCCCTGTACCCCCATTGTATCTTGGAAGTAACTAACTTGCTTTTGATTGTACAGGCTCATTGGTGGAAGGGACTTCCCTTGTCTCAGATGAGACTTTGGACTTGGACTTTGGGGTTAACTCTGGAGTGAGTTAAGACTTTGGGGGACTGTTTGGAAGGCATGATTGTGATTTGAAATGTGAGAAGGACATGATATTTGGGAGAGGCCAGTGGTGGAATGACATAGTTTGGCTCTGTGTCCCCACCCAAATCTTATCTTGAATTGTAATCCCCACATGTTAGGGAAGGGACCTGGTGGGAGGCGATTGAATAATGGGGGCAGACTTCCTCCATGCTATTCTCATGATAGTGAGTAAGTTCTCATGAGAACTGGTTGTTTGAAAGTGTGTGGCACTTCCCCTTTTGCTCACTCTCTCTCTTCTGCTGCTGCCGCCATGGTAAGAAGTGCTTGCTTCCCCTTCACCTTTCCCCATGATTTAAGTTCCCTGAGGCCATCCAGTTGTGAGTCCTGTTAACCCTGCAGAAAAGTGAGTTAATTAAACCTCTTTTCTTCATAAATTACCTAGTCTCAGATATTTCCTTATAGTAGTGTGAAAATGGACTAATTCGCATACCTTATTTTTTATTACTGGAGTTTTGCCTTATAATATACACTTTTCTTCCTGGGTTTTTTTCTTTGATGATAGTCTATGAGATCTCACAATTTCTCTATTTCCTTATCAAAGAGGACACTCCATTTTTCTTATAAAAAATCAGAAAGCATCCCTTTCCTGCATGATGCAGAGTTTGCCGCAGCCTTGGGGTATTTCTCTTGCTCCTACGGATTATTTCTGTACGTCTAACTCAGACCCTATATCAATTCCTACAAATCTCACTTCCCAGTACCCTCTCAACTCTTCTGCAAAAAGCTGCTAAATTCAAATTCTTTCCATTTTTTCTGAGTCTTCTCTGCAGCAGATCTCTGAGCCTTTATATTTCTATGCCTTCATCTTGAAATATCATCAATATATGGCTGAGTAATAGCAGATAGTGGATATTTCAAGAAAAATATGCATTCCCTAAGATTGCTGTTTGATGTGCAAGAGCGTCATCCAGATGGGCTCTGTCCTTGGCTCTTTATTTTAATATTTTATCATTTACTTCTAGGATGTAAAATGCCAGTTAAACAAATACTTTGATAGTAGAAAACTAGTAGGCCGTCATGTAGAATTGTAACAAAAGTATTTGTAATGCTCTTTGAAAATGAAAATGAAAGGCCAAATAAGAAATAGAAAATGTAATAGGAAAGAAGTGTCTAATCATATATAGATAGTGTATGTTTTAAGGAAGAAATATGTGCAGGGTTTAAGAAAGTAGACTCCGAAGTAAAATAGGCCTGGGATCCAGTCAATGAAAGACCGCTATTACTTTTGTGACCTTGGTCAACTAATTTTCTAAGACTCAGTTTTCTCTTTTTAAAATGGCAATGTGAGCAAGACAGGATGCAGAAAGTGTTTAGCATGATACATAACACAAGGTAAACACTCAAGAAATATTAGTTACTATTATAATTATCATCATCGTTATCATTGTGTGGAAGAGCCTGATAAAGTAGTGTATTTTTCCTTGTCTGCCACGTATTAGAGAAATAAGCAACTTACAGGTACTTAAAGATACGATTTTTTTTTTTTCACTTTAAGTTCCTGGATACAAGTGCAGAATGTGTAGGTTTGTTACATAGATATACATGTTCCATGGTGATTTGCTGCACCTATCAACCCACCATCTAGGTTTTTAGCCCCACATGCATTAGCTATTTGTCCTAATGCTCTCCCTCCCCTCGCCTCTGCCCCAACCCACTGGCCTGAGCATGTATCCCCTGTATCCATGTGTTCTCACTTTTCAACTCCCACTTATGAGTGAGAACACGTGGTGTTTGGTTTTCTGTTCCCATGTTAGTTTGCTGAGGAGGATGGCTTTCATCTTCATCCATGTTCCTGCAAAGGACATGATCTCATTCATTTTTATGGCTGCACAGTATTCCATGGCGTATATGTACCACATTTTCTTTATCCAATCTGTCACTGATGGGCATTTGGGTTGGTTCCATGTCTTTGCTATTGTAAATAGTGCTGCAATAAACATACATGTGCATGTGTCTTTACACTAGAATGATTTCTATTCTTTGGGTATATACTCAATAATAGGATTGCTGGGTCAAATGGTATTTCTAGTTCTAGACCCTTGAGGAATCGCCACACTGTCATCCACAATGGTTGAACTAACTTACATTCCCACCAACAGTGTAAAAGCATTCCTGTTTCTCCACACCCTCACCAGTATCTACTGTTTCTTGACTTTTTAATAATTGCCATTCTGACTGGTGTGAGATGGTATCTCATTGTGGTTTTGATTTGAATTTCTCTACTAATCAGTGATGTTGAGCTTTTTTTCATATGTTTCTTGGCTGCATAAATATCTTCTTCTGAAAAGTGTCTGTTCATATCCTTGGCCCACTTTTTGATGAGGCTTTTTTTTTTTTTTTAGATGAAGTCTTGCTCTGTCGCCCAGGCTGGGGTGCAGTGGTGTGATCTCAGCACACTGCAACCTTCATCTCTCTGGTTCAAGAGATTTAATGCTTCTATATTACCAGCATTATTTGTATAAGGTGGCAGGGACCAATCAGAATATTTACCCAATGTTCATCTTCTCTCTTTCCGAAAACCATGGCCAAAATAAAACCACAAAAAGGGTGCTGAAAGAAAGAGTAATTGAAGAGATTGGAAGTTGTAAACATCATACAGTGAGTGATACATTTAATAAAAAGATTATACTGAAAAAGTCAGTGCAAGATGGCTACATAGAAGCTTCCAGTTATAGTCTCACTCATGGGATAACCAAATTGAATCAGTATCCACATGCAAAAAAACACCTTTATAAGAACCAAAAATCAAGTAGGTGGTCATATGGTTTTAACATCATATTAAAGAAATTGGCATGAAGGAGATAGGAAAGACAGTCTTGAATCATCTACACAACCCCTTTCTCATCCCCTGGCAGTGGCCATGTGGTGTGGAGAGAGAATGTGTACACTTATGGGAGGGAGAGCACAGTCATTATGGGACTTTGCATTGGAAATCAGTGCTGTCCCATTACAAAGGAAAACAATACACAGCAGAACTCAGCTGGCTTTCACAGACAGAGTATTTAAACTAGTCCTAGCCAAAGGGGAATCATCCATCTGAGCAGTCGAAACCTGAGTTTCAGCAAGCTTTACCACAATGGGCTAAAGCATTCTGGGGTCCTAAATAAATTTGCAAGGCATTCTAAGCCACAAGGACTGCAATTCCTGGGCAAGTCCTGAGGCTGTTCTGGGGTGGGATCCAGTGAACTTGGGGTGCATGCAACCTAGTGAGACACCAGCTGAGGTGACCAAGTGAGTGCTTGCATTACTTCTCCCCCAACCCGTCAGTGCAGCATGCAACTCCGGAAAAGAATCTTATCCTCTGCTTGAGGAAAGAAGAGAGAATAAAGAAAAGTTCTTTTGCAACTTGGATACCAGCTCAGCCATAGTAGAACTGGACAGCAGGCAGCATTCCAAGGCCCCCATTCCAGCTTCTAGCTCCCAGGCAACATTTCTATATACACCCTGTGCCAGAAGAGAACCTGCAGCCTTGAAGGAAAGGACCTAGTCTTGGTAGGATTGATCGCCTGCTGACTAAAGAGTCCTTGGGATCTGAATAATCAGCAGTGGGAACCAGACTATATTGGTCACAGGCTTTGGGTGAGACTCAGAAGTGTGCTGGCTTCAGGTGTGGCCCAGCACATTCCCAGATGTGGTGGCTACAAGGAAAGTCTCGTGCTTGAGGAAAGGAGAGGGAAGAATAAAGGAAGGGGATCTCATCTTGCAACTTGGGTACCAGCTCAGCCACATTGGGATAGAGCACCAAACAGGCTCCCAGCGTCCCTGATTCCAGTCCTTGGCTCCTGGATGGCATTTCTGGACCTGCTCTGAGTCAGAACAGAGCTCACTTCACTGAAGGGAGAGACTGAAGACTGGTAGCATTCACCAAAAGCTGACTGAAGGGCCCTTGGGAGTTGAATGAACATTGGCAGTATCCTGGAAGTACTTGCCATGGGCCTAGGGTGGTGGTGGCCACAGGGGTGAACTCTCTGCATGAGGAAAGGAGAGGAAAGAAGGACTCTGTCTTGCAGCTTAGGTGTCAGCTCAGCCACAGTAGAATAGAGCATGAAGTAGATTCCTAAGTCTCCCCCACTCCAGGCCCTGGGTCCCAGGCAGCATCTCTGGACCTGCCTGAGGCTGGGAAAAAGTCACCACACTGAAGGGTAGAACACAAACATAGCTGGATTCACCACCAGCTGATTGTAAAGTTCTTGAGCCTTGAGTGAACACAGGTGGTAGCCAGGCAATGGTCATCATGAGCCTTGGGTGACAATCAGTGTTGTACTGTTTTAAAGTCTAACTCAGGGCAGTCCCAGTGCTGGTGGCCACAGAGATGCTTCTGTCACCCTTCCTCCAACTCCAGGTAGCTCAGCACAGAGATACTTCATTTGTTTAGGGAAAAGTAAGAGAAGAGAAAAAGGGTCTCTTCCTGGTAATCCAGGGAATTCTTCCAGACATTACTCAATACCAAAAAGGCATCTCCTCTACAAGTCTGTGAAAACCACAATGTTGCTGGGCTTAGGGAGCCACTAATGCAGATATGGCTGCAGTAACCAAAAACAGATCACAACGCCCATGACCCTGTGACTACCTGGAAAGCCATCCCAAGAAGGACAGGTACAAAACAGCTCAGACAGTGAAAATTACAATAAATACCTATACTTCAATGCCTAGACACTGTTGAACATTCACGAGCATCAAGACCAACCAGGAAAACGTGACCTCATCATACAAACTAAATAAGGCACTAGTGACCAATTTTGGACAGAGATATGCAACTTTTCAGAAAGATAATTCAAAATAGTAAAATTTCAGACAACAGAAAGAAATTTAAAGCCTTACCAGATAAATTTAACGAAGAGACTAAAATAACATAATAGAATCAAGCAGAAAGTATTCTGGAGCTGAAAAATGCAATTGACACACTGAAGAATGTGTCAGAATCTTTTAATAACAGAATTGATCAAGCAGAAGAAAGAATTAGTGATATTTAAGACAGGCTATTTGAAAATAGAGGCAGAAAAGACAAAAGAAAAAGGAGTAAAACAGAATGAAGCATGCCTGTACCAGAGAAAATCACCTTAACTAATAAGGTGAGAGATAAGTCTATCTCTCTCTCTCTATATATATAATACATACTGGAGATTTAGACACTCCACTTTCACCACTGGACAGATCTTCCATGCAGAAAATCAACAAAGAAACATTGGACGTAATGTGCACTATAGAAAATATGGACCTAATAGATATTTACAGAATATGACATCCAATGGCTGCAGGATACACATTCTGCTCCTTAGTATGTGGATCATTCTCAAGGATAACCAAATGTTAGGTCACAAAACAAGTCTTAAAATTCTTTTTATGTATTGAAATTATGTAAAGTACATTTTCTGACCACAATTGAATAAAGATATCTATAACGAGGAATTTTGGAAACTACACAAACACATGGAAAGCAAACAATATGTTCCTAAATGACCAGTGGGCCAATGAAGAAATTAAGAAGGAAATTTCAAAATTTCTTCAAACAAATGAAAATGGAAACCCAATATAATAAAACCTATTGGGTAGAGTGAAAGAAGTACTAAGTAAAGTTTATAGCAATGAATGCCTACATCATAAAAGTAAAAAAACCTTCAAATAAACATCTTGATGTATCTTAAAGAACTAGAAAAGCAAGAGCAAATCAAATTCAAAAACAGTAGAGAAAAAATAATTATCAGAGCAGAAATAAATACAATTAAAACTTAACAACAAAAAAGATCAGCAAAATGAGAAATTGCTTTCTTAAAAGGATAAAGAAAATTGACAAACATTTAGCCAAACTAAGAAAAAATAGAAGAAAAAATAAATAAAATCAGAGTTGATAAAGAAAACATTACAACAGATGCCACAAAAATTTAAAGGATCATTAGAGGCTACTATGAGCAACTATATGCCAATAAATTGGAGAACCTAGAAAAAAAATGGACAAATTCCCAGACATATAAAACCCATGAAGATTGAACCAGGAAGAAATCCAAAATCTAAACGTCTTGACCCCTCCAGTACAGCAGGTGTTTGACCTCGAGGGGCCAGAGAACAAATTCATGAGCCTGGCCCTAGGCCCCCAGGGTTACACCATGCAGACCAGGAGTGCTGAGCTGAGCCTTGGCCCCCAGAGAGCATCCAGAAGCAAAATCAATTGACTGAACCCAACGTATACTACAGTCAAACTCTCAATGGCATCAAAGAATACAAAAGTAAAAAGCCTCATTGAAAGGATGGTAACTTCAAGGATTAAAGGAATATCAGCCCACAAAGATGAGAAAGAACCAGTGCAAGAATTCTCACAACTCTAAAAGGCAGAGTTTCTTTTTAACTATAAATGATCACACCAGCTCCCCAGCAATGGTTCTAAACCTGATTGAAATGGCTGAAACAACAAACACAGAATTCAGAATCTGGATGGCAAGGAAGTTCAAGGAGATATCGGAGAAGGTTGAAACCCAGTCCAAGGAAACCAGTAAAATGATCTCAAGTGGAAATACAGTATAGCCATTTTAAGAAAAAAACAGGAGATCAAAACCATCCTGGCCAGCATGGTGAAACCCCATCTCTACTAAAAATACAAAAATTAGCTGAGCGTGGTGGCTTGTGCCTGTAGTCCCAGCTACTCGGGAGGCTGAGGCAGGACAATCGCTTGAACCTGGGAGGCGGAGGTTGCAGTGAGCCAAGATCATGCCACTGCACTCCAGCCTGGCGACAGAGGGAGACTTCAAAAAAAAAAAAAAAAGAAAAAAGAAAGAAAAAAGAGAAAAGAAAAGAAAAGAAACGAAGCAGAACTTCTGGAAATGAAAAGTTTGCTCCAGGAATTTTATAATGAAATTGGAAACATTAATAACAGAAAAAAACAAGCAGAGGAAAAAAATCTCAGAGCTCAAAGACTGCTCCTCAGAATCAACACAGGCAAGAAAAAATTTAGGGGAAAAAAAGGGATTTTAAGAAATGAACAAAGTCTCCAATAGCATCACTGCTAAATTTTTCCAAACGTTTAAAGAAGAGCTAATATCAATCCTACTCAAACTATTCCAAAAAAAAAAAATAAATAAAATACAGGGGAAGGGAATACTTCCAGTCTTATTCTATGAGGCCAGTATTACTCAGATACCAAACCCGACAAAGACACATCAAAAAGACAGAACTACAGGTTAATATTTCTGATGAACATTGGTGAAAAAATATTCAACAAAATACTAGCAAACTGAAATCAACAACACATTAAAAAGGTCATTCATCATGACAAACTGGGATTTATCCCAGGGATGCAAAAATCGTTCAATATATACAAATCAATCAATGTGATACATCATATAAACAGAACGAAAGACAAAATAAGAACAAGACATACGGTCATATTACTTGATGCTGAGAAAGCATTTGATAAAATTCAACATCCCTTCATGATAAGAATCGTCAAAAAATGAGATAGAAGGATCACAACTCAACACAATAAAAGCCATATATAACAGACCAACAGCTAGTATCAGTGAATGGAGAAAAACTGATAGCCTTTCCACTAAAATCTGGAACAAGACAAGCATGCCTACTTTCACCACTGTTATCCAACATAGTACTGAAAGTCCTACCTAGAGCAATCAGAAAAGAAAGAGAAATAAAGGTCATCTAAATAGGAAGGGAAGAAGTCAAATTATCCTCATTTTCACATGATAGGATCTTATATGTAGAACAACCTAAAGACTCCATCCAAAAAAACTATTATAACTGATAAACAAATTTAGTAAAGTTGTAGGATACAAAATTAACATACAAAAATTAGTAGTATTTCTTTATGTCAACAGTGAACAATATGAAAAAGAAATCAAGAAAGTAATCCCATTTAAAAGAGTTACAAATAAAATAAAATGCCTAAGAATAAACTTAACCAATGAAGTGAAAGATCCTGACAATGAAATCTATAAAAACATTGATGCAAGAAATTGAGGAAAAAACAAAGAAATGGAAAGATATTTCATGTTCATGGATTGGAAGTATCAATATAGTTAAAATGCTGATACTATCTAAAGAAATCTACAGATTTAATACACTCACTATCAAAATACCAATTGCATTCTTCACAGTAATAGAAGAAAAAATTTCTAAAATTTGTATGAAACCACAAAAGACCCAGAAGAGCAAAAGCTATCCTGAATCAAAATAATAAAACTGGAGTAACCACATTACCTAACTTCAAATTATACGACAGAGCTACAGTAAACAAAAGCACAGGGTACTCGCATAAATACAGATACATAGACCAACAGAACAAAACAGAAAACCCAGAAGTAAATCTGTACATCTACAGTTGACTCATTTTCTACACAGGTGCCAATAACATACATGGGAGAAATTACAGTGTCTTCAATAAATGGTACTGGGAAAACTGGACATCCTATCCATATGCAGAAGAATGAAATCAGACCCCTATTTTTCACTGTATACGAAAATCAAATCAAAATGGGTTAAAGACTTAAATCTATGGCCTCAAACTATGAAACTACTGAAAGAAAACATTGGGAGAAACTCTCCAGAACATTGGAGTGAGCACAGACATCTTGAATAATATTCTGTAAGCACACGGCAACCAAAGCAAAAATGGACAAATGGGATTACATCAAGTTAAAAATTTTCTGCACAGCCAGGGAAACAATCCACAAAATGGAGATACGACCTACAGAATGGGAGAAAATATTTGCAAACTATCTATCTGACAAGGGCTTAATAACCAGAATACATAAGGAGACCAAACAACTCAAAAGGAAAAAAAAATCTAATAATCTGATAAAAAAATAGGGAAAATATTTGAATAGACATTTTTCAAAAGAAGACATACAAATGGCAAACCAGTATATGAAAAGCTCCTCAACATCATTGATCATCCCAGAAATGCAAATCAAAACTACAATGAAATATCATTTCACTCCAGTTAAAATGGCTTTTATCCAAAAGACAGGCAATAACAAATGCTGGCAAGGATACGGAGAACAGGAAACCCTTATACACTGTGGGCAGGAATGTAAATTAATACAATCACTATGGAAAACAGTTTGGAGTTTCCTCAAAACTAAAATCAGAACTAACATATGATCCAGGATCCCACTGCTAGGTATATACCCAAAAGAAACGAAATCCATATACTGAAGAGGTATCTTCACTCTCATGGTTATTGCAGCACTACTCACAGTAGCCAAGATCTGAAAGTAACCTATGTGTCCATCAGCGGATGAATGGATAAGGAAAACTTGGTACATATACACAATGGAGGACTATTCAGCAATAAAAAGGAATGAAATCTGTCATTTGAAACAATATAGATGCAACTGGAGGCCATTCGGCTAACTGAAAAAACCCAGGTGCAGAAGGACAAACTTCACATGTCTTCACTTACTGATGGGAGCTAAAAATTAAAATAATTAAATTCATTGAGATAGGGAGGAAAATGATGGTTACCAGAAGCTGGGGAAGGTAATGGGTGGGAAGGTGAAGTGGGATAGTTAAAGGGTACAAAAATATAGTTAGAATGGATAAGATTTACTATTTGCTAGCACAACCGGGTGACTACAGTCAACAATAATTTATTGTACATTTTGATATAACTAGTATAGTATAATTGGATTGCTTGTATCACAAAGAAAGGATAAATGCTTGAGGAGATGGATACCCCCATATTAGGGATACCCCATAACAATCACCCTGATGTGATTATTATGCATTGTGTGCCTGTATCAAAATATCTCATGCACCCCATATTTGTTCACCTAGTATGTACCATAAAACTTTAAGTCACTTAAAAAATTAGACGAGTTATATTAAAATGTAACTATCAAATAAGCTGTCAAATTAAGTAGTTCTGCTATAGTTATCTAAAAATAATTGTAAAGTAGCTCTCAAAGGCCTGAGATTAAGAACTGAGGATAAGCAGCACTGACTGGGAGTGAAGTCTAGGTGGTGTAATCCACACACTAGACTGTATGCTAGCTAGTGTCACTGACTGCTATTGGGTGGTAGTACCCAAAGTGGTGAGAATTAGAAAATTAAGAACTGTAAATGTTCTTTTTGAAATGGAATCTTTCAATTCTGGATTGTATGTAGTAAAAGACGTCATTTAAGAAAGTTTAGCTATACACCAAAATATGGCCATAATAACTTCCTCCTTATCCAAGTAGGTTGATATTCTGAATTGTTTTGTTTTGATTTCTATTTTGATACAAGGTTGTGGACAGATTCGTATTCTTTTTTGGCCTTCATCCCTCATTATTCTCAAGTCAGTTGAATCATTGCAGTTTATCTCATCTTTACTTAGTGTCATGAGGTCTGAAATGATACTTGTGTCAAAAAAAGACTTGTGACCACACAGGAGGAACTGTGGCTGAAGAACTTTACTGTGAACCCAGATTTATTACAGAGTATATTCTAGGATTCCATGAAAATAGGAATGCACTCTTTAAAAATACATCAGTGCTCCTTGAATCCATATGATGGTGGGATTAATGCAAATGGTTCATGCTGCAGACTACAGATAGCTTATTGAAAAGAAACATACACACTTGAACTAATAGAGCCCTCCAGGGTCAGGAAAAGGTGAAAACAGGAAGTTCCCTGAATTCATCCTTCCGGAGCATCTTTTGAAGTATAAAGACAATGTAGGTAAGTCTTCCTTTCAAATAATGCCTATGTCAGACAAATCTGGACAGATCAGGAAAATGAGGTGGGGGTGTAGAACAGCGGAAATAATGCTAACTCTTTCAACTTTTCCTTTTTTGAAAAGAACAAAATACATAGCAGCAACTGTTTCACTGAAATGTACTGTGTGTTATTGAAAGAAAATAAGTATAAGACCTTTAAGATTAGCATAACTTACCCTTAAATAAGCTGCTGTATGCAGAGTGAAGAAGTCACTAAATATATATTTTTAAAGTATCTATCTACACAACTGTCCTTTCTATTTATTACAGTTTGAAACTGTCACATTCTAAAATGGTATTTATTCTATTCTAAGAAATTAACGTGTAGATATCGACTTGAAGCGTGAAAAACAAACACATGCCTACAAATGCCGAAATGCTTGGTCACTGGTCCTGAGAAGGCTCTGAGAATGGTTTTGCACTTAGAAATAGATGTTATGCTTCTGTCTCAGCATTTAATAGTTAGCCTTTCCATCATATAAAGTTGATAAACTTTGCACTGCTATTTCAATGAGCAATTGATCCTTCCCATGTAACACAAACATAAGAAATCTCTCAGTTTTAAATTTAGATGTAACTCTGCAGTAAGAATGATGAAGACAAAATTTCTCCTTGTATATAATAATAATTTAAAGCTGAATTTGTTGAACTACAGTCTTCACACCAGGTTTTTAAAAGTAGTTAGAGTTTCCATTATAATTATCAAAAGTCTAAAGGTTTTGCTTCAAATGCAAAAATTTTGAAATTTGTAACACAAATATGTGGATTTTTAGTTGACTCTCTTTGAATGTGACAAATGTGACTATTATTTTCTACAATAGGAAGTGTTATGTAGTAAAATCACTTGATTTTTAGAACAGTTATTCTTGTGAAGGTTAAACAACTGAATTATTCCCCTGCATTTCACAGATTTTTTTTTAAAGTCACTTCTAAGATTTTATATCTGAATATAATTAAAAAGAAAAAATTTTTCAAAGGGAAATGTCAAACACATAATAGGGGAGATAAAAATAAAGCCTATTGAAGAAAGAAATTTTTTATATTATTACAATTTTTCTGCAGTATCCTATTCTTTAACCTAAGGTCTTTTATTTAAATTGCTGTATAATGTGGTCTTGCTTGTAACCAATTATATGAAGACACATTTTAAACTTCCCTATGAGAATCTATTTACCCAAATTCATCATGCTGTAAATGCAATGTATCCAATATTTAATCCTGGAAGAAAAAAATAAAAGGCCTTAATGGGAGCAATAAATCAGTGAAATGTAAATGAAGTGTAGACTGACGTAGTAGTAGTGTGCCAATGTTGACATCTTAGTCATGATGAAGTGTCATGGTATTGTAGGGTGTTGTCATTTGAGTAGACTGAATGAGGACTGGATTGGAACTCTGTACTATCTTTACAACTTTTCAGCAAGTCTAAAATTATTCCAATATAAAATGTTTATTAAAAATCTCAATACTTCAATCATATATTTCTATACCACTGTTGTGGAAATTGCAGCTATTCATGTTGCTACACTTTCCTTGATTTTTATAATTTGTAGTAGATATAACATTAATTACATGTAAAATCAATTTGTCATGTTTTATCCAAAAAATTTGTTAAAAATAAGGGTTTATATTCTTGTCCTGCTAAATTGTGCCATTTTGATGATAGAAATGTAGATGAGTTCACTAGTTATGAGGAGCCATTTTTATACTTTCATTTGTTTAGTAGACAGTATTTTCTATTTAATGTATTTTATAATATTTTGAATCCATAATACAGCAATCCATGACAAGGTAAAAAAGGGGAAAACATTCTACTGAAAACAGGCTATTCCATACCTCAGATTCTAGAATGAGGATAATCACTTTCAATACTTCACAGCTACAGAAAGTATCACAAAGATCGTTTGACTCACATAATGAAAATACTTTATGGTAGTTTTTGTTTTTAGATCAAATATTGCTACCACAGAATGGTGTATGTACCACTTCCACCCACCAAACAAAGATTACCAATATTTGTCACAGATAATATGCTTTATTTACCAGATGTTAAAGGATTAAATTCATTATATGGATTCTGAATTGATTATAGCCATCATGCTTTAAACTCACTAACTGTCAGGAAATAGACAAAGAGTTGAAGGTTCAATGAATCTGCAGCCAGAACTCTTAAGGGACACGTTAACTTTTACTAACTGTATTTCCAAATGTAAAGGATAGCTGCCTGATTCTTTCTTAAGATCAGGACTGGGAGACATCAGATATGAGCTGAAAGTTTGAGGAACTAGGACATTACTACGAGTATTTAAACTGCCGTGCCAAAGAATGGTGATAGCATAGTGAGGTCACCAACAAAAACAGAAAGAACTTTGGGATGGGCTGGCAAAGACGCAGTTGAGCACAGCTTGGGATCGGTCAGGGCCAGTTCAAAGCAGAGGAGAAAAGAAAAACATATCTCTGTTCTCACTGTATAATAAAAACCAGGCCTATTAAAAAATTTTTATAATGCAGGTCAAATATTCCTTATTTGAATTGCTTGGAGCCAGAAGTGTTTCTGATTTCAATGGTTTTTTTTTTTTTTGGAATATTTTCATCTAAATAATGAGATACCTTGGGGGTAGAATACAAATCCAAACATTAAATTCATTTACATTTTAGATATACTTCATATACATAGTATGAAGGTAATTTTGTGTAATATATTTAGCAATTTTGTGTGTGAAACAAAGTTTGTGTACACTGAGCCACCAGAAAGGAACATATCACTATCTCAGCCACCCGTGTAGATGTCTGTGATTGTTTGGCATTGCCATTATTCCTGACTCTGAATTTAGATACTACCAATAAGCAATCATCTTCTCATACTTATTTACACATAAGTAGTTAACAGTAAAAAATATGTCACACCTGCCAGGTGTGGTGGCTCACGCCTGTAATCCCAGCACTTTGGGAGGCCAAGGTGGGCAGATCACCTGAGGAGTTTGAGACCAGCCTGGCCAATGTGGTGAAACCCCATCTCTATTAAAACTACAAAAATTAGCCGGGCGTGGTGGTGGGCACCTGTAATCCCAGCTCCTCAGGAGGCTGAGGAAGGAGAATTGCTTGAACCCGGGAAGTGGAGGTTGCAGTGAGCTGAGATCACGCCATTACACTCCAGCCTGGGTGACAGAGCGAGACCCCATCTCAAAAAAAAAAAAAAAAAAAAGTCATACCATTAAAACAGTGAGAATAATGAGTTCAGGGTAACTCAGCAGCATAGTAGCGTCACCACAACACCTGTATCAGGTGCTAGACAAGAGCAACAACAAACAATGCAGGCTTCCAGTCTCCACCTACGATGCTGTTATACTTAAAAGGCTGCTGTGCATGGTGTTTATTATTAATTAATTAATTATTGATTGATTTAAGGGAGAAGAAACATGGGAAGCAGTTGAGGGACTGGGAAGTCGATCCTCTAGGGATGAGGAAACGTTCTGCTGCATGGCTTTTTGAAATGTTTCCTGCAGTCATCTGCTTCATTGACAGTGTATTTTGTCTTAGAAGTCTCTCTTTGATTTTATAATCAGACATGATTCCTTGTTCTGTTCCAAATACATTCTGCTTTAGTCCTTCAATACACCTATCACATATCACCATGTCGTCTACCGGCACTTTTTCTGCAGCGTTAATGCCATCGTCATCATCACTGTTATCATAATATCCTTGATTCAGAACTATTTGCTAAAGAATTAACAACTGGAGCCTCATTATTGATATTAACAACTCCCTCAATAACTGCTTCTTTCAGCTTATAGATGAACTCTGAAGGTATGTTTTTTGCGTACGTAAGAAGATAAAGCATTTTTTTTCCTCACTGGACATACAGAATTCTTCAGAGTCACCACCTTGTTCACCATCAGCACTGAACACAGTTGCAGGCCAGAGGTTGTGCCAGGCATCCACAACTGTGTCTTTAGTTACTGTGTTCCAAGCATTGACAACAGCATATATAGCATCCTTCAGGCTAAACTCCATTGGGAACCTTCCACACTCAGACCTCTGCTTACTGCTGCTAGCATGCTGTTCAAGAAAGTGTTTTAATATTTATGGATCTAAGGATACACTGGTCACATGGCTGAATAATGATGCCACATTTGCAGAACAGCACCTGGCATAAACATTATTTTTGATGAGCTATTCCGCTGAAGGATGAGCAGAACAGTTGTCAAGGAATAACAAAATCTGGAAATCTGGCAGTCTTCCAGTCCTGCTTCCCTGCAGTAAGCATGAGCCACTGGTATAAAATGTTTGTAAAACCAATCCGAAAATATTTCCCTGGTCATCCATGCCTTTTTGTTAGCATAACACAGTAATGGACTGGTAAGAAATTCACTTCTTACAGACAGCAAGGAGGCAAACTTTTGCCTATCATAGTAAATTTATACACTTACGTGTGCCTGCTGCTTTAGCACATTCCCACACAGTTATTCTGTTTTTGACATCCTTAATGCCTGTAGGGTTGTCTCATCAGCAGTAGCCAGTGTTTGGGGCACTAATGCCAAAACAAGGGTGTTTGATCTGCATTATAGACTCGTTCTGGTGTCAGATTTTTATCAGTGATGACCTTGGCACAGCTGTTAATGATTTTCTCCTCTGCTTTGTGATGAGCAGATGCTCTATCACCACAAATCGTTAAACATTTAATGCTATGTGATTTCTTAAATTTCAGCAACCATCCTGTTGAATATTCAGTTTCCTTTCATTTTCAATTCATCGTGATAGATCTTTGCTTGTTTCATGATCAGCAAAGCACTAAGTGGCCTGTGTTCACTTCAATTCTAATGGATCAACTTTTTCAATAAATTATCAAGATCTTCATTTTAACTTTTATGTAGTTTCTTTCTGTTTTTCTTTCACTTCTGTTCATCAGTTTGAACATAGAACTTCAACAGCTCATCCTTCCGTTTCTTCAGGTCCTATACGGTGGCCGTTCCAAAACCATACTCTTCTGTAAGTGGTTTCACACACCCTGTTGTCCAGTTTCTTCAACAGTTTGACTCTCCATACTATATAGATCAACATAAATGCTTCTCCCTTGTTATATCACTGTTCCCCATAGGGATATCTTCAGGCCTCTTTGACATTTTCCACAATATCATTACACTGCAGAGCAGAAAATAGGCAAAAAACCACAGTGAGTATTGTGATAGGTCTTGGCTTCATAGGGCATCATGGGGAACCTGCCATCAACCATCCTGCCTACACATGTGCCATTTTATTACCCTTTGTGGGTGCACTTGCCTGGGGGAACTTGGTCATGTAAGGAAAAGATGCATCATAGTGGAAAAGAACTGGGAGGGTCTTTTTTCCCTTGGGGATGCTGAATACACTGTGTGGTTTGCACCTGCTTTTTGACTGTGACCTGTCACATGAGATCAGGTGTGGAATTTTCCAATCATTGCATTATGTTAGCACTCAAAAAGCTTTAGATTTTGGAACATTTCAGATTTCATATTTTTGGATTGGGGTGCTCAACTCGTACAATGTAGCTGAGCAGAGAATTACGATGGGTACATGGAGCTCAGTGAAGATAAGCTTGAGAGGCAAGAGCCTGTGGAAGATTCACTGCAGGTGCTGCTGTGCAGATCTTGAGTTCGAGAGCAGCACAGACTTCAGGCTCTTCATTGCCGCACGGCATCTCTGGTATCTATCGCCACATGTCTGTGTTCAGAAAGTGATCAATAAATACTTTGTGAATTAAGTTGGATTGAACATTTGTTCATTCCTATAACATATTTTCTTAGAGAGACTATCATGTATAAGATATTACCTTAGTGAAAAGGATATATCACTATATTAATGCATGCCCTGGAGTTGTTATTCCAGTGGAGAGAAAAATAAGGAAGACATGAACGAATAAATATACAGCATGCAAAATAGTGGAAAGGACTCCTGTCAAAAAGTAAAGCAGGATGAGGGCAATAAGAAGGGGTAGAGGGAGCTGCTTTTATGTATTGGGTGGTTAGGTCAAGCCTTACTAATAACATTTGACTAGAGATTTGGAGAAAGCAAAGACTTCCTGAGGGAAAAACTACCAGCCAGACTGAAAAGTAAATACAACAGACCTGTTGTACTTACAAAAGGTACTTGGGCCTGTCTGATGAAGTGAATGGATAAGCAAGAAGTGGGGAAATAGGAGTAGGTAAGTCAGAGAAGTTACAGTGCTTTGCTCAACAGGATCCCTTTTGAGAGCAAAGTTAGAGACCAGAATATTAGTTAAAAAGGAAAGCCAGTGGGGTAGTCTGGCCAGGGTGAAAGGATTTGACGTGCCTAAGTATTACCGGTTACAATGTGGAGATCACACCATTCGGATGTCAGATGGCATCAGAAAAACCTTTCAGAAGGCAACTGGATCCACAAAGGCAAGGAACGAAGGTGGGACCAAGACATTGTTAAAGGCGGAAGGAGTTCTTCTCCGAGTGGAATTGAAGAAAGGCTCACAATGTGTGTTGATTGATTGGATGAGGAGTATGAGGGACATAAATTGAGGGTTACAGCCAAGTGTTCATTTGACCAGCTGAAACAGGGAATTTCCATTTGCTCTGATGGCAAAGACAGGCGGAAGGGGAGAGCGGGTTTGGAGCTGTCAAACAGGCAATTTGGAAATCAGAGGAGAGGTGTGAGCTATAATTTAAATGAGAAGAGTAATAGATAGTATGTAAAGCCATGAGTCTTAATTTGGGTACTCTAGAAACAGAGAAGAGTTAAAGATTATGCACTAATACTTTTTATTTGGAAGGTGATACCCCAGGGCAGCAAAAGGGAAAAAGAAAGTGAGGAGTGAGACAGGGAAGGGTGGGGAACATTGCAATGAGAAAGCACACAGAGAGTGTGTGCCCCATCCTGGGACTCCTGACAGAGAAGAGAGCTTGAGGAAGTACAGCCTCTTCTTTGTAAAGCTCATATGGTGGAGAAGGAACAGGCAAAGAAAACACCACAAGAACAGCCAGCCAGAGAACAGCCAGGAGGAAGTGTGGTCCCTTAAGGATGAAGGATAATGTGGCTAGGTCAAGTGCAATGGAGATAAAGAGAATGGGTGGAAAATAAGAAACAATGATAAGGAGAAGAAAGGAACAAAGAGCTTTTCAAAGAAACATTATCACTCCAAGGTGACCCACTCTTTTCCTTCTTAAAAAACAACTTATTTATCAGGAGCATAAATCCTGCTAATTTGCAGTTTATTCAAAGCAGTTTTTAAAAATTGTCAGTTGTTTTCTAAATATGTGAATGCTAATTTTTCACAAACATGCAAGGAACATTCAAACAGTTAAAGCACAGTCATATTACACTTATAGTCATGTTTACCTAGGAATCTAAGAAGAAATTGATTGTTCACAATTGGAATCATCTAACTTCCTAAACTCATAGAAATATTCAATTGTTAAAAACATACACTGACACAGGAATATTTCTGAAAGACTTTACATGGTAACCATAAAACAATAGTAGACAATTAAGCTTGGCTTTAAAATATCATCTATAAGATATCCAGATGTAAAAATAAGTATATAAGAAATTAAATCTTCATCTAAAATAATCTCAGTTAAAATATAACTGCATTTCTTTTTGTTTTTGAGTATATTCTGCATTTTAGAATTTAAAATTGATCAGAAATGGACAGTTCTTTTAGATCTGGACCTTCAAAAATCTTTTAGGCATGGACTTTCAAAAATCACAGAAAGTTGTGAATTAGTGTAGAGGTGGGAAAGATTCCTAATTAATACATTCATATCAGCTTGTGTATCCTTTTTCTTTTTGAAATCAACTGAAAGTAGACGCAAAATATAAATACTAATTAATATGCCCCTCTATTAGTTTCTTGAAGCTGCCATAGCAAATTACTACAAATAATTTGGGTTAAAACAACAGAAATTTATTCTTTCACAGTTCAAGAGGCCAAAAGAGCAAAATCAAGGTATTGTCAGAGCTGATTCCTTCTGGAAGCGCTGAGGAAAAGTCTATTCCATGCTCTGCTCCTAGCTTCCGTGGCTGCTGACGTATCTGGTGTTCCTTAGCTTGGGTCTGCCCTCCTGTCTCTGCCTCATCTTCCTATGACCTTCCTCTCTGTGTCTCTGTCCTCTCCTTTACTGTCTTCTCTAAGAACATTCATCACTGGATTGAGGGTCCACTCTACTACAGGATGATCTCATCTCAAACCTTTAATTACCTCTGCAAAGACCCTTGCTTTAAATGAGGTCACATTCTGTGGTTCCCAGTGGACTGGAATTTTGCAGGGGACACTATTCGACCCACTACAGCTCCCACCGATATACATTTCTTAGCTTGTGGTAAATTCTGGTAGCTTCTTTTGCTCCTTTAATAATTGCCTACACTTCTTTCCTAATCCTCCTTGACTAGTGTTATTTATACTTGGGGCTTATTAGGTAGATGGATTTAAAACAGTAATATGCCTTTGTGACTTTTTTATGACCAGGAGAACTCTTAGCAAGTGTATAGGTAGTGAACAGCAATCCATTAGTATGTATAATTGTTTTAATTAACACAGCACTTTATTATGAATTTCAGAAGCAATTATTTATTGTACTACTTCTCAATTTTATTAGCATAGTATTTGGTTTGTAGTAAAAGAATAGGTAAAACAATGTGCTGTTTATTTTGAGTAATGTATGCAGAATGCACTGAGTCAATTGAATTGTGATTAGTATGCCCAAGAGCACATTGTACACTTAAACATAAAAGTCTGAAATGGAAAAGTTGTGCACTTGAGTCTAGAATGAAAATCACTTAACATCGAAATCTAACCTCATTTTAACATTAACAGTAAAATGATGCTAAATTCCACTCTGACCAGGACTTAAAACATCATTGATTACAAGCTTGCTTCTCTGGAATTAGGAATATTCCATCTTACTAAAAGAATCTTCCACGTTGGGAAAAATTTACAGAATTTACAGTTTCATGAGTTCACATCAGAACCAAATGAATGTTTTCTATGTTAAGAAAAATATCAATTCCTCTTTCTCAGATTCAATGTCATGAAAGCTGTTAAATACTCATAGACTTATCTCAGCACAATTCACAATAGCAAAGATATGGAATCAACCTAAGTGTTCATAAATGGAGGATTGGATAAAGAAAATGTATTACATACATACCCCGGAATAGTATTCAGCTATAAAGACGAATGAAATCATGTCTTCTGTAAAAGCAACATGGGTGGAACTGGAGGCAATTATCTTAATTGAAACAACTCAGAAACACAAAGTCAAACATCACATCATCTCACTTCTAAGTGGGAGCTAAATAATGTGTACAGTTGGACTAGAATGTGGAATAATCAACATTGGAGAATCAGAAGAAGGGAGGGTGGAGGAAGGTAAGGGGTGATAAATGATGTAATAGATACAATGTATTATCATGGTGACGGTAATGGTTATGCTAAAAGCCCTGACTTCACCACTGCACAATATATCCCTGTAACAAAACTGTAATTGTATCCATTAAATTTATACAAATAAGAAAAATACTTGGTGTTTCATGTTATTTACTTGGGGGAAATATAGTCTATGGTATGTAAATATTCTGAAAGTTTTCATTGATATCCATTTAAATGTTCAATTCATTCAAAACAATGTAAACTCAAGTAATTTAATCAGAAGATTGCCCTGTAGGCTACTGAAAGTCCTCCTCTTAAGGGAAGTAGCTATAAGATATGCTTGATACATTTTTAAATATTTAAAATACATTAATTTCACTAATTCTTAGTTTCAGTCAAAATTTGCATTATAATCTTAATAATTAATGTCAATGTCCCATGTACCACATAGTATATTACTGTAAACCTAAGGAGATTACTGAAATTAATTATCAATATTTATAAAGTAGCATTTTGACAAAAGCTCAGAGTTGAAAAGTGGCTAGCATCTTTAAAGATAAATAACATAAAATAGATTTGATGCATATTCTGATAAGATTTATTGTTATTTTTATAAGCCTATACCGTTTCCATAGATACAGCATGAAGCTCGCAATCACCTCTTTAGCTATAATATGCTAAAGGATAACTATAATATTTCTGACAACGTATAACTTTTAATGAATAAACTCTCGTTTAAGTACTATTTTTTATTTTTTTTTTAGATGGAGTCTTGCTCTGTCGCCCAGACTAAAGCACAGTGGCATGATCTCAGCTCACTGCAACCTCAGTCTCCTGGGTTCAAGCCATTCTCCTGCCTCAGCCTCCCAGGTAGCTGGGACTACAGGCATATGCCACCACGCCTGGCTAATATCTTTGTATTTTTAGCAGAGATGAGGTTTCACCATGTTGGTCAGGCTGGTCTCCATAATAATGCTTCATGTTTTGGCACTAAATATGAATAATAATTCTTCGTGTTCATAGGGGTTCTTATTAAAGCAAACTAAAGGAAAGAAAAAGAAATAAAATAATTTAGCTTAGTTGATTTTATCTTATTACAATTATGTAATTTCATTTTTATTTATGTTACTAGAAGGCCACCCGTTTATTTATCCAAATCAATGCTTGAATATTAGCGTACAATTTGTAGTCTCTTACGTCAACTGAGACCTATTGCGTCTTTAAAACAGTGAACATTTGACAGAAGTTCTTTGAATGGTGGTCCTTTCTTTCCCTCCTCTCCCACAGCTCAAATCTCTGGGTAGAGTTGAAATGTCCTCCACTCTACCTTCATCATTTAATTCTACGTTTGTCGTGATTAAGTCACTTCACTTTTCCAGTCTTAACTTTCCTCATTGAAAATGCAGGGAAGACAGAGAAAAGTGCTTGACTTCTCCCTAGCAAAGACAGGAAGACGAAAAAAATAAGATGTGGTGAGAATGAATGAAAATGCAGCTACAAAGAATGTTTTATGCTTTTCAAAATAATGATCATAGCATATATCAGGTTATTTTAACTAATTCTTCAATTTGAGAGGCATGTACAAAAATAGCAAACAAAGGTAAAGAAACATCTTGGTCTAAAAACCAATTGCTAAGAATTTTTATGTTGAACTTTTTCATTCCCATTTTGCAGATGCAGGTTCAGAATAAGATGAATATATTTGCTGCAATTACAGACTTTGTTGAATAACTGTGAATCAGCCAACTCTTCACAAACCATCTTCTACCTATGTCTGCCAGAAATCTTCTCACTGCTTTAGAGGCTAACGACTAATATACAGCAGTCATCTGTTGTACTGCAAAGCCCTATAAACAGATTCAACGTCATTGTTCTTTAATGAAAAAGAAATATGGTCTCTATATGCTGCTTTCATTCTCTTGGGGTAAAAAGATTTTGTTCTCAATTTAAAACAAAATGCTATCATCAATATCCCCTGGAAATTCCACTTAATTAAAATGCTCTAGTCATACAATCTGCCAAATAAAAACTTGGTTAATTTTTCAATTAACTGCATTTAATTAGAATTTTATAATACGGAGGAGATCTGCTTGTGTAGCTTATCCTCATCAAAGAGGTTGTACTTTGGTCAAAATGAAGAGAACATTTAAAACATAATGGATATCAGTAGGATAAAATGTTCTTCTTCCAAACTAATTCCTCATCTGGCTGACACAACAAGATAAAAAAACTCGCACACTCGTTGAATCTGTATGTCCTGGATGCATTCTCATGACTCCAGCCTGCTGCGGCCAAATGCCTGCATGCCTGCAGCTACATGGTTATGGCTCAGATCACAGGGCTGCTTGGTTTCTGCATCCTTTTCAAACCTATTACTAGCTCATTCCTGTGGCACCTACCTGAAAAAGGAAAAGTTAAAACCAAACGAAGACAAAATATCTTCCATGTAAGTCACATCGTTTATGAATTGTCTTTCCTTCAGTTCAAAGAGACAAAAAAAGACTCTACTAGCAATTCAATAACAATGTAACAAGACACTCTCTCAATGTTTAAAAAGAAATAAACAGCTTATGCTATTTGGAAAATTATGTGATCAAGGTCTGTCATCGCCTTTCTCTTGGATGTCAGGGTAATCGTTTTCATGTACGTTGGCAATTCTGAGGCGGGAACATTGTCCCCAGGTGAAAGCACACTACTTTCTGTGCAAATAACATGTATGAGAAAACATGGAAATGGAATGGCCAAGACATTTCACATTTATAACCATGAACTAGTATTTATATATTTGAAAACTTTTTATGTTCATAAAAATCTTGATTTTTCTTTAGAGTGGGAGCATTACTACTTGTTGTTCAAACTAAAGATAATGGGAAGAATAGGATTATATAAAGTAGATATGAAGGCTTCAAGGTTGTGTTTGATCTCACCATGGACAATCAGGTTAATTGGGGAATTTGACAGGAAAAGGAAGAAACCTCATGGCTGGACCTAGGTCAAAGGGAGGACAAGAAGCGCAAACTCCTACAGTATAAAAGTATTCACTCCTGTGACTTAATACAAGTCATTACTTTGACTTTTGAATATGAAAACCATTCTTTGCTCATCAGTCATCCAATAACAAGCCAGGGACCCACGGCTGTAGCCAGCTTACCCCAATTTAGATCCTTAAAGTTGGTGCTAACTTCTGTCATCCCTACTGCTGCAATGCAGTATAGTTTTGATCCACTATCTTGACTTAATTTAAATATTTATCTATTTGCCTGTTTTTGATTTCTTCATATTATTTCTTCAATTGAATTAAATATATTTTAATTTTTTCTATTAAAGTAATACTAACTGCTATATTATAAAATCAGAGCAGAAGTTTATGAATTACTGCAGTCCAACTGGTGACCATTATAAAATGACTTTTTTGGAAGTGGAAGCTGAGATCCAGTGTGATGTGGGAGATATTTATTAGGGATCAACAGCCAGCAGTGCCAGAGAGAAGATGGTAAAGCAGATTGCTCAGAGACAAAAAGCGAAGTGTGATGCGAGTTCAACAAGCCTTGGGGCCAGCTGGAGCATAGCCAGCTAGACAGAGTTGTCCTGTGCAGGCTTGAAACGGCCAAGCCTTTATAACCTGGCTTTAGATTATTTATTGGATGTGGGCTACAACAGGAGAGGCAGCTCACTGCTGCTGAGGCAAAATCCTGAATGAGGTAATAGCTGGATATTGTCTGCTGACATCATCCTCTTTTCTGATGGAACAGGAACTAATATATTTGACCTGTCAATGGTAGAATGGTGTGTAACTGTGCCGTGTTTATCTGCTCTAGCCATTGGGGTTAATATTTAGCAGGGTCCACAGCAGTGCACTGTCACCCTCCAGGATCCACCATTTGTCTACATTGACCAGATGGTCAATTAAACAGAAATGTGTTGGGGTCTTGAATCATTTAAATCAGGGTGGCAGAGTCATTTTTCTGTAAAGATAAATAAAAAAGTACATATTTTAGGCTCTGGGAACCACGTGTAGTCTCTGCAATATATTCTTTGTTTGTTGGTTTTTACAATTCTTTAAAAGTGTAAAAATCATTCTTCACTTGTTAGCCCCACAATAAAAGACTCACGGCCATAGTTAGTTTTCCCAGGATTTAGATCCTGAAAATCAGTGCTGACTCAGCATCCCTATGACCACAGTGCAATATTATTTTATTTGCTCTCTCGGCTGACAGTGGAGGGGAGTTTCTCAGACTTCTGCTTGGACCACCCTCAATAAAACCCATTTATTATCTGGCTCCCATGTGCCTCCATTCTAACTGGGGCCATGATTAAGCTTGGGGTCTTCAGATTGCAATGTTGACAAGTGCCCTGTATCCAGCACACCTCACAATACTTGTTATCAGTTTTTTTTCCAGTATTAGGGGTTGAATTTTGGTCCTCCACAGAATTAATATGTTAAAGTCCTAACCCCAGCACCATAGATTTTGACCTTATTTAGAAACAGGGTCATTGCAGATGTAAAAAGTTTAAATGAGCTCATGCTGGTGTAGGGTGGGCCCTTAAGCCAATATGACTGTGTATTTATAAAAAGTGGAAACTTGGACACAGTTACACACACCAAGATGACCCAATGTGAAGATGAAGGCAGAGAAGAGGATGATGCTTCCATGATACAAACGAAGATGCACTAAAGATTTCAGTGGCCACCAGAAGAAGAAAAGAGCCCTACAACAGATTCTCCTTTGCAGTTCTCAGGAGGAACTGATCCAGGCACCTTGATTTTGGGACTTCTGTCCACCAGAACTGCGAGACAATACATTTCTGTGGCTTATTTTTTTTTCTCACCCATGGATTGGGGTTACTTACATTTCTGTGGTTTAAACATTCCAGTTGGTGGTTGTTTGTTACAGTAGCCTTCGCAAACTAACATGCTGAGTAGGCATTCACCCAAGGAAATGGCTATGGCCCCTGGGCAAGGCCTGCGGACTCCTTACCAAGCACTCTGATTGTGATGGTGTGGGTCCTTCCCTCTGGGAACATGGCTTCCCCTGCAGTCAGTGAGTTCCAGTTCATAAAACTGACTCAGATCCAGAAATCAAGAAAAGGATGTTAACACTTTTGGGCAACTGCCTTCAGAATTTTGGTCATATCTCCTCGATTTCTCCTGACAGTACAAGCTCAGCAGCACCCTGCTGGCTTTCTACCCATGCTGTTTTCAGGGTTGCTGTGCTCTATCATCTCCACAACTTTCAGTGGATCAGATTTTTTGGCTACTGCCCTCCTAAACCATTACGGTCATTGTGACCTTCTAATCACCTGGTCTCTGTTGTTCTAGGGTCCTCTTGTTCCCACTACTATCAGTTTGCCTAATTCTGTAATGACATTTCTTACCATCTGCCTTGGTGTGAAGAAGAGAGCCACAACCAAACATTCAGAGATGCTGGTGCTCTTGCAGCAGTTCATTCCATATAATATAGTTATCCTGCAGGCTTTCTGGTGGATCATAACCATCTGCAGCTCTTCCATTCTTACACAGTGTCCGCCCTAGCATTTTAGCTTTTCCATCCCTTCTTCCAGTATCTGACCCTTCAACTTTACTTAGTGCCACAGATGCAAGGTACAAAGAGGGGTGGAACTTCATCAGAACTGAAAAGAGGAGAATTAATTAAGTCTACACATATGACTGTATGCTGTCATTCTCCATCTTCATGCACAGAGGTTTGCCTGCCTCATGTCTATCTCCTTCCCATTGCCCAGACATGAAATTTAAGGTTTCATCCCTGGGGAAATTAAACTGTCTTCTACAAAAGCAATCCACAGTCTGAAATTTGGTTATTTCTCAGAATATTTACATTTATCTTGCTTCCAATAATTCTAGAACAAATCTGACAATAGACACATCTTATAAATGTACCCAGATGTCCTACTATCTTTTTCTCACCTTATTGTTAGAAATATAAAACAAACTATGGGCAAACAAATATATGAGTAAGTTTTCAACTGGAAGTACACACTGAGATACTTTAGCTAGATGAAGAAAAACTAAAATGTAACAAAGAGCATTCTCATCAAATTTCATGTAATCTGGAATATTGAGAGCATTTTGAACACTTCTAGAAATTTAAAAAATGCAATTACACAGAATAAAGTCTAATAATATTTTAACCTTAACTCTGAAGTACCTTAACTCTAAATTCTTTCAAAATGCTGTGAGAAAATTATTTTTAATTTAAGATTTTATACCTCACCAGACTATCAATGAAATCAATATCCACTAAAGGATTTTCCAGTCATGGAAGAACTCAGAAAATTTCTCGCCTTGCAACCTTTTCCCAGGAAATTACATGATATTTGTTCCAGATAAACAGCCAATTAAACCAAAAAATATTAGATCACATGTATCAATTAGGTCACTTTTAACTCTAAATTACTGAAAACCAAATACAAACTAGCATATGCAGTTCATTATAATCATCAATATCATCATCGAAATGGCAGGAAAATTCTTTATTGATTTGTGTAGTGTTTGTTTTTGTTTTTGTTTTTTGAGATGGAGTTTCGCTCTGTTGCCCAGGCTGGAGTGAAGTGGCTTAATCTCGACTCACTGCAACCTCCACCTTCCAGGTTCAAGTGACTCTCCTGCCTCAGGCTCCCAAGTAACTGGCATTACAGGTGTCTGCCACCACGCCCAGCTAATTTTTGTATTTTTAGTAGAGATGGGGTTTCATTATGCTGGTCAGGCTGGTCTCAAACTCCTGACATCAAATGATCTGCCTGCCTCGGCCTCCCAAAGTGCTGAGATTATAGATGTGAGCCAATGCGCCCGGCCTATTTGTATAGTGTTGATGTTTAGGGGCAAGTTTGGTTTGAATTTGAAGCAATTCCACCTACAATTGATTCTTTCCATCTTTTGGCTAACTGTCTTCTCATTCACTTCTTGACTCAGTTCTGTCTCTTTTAATCTTTCGACTGCAAGTGAATGCAACAGACACAACACAACATCTTCTTAGCCTCGTGTTCATGAAAGGCAAGAGCTTCTTTCCCACAAATATATATATATTTTTTCATATATAAATATATATAAATCAAAACAGTTGTCTAAAAACAGTAGTCTAAAGTCTGACTTTTTCTTTTCCTGGCCAAAGCTAGTAACTTAGGCAAAAAAAAAAAAAAAAAAAAAAAAAAGAGAGAGAGAGAGAAGGTGAATTAGCTAGAGTAAATAATTTTAACTATCCAGATTCCCCTTCTTGTTATGAAGTTTGGGGCAGTTCCATAGAAATTACATTATGTTAAAGTGAGATAAAAGAATTTCTTGGAAAAAAAAAAACATCATGGATAGAGCTAGGGATGAGAAGGAAGCTGGGAGAGCAGCAAATGCCAAATGTGCAGTACACACAAGAAACAGGAAACAGAGGGTCCTTTTAAAAACCAAATGGGTGAATGGGCAAAATAATGTGTGCAGGGGAACTCCCCTTTATAAAATCATCAGATCTCATGAGACTTACTCACTAACACCAGAACAGCTGGGGAAAGTCCCTCTCTTATGATTCAATTACCTCCTACCGGGTGCCACCCAGGACCTGTGGGAATTATGAGAGCTACAATTCGAGATGAGATTTGGGTGGGGACACAGCCAAACCATACCAGTCAGAAACCCTAGTGAAAAGCAAAAATTTTTAAGTGAAAGAAATGTAATCATGATGTAGTATTTGACTTTTCAGTGAACACTATTTACACAATCATATTGTTTTAAATACTAAATATTCATTGCTTGTTTAATTGAATATACTCTGTATCTCACTGAAGGATGAAGCAGGGGAGGCGGTGTGTGGTGAACAGTAGCTAAATTCTTGTCCCTCATAGCAAGAAGCAAATAGGTAGTGTCAAAACTTGAGATATCAATATATAGTAATCTGTTTAGCTTTAAAGATACGTAACTACCAAAAGAAAATCTAAAGGATGACAAATCTATTGACTCAAAGGGAAAGAAACATAGGGGAAAAGAAGATGGGGATATTTTAAAAGGCTTTCAAGATTAATTTAATTTTTATTTTATTTATTTCATTTTATTTTTGAGACACAGTCTTGCTCTGTCCACTAGGCTACAGTGCAGTGAGACACACAGTCATGGCTCACTGTGGTCCTGACCTCCTGGGCTCAGGTGATCTCCCACTTCAGTCTCCCAAGTAGTTGGGACTACAGGCACATGCCACAACACCAGGCTATTTTTTATTTTATTTTATTTTATTTTATTTTTTGTAGAGACTGGGGTTTCACCATGTTTCCCAGGTTTATCTCAAACTCCTGGGCTCAAGTGATCCTTCTGCCTGGGCCTCCCATAGTGCTGGGATTACAGGTGTAAGCCACCGCAGCACCTGGCCTATTTTTATCTATGATCATGTATTTTATGGATAAAATTAAATATATTTTTAAAGATAAGTTCAAGGAAACTCTCTCTTTTTTAAAAAAAATTATACTTTAAGTTTTAGGGTACATGTGCACAACGTGCAGGTTTGTTACATATGTATACATGTGCCATGTTGGTGTGCTGCACCCATTAACTCATCATTTGCATTAGGTATATCTCCTAATGCTATCCCTCCCCCCTCTGCCCACCCCACATCAGGCCCGGGTGTGCGATGTTGTCCTTTGTAGGGACATGGAGACTCTCTCTTAATGGAGTCCCAGATCAACTGCAGAATCACAGTCTTTCAAGTTAAGAATTATCAAATGTTATATAAAGTTATATGAAGTTTCCAATAACTGGAATAGATATTTGTCTTTACTTTGTTTTCTAGCCAAAAAAAAATTTGGAAACAGAATGCCATTTTCTTTCTTACATTTTATTCATTCCAAGTTCTCACAATGGACTAGTCTCATCAGTGGTCCAAAGTTTGTTCGGTCCAAATTTTAGTATAATTAGATTTTGATATAACAGATTAATAACTGAACATAGAACATGGAATGGATAAATGCAGTTTTGAGCTGCTACATTGTTGCAGTCCATGCATGACTTCTGTAGTCTGTGAAATTAAATAAATATTCAGTTCTATCATTCATCTTCTCACCAGATATGAGAAATTGTCCTTAGGCAATAGTGACAGGGAAAGAAAATAAAAGAGATCAAAATTAGCTTATCTGCTTTTTTTCATTTTTACACTTCAATATATCTGAAATGAACAAACCCAGTAATTTTAAATGTGAAAATAGGAAGGCATTATGTCATAAACATGAGCATATTTCTTGAGAGTGAATATGAAAGAGAGAGGAAGGAGTTTTGCAGCTTGCTCCCATCCTACCCATGTTTCTCCTGAACACACATATGTGAAGGCCTCAGCCTGTTTTAGTCCTGACTGGCGGGTTCCACCTCCTTCTCCTCCACCTGTTTCGCTTCTCCAGACACCTGGTCCCTCTTCCAGCAAGTCTTTGCAACATGCATCCTTCAGAAGTGACTCCGTTTATAACAATATTTTTACCATTGAAAATTCCTGAAATGGATGTTTTTTAAAAAGGGAAGGGAAGAAGGCCGATGTGACTTCTGGTATTACCAGCTGCAATGAATGTATTTGATGTTTTATTTCTCTAATGCATAACTCACTTTTTTATGGGTTTCATGGGTTAGTTCCTTAAGGCACCTATGTGTCTGAAGTGTTTTTTTATTACCAAAAGTTGAATTTCCATACAGATGAATCTAAACACAACCTTTTAAACTGTACAATCAGATTTAATATTTTAGTGTGCATTGGAGAACAATTATGCATTTTATGGAAAAATAACATTTGACTTAAGCAACAGTAGCATATTTTATTCACTTACTAAAAATTCTAGAGTTAATTTCAACAGCCCAACTGTTTCATCAACAATCAGAATCTTTCAACCTTTCCATACTGCCATTCTCAGCATATTTTTATCCTTAAATTTTTCCTCTCATGTTCAAAGTGGCCATGAAGCCATCTTTTTATACATGTCTTTATAAATATGGATATGAGAATACTTATATTTGCTGTGGGTTTGCCTCCAGGCAGATATTATAATAACAAAAATATAACAGACTATCGTCTCATGCCTCAAAATTGAGTGTTCCTATTTTAAAAAAGGCAATTATTCATCAATCACCAAGACTTAGAGATACTTTATCTCTTGAAATAAGCATATAATGGAATTTCCTTCTGACTTACATAAAGGATATTTTTGTTAATTCAATTTTCCAAAATTGGTTCTTATTCCCAAAATATTTCTAAATGGAAATTCTATTAATTGAATATTTGAAGAGATAAACGTCACTTCTAAGTCGTATTTTATTATAATCTCACTACTCTTTTCACTCATTTAACCATTAATTCATGCATACATTAATACAGTCATTTATTTATTTAATTAAACAAGTGATAATATTGTGGAAAGACAATGTGATCTAATCTTTAAATATATTAATTCTGCAGCAAAACTGCTTTTGTTTGAATCTGCTTCTTGGTATATCACTCAATCTCACTGTGCCCAAGTGTTTTCATCTGGAAAATTTGAATAAAATACACATACCTCACAGGGTTATCATTTTTATATGTTAAGATACGTGAGTTGCTTAGAAGAGTTCATGGTTTCTAATAATTACTAAATGATTTCAATACAAACAAATAAATATATGCTATTCAAAAGAAAGATACTGCTTTCATAAATGCTATATGTAGTTATTCCTGTATAAATCAAAAGCACAGGAAATAAAAGAAAAATAGAAAAGCATGACTGCACAAACTGAGAAGCTTCTGTGCAACAAAGGAAACAATCAACAGAGTGAAAAGGCAACCTGTGGATTGGGAGAAAATATTTGCAAACCACATATCTGATAAGGGGCTAATATCTAAAATATATAATTTAGATATTAAATTTGTACAATGCAACAGTAAAAAAATACCCTACAAATAGCCCAATTAAAAATGGACTAAGAATTTAAATAGACGTTTCTTAAAAGAAGACATACAAATGAACAACAGGTATATGAAAAGATGTTCAATATCATTAATCACCAGAGAAATTCAAATACAAAATAGAATAAAACATTACTTCACACCTGTTAGGCTGGCCATTATATAAAATAACTTTTTTAAAAAAGGCAGAAAATAACATTGTTGGTGAGGATGTGATGAAATTGGAACCTTGGTACACTGTTGGTGGAGATGTAAAATGGTATCTAAGCCAACCAGTATGGGGTCTCCTCAGGAAATTAAAAATAGAACTACAGTGGGATGTGGCAATCCCAATGCTGGATATTTGTTCTAAATAATTGAACACAGGATCTTAAAGAGATATTTGCACTCCCATGTTCATTCCAACAATATTCACAATAGCCAAAAAGTGGAAACAACCTAAATGTCCATGGACATATAAAAGGCTAAAAAAGGATGCAGTATACATGCAATGGAATATCATTAGGCCTTATAAAATAAGGAAATCTTGTCATATGCAACAACATGAGTGAAACTTGAGGACATTATGCTAATGGAAAGAAGCCTGTCATGTAAGACAAATTCTGCATGATTCCACTTACTTGAGTTATCTTAAGTAATCAAACTCATAGAAGTAGAAAATAACGGTGGCTACCAGAGGCTGTGGAAGGAGGGGAAAATGGGAGTTGCTGGTCGGTGGGCATAGAGTTTCAGTTATGAGAGGTAAAAAATCTTCTAGAGATTTGCTGTACAACGTAGTGCTTATTGCAAAAATACTGTACTGTACACTTCAAAGTTTGTTAAGAAAGTAGATTTGGAGCTTCATATTCCTTTCCACAGTTAAAAAAAATTCAGTTCAAACAAACATTTCAAACCCAGAAAAACAGGTGAAAAAAAGATACCACATAACACAACAACCAATGGATTATCTGTATTCTTCATTTTCAAGTCCACCTCCTGGCAGGACAGAAACTAGAGTTTAGACTCTATACTACAACATCTGCACAACATGACTGCGACTAGATTTTATTAGACAAAAATGCTTTAAATAGTGTTAAATCAGTTAGGATTTCTTTCCTGTGCAAGTAAGGATAAATCTGTGCAAACTAACTTTTTAAAAATTGGACCTATTAAAAACTGAAATTGAACCTATTTTAAAACTAAAAACGCAGGAATAGACTTTAGGCACAATTTAATTCAGATGCTGAAATTATTTGGAATGATTTTCTTGCGTTCTGATTTTCACTACACTGGTTTTACTCTGCCACTCCTTGCCATCCCAGGCTTGTTCCTTCCTCTGTGACAGCTTGCAGCCTCAAAAGCTGCCTGCTTCTTTTCAAGCCAACCTATATTATTAATATCTCATATGATATAGCTTTATAATCTAGTGATATAATGTCTTTTCATAACGAAATAGTTCAATAGGTCCAATAACGCTCAACAGACCATTTAGATATATAGTAAAGCCCTAAGATAAACATCAGTTTGGCTGCTATTTTATGCAGATACCTGGACCAATGGCGTCGATCTGAATATTTGATAGAAATAGTGTAAATAGTGTCATTATATCTCATTTGCCTGATTTGGTGGCATGTTGTGATCAGTTACTTTAACCATCAAATTTAATGCATTAGTTGCATGACCACAAATCCATGTAACCATGGAATCAGGAGTGAAACCAAATTTCTACAATGCTTATCGAATAACAATGGGGAACATGATTCCTCAGAAAAACATCAGGGTGCTTTTACCAGGAAAAAGATGAAAGGATATTGAGTGGCAAAATCCACAGAGGACAACTGTAGTAGCAACTTACTTCACTCTTTTGCCCTCTTAGCCCTAATAAGTGAAATCTAATTCAGATAAAGCCCGTTGATCTAAGTATCTGCATAAAATAGGAGCGAAATGGAGGTTCACCTTAGGGCTTTATGAATATAGCTAAATGCTGCATTGAGTATTATTGAACCCAAAGGACTATTTGCAATGATAATTGTATATTAACCAACTATCTATTTCGTATGCTAGAAAACTACAGTAACAGACTATAAAACATATGTCGGTTTTCAACTCTGCCCCTTATTTCATTTCCTGTATAGCACTAATACCAACTGAAGTTATCTTGCTCATTTATGTGATTATTTTTTGTTACATCTCTTTCTAGAATGATCCTTCTGTCTTTTCAACCACAGCAAACACTGCATCTAAAACTGTACCTTGTGCATGGAAGATATTCAGTAAATATTTGTTGAAGAAATAAATTCTAGTATCACTCCTTGATATGATTTGACTCGAGTCCCCATCCAAATCTCACCTTGAACTGTAACAAGGTGTCCCAGTCTGAAGGAAGTCAGGCAGGAAGAATTTTCTCTTTCTCAGGGGAGAAACGGTCTTTTGTCCTATTTAGGTCTTCAACTGATCAGATGAAACCACCTCACATTAGGGAGGGTAATCTGTTGTTTCAAATATCTACTGATTCAAATATTAATCTCTTCCAGAAACACTCTCAAAGACACAAAGTATTAGGTCATCTTGCATTGCTATAAAGAAATACCTGAGATCGGACAATTTATAAAGAAAAGAGGTGTAATTGGCTCACAATTCTGCAGTCTGGACAGTAAGCATGATGCTAGCATCTGCTTGGCTTCAGGTAAAGCCTCAGGAGGTTTCAACCATGGTGGAAGGTGAAGTGGGAGCAGGCACTTCACATGGCAAAACCAGGAGAGAGAGAACGAGTATATGCAGGAGAGGTCTCACACACTTAAAACAGCCAGAGCTCATGAGAACTCATGTACTATTGTGAAGACAGCACGACAGAGCCACAAAGGCTCTGCCCGCATAACCCAAACATCTCTCACCAGGCCCCATCTCCAGCACTGGGGATTACAGTTCAGCATGAGATTTGGGTGGGAATAAATATCCAAACTGTATCACACTCCCAGAATAGTGTTTGCCAAATATCTAGGAAGCCCATGGCCTAGTCAAGTTGATACATAAAATTAGCCGTCACATCCAGGATGTCAGACTGTGGAATACAGACTGTGTCAAATGACTCTAACTACATTATAATTATAATATAACCTTCCTGCAGGGGATGGAGGGAAAAGGAACTGAGTTGCTCAGTACCGTGGGGGTGGGGAAGGATTCGAGATAAAGAGCAGAAGGCTAATATGAACCCTGTGACACTGGATTAGAGTTGGAGACATCAGTATGGACGCTTGTTTAGCTCAATTTACATACAGATGATTAGATGCGGAGGTTGTAGGGCTGTGTATACAAGGGATACCATATACACAAGGATTTTTGAGTCTTGTCCAGTGACAAGACCTAGAAGAATCGGCATCCCAATAGCAAAGAGCACATTTACTTTCATATTTGGGATTCTAATATCCTTCTCCAATGAAATGAACGAGCTCTCTCTTTTTTTTTTTTTTTCCTTCTTTTTGGAGACGGAGTCTCACTCTATCGCCCAGGCTGGAGTGCGGTGCGCGATCTCGGCTCACTGCAAGCTCCATCTCCCGGGTTCACGCCATTCTCCTGCCTCAGCCTCCCGAGTAGCTGGGACTACAGGCGCCCGCCACCACGCCTGGCTCATTTTTTTGTGTTTTTTTAGTAGAGATGGGGTTTCACCGTGTTAGCCAGGATGGTCTCGATCTCCTGACCTCGTGATCCGCCCGCCTCGGCCTCCCAAAGTGCTGGGATTACAGGCGTGAACCACCGCGCCCGGCCGAACCAGCTCTCTTTAAACAAACAACTGATTATAGGACTAGGTCAGGGAGAATCCACGATGGAGCTTGAAGCATCTTCTTCCAGAAAGAGTAGAAGTATTCGGAACTAGGAAAGGAAAGTTAAGTGCATGTCAAAAAGACAAAGAATTCAACTTGAGAGAGGTCCCAGTAGTGAAAGGTGAAGTGACATAAGAAACACAATGAATAACACAGTATTAAGTTATAACTTGAAGTATAAATTAAATATATGCAAAACACAAAATAAAAAATTGAAAAAACAGTTAAACGTAGATAAAGAGACAAATCTCCCTTACAGAAAAATTCCAAATAGTATAAGTAGCTATTCCGCTTCCAGAAGGAGCTAAATATTCCCACCTGCACTCTTTGAAGGTGGGCAGAACTTAGAGGCTCACAAAGAACAGAGTATGGAAAGAGGGAAAATAATAACTTTATAGTGAAGAAAACTGAAAACGCTAAGCAGTTTAATAAAATTAAATGTTACCATAACAAATTAAACATTACACATAAGACATGTTGTGTGTCATGCATCCCTTAATATGATGTGGTAAAAATGGCACCTCACCTCTGGAATTTCCCCAGAGCCATAACTTCAGTGAGATCATGGCAGAAAACATCAGACAAACCTAAATTCAGGTGCATTCTATGAAATCTCTGACAAGTGCCCACCAAAACTGTCAAGGTCCTGAATAACAGTCTGAGAAACTAGCACAGAGAATAGAGACGTGATAATTAAATGCAACCTGGTATCATGAACTGGATTGCAGAAGAGAAAAATGGCATTCTTGAAGAACTATTAAGATCAAATGAAGTATAGAGATTGCTTAATATTAATGTACCAATACTGCCTTCTTAATTTGGAAATGTATCATGGTAATATATAATGTTAAATTAAGAAAAATTGGGTGAGGACAATGCAGGAACTCTTTATATTGTCTTGGTAATGTTTCTTTAAATCTGAATCCATTCCAAAAGATAAAGTGCATTTTTTGAAGAGTCTGCTTCTTTTTGTGGAAGTTTGTGATGTTTAAAATTTTTTTCTTCACATGAAGAAAATTTTAAACTAAAAGTCAACTATTTCTTGAATATTATATAAATCTCCTCATAAAAGTAGCTGAACCTAATAAATTATTTTGGAAAGGAAGAGACATATTGAAAGAGGATAATTTTTAACAAACTTTTCTATTTTTTCTCACTTTATTGGCCTATTCAGCTTTGTAATGTGTTTTCGGACCATATATGGTCATTTATATTTTACTATGCAGTCTAGATTTCAGATTTCCAGTCCTAAGGATGCTTTTCTTTTTCTTTTTTTATCTCTAGCTTTTGTTTTTACCCATTTTATCTCATAATTTGCATATTTTATTATGTATCTTCTGGTTTGTCAGAATGGTCAGTTTTGACTGAATTTCTGGCTATTTTAAATTTAAAAAATCAGTTTTGCTGCTCACTTTTACTATACTTTTGTCAAATTACTTTAGTTCTGCTTTGTCTGTAGTAATACTTCACGCTTTTTCCCACTTTTTGTGATGTGAATATATTTTTATTAAAGCATTAAACATAATATAGACAGAATGAAAATAAATATCCAGATCAATAAATTATCACAAAGCAAAACAGTATTTATTTAACCCTTGATATAAAAAAAAATATTGCCAGCACCCCAAAAACCTCCATTACATTTCTTTGATTGCCTTCATCCTGCTATTTGGAAACCATTCTCTGGCCTTGTGACTCTATGGGAAATTTTTATTCTTTCTGAATTTTACACAACTGGAATCTTAAAGTGAACATTCTTTGGTGTCTGGCTTCTTTGGCTCAACATTGCTAATGAGATTTGTCCATGTTTTTACTCACAATTGACGTTCCATTTTATTGCTGTGTATCATACCATTTGAAGAATAGACCTAAAACTGTTTACTCATTCCAATATTTTCTTTTTTAATTTTTAAGGTACTTTTTTTGTATTGAGACCTACCCTCTTAACAATTTTATTTTTAAAAATTTTTTTATTCATATATATTGGGGAGAGATCAACTTTCTTTTTATTTTCAGCCTGTATAATTAGCACCATTTTTTGAAAGACTCTTAATTTTCTCCGTTTTTGTTGTTATGTTTGTTACAAATCAACTATACCTTGTGTTCATGGATCTATTCCTAGACCTTATTATTTGTTTCATTGGTACATTTCTCTCTTCATGAACTAAAAACACACTGTATCAATTATACAGATTTATAATAATCTTGATACTTATACTCTCCCACTTTCTTGTTCTTCAGGAGAAACTGGAACATTCCTGGCTTGTAACACTTCTATTTAAATTTTAAAATCAGTTTGCCATTGTCTCAAAATAGTTGAGATTTTCGTAAGGATTACATTGGATCTATATATAAAGTTATCGGCTCCAATTAATGTCTTCACAAATTGTCTTCTAGTCCATGAAAATGTTAAATATTTTCGCTTAAAAAATCTTCTTCATGTTCTCTCAATAATATTCTATCATTTTCTGTGTAAAAGCCTTGCATATTTTTTGTCAGGTTAATTCCTAGATATTTTACATTTGTGATGCTATTAAAACTGTATCTTTATTATGTGTGTGTACATGTGTGTATGTGCAAGCATTATGTTACTTGCAGACATACATACACATATATAATTCTAATGTTGATTTTTATAGCCAGTGACCTTGTTTTACTTTTTTTTTTTTTAAAGACTGAGTCTCACTGTGTTGCCCAGGCTGGAGTACAATGGGCTTACTGCAACCTCTGCCTCCCAGGTGCAAGTGATTCTCCTGCCTGAGCCCCCACAATTAGCTGGGACTACCGGTGCCCGTCACCAGGCCTGGCTAATTTTTTTTGTATTTTTAGTAGAGATGGGGTTTCACTATGTTTCCCAGGCTGGTCTTGAACTCCTGACCTCTTGATCCACCTGACTCGGCCTCCCAAAGTGCTGGGATTCCAGGCATGAGTCACCACCCCCAGCCTACTGACTCTTCTTAATTGTCATACTTTACTGGTAAATTCTTTTGGAATTTCTATACACACAATTATATTGTCATCAAATATTGGTAGTTTTATTTAACTTTGTCTAAATCTTACATTTTATTCTGCTTGCCTTTAGTTAGACTTCCAGCACAATATTGAACTAGTAGAAAGAAATTATTTCAATAGTTTTTCATTAGGAATGCCAACCACTACAGTTTTATCATTAATATATTTATTGCATTAAGGAAGACACAGTTTACTCCCAATTTGCTCCCAGTTTGCTTTTACTGGGGATAGCCTTTGAAATTTTCTTAGTAATTTTTATGCTTCTATTAAAATAATAATAATTTTCCCTTTTTTCGTTAATGTGAGAAATTGCACTGATTTGTTCAAAGATTAAACCAACCCTGCATTGCTGTTTCTGATACAAGTGTCTGTTGCTTTATTTTTACTGACTTGAGCATTCAAAGTATAAATTAAAGCAAACCAGGTACTTGTTTCATTTAAGTAATTGAAAATATCTTTTGTTGGTCTACTTAACAGATTTTAAATGAGGTCTATAGGTGTTCCCTTATGGTGGTAATATTAGCAAAATATTTTTGTATTTATACAAATGCTTTTTTGCATTCATTTTCTTCTTCAATATTTTAGTTAAACCAGATAAATAATTTCTTCATATATATGGCCACACATTTTCCATGTGTGCTATTTAGAAGTTATTTTTATCCTCCTCTCCTTTGACAAAACTAATTTCCATAGTCCATTTAAATAAACAGATTAGTTCTATATAAAGATTATAGATTCTCATTTGGAATAGAGATTATAAATTGACTGCACTTTATGTTTCTCCTAATTTCTCTTATTTTGGCGACAATAAAATAATGGCCTTTAAATGCTACTATCTCCATATTTATAAATCTTTGTGTACTACTTATGTATTGACTAGATGTCAATAAAAATGTCATTTTAAATACATGTTGTCTAAAAATAATGTTTTCATGTTTTAAGTGATTAATTCTGTTGATACATAAATTTAATATAGCCTCATTCTAGTGGACATATATATACACTGACAAAAGAAACTTCTAAGCCAAAAGGCAGATTTTGAATATTGTTTTGAGGATTACAGTTTTGAAACTTTTAGTTAAATGTAAAAGAAGATCCAGCTAATCACGACTTAAACAATAGAGAAATTTTATCTTTTTTTAATAACAGGAAATTCAGGGATCCGGCAGCCTCCAGGTCCCCCATTCCTGGGCTCTGGGTCATCATGGATGTTCTTCTCTTGGCTTTTTCCTCTTTCCTCCATATGTGGGTTGGATCTTCAGACTCAGGATTGCAAGAGAACCATAACATTATTGTTGGAACACAGTTGAAATAGCATAAGATTCATATAATAACAGTTATGAAAGAGAAAGTAAATCTCTTTCTAGTTTCTCTAAGATCAAGGTAGACTTTTCCTAGAAAAATTACAATCGTGTCCAGCACAAACATTGGCAGCAGTTAAAGCATTATCATCATGAATTTTAATATTGTTTGTGCTGAAATTCTAAGCAAAGAAATAAATACCTTCAAAAATTGGGGTTGAATTAGCACCTACAAAGTGAGCAATTAATGACTATATAGTAACTATCAATGCCTATTTCGACTTCCCTTTAGATATTGATATGGTTTGGGTGTGTCACCACCCGTAACTCATCTTGAATTCCCATGTATTGTGGGAGGGACCCTGTGGGAGGTAATTGAATCATGGGGGCAGGTCTTTCCCATGCTGTTCTCATGATAGTGAATGAGTCTCATGAGATCTGATGGGAGTTTCCCTGTACAAGCTCTCTTCTTTTTGCCTGCTGCCATCCATGCAAGACATGACTTGCTCCTCCTTGCCTTCCACTATAATTGTGAGGCTTCCCCAGCCATGTGGAACTGTAAGTCCATTAAACCTGTTTCTTTTGTAAATTGCCCAGTCTTGGGTATGTCTTTATCAGCAGTGTGAAAACAGAATAATAGAGATATACAGCATCCACTCATACCCTTCATCCTATACATACATTAAAATACATGTTTACAATAAATGCACTCATCCCACACAAAATCCCCATGTTTTCACCCTTTTACTGCTTCAGCTTCAAGTTCGGGATCTCATGGCTGTGTATAGTTTGCTCCATCAAATTCCAAATTATTCGTTATACTTTGCTTTCCCTAGGGGAAACAAGACAAATTATCCACTCTCAACATACCCAGGATGCAATGGCAGGGAAAGAATAGGGTAACTAAGTAGAAACTAACATTCATTAAGTAGGAAATGTGCAACACACACATTAATTACTGGACCCTCACCTACATCAGCTCCTGTCCTAAACGAAGAGCGAAAAACCCCTGGACAGAGAGGAAATGGATCTGATTTTTCTGCCACTCATCTTGATTCTTCTTCCCTGACCAGGGACTAATTTAGGCAGGAGTATGTGACTCAGTGATTGCCAAGGAAAGGTGAGGAGGAGCTCACCTCTGTGCTGAGAAGCTTATGCCAATACTTTTCCTCACTGACTCAAAACAGACGATGGGTAGAAATAGAAACTTCTGACACTGGCACATGTATACATATGTAAGTAACCTGCACATTGTGCACATGTACCCTAAAACCTAAAGTATAATAATAATAAAATAAAATAAAGAAACTTCTGACACTTTTTTGGGGTTGGAATGCTGTCTGCAACTGCTAAAGACATACATGAACAGATACATTTCACTTTCTATCATCGCAATTAATATGCTAATTGTAGACCATTTTAAAAGTGCACATAGGCAAAAACAAGATTCATAACATAAACCAATCTGAGGATACATCTTCCCAAAAGTCAGGAGTTTCCGATTGAAAGATGTTGGGGAACTGCATTCTGAATAAAATTGAGAAACGCCTTAAGGTCACCACAGGGAAAAGAAACAGTTACTAAGCTTTAGGAATCAGCACGAAATGTTAGTAATAACTGAGATCTGGACTACAATGAAAAATCAAATTTCTACACAATTATAGTGTAGAATTATATATTTAGTCCAAATATTACTTGAAAGTTGAGAGTAGATGCAGTATTTTAAAAAATAAAAGTTATCGAAAATATATCCATCCTTTGCACGTTTAATCAGAAATCTGTTAGACACTTAATTCTGCAATTTAGAATAAAATCAACATATTAGTTTTTCTATAATTTAATGAAAACAAAGGTTTTTTTAAAGGGCATACACCAGCACCTTTTAGGACAATTTATCAAGAATTGTATTCACCCACTTAGGATAGATTATTAAGCTATTCTGATCACTTAAAACATCTTCCTGTTTTACTTTATTATCTTTAACTAATTGTACCTATATGTTTAAAGTGGGGTAGGTATATCAACCAGTTATGGAATTTATAAATTTTTGAAAGTTACAGAAACATGTAATAAGATATCATGATCCTTGAAAACTGGCATCCTCATAAACTCTCTTCTAAAAGTGAGTTTACCTTAAGTGCTCCCTACCCTAAGTCTCTCTTGGGATGTATCATGATCCATTTGTTTTATGTCAAGACGAATCTAAATGAGAAAAATAATTTGATGAGTTTGACTTTTATTGATTTCATGTTTTATTCCATTGATAAATTTAGTAAGCTTCTTTGTGTGTCGATGTGTTATGTCTTAGCTTTCTTTATCAAATGGAGTTTCCTACAACAAAGAACAGCCAAATCTGATTTCATGCTACCTATTTTTCTCTGATGTACTCTTAAAACTTATTTAAAAAGATGACCTGATAGAGTTGCTAACAAATTCTTATCTCACAGAGTAATTGAGCACCTGGAAATTCTCTCTCCACCTAAGCATGGATAACAGTAAATAAACTAACTGACTTCAGAAGCACAGTCAGACTTATGCTGAGTTATATTGAGGATCATAATTGTAAGAAGAATTGACAAATTTCATAATTTCAGATATTCCTAGAATGTATAGCATAGACTTATTAAATAGCTACTACAAAGGACAAGAGTTGAATGAGTTTGGGTGTTTCTATTAAAGGGATCCCCTTAGGGAACACAGTTTTGTATATAATTTGCACTACATAAATGGGAGTTTCACTAGAATAAAACCAAAATGACACAGAAGACATTTTCAAGATTATTAGCTTATCCAAAATAAAACAGAATTCAGTATAAATCGAAGACTTTTTTATTGTTTAAGCAAAGTACAGACTCATTATATTTTAACAATGATTTTAAAAACTATATTGCATCTTTTATTTTTTTCTCCAAATTCTGCTTGTAGTCACTTTAATTTTGCATTTGGTATTCCAGAAGGGCAGATTTTCTGTTCATGCACTTCTATCCGTATATATGTAGTTATGAATCCTAAGTTGTATGCCTAAAATAAAAGAATATGAGTTAAAGGTATACATTAAGAATACATAATAAAAAATACTTATTGCAGAGGGTAACAAGAGCAATGCATTTTATCTTTAAAGTAATGTAAGCTGGGCATAGTGGTGCACACTTGTAATCTCAGCTATTAGGAAGGCAGAGGCAGTGAGCTATGATCACACCACTGCACTCCAGCCTAGGTGAAAGAGTAAGAACACGTTTCTTTTCTTCTTTTTAAGTAATACATAAGTTTCCTAAGTAAAGATAAAACCTTTATTTCAAAAACATGGATAGGACGGTACTTAGTAAATGCTAGACAAATAAGGTATTAAATTCCAACATAAGATTATTTACTAGCTCTTTATCCACATCTATCATCTATCTTTACACCTATATTTTCATTTAATTCTTTTCCCTATTTTACAGACCTAAATTATCAGAAAACAATATTTTAAAAAAGTAATCTGTACTATGAATATTCCTATTTAAGTTGGTCTTGGTTGTGCAAAACATATTCTGTGGCTGTATAAGAAATTGGAAATCATCATTCTCAGTAAACTATCGCAAGAACAAAAAACCAAACACCGCATATTCTCACTCATAGGTGGGAATTGAACAATGAGATCACATGGACACAGGAAGGGGAATATCACACACTGGGGACTGTTGTGGGGTGGGGGGAGGGGGAGGGATAGCATTGGGAGATATACCTAATGCTAGATGACGAGTTAGTGGGTGCAGCACACCAGCATGGCACATGTATACATACGTAACTAACCTGCACAATGTGCACATGTACCCTAAAACTTAAAGTATAATAAAAAAAAAAAGAAGTGTATTTTTGTACAGCACACTGACTCTACATGAATTAACCCAACTGTATAAGTCCATTTTCACACTGCTATAAAGAATACCAGAGACTGGTTAATTTATAAAGAAAAGAGGTTTAATTGACTCACAGTTCTGCATGGCTGGGGAGGCCTCAGGAAATGTACAATCATGGCGGAAGGTGAAGAGGAAGCAAAGCACGCCTTACATACCAGCAGGAAGGAGAGCTCAGGGGAAACTGCCACGCTTAAACCATCAGATCTTGTGAGAACTCCCTCCCTATCATGAGAACAGCATCGGGAACATAATCGGGGAAATGGATTCCATGAGCCAATCACCTCCCACCAGGATCTTCCCTCGACATGTGCATGGGGTTGACAATTTGAGCTGAGATTTGAGTGGGGACACAGAGCCAAACCATATCACCAACATTCTCTCACTTCCTTGCAAATTTACTTTGTTTATTCAATACAGAATATTATTGAAAAGAAAAGATAAAACTAAAAAAAATATTTTATATATGAGCTTTGTTCTTCCCTGGATGACTTTGTCACTTTGAAAAATAATTCAGGAGAAACCAAAATAACAACAAAAGATAAATACCTACTCACTAAGGTGAGTGTTATGACCACAGATTCCCACAAATAATGTATTGGGCATTAATTTGACCATCACCCGGAATTCTTGAGAATCTTCTCTAACATGTGCTATAAACTTCTATAGATGTAATGTTACAAATATTTTCCCATTTTTAAAGTTGAGACAATTTTTCAGATTGTATATAAGGTTTCATGAGGAATTGTCATGCCAGCTATCTAAATTTTATGAGGAATGCCTCATTGAACTTTGAACGTAACATTGTTTTGTGGGGCAAAAGGAGAAAACTGTGTGTGAATATAATAAACTATGTGTTCGGCGTGAGAAAGTATGACTAGTTCTATTTTCCTATTTCTGAACTCAACTTGATAGTAACAGAATTACTATTAATAGCAAAACCTAGATATAAAGGCAGTTACCAGGCTGGGATACAGGGGTGGTGGGGACAAAATATAGGCATCAGTAAGATATTTTTGATGTTGGGGAACTTGCTTGTGACTCAGGATTGAATTAAGCAAGGACACCTGAAGTACGTAAGCACTAATAATAAACTACTATTAAACTACTGGGAGGTTTCCTTGAAACTTCAAGAAAATAATGGCTCTCAGTGAATCTGCTAGAGATGCTGGTTTTGAATGCATATAGCACCCACAAGATCCATTCTCAGGTTCTGCTAATAATCTTTATTTTTTCCCCAGACAGAAACAGAATTTCCCCAGTGAGGACATGCTGAGACTTGAACCTCATAATTGGTTTAGAATCAATCAAGGGAGGTGAGGTCAGATCTTGAGGACAGCAAGTATAGATTATCCTGTATGGCTTTTGCCTTAGGATGGGGAATTACTGGGTTTGAGATGAGGGGAGGCTGCTATTCTCTAGCAGGTGTAGATGAGACACTTGTGCTGATGCAAAGGACTTAGGGGAATCTGAGCGTTCAACATTCTCAAGCACAGCCACCCTGGAGTCTCCACCCCAGGTCTTAACGTCCTACTTCTTCCCTATCAGAGTCTGACTTTAATATAGAAACACTAGAGATAAGACATAAACCAGGGCACACTGTTCTATTTTCTATCCCAGTTTTCCACAGGCAAAAGCCTTAGCAATTGTGATGGGATAACATGCCGGGGCACTGCTGTTCCAATAATCCCATCAATGGAATGCCTGCTCTATACAGGCAGGGAGTGGTCCACATCCAGAATCCAGCCAGGCAATCTCCCTCCTGGGAACACTTTGGGTACCAATTGCCTTTCCCAAGAAAAACAATGACAAAAACCCTGGGATAAGAATTAAGTATAGTTTTTTCGGAGGTTCTTCCAGAATATACTAGCAGAGACTATTGGGAACTGAGACCAGGACAGGAAGACAGCCATGTAACTGTTTGTTATCAAGCACATCAGTACTATGCAAAACTAGTCGGTCACCCTGCTGGGAACTCTGGAGGCCTGCACTATGTGATGGGTGAGGGAGACAAAACCCCAGCAGTCATTGTTTGAAGGTTGTTGGCACTTCTCCCTGCTGTGAGGCTGAGTAAAGTGGGCTCCAGCAGCTAGAAGAAGCCCTTAGAAAATGTCTGCAGTTGCAGGCCATTGGAGATCAGGTCAATGGACCTTGACATATGCCCAGGAGGATAATGCTGGACACAACACCAGAGTTCGGTGCATCTCATTTTGATGCCAAGGCTACACCACCTTCTTGAAATTAGTGTTACAGTTTTTCCTCTTTTTACAAAATTTTCTGGAACACCTTGTAGGCAAAGGGGATTATCACATCCTTAGAAGTACAACATGTCATAAACTTTAGATGTAATATATTTTTGTCCAGGGACTCATTCATTTGTGTATTCGTCCATTCAATCAGCCTGCAGTCACTCGTTTAGGTATTTATTTTGGTGGAGTGAGAGGTAGTGAGCAGAATCAGCAATTCCATTTATTTACGGTTATGGGTATATCAATAAATTATTTTTTTTCTTCAGGAATGTTTGCACTTTACAGTTTTTTTTAAAAAATAACTTTATCCATTTCATCCTGGTTTTCACATTTGTTTACATGCAGTTGCTCATATTCTCTACGCTGTTTTTATCTCTATTTTCTCAGCATTTCATTCTTTATGTTGTTGGTAGGACTTCTATTTTTTTATTGCTCCTCATCATCTTGCTACAAGTTTATCTGGCTAATTTTTTTTTTCAATTAACTAGAATTTACTTTTAATAAATATTCTTCTTCTATTGGTCTGCTTGAGTTCTAGTAATTTCTTTATGTATTTTTCCTTTTTCTTGAGTTTACTATGTGTTCTATACCAAGTATTTAGTGCTGTTGTATTAAAAACTGAAAGTTTTCGTCTAAACCTTACTTTATAACAGGCCACAGATTCAGACATCTGTTGATGAAAGATTTAGATATTTGTTATTATATACTTGTCATTAAACTATACATAGCAAACTTTCACAATTTCATATTTGATCTAAGAACCCTGTATTAAATAACTGTATTATTGTTGTAAGCACTGTTGAATTTTCAGACCTGTGACATTAAGCTTTACTTTGGATATCAGTTTCTAATATTATTATATCTCATAGGATATAATCTGTATGTTAACTCTTTGAACTTACACTTCTTTTGGCAAAAATATATTTATTTTAAATAAATGTATTATAGGAGTTTAAAATGTGTTTATTTTTGTTGAATTTAAATCCCTACTTATCTAAAATAAACTGACTTTTACTCGTATGTTCTTAATATTTGCTAATTTTAAAACCTGTTTTAGTCAGTTTCTGAGAGGACTGTGTTAAAAATTTCCAACTACAATTATTATTTAACACAATGTCTGTTATTTTTCACTCTAAAAAACAATTCGAGGCTAAACTTTAGCTGCATATGTATTTGGGACAATTATATCAACTTGACGTTTTTCCTGACAGTGTATAAGGACATTTTTTTCTTATAATTGTCTTGCTTTGATGCTATTTGCCTAGTATATAATTGTCACCCCAGTATACTTATTTGACGTGGATGTCTTTTCCAAGTCATATATTCTCAATATGTCTATATGTTGTGTTAAATACATACTTTACACAAATGTTCATGAATTTTATTTTAGTTGATAGCTAATCAGAAATATTTTCTCTTCTCACTGAAACATTTAACCCATATAGGTTTATGATTATTTGTATCATTTTTTCATGTTTTCTGCCAGCATACTTTTATTTTTTAAAAGTTTATTTTGCTTTCATGCTTCATTTATTATTATTATTATTTTTACTGGCATATTCCATTGGGCAGGTTAAGTTTTCCTTAGCCAACACGAACATGTAATATTCTGTTTTATTCTCAGATCAGTCACCTAACTTACTAACATACAGCTACGCTAACACTCTTTTCCAATATCTAGTGATATTGAATATCTACCTTTTTTATCCAAGCAAGACAAGAAATTTACAACACATCTCTCCCTTTTCTTCCCATCTTACCCCTCACAATATATATCAATTATTTAGACAATGAATTTTCATAAGACTTTATTCATCTTTACTTCCAGATTGCAATATCCTCCTGAAGTCATCATTCTTCTTGCTATAATATATCATCTAAGTATTTTTTTAAAATTGAGTATATTAAAATATCTTTCTTTTAAAATTTAAGCAATAGTTTACAGGCATATAAATAAATATTAGGTTCAAAAAGTTTTTCTTTAACATCCTGACAGTACAGTTCCATTGATTCTTTTGTGCCCAATGTCATTTTTCCAAAGATGGTTGTCAGTCTAATTCTTGCTCTTTTCTGAAATAATCTGTTTGTTGTTATTACCGTCTTCTTTTCTTTCCATAATCTTTAAGAATTTTTCTCTGTCTTCAATTTTATTAAATGTTATTATCGTGATTCTAGTCATGTATTTTTTGTACAAAATATTCTATTTAGTCCTCTATGCCTGTTTTTGTTTTGAAGTCTTATGATATTGTATAATTATATTATGAAATATCATTAAGTTGAAATATTCCTTTTCCTTTTTCGTTATTACTTTACCCTTATCACTCTGAGATGGCATTATTACAGAACTATCTCTCAGAACGTCCCCACTTATAGCCCTTAGCCTTCTCCAGTTTCCTCCACCAAGGACACGATTCTTCTGTTTCCTACAGAGATTTTCACATTTTTCGTATTGGTTATTGAGCTTGGCTTTGAGGCATATGAACCTTTCTTGACTTAGGTCTCTATCAGCATTGTTATATTAAACTATAAAAGACATATGCTTGATGATGCAGATAGAGACATAAATACAAATATAGGTGTAGACATAGATATTGAAGTAGGTATAGGTACCTGCATAGTTCTGGGTACACTTATAGATATGGATATTAGCCATCTCTAGGCTTGCATGGAACAGCTTCCATATGCTGCTGTTCACAATCATGGGCAGTACTGACCGTGTTAACAAAACATAAATATTTATTTATATATGCTACCACTGTGCTCAGTGCTTTTGATGTCTTCCCATTTAAACTCTTAAATAGTCCTATGTGTTATTAGGACTGTCTTACAGAGGAGAGCGCATAGGCTAAGAAAGTTTAAGTAATTATTATATACCTAGTAACTGATAGACCTGGTATTCAAACAAAATGTTCTTGACTTCAATGCTCTCAACTTCTACACATCATGTTTTAACATTAAGGATTTAACATCGTATTAAGGAACTGTCGCTTTTCTAGGAGGTCAAGTTATTATTATTCAGCTAGGATATTATATTCCCTTTCTACTCATCTATTCTCTCCTTATACTGCATGTGTGTCTATAAATGTGTGTGATTCCAGTAAGACTTTCAATAACTTGATAATCTCTGCTCTCTCTCATTTTTACCATCTTCATGCCATGGGATTTCTGATCCCTGTGCAGTTCCCTACAATGAATTTGCTTTATTTTTCCCCGATAATTGCCCTTTTTTAATATATTTTTTTCTTTTCTTTTTGGGATCAACTGTCATAAAGCTTATTACATTTGGCAGTGGCCTCGAGGCACTCACACTCTGGCTAGAAGTGAGTGACTGGCAACATGCAGAAAGAATGAGGGCTTTCCCTTGAACTCCGGTGAAATCATCTATGTAGCTTCCCCCCCCGGCCCACCTCGCCCCCCTCCCCAGTATGGTAGAAGGTCTTGGATTCTATCAGTTATGGAGTTACCAAAAAAAGTGGCATTATAGAAATCACTGCACTTCTTTTGGCCTCATTTTCTTCATTTAAAAAATGATAAGATACGATAAGATCAAGGATTGCCAACGGAAATACATACATAGGCAGGGCAAGTAAGACCTAACAAATCACAACTATATCCTGTGTGCTAATTAGTAAAAACTGGTGTCTTAAGAGTTTTGATAGAGATGCAAAACTTCATATTAGTGCAAATGAAATGGAAAGTAGTGTGGATATTCCCCCCCTACCACCCCTTTTTTTTTCTGAGGCGGAGTCTTGCTCTGTTGCCTACACTGGAGTGCAGTGGTGTGATCTCGGCTCACTACAACCTCTACCTCCCAGGTTTAAGCAATTCGCCTGCCACAGCCTTCCAAGTAGCTGGGACTACAGGCATGCACCAGCACACCCAGCTAATTTTTGTATTTTTAGCAGAGACAGGGTTTTACCATGTTAGCCAGGCTGGTCTCGAACTCCTGACCTCAAGTGATCCACCCACCTTGGCCTCCCAAAGTGCTGGGATTACAGACATGAGCCACTGCGCCTGGCTGGATATTTCCTACATAGTGTCAGGGAGTTAGTGAGCGTGTTGGAAATTGTGGTGAATTATCGATTGCTTGTGGCTCACGCCTGTAATCCCAGCACTTTGGGAGGCCGAAGCAGGTGGATCACCTGAGAACAGGAGTTCAAGACCAGCCTGGCCAATATGGTGAAACCCCGTCTCTAATAAAAATACAAAAAGTGGCCAGGTATTGTGGTACGTGCCAGCTACTTGGGAGGCTGAGGCAGGAGAATCACTGGAACCCGGGAGGTGGAGGTTGCAGTGAGCCAAGATCGCGCCACTGCACTCCAGTCTGGGTGACAGAGCAAGACTCAGTCTCAAAAAAAAAAAAAAAAAGAAAAGAAAAGAAAAGAAAAAATATATATACCAAAAATTAACTGCATCTATCAATTATAAAACTATAATAGAGAATATTTAAATAATAATTTACTAAAAAGTAAAATATATTTTGCCTTAATTTTTGAAAATTATTGTAACTATAACTATTTGGCAAAAATTCTGCTGCTATATACATTGCTACTTTCTGAAAATATATTATTTGTAAATTTATCTAACCTAAAACTGAAAACAAAGTTAGTTTATGTTTCATATCTTGTCTTGCAAATGTAAATGGAAACATGGTAGGACATTTCCTTACACATATTAATTATAACAGAGAATGGACACTCAAAGAAAGAATAGGTAAATCAGGTAATTAGTGTTTAAAAAAGGAAGATTTTCATTTAACATTTCCCTTCATGCACAAAAGCTTGGTACTCTCCTCAAAATGTATTTAAGTCAGGTAAGTCCTGGATGTTAAGTCCTACCTTAACATCCAGGGTTACTTTCACCAAGCAAATCATGGCTTTTGTTAGTTTCCAAATCCACATAATAATATATCATAATAAGATTAAAGTATGTGCTAAATAGCCAAAGTTATTAAGTTTATGTGATGCTATTAACTTATATAATTATGAAAAAAGGCTGGGCGCTGTGGCTCACACCTGTAATCCCAGCACTTTGGGAGGCTGAGGCGGGCTGATCACCTGATGGTAGGAGTTTGAGACCAGCATGGCCAACATGGCAAAACCCTGTTTCTACTAAAAATATAAAAAAAAATTGTGCGGGCGTGGTGGCGCACACCTGTAATCCCAGCTACTCTGGAGGTTGTGGCAGGCTTGAACCCAGGGAGCAGAGGTTGTAGTGAGCCGAGATCGTGCCACCTCATTCCAGCCTGAGCAACAGGGCGAGACTTCAACACACACACACACGCACACACACACACGCACACACAAAGTATGTCTAACCCATGAGAAACTTTCACATGTCTGATTTAGCACACTGAAGTAACATTTTGTTTGTATTTATTAATGGTTATTTTGACATGGAATATGTAGATTTACCCTTTAGTTTAGCTTATATTTTCCAAATATGCCGTCTTCTAGGAGTGGAAACTTGTTTTTTCCCTGAAATAGCAGTGCGTGGACTTTGTGGTACAATACTTATACTATAAAGGTGGCTTCTGTACAGAGCCTTTACACTTTTAATCTTGGGGTGTATCTTCGTAAATGTTCCTGAAGTTTATGTTGATTTATAGAGGATGAGCTTATAATTAGTCGAGTGATCATAAAAATAATTGGTATTATTTTTATAAGCCACTGCGAAGTAAATATCAATCAAAATGAAAATTTTTTTTCTGAAGTTTTGATATGGATTGAAGGATCATGTATCTGAAAGTGCTAACTGGCAAAGGAAGTGCTATGAAAGTTCTTTCCCACAAGAGGCAAACATTCTTGTGCTGCCTAAGAATACAATATATTTGTACTTCTAACAAAACTATATTTTATTTTTCCCTAGTGGTGATCATAAAATATCCTGTTTGGTTTAAATGTAAGATTTCAGAGATTTTGACAGGTCTTCTATTTCGTGGAGACTTTCTACTGCGTTAGGATACTCCTATAGATTTTTTGAAGAGAGCTTCTTCAATATTGCTTAAAACCAGCTTCATGTTAGACTATTTCAGAGAATTTTCAAAAAACATTCCTATATTTACCAGCAAATTACTTGTTTTTGAGAAACTAGTATTATGACATATATTGTTAAATGCAAAAACCTTTACACTTCACAACCATGTAAATAAATTATGTAAAAATCAGAAAATATTATTGTAATATGGATGTGTCATTAGCACTATTACATTTGAGTTATTTTTTGTAGCATCACCTCTTTTACTGATAGACAACTTTTAAGATGATGCCAGTACTGGAGATTAATTAACAAAGGAGCCCTGGTAGAACTGTAGCTTTATTTTTTCCTATAGAGAAGTACATGTATGTAGACAAATACTATGTGCATTTGAATTAGAAGGGCTTGTACCCTACGCCAATTCTTTTTAGGATTTTGGAAGTCCATATGATCTTTCATTGTTAGGAAGCTGCAAGCTGAGAAATAAAACCAACTTACTAATGACACCTTCATTGGGTTCAAGTGGCTTTAATTCTGCACCATCTTCTATAGTAGTCACTATTTCAATGCTAACCTTGGGGAACTGCGACAAAGCACCATCTTCCAGGATGGCACACTCAACTCACAAAAGCTATCAGTTTATATGCTCTTCCTTTCAAAATAACGACATCATCTTGTAATTTGACCATATGTTTGCGCAACCTTTTCTGGGAGAAACTGAACTTTTCCCATATGTTGTTTTTTCTCAGAAAGAAAAATCTTATGGGTCCCTATTAGGGAGGTAGCATTACTCAGCAAGTGTGGATTCTGGAACTCAAAAATGAGAAGGCAGCTTGCCAAGTAAACAGGATGTAGTGGATGGTGAAAAGCGTGTATGGGTGTGTATGAAGAAAAATGAATGGAATTGTCAATAACAATGCTACACTTGCAGCCTGGAAAGAGTAGGAGAGTGCAGCGCGGGCCTCAGCATCTGTGTTGGCCCAGTCTCTTGGTTGATTATCAGAGCACCTGAGCTAGCCAGGCCTCTGTCCTGTCCTAGGTCCAGAACGTGCACACTCACTCCCTCAGCACTGAGGTTTCAGCAAAATTTAATGCCTCAGCCCCACGCATTGCCCGAGAAAGCACTGGGCATTAAAGATCAGCGGGAGGCCACAGGATCACTTTTGGCCAGGAGTCTGAGAACAGCATGGGTAACATGGCTAGACCCCCTCTCTAAAAAATATAAAAAATAAAAGAATTAGCCAGGCATGATGGCCTGTGCCTGTAGTCCCAGTTACTCCAGAGGCTGAGGTGGGAAGCTCAGTTGAGCCCAGGAAGTTGGGGCTGCAGCAAGCTGTGATCCAGTCACTGCGCTCCAGCCTTTAATTCATTAAAAAAAGAAAAAAAATGGAGACCACTGTTTATGCAAGATATTTGATTTCAAATACAGGCGTGGACAAAAGGTTAGGACCCTTTCACCTTCCTTATGAGTTCCTTCCTAATTTCCTGTGTCCCATAAAAGGACTACTTGTTTAGCAACGTAGCCCCTTCCTTGGCAGGTTACAAAATCCCAGTGTCCTGGGAAACTGTTCTGGGCAAAGAGGACAGAAGAGGGCAGGTGAATGAGAGCATTTATGGTAAAACCAAGTTTTCTCTGCCTTCAAACTGTGATTGAGAAATGCAGTAACTTTCTACAAATAATTTTAAATGTTGCCACTTTCTTTGTAGAACTGTGTCATCTTCACGAATAACGCATATTTTGGATGTAAAGAAAGTGCCATCCAACCATAAGAAAGATTCCAACATTCAACTGTCAACTCTTGCGACTGGTCCTTTTGCAAGACCTCCACCCTCTCCTCTATAGATGACCCGGATCCCCAAAAGCGTTTTCCAAGCATTCTGTCATCTGCATATCCCTCTGTTGAGCAGCCTCACTGATCTTTGAACTCTTTTGCTTCCTTAAGGCTGGAGAATTTCTTCCTCAACTCCACGACGAACATTGCCCACCACCTCCCACCCCGCGCTGGCACGAGCACCTCACGTGGGTCACAGGACTCCCGCGGGACCTTCTGCGTGTTTCCCCTTGATCTTTTTACAAGTAGGTGCGTGGGCGGATACTCACCAATCTCCCTTCATCCGCTCACCTCTCTCCCTTTGCTCAAGCTTGCAGCTCCTCTCACAGGCCTCCAGCTCTGCTGGACTTGGCGTATTCAGAGGCGCGCAGCCTCTCTGTCCTCTTCCCTCTCCCCCATTTCTTCTGTCCTCCGCCTTCTCGTCTCCCTACTCTCTTCTGTCCCCTCATTCTCTCTCCTGCCTCTCTTTTCTCTCCCCGCTCCTCTTTTCCCTTTCTTCTCTCTCTCCTTTCTCTCTCTCTTACCCTGTCCATGTCTTCCCCCTTCTCTCAGCTTTCTCTCTTTAGGTCTCCATCTCGCTCTACTCCCGGGTTGACCCATGACCCAACTTTCATTACACGGATGCACAACACGCGCGCGCGTATATGCGCGCGCACACACAAACACACCATCCCCTTTGCTCGGTCACTTTACCCCACCCTGGAAATCGAGGAACCAGCACTTTGGTGTGGTGGTAGGAGGCTTGGGGGCGCGTGTGAGACTCTGAATCCCTTCCAGACTTGGGGGTCACCTCATCGTCCCTCATCCCAACTTACTGGCAGGAGACCTCCACCCACTCACAGCCGCTGCGCTAGGCGTGGGCAGGACTGCGACGAGCACCCAACGCCCCGCGCAGCCCCGCGCGCACGTGGGCGCCCCAGCAGCAGGTGCCGGGAAGCGGAGGCCGGGCCAGAGCCGGGAGGCAGCCCCCCGGCCTCGAGCGCTCGCCAGACTCTTCTCATGGCCCTTTCTCCTTTCCTCGGCCTTTCGGGGCCACCCTAGTCTTCACAGCTCAGCGTCTGCTGCTGACCCCCCGCCCCCCGGCGACCCCGCCATTGCCATTAGCTCTTCCTACCCCGGCTTCTTCGCCGCCACAGTCCCCAACCCAAGCCCCAGCCGCGGCGCGGGTGTGGGTGGCCGGACGGGATGGCTTCCGTAGTCCCGGGGTCCGGCGGGCTCGGCTGTGGTCTGCGTGGGTCGCGTCCGCAGAGGCCGAGGGAGGGCGGGACGGAGCCGGGAAAGGGAGGAGGTGCCGTTGCGGCGCCCAGGGAGGGACTCCCTGCACCCCCGCGCGCTCCAGCCCTTCCCGGCGCTGCCTCGCGGTTGCCCTTATTTCGTATTCATTGATTCGCATTTTACAAGCCCGGGCTCTTCCGGTGCTGTTTCCCCGCAACTCGTGTCTCCCAGACTTTAACGCGCCGCGCGAGCCTGTAGGAGGAAGTGGCGCGGGGGAACGGGGGTCCGTGTGTGCCTTGGGGTGGTTTTAAATACCTCGAGGTGGGGGGCTCAATTGCAAGAAGCCCGCGTCTTTGCAGGAGTAATTTGGTGGGGGGACTGGACATCAGGCCCAGTGCTCAACCGCGAAACTTTTACGGCCGCCTTTCCCTGGGGCGCGCCCCTGCCGTGTCTCCCAAGCTGAGCGCGGAGTCCGCGGCGAAACCTGCGCCCCAGGGAGGGAGGGAGAGGGGGCGCCCAGTTCCTTTACGCGGATGGAAAAGAAGGGGTGGGAGGCAGAGAGCCCGCAAGGTCTAACCTTTAAAAAGTGAAACACCAAACCCCACAAGGGATTTTCACACGAAGGCCCCTCCCGCTTCCACGCCTTCCGTCCGGCACGAGGATCCGGCTCGGGATTTGCGGCTGCATCCTCTCTCTGCGCCCTGGCGGGCCGAGCCGCGGATCCCAGCCGGGTCCTCACCCCCTCCCCGCCCCTCCCCCAGATCCGCGCGGCTGGGATGTCCTTGCTGCCGCCGCCGCGGCCCCATTCTGCCGCGCACCAGCCCCGGGGCGCCGGCCGCGCGCAGCCTCGCTATCCCACCCAGGCTCCGGGCTTCCAGGAGGGTCGTGGAGCCCCAAGCCATGACTAAGGAGCCCATTTGGTAACTCTGCCCTCTTCCGGCTCCTTTCTCCTCCCTCCCTTCCCCGCCCCCCGGCCCCCCCCCCGGCCGCCCCGCTCCCCTGCACCGCCCTCCAGCCCGCCTCCCAGACGCCCACCCACCCGCTCCTCTTTCCGCAAGATAGCAGAGGTGGCGCGCAGCCCGGCGAGCCGATGACGGACCCCTTCTTCCTGCCTTCAATGCCTCAGCGGAAGATCCCCAAGGGCTGGAGCGAGGAGCGCTGCCGCTGGACATCCTCCCGGGGAGGCTGCTCCGACCTGCTGCGCGGCGCGTCTGAGACTGGGGACTGAGCCACCCCGCCGCCGCCGGCGCCGCCGCCGCCGCCCGCTCCGTCGCTGCCGTCGGTCTGGACTGGCCCCCACCTCGCTGCGCCCTCTCCCCGGCCCCGGCCCCGGCTCGGGGCGTCCCGGGGCTCGCCCTGCGACCGCCGCCTCCCGCGCGCCGCGTCCTCCCGACCCCGCGGCGGCGACGATGCCCGGGAGGAGGGTCCTGACGGCGGCGGCGCGGATGGTGGCGGCCGGCGCCCGGGTGTGATGCGAGCGTCACGGTGGGGATGCTGCTGGCTGCGCGGCGCTGAGGGCCAGCGAGAGCGAGAGCCCGCCCGGGGCGGAGGACGGACTCATCCGGATCTGGCTGCAGCGTGGGCTCGGAGCTCCCCCTTCCTCTCGGTCTCCCTCTCGGCCCCCCTTTATTTCCTTCTTGCTTTGCGTCTTTAACACCTCTCGACCCTGTCCTCCCCCCGCCACTGGAAGTCTTCCCGTCTCTAAATGGAATTAGTGGAGCCCGGAGCCTCTGGTGTAACGCACAGACATGATCCATGGGCGCAGCGTGCTTCACAGTGAGTACCCTCCCCGCCGCGCCCGTGCGCTCCCGGAGCCAGCCCTCCCGCCCCTTTCCCGGGGCCGAACGCGCAGGAAAAGCCTCTGCGCCGCGCTCCGGCGGACCCTGCAGTCCCGCGCGGGTCGGGGCCGACGTAAACTTTCTGTATTGCAGCATCGTGGAACCGGGCGTGGGGGCGGCGCGCGGTCAGCCGTCGCCGGATCCCAAAACCTGCCGGAGAACGGTCTTTCAGTGCGCAGGAACCCCCCGGGGGTGGAGGATAGCGTGCAGTTCAGGGATGGACACGTGCGGCAGAGATTGGCCCAAGCGAGGGCGCAGGTGGAAAGCGGGAGAGCGCGGATGATACCTAGTGGGGCCAGAGGAGTCTTCCTCTTCTAGGGGCTCCCGGAGCTCGGCGGGCCCCTGTTCGCAGTACAGGAGGTAGCAGAAGGCACACCTGAAGCCAGCGCTGGAGGGAAGGGCGAGGGTCAGCTTCCACCCCTTTCCGCCCTGGAGACCGCTGATGTCGCTTTATGGGTGTGTGGTAACGCGGGCAGTGTAGAGGTGGGAAGGAATGAGAGGAAAATAGTATCACGAGTCATCGAGTAAAAGGCAGTATAAGAAAATGTGTGGTGGAAATGTATCATTACTAAGCAAAGATGAGAGTGTTGATCGCGGGCCACGCAGTTGAGAGGGGTTTGCTGCTGAGTTAAACACAGTACGTGGTCTATAATGTGATTTCATCAAAACAGGAAGAGCGGAGTAAACAAATACACATCCTGATGCTGAAGGATGTGCATACCTGTGTGTTCTGGGTGTGAGCAGAATCATGACAAATTAAATTGATTTTTTTTTTCCTGTGGAAACACACAGTAACAACAGCAGCCAGTGCCTTAATTTAAAATGCAAATGAACTGGCTAGAGCATAAAGTAACACACAATTGACAATATTTTAAATATTAATATCAAGACCTAGATACGTTTCTTAGAGTGATGTTTAAGTATAAATGTATAAGCCTGTGGTGAGCTTTAATTCAGGAAATATTTGTGAATTGTTCTCTCCCCCGAATTCATTTTAAGTGAAAATGTGAAAACATAGACCTTTTATGTCGTTGGATGACAAAATGAATAAGAAAAAATAGAAGAAAAATCAAATTATGAAGACTAGCTTACTTACTATTTTGCTAGTGTTTTGTCTTGTAAAAATGTTGATTAGATCAAGAATACGGAAGTAAAACAAGTTTAGATTATAATGGCATTGCAGATTTACTGTTAAGTTACAGATCACAGTCTCTTTGACACTGGAAACCTGACCCAATATAATGCTTTCGGAAATCACGTTTCTCAAATTAATAATCAATTTCTATATATTGATTTGGTATTAAATCAAGTTAAGGTTAGAAGAGATTAATTTCACAGCTTAGAAAGTGCTGAGGGACGGGGTTACTTGGAGGTTCAGAACATTTTTGTAGGCAACATTCCAATAATGGTGCTTAATGCCCACAATCCACATTAATCTGTTTCTTGCTTATTCTCCTCCTCCACAGTCTGTAGGATTTGTCTAAGTATTTATTTTCTAAAATACAGCCACACTGCAGTATGTCAGGAACAGTCATGGAGCTGTTCTCATTGTTTGCCTCTCCTTTTCCTCCTTTTTACCTTCTGGCCCCTCTCTTCATTCAGAGATGCTGGCAGAGCCATTCCCTAAGGGTAGTTTAGATACAGTGTGACTCCTGTAGTCCCACTGTACTGTGTGTGACATGAGTAAATTGACATGTTGCCTTTAGAGTGAATGATGTATTTGCCTTAGGAGTTTGGGTCTCATCCATTCTTAACTTGCATTAGTTCCTTAAGGGAGTCCCAAGGTTTCCTGATTTGTACATTTCAAATTGGTTTTTGCAAGTTCTGAATCGACTTCTAACAGTTAACAATGAAAAAATTAATCTGCTTTGATATTATTTTATCTTGAAATTATGTTATGTTTTTATGGGATTTGATCATTTCAGTGTATTTTATCTCTAATTTTTCTTTTCTGTTTCAGTTGTAGCAAGTTTAATCATCCTCCATTTGTCTGGGGCAACCAAGAAAGGAACAGGTGTGTTTACTTAGAAAAATGCTAGTGGAAGACCTCGAATTATTTTGTATTTTCCTATTTTCCTCCTACTGTTAATATTCCAGAATATCTGAACCTGTTATAATATGTATAATTGATTGGTTTGGCTAAGACAACATTTAAAAATTAATTTACTAATGGATATTATAAGAATGTCCTCTATTTTTAGTACAATAGAAAATTGGATGATGGCTCTTTTTAAAACTTTTTTTTTTTTTTAACAGAAAAGCAAACCACCTCAGAAACACAGAAGTCAGTGCAGTGTGGAACTTGGACAAAACATGCAGAGGGAGGTATCTTTACCTCTCCCAACTATCCCAGCAAGTATCCCCCTGACCGGGAATGCATCTACATCATAGAAGGTAAGGGGAGACAGTGCCAGAGTTAAGAAAGCACTAAGCCAAAACCTTGCCATCTCTGTGCTTTGGATGAAGAATATGCGTATAGGCATTACAAAATTGATCTGGAGATCATGCGCAAAAATATCTCTTGAGTGAATCAATAACTGTAAAATCTGGAATCAGGCTAATTATTGAGATTAACTAGTAGTGGGTTATGAACAAGCAAATTCTGTGCAATAAAAACAGATGAACAACTTAGGAGTTTATTTTGCTGTTGGCTTAATTGATTTAGAGTTCTCATGCAGTAGAATGGACGCATAGTTGGCACAATATTAACTGTGTAAGTGTGAGAAACTAGCATTTTTTTAGCTCAACAATTAGTAGAATAACTTGCATGTTACATTTCTTTAGTATTATAAATTACAAAAATCGTATTAATGTCAAAGATGAATCTATAATCACATTTTCTAAACACCAATCTGAAAGATAGTTACCTTATTTGTGTTAACAAGTGACATCTCATTTTGAAGTCAAGGTCAGGATTGTAAATTATGACCCTTTATTTCATGACTTTTTTCCAACATGAAAGATAAATGGTGTTGGAAAGAGACTTCTCTTTGAACGTTTCCCATTTACACTAACCTTGTAAACACTTTTTTTTTTTGAGACAAAGCGAGAGTCCCCTGAGTTCCAGCGATTCTCCTGCCTCAGCCTCCCGAGTAGCTGGGATCACAGGCATACGCCACCATGCCTGGCTAATTTTTGTATTTTTGGTAGAGACGGCACTTCACGATGTTGGCCAGCTGGTCTCAAACTCATGACCTCAAGTGATCCACCGACTTTGGCCTCCCAGAGTGCTGGGATTACAGGCGTGAACCATGGCTCCCGGCCAACACCTCTCTCTTAAGTACAACGTTTAAAATGTAGAAGCATTTCATCTGGTGATGGAAGTTTTCAGTATTCCAACTGTTAGTACCTAAATAGCCTAAAACCTGGAAGCACCCACCTTCCCCCCACACACACACACAGGCAAGACTGTCTTAATGATAAAGATAGATGCACTTTCTACTACTTATAAATGGGGACACATTTATTTGATAGATTTTTCAAAGAAGCAGGCTTTCTGTTCACCCAATTTTAAGACTCTCTATTTAGAAATGATTTTTTTTTTGGTAATTATTGGGCCAAAGATCTTCCCCCACCCTTACTACTTGAAGTTGAATTTTCAGCAAAGATAAACCACACTGTAAGAAGGCAAAACAATTAGCTATGCTATTAAAAGGATAACACTGAAAACCTAAGGTCTGGCAGTGCAAATTCCTTTTACAACTGATAGAAAAGGTACTCGCTACCTGCCTCATAGGACTTAACAATATTCTCTGGGGACTATGTCCCTTTTTGTAAACAATCTAAAGGGGCCCTAGGATTAGCACAAAGTAGTTGCGACGGGGAAGCCAAAGAGAAGAATACAGGGAAGAAGAGATGCTCACCTTCATTTCTGAAGAATGTCCAGGGAAGGCATTATTCTCTACATAGAGCAGCGTATGCGGAAGTTCAGAGCTATGATATGGTTGGGGACCTTCGTGGCGCATCCTAGGGCTTCTGCAGAATCTGAGGAAAATACAGCAGGAGGCTGAAGAGGGAAGCAGTCTCAAAGAGGTACCTGGTATTCCTTCTGTGCCCACTGGATAAAATCTTGAACATTATGTTGGAGACAATGAGGTGCCATTGAAGTAATTTAACTTGAGGAATAATGTGAGATTTTGATGATGAAGCAACTGAAGGAAAAGAACATAAACTAAGAAACAATTCCAAAAGTCCAAGTAAATCATAATAAATACTTATACTAAAGAAGCGGCATCAGTGATGGAGTACATGAAAGAACTGAGAGGTATTTAAGAAACTGGATCGCCAGACGTGGTGGCTCACACCTGTAATCCCAGCACTTTAGGAGGCCGATGTGGGCGGATCACGAGGTCAGGAGATCGAGACCATCCTGGCCAATATGTTGAAACCCCGTTTCTACTAAAAATACGAAAAATGAGCCAGGCGTGGTGGCGTGCACCTGTAGTCCCAGCTACTCAGGAGGCTGAGGCAGGAGAATGGCGTGAACCCGGGAGGCGGAGCTTGCAGTGAGCCGAGATCGCACCACTGCGCTCCAGCCCGGGTGACAGAGCGAGACTCTGTCTCAAAAAAAAAAAAAAAAGAAAAAAAAAGGATCATGAGTGGCTGGATCAGGGGATCAGAGAATAGGGTATCCTGGGACTGTTCTAATATTTGTTGCTCGATAACTTGTTAGATAGACGGAATTGCCATCCCAGAAAAGAAATATAGACGGGAAAAATTGGTTTAAAGGAAAAATAATGTGTTTAGTTTGTGTTTATGGAGATGCTCCACAAAAAGATTGGATACATGTAGCTCTAGCTCAGTGGAGAGATAGATGTGTGCTGAAAATGTATATATGTACGTCATAAATATAGAGATTGTTGTTGAGATTGTTAGTATGAATAAAATTATCCAAGAGAATATTTGGAGCACTATTTTTCAACTGCTCTTAAAAATGCAGGTGCCTGGGCCTTTCCCCAGGAATTCTGATTTAATTAACCTTAGATAGAGCCCCAGCCACCATTATATTGTAGTAACCTTCCATTGGAATGCCCGTGGCACCCCGGTGTCTTCATCTAAAATGAGAGAACATAAGATGTAGAATAAATTTTCCAGAAAATAACACATAAGAGAGGGACAGAGTATGGGGAAAAAAGTAATGGAATGAGTAGGAGAAGCCAGAGAGTTAGGCAGGAGGGTCAGGTGCGCACGATGCCACAGCAGCCAGAGTGGATGGGGTCTTGAGAAGCAGGGAGTAGTCAAAGTGCCAGTTGTTACAGCAAAGAAAAATAAGTGAAAAACAGAAATGCATCTGTTACATGAAGCAATTAAGAGTTTGTTAGTAACAACGATGAGCACTCCCATTGGCATAGTGGAGATGGGTGGTTTTTTCTCTTTTAAAGGGGCAGATTGCACATATTTAATTCTAAAATGAATATTCTGTAGAGAAAGGTACATTTAAAATAGAAGAGAAAGAGGGATACATAAGTGGTCAGATTTCTAGAGGTATGACCCATTGTGATGAAGAATACAAGCGAGGTCCCAGTCACGAAAAAGAGGATCCCTTTTTGACTGTCAGGTGGCCTAAACATTCCCTCAAAATGGAGGAAATATTCTGTATATATGTGCACTATCCAGGTGAAAGTGCTCATAGTTCTCAGTGCGTCTGAAGATTCTCAAAGTGGTTGAGACCTCTCATGAACTAACCTCAGTGTTAGATCAAATATAACTTACAGAAATGTTAAAAGGAAGGGCAGCTGTGAAGAAAATTCTTGAAGGTGAAGCAAATTGAAGTTGAGAGAGTTAGAGAGCTTCAAATAGTTTCTATGTGCCATAATCACTCATTTTTAATCTAGCACAATAAGTATGTGGCAAACTTAGTTTTAAAAAGTTATTTCACTACCTTCTAAAATTCAGCTATGTAGGTTTCATTTCTGGTTGTGTGTCATTAACTTCAACATGCTGGACCAAAAGAAAATAAATCATCCACATACAATGTTGCCTACCAAAAGCCATAATGGCGGAATGTTTCCTGGGGAACATCGAGAGGTTGACTCAGCCACAGAACTTATGAAATAATAAGAGCGAAGGTATGGAGAAGTGAATTCATGTTAGATGGCCATTATTTCTTAGTAGGGGAAATTGGTGAGTGCGTGTTAAAAGATGACAGATAGAGTTCTAAGTAAATTAGCTAAGGACTGTCTTCATTGCTCTATCTTTCCCTAGCCTTACGTTATTTAAATTAACCTACAATCCGAAATAATTTGTTTCATCATAAAACTTGTTATACTGATTTATTGTGAAATAAACTGGTACATACATACTATAGGATGATAATGTATGCAAGCGCTATACTTAGTACTGATACATAAATGGGTCTAACTCCTTCAGATTTGCCTTTTTGTTTTAAGGCTGGCACTTTAAGCATAAAACATGGTTAGTCATTTCTTTGGGTACTTTCAAATTTCCAAAAAAAAGAAAAGAAAAAAAAAAACCACGTCATTGAAACTCCCTCAAATCTGTCATTATTGTGGTTACTCATTTGTTCACCTTTTTCATACAATTTAGTGATAGATAAAATATTTTTCTTGCATGAGTTATAAATGTCTCTTTTCAATGTATGAGTCTGAAACTTTTTTAGAAATTAAAGATTATTCATAAAATAATTCATTTTAAAAATGAATTGCCTTTAAACTGTTGATATTTAATTTTATACCTGGGGAGCATCAGAGTTACATTTTATTCTGTAGGTCTCCAATTTCCAAGTTATACTGTGTGTCTCAATCTTACATACATTTTTGAAAACCACGCATACCAGAGTTTACATTTTAGGTCATCATGGATGATGTTCCGTGTATATTTAAGAAGCAATGGGGTGTGGACAGCCACCATTCTGCATAGTTGCTGACCGTAGAGGGAGCAGGCCCGACTGTGCTAAGTCTTAACTTTCAAGTGTCTACAGGGGCTTAGTCCCTGAAAAGGGCCAAGTAGCAGGGAAGCACTCAGAGGGCTTCAGGCAACAGCTGTTTACTAACCGGGATACATATATGTTGACATTTCAGCAAATTTTATGGCCATTCTGGAGTATCCTGGCTGAATGTAAGTCTGAGATGCCAGAATTTTGGACTGTTTTGGACGTACCAGGGGAAGAATGAAAGACCATTAGCAAAAGCATTCATGTGGTGCTGTATAGAGTTGCCAGCCCTATAAAGCTTTCCCTGATTCTTTAGAGAGCTGTAAAAACATTTATGAATATACACTCATTTATAATTTACTGAAAGACTTTTTTTTTTTGGAAATTTTCGATGACAAATACTATGCTAAGCTCTGAGAAAGAAGGTGAGTGAGATATGGTTCTTGTCTTTCAAGATCAGATTTAGAGAGGAGGCTTCTTTAAAGCAAGTCTTTCCTGTGTAAAGAGGAGATAATGTTGGGTATGTAGATATTCAAAAATGTAAGAAAATCCATGAAAGTGTGAAGGAGCTTACTTTCTTAGAAGACAAGACATGTCTGAAGTGGTCTGAGCTCAGGCTCTCTGTGAGGGGATAGGGTCCTGGACGCAGGATATTCTTAACGGATAATGTGTGTTGAATGCATTGATCATGGTCCAGCTGCTGAGGTTGAAACCTGAGAGGGATGTGATCAGGTTTGTGTTGTAGAAAAATTACTCTTAATGTCCTTATATATGCATTTGGATCTGATCTAGACACATGGCTTGGATTATTTGAAAGATTATATTTAATATAACTCTATGCCAAACAATTCTCAAGTGATTTGTTACCTTAAACCTGAGTATTCCTGGAAATATGAGAAAAGAGACAGAAAAATATTCCTTGACCTTCTAACTCCAAGTTAACAGCCTTTCATAAAAATACTGTGCTTTGTTAGTCCTGCGCAAAACGTCAAAATGGTCATCTTGTATCAGAATAATATTTTATGCAACATCATCGGTTTTAAGTTTCACTCCTTAGACATTTTTATGAAAATTGTGTCCCGTAGAATAGTATCATATGCTTTCTTTATATTTCTATGCATATCATCCATAAAGTTTGAGAGAAGATGTACAAATAACATCTGAAATAGAATCAGAAAACATCAACCTGAAGATGTAAGAAATGACCTCCTAGACACAATCTTTCTTCTTTACAGCCGCTCCAAGACAGTGCATTGAACTTTACTTTGATGAAAAGTACTCTATTGAACCGTCTTGGGAGTGCAAATTTGATCATATTGAAGTTCGAGATGGACCTTTTGGCTTTTCTCCAATAATTGGACGTTTCTGTGGACAACAAAATCCACCTGTCATAAAATCCAGTGGAAGATTTCTATGGATTAAATTTTTTGCTGATGGAGAGCTGGAATCTATGGGATTTTCAGCTCGATACAATTTCACACCTGGTAAGTAAGTACTTAAAAAAAAAATTTCTTTTTCTTCCTCATTTTTCTATCTTCATAGTACAAAATCTTGTGTAAGACAACATTATACTTTCTCAGAGAATGTTCCAGTTCTATTTAAAACCAAATCTACAGTGCTTTTTCTTTTCCCTACACAAATTCTGAAAGGAAAAGATGTTTTCCTTAAAACAGCCTATACTAGAGGTAAAGAGTAGTGACTCAAGGCTCTAAATGGGCATCAGCCACATCATCAAGTGGACTTTTGTTATGATGGAATGTGTAATTGGAGAGACAGTCTGTGATAAGGAAACTATACATAGGAGCTGAATAAACTTGAAAAGACAATTGTAGTATTATAAAATATATCCACCAAAATGATCTTTGGGGAACTTGAATCAAAAGTTTATTTGTTCTGAAAATTACCGTGTTTCAATCAAATAGATCCTACTTTAGGAAGTAGTCTGCTCTCTTTTCAGGAAAGCAAATTCTTAAGAGTTTTGATGAAAGGAAAACTGAGACCTGTAACAGCCAAATACTCATTTACAAGGTCTTGCAGAAATTGTGTGCAATTATCAAATTATGCAATCTGTATCAATTTTCCTTTTAACTCGCTAGAATTAAAAAGATCCTGTGTTGTTGCCTGGCCCACTTGATTAAGAGTTACCATTCATTACAATAAAAATAGGATATCACATTTTTTCACTGCAAGAACACTACATGCATTAATTTAAATGGAAAAATGATTCAAATTACATAAAGCCCATTTTTTATATAGTTTGTTTTCAGTTTGTATGTATTGTTTTATTTAAGTTAGGCAATAGCATAATTTCAAATATATGTAAAGTTGGTTGAAGTTTGTATTCCATGTTAAAGAAGTAACATCTAAATACAGCTTTGATACTCAGTTAAAAAACTAAAATTTTAAAAATTATTAATATAAGTTTAATGATGACTTTCATTATGACATCATGGGGTATGTTAAATCAAGTATTTACTGTAGCATATATATTAGCTTTAAGCATTAGGAATGTTTTTAATAATATCACTAAAGGATTGTGGTTTTAATTATGCTTTGCTGATAATGGATTACTCACAGAAATCATGGGTATTTCATGTGCTACAGTCGAACTAATTTGAAGTATTCCCAAAAGGTACAAATGTTAGCTTAATTTGTTTGTTCAGATTATTAGTGCTAGAGTTGTAAATGGGAAGGTAGGTATTTTTTTCTTAACTGATAATTTTGAATATAACCTGTACCTAGAGACAGTGACATACGGCATGTTCTAGGTTTCATAAGTTATATTTTCATTCTGGTTTTGGTGATCATGAAAATAATGTCTTGGATTTAAAATTGTGGTTTCACAAAGAATGTAGTGTCAGCTGTCATGCTTTGTCAACATAAGCAATGCTATCCATGTTTCTGGCTCTATTTGAGATGACATAAATGGTGGCACCCAATCTGTTCTTCTAGGTTTTAAAAAACCTTTTTGTTCCCTGGGTTTTGTTCTTTGCTTTTTGTTTCTTTAGAGCCACCATACTGCATTTATAGAATGAGATTTCACTGCTGCGAACAACTGAATCAGAACGGAACTCTTGGAGATTTTTCCATGAAGTAGGACAGGTTAAGGATGGGCTGAGGCTTCTGTTTTTACTCAGATCAACTAGAGCAAAACTTCTGGGGAAACCTACATTTGGCATATGAGGGAAAGCTAGGACCATAAAAAGGAGACTTGGAAAACTTACATGACAGCAAAAGTTGACATTGTGTGGCCCAAGGCCATTGCCTGAGTGACGTAACCATCTACACCTCTTCTAGAAAGAGGCAGTATTAAGGAAGCCAATTACTTATTGAAATAGGAAGTGGGAAGGGATTAGTAATAATTTAGATAGCATTTAGGGAATCTGAAGCCAGGCAGGCTATAGTTGTCATTTTGGCTTAATTTTTATTTAGTAGTGTCATTCAACTGGTGACCTGGGGAAATTGAAGGAGGAAGAATTTCTCAAGTCAGCTTAATGATTTATGTTATGAAGCGTTACGAGAATTGCCAGGGCTCTGCAGTGAACTCACATTGGAGATGAAATTCCGCCTACCAGTTCATCTTAGAGAGATGATGGTCTCCAGGACAGCTGCGAGGAGCACTGAATTTGAAACTAGATCTGACTTCCAGTTCTGGCTTTTCTTTTCTTTGCATCACGTAAATTTTGAACACGGTCCTTTATATTCTATCTCTCAATATTTTTAATTATAAAATAAAAATAATATTGAGCAACTCACAGAATAGTTTGAGACAATTAACAAATGCATATTTATGAATTTCTTGAGTGCCTGTAAGAACTCAACTATCGATAGCTGTTGTTTTTATTAGTTTTATCATGTGCTTTTTAAAAACAAAGCATGCTTGGTACAGGTTATTGGGAAAACAAGTGTCTCAGACTTAAAAACAGTTCCTGAAATTTTTAGGTGGGTGCACAAAATTCCTACCTATACTACGTCACTTTTTTTAGTCTATGAAATTTAGTTACTTTAGATGAGCCCAGACTTCCGAGTAGGAGTTGTAGTTATTTCTAATGTCAGTCATAGAAAATGTCAAGGCAGTAATAGCAGCAGAAAGGCCTGGTGGTCCCTATTATTTTAATGAATTTATCACAATCTGGAATCTAGATGTAATCTCGCAGTCTCAGAAACTTTATGTAAACACATTGAGAGTGTACCCATCTCTTAGAAATGAATCACATTTGCCAAGCTAACAGGAATGAATATACATATATACACAATATTTATACATATGTATACATACTAAATACACATATACATTTTCATTAAGAATTCTGAGTATTACAAAGTCCATTTCTTCCTGCAAGCAAACATACCTGGGTGGACAGATTATAATCAAAACACTTCAGAGTAGTATGGAATCCAGGTATTGAAGTTGAGATGTATAGCATGCATATTTCATAAATATTGAACCAAAGGTTTGATAATTCATCTTCCTAACACAGGTTGTTTCTTCCAATGGTGGTTTAGCCCCCACACAGCCATGGGTCCCAGTGTCCAGTCTCCTGGTTCCATCTTGCCTGACTGGCAAACTAATTTGTGTAGGCTTTTATCGCCAGAATTTTTTTTCTATTTCTTTGTATCTGAGTCTATGACTTTCTTTCCTACTGAACTTAAAATAATAGCCTTTCAGTCCCAAGCTCTTGCTGTTCATAGTAGCTGTGCTTCTGAATTCCCATTTGTACGTGGGAACAGCCCAACTGGAGGTCCCGCACGGATGTGGAGGATACGGAGGCAGAGCGAGAGAGAATAGAAATGGGCTTAAAGGAGGCCCTTCTTTTTCTCCTGGCACATTTTGATGAATCCTCACTTTCTGGTTTGCTGACGGTTATTTTTACAGACTGTGTCATTACCCAGGTCCACAGTGCAGCGGTGAATCACCTAGGATTATAGTCTAGCATGCATAAGAAGGATTGTGAGATTGAGCAGTAATCAAGGAGAAATCAGCTGGTTCAAATCCTGGGTCTTCAAAGGATAAGAGTGAGGCTTGTAGAAGGGCCAGGGGGCGCAGAGCCTTGTGAGCACCCTGTGGATGATGCCCTGAAGAGTTCTCTTCTTTCTGTGTACTGAGCCTCTCCTCTGCAATATGCTATCCCAGTTCAGAAAAAGAAATAAGTGCAGAATCACCAAGAATGTTAAAAGTTACGCCATGGAATATTTGATAACTCAAACAATTTAATAAAAAATAGAAGACATATCAAAAGTGTTTATTGTATTAGAATTATATTGTTTTCTCATTTAAAAAGAGTCTTTAAACAAGTTTTAAATCAAGTTTGGTATATAAAATCAAATGACTAGAAAATATGTTGTGATAAAAGCAATTTAAAACAATAACGGTTACCTCAGATAAGGGATAGCAGGAAGAGGGGAATAAGGAGGATTTTAGAGGCCAAGATGGAGTAAAAATTGACTCAACTTTATTGATAATGCTTTAATTTTTGAAAGAATAAGATATTTTGGTATTACTTGTATAAATTATTTAACATCAAAAAACAAAAAAATAGAAAAGACTATACTTGATAATATTTAATGAATTTTTAGAAGAGGGAATACCACTTTCCATATTTCACAGACTTTTTTACTCAAACTAAGAATGCCTTTTGAGCAGAATATAACACTTCCCTGCAGCCAACTGCCTTGCCTAAATTTTCTTTGCACTTGAAAATGTAAGGAAGAAAATGTAACAGTATCTACTGTACTCCTCATTCCACTGGCATGACCCAGATCATTCAGATGCTCTGCTCCTGGAGAAGGTGGCCCTTCCAGTCTCTTTAATGACAGGTATCTTTTGTTGGTCTTATAATTTACTTCCTTGTGGGGAGATTTTCTGTCATTTACAGACATAGAATGGGATGTTTATGGACTTTTCCTTTTCAATGATAGTTTTCCTGTACTAGTTTTAAGGAACAAAGTTACACACATCCCACTGGAGAAATTGAAATTAAGGAATAGACCTCAAAGTACCAAATAGGTGAGGACTGAGTTAGGCATTGACATTGAAGTGAGTGGAGTTGTTAAATATATTGAAATTATTACGATATTTTGTACTTAAATAGCACCTTTCATCTGGGGAGCTCAAAGTGTTTTAGGGACTTTTTGCCCAACTCCTAGCCACCTCTCAAGCTGCATGCTTTGATGGACTTCAAAGGCAAAGGGAGAAATACACTGCACTGCAGTGATTTAAATGGAGTGTTTTAAACGGATTTCTATGCATATTAAATGAAATATATTATTAAAATAAAATATTGTCATGGATTCAATGTTATTTCAAATATTCGGTGCAATATTTTTCCTCTTTGGATCAGAAACGTGAATATATATGTATTAACCATTTCGAAAGTTTCTAAATTTTCTTAGCTAGATAATCAGAGTTCTGATAGGTGCTCTGGTAAGAAAGAAAAAAATCTTCGTATTATTTATTCAACAACTAAAGTTTCATTTAAATTTTGCACAAAAATATGAAAAATTAGAAAGTTTTAAAGGCTGAGATTAAAAGAAGACTTTTTTCTTTTTTTTTTTTTTGACATCTCACTCTGTTGCTCAGGCTGGCGTGCAGTGGTGCGATCTTGGCTCACTGCAACCTCTGCCTCCGGGTTTCAGTGATTCTCGTGCCTCAGTCTCCTGAGTAGCTGGGATTCCAGGCATGCAACTCCACGCATGGCTGATTTTTATATTTTTGGTAGAGATGGGATTTCACCATGTTGGCCAGACCAGTCTTGAACTCCTGGCCTCAAGTGATCCGCCCACCTCAGCCCCCCAAATGCTAGGATCACAGGCGTGAGCCACCACATCCAGCTAAAAGAAGGACTTCGATTTTTTTTTCCACATAAAAATAAAAGATTGAAAAAATTTAGGTCAGTATGTGTTGTCTTTTTAACTATGACTTGGTGCAAAAGTACTTGCGGATTTGCCATCACCTTTACCTTTAATGGCAAAACTGCAGTTACTTTTGCACCAACCTGAATGTTCTGTTTATACTACTGACTCAAAATATTCTCATTTCAGCCCTAGCAGAGGCTCTTAAATGGAAAAGGTAAGGAGCATAATCACATTTATTCTTGAGGCATATTTTTCAAGAAATGAATTTAAAAACTTGAAAATCACAGAGAATCACAGCACTGAGAAAATTACCAATGTGTGACAAGGTGCGGTGACTCATGCTTGTAATCCCAGCACTTTGGGAGGCTGAGGCGGGTGGATCACCTTAGGTCAGGAGTTTGAGACCAACCTGGCCAACATGGTGAAACTCTGTCTCTACTAAAAATACAAAAAAATTAGTCGGGCGTGGTGGCAGGCGCCTGTAATCCCAGCTACTCGGGAGACTGAGGCGAGAGAATTGCTTGAATCCGGGAGGTAGAGGTTGCAGTGAGCTGAGATCATGCCACTGCACTCCAGCCTGGGCAATAGAGCAAGACCCTGTCTCAAAAAAAAAAAAAAAAAGAAAAAGAAAATTATCAATGTATTGATATTTTTGAATAATCAAGATATTCATGTGAAGGTGATTTCTTCCATCTCTCACTTTTCTGGCCAGTCCATGACTTGGCTTACCTTATCTGTATAATAGTGGGCTCAGGAGGAGGGATGAGGAATGAAGAGAGACAGAAATCTTGTTTGGTCTAGGTGGGTGTTCAGGAGAAAAGCTGAGAGTGGGAGAGAAAATTTCCAGGATTAGCTCCCATCTGTGCAGAGAATATTGAAAGCAGTGGCAAAGGAAAAGGAAGATTTTTAAGAAGTTTCCCATAAAGAAAGAGTGTCTTCCGGCCGGGCACGGTGGCTCACGCCTGTAATCCCGGCACTTTGGGAAGTTGAAGCCGGCGGATCACGAGGTCAGGAGATGGAGACCATCGTGGCTAACACGGTGAAACCCTGTCTCTACTAAAAATACAGAAAAATTAGCCGGTCGTGGTGGCATGTGCCTGTAGTCCCAGCTACTCGGGAGGCTGAGGCAGGAGAATCACTTGAACCCAGGAGGCGGAGGTTGCAGTGAGCCGAGATCATGCCATTGCACTCCAGCCTGGGCCACAGAGCGAGACTCCATCTCAAAAAGAAACAAACAAACAAACAAACATGAAAAGGAAGAAAGGTGTCTTCCTCATCTTGTTTCCTGGAGAGGTGGAGAAAAGAAGAGTACTTAAGTGTGTTTATATTTATTTATCGGCTAATCGCCGGACTATGTTTTAAATAGAGTACATCTGAGATTGGAACACATGGGGTCCTAGATATATTTCCATTATTGATATATGTTTTCCTTAGATTAGAAAAGACCTTGGAATTTATTTCCTTCAACCTTTCTACTTAAAAATCAAGAGAGCAGAGTGCTAGAGAAAATGTGTGGCCTGGGTTCAGGTACTCTGTAAATATTAAATTACTACTTGTGTATCAGTTATATAAGCACGGTGCTGATACACCTTCTACAAAGTGTTGAGATTATAACTTTAATTACATCACATATTGCAAGTAATTTTAGTACGGTTATATTAAGAAATTTAATTAAGGGATAATACTATATATATCACCCGCGTTTCACCATTAACTGATACATGATTTTAAAATTCATCTTCTCCATGTTGTTTGAAATGTTTTTCCACTCGCAATGTCCAAAGAAAGGATGGTTTTTCGTCTCTCCTTCTACCTCAATTGTAAAATTGTGCCTTCTCAACCCATCTGAGCCTAAAGTGCATGATTCATTTCCTGTTCTTCTCAAATACCTATTATTACTGACATAGTCTTCTGTGTGTACCGTGCTCTCATTAGTTGAAACTTGTGGCTCACATGTTAAATACTCAAGGGGAAAACTTTAGTTTATTTCTCCTAGATCTCCCACGAATTTTGTTTTCTTTCTTTCTTTTTTCTTTTTTTGTTTTGAGGGAGTTTCGCTCTTGTTGCCCAGGCTGGAGTGCAGTGGTGCAATCTCAGCTCACCACAACCTCCTTCTCCCGGGTTCACATAATTCTCCTGCCTCAGCCTCCCTAGTTGCTGGGATTACAAGCATGCGCCACCACGCCAGGCTAATTTTGTATTTTTAGTAGAGACAGGGTTTCTCCACGTTGATCAGGCTGGTCTCGAACTCCCGACCTCAGGTGATCCGCCAGCCTGGGCTTCCCAAAGTGGTGGGATTACAGGCGTGAGCCACCATGCCCGGCCGATCTCCCACGAATTTTCCTGCTCCCTAACACCCAGGTTTCTTTGGGTTTTTCCTGTGATGCCGGTTCCTTTCGCTCACCTCCCACTCCATCCCTCTATTCAGGGCTGCTGATCCCAGCAGTACACAGGAAAGACACTCAGTTGCAGCACAGAAATGAGCTCGTTCCATGCACATTCAGATTCCCCAGAGCAGGGCTCCATCCAGAAGTGGGACTGTTGGCTAATCTACAAAATGTTGTTTTATGGAATGGTAGAGGCCTTGCTTGGGTCAGTCCTAAGGTTACCTCTATGTCGAATCCCATCATCAAATGACCAGCACCCACACCCCTCACTAAATTTCCCTAAAGATAAATTGTATCACTTGACAAGAGAAAAACTCAAGAAACATGACAAAAACAAAACAAATAAATAATTCTTACACTCAATCTCCATTTTGAACTTTCATGCATCTCAATGTCTTTAGTTACTGGGCTTCTTGGTAAAATCTTCTGAAATCTCTGACTAACATTTAACTCATTATTGTATTCAAGAAACATGCTTTTCAAATTACTAAAGCCCTGTATATTTTTCCTAAGAAAATATTGACGAGTCTATTTATTCTCCTAAACATTTCCTTTCATAACAATTTGCAGACAATTTGAGGCTTATTTTTATTTAATTATTTGAAAACTAAATCAAGGAATTATAAACAACCCATAGTGTTCTTTGTCTAGACCAAAACATTTTTCCTATTATATTTTATAATTTGCATGCCATTACAACTACTTGAGTATAACTCATGTTAATATTCTTAAAGTGAATGCACAGAAGACCTTGATTTCTACTAGGTGATATTAGCCACCTACACTTATTTAACAACTGTTTATTGATCCACTATGCTAACACTGTAGAAATATAGTATCTGCAAGACCCTAGCTTTCATACAGTGAGTTCATAGTCTGTTAAAAACTAGAAGCCATGTATAGTAGCCAGATAATATACCCTCCCCACAAGATGTCTATGTCCTAATTTCTGCAATCTATGAATATGTCAAGTTCTATGGCAAAGAGATGTGAAGGTGGAAAGTTGTATTAATAATGCTAATAAGCTGACTTTAATAAAGGGAGATTATCTTGGATTATCTGGGAGGACCCAGTGTAATTACAAGGCTTTCTCAGTATGTAACGAAGGAGGCAGTAGGGTCAGGATCGGGTGATGGGATGTAAGAAACACTCCAGCTGCTATTGTGGGCTTTGAAGATGGATGAAGTGGCAGCAAGCCAAAGAATGTGGACAGCTTCTAGAACGGAAAAGACCAGGTATGACTTGTCTCCTGCAGCCTCCAAGGAAAGGAACACAGCCCTGCAAATGCCTTGATTTTTAGGCCAGTGAGACCCATTCAGATTTCTGACATCAGAACCAGAGATAAATTCCTGTTGTTTATTAAGGTTCTAAGTTGTGGTAATTGTTAAAGCAACAAATAAGAAACAAATACTTGATTTTATTTCCTAAAAGTGAAGTGCTACAGTAAAATAAATAAATAAAAACCTTAAAATTTGGAAATAGTTTTGGAATTAGGCAGTTGGCAAAAGCTGGAAGAATTTTGAGAAGCATGTTAGAAAAACGTCTATATTGCCTTAAACTTACTGTTAGTAGAAATATGAATCTTACTGACTCTGGCACAAGGACACAGAAGGAAGTGAGAAGCATGGTAGAGAAAACATGCATGTCTTAAAGAATACCTAAATCTTCATCAACAGACTATTTGTGGAAGTATGAAGTTTATAGGTGCTGATGACGACAGCTCAACAGAAAATGGAATATGTGTTTGGAAACCGACGGAAAGGGTATATCTGTTATGTTGAATCACAAAGCTTAGTAGAATTATATCCTGGAGTTATATGGATAAATAAAAAAGCAGAACATTATGCAATTAACTTGGATATTTAACTTTAAGGAATTTATTGTCAATTAAAATGTAAGCCCCTTGGATGAGATTGGAAAAGCATGCCTTAGAGAATAAACTGAGCTGGACAACTTTTTGCTGATCCCCTAGAAAGATCAAAAGATCAGAGAATTCAGTCTCACAAAAGGCTCTTTGAAATGATTAGGAGTGTGACTCATAAAGCTCTTCAGTCAGTCATCTCAGCAGAATCCAAAAATAGGATGAGATTATCTAGAAAAAAAATTCTATGAAGAAAATCTTTGGCTAATGGAGTGAATCTGAGGACATACACAGGAGACACACATGGTTCTTGAGAATGTTCCATCAGCATAAAGGTTGCCATCTTGAACTAAAGGAGACAGATATAAAGATTGAAATGGAAAAAGGGCGTCAGAACTTTCAAATGCCTACAAGCAAGAAACATTCTTATGTAACTATTCAGCTGCAGGTGTGCTACTGTGTCAGTAGGCTGACTCAGGAGGCAGAAACCTCAAGTCCACAGGGTGGGGAGTTAAGTCCAGAAGGTAGAGCTCAAATGACAGAGTACAGTCTCAGCCCTTGAAACCAACTGGAATTTGTCAACTGTATTTCACAACTGCTTGGAACTGGTGAATTTCTTTCTTTCTTTTTTAAATTCTTCTACTTTTTCTTATTTTGAGCAGGAATATCCATAGATGTTATTGTTTGCCTGCCCTACCATTGTGTTTTTGGAGCCGGTAACATATTTCTTGAATTTTATGGCTCAACGATGGAGAGAAATTGTGTCTCAGAGTGGATCATGCCCAGACCCTCACTCATACCTGATTTTAATGATGTAGATGGTGTGATGTGGGACTTTTGAGCTGATGAAATTTGGACTTTGAGTTGATGCTGTTGAGACTTTTGGGCAACATGGGATGGGTGAATTTATTTCATCTGTGGGGTTGATATGAATCTTGGTGGCCAGATTTAGGATTGGTAGGAAGAAAAATGACACATAATGGTGTCTGCATTTTGAGTCTGGAGCCTGTGAATATGTTATGTTACATGGCAAAAGGAAATTAATGTCGCCATCAAGTTGACTTGATGATAGGGACATTATCCTGGCTTTTCTGGGAGGGCTTAGTGTAATATAGGCAGCCTTCAATATGGAACAGGGAAGTAGAAGTGTCAGTGCCAGAAGGCACAATGTGAAAAAGACTCAAATTATCTCTGTTGGCTTTGAATATGGAAAGGCCCATTAGCCCTGGAATGTGGGAAGTCTCTTGATCCTGAAAAAGGCAATGGAAACATTCTCCCCTAGGGCCTGTAGTAAGGAACACAGCTCTGCTAAAACTGTGATTTTACCTCAGTGAGATACATTTCAGCCTTCATATCACTTTGAGGAGTGATACAGAATGTAAATAAACAATGTAAGGTTTTACTGGTGGATGGATGGAGAACATAATAATTTGGGTCTACCAGTCCAAACTTTGAAAATACCTTCGTTCCAAATGCACCAAATGCAGGATACACAGTTCTCCGTTCTGGACTTTCCTACACTTAGATTAAAAATCTATATCTAGATAACTGTATGTGTATATCTTTTTATATCATCTGATTTTATATGAATGCCATTTTTATGCATAAATATGGCTAAAACCCCAACAGAATAACTTGCAATCCTTCCCAAAGATGTGCATGGGACAGTGGTGTTTTTGTTTGTGGCAATAATAGCTATTTGTAGAACCTGGCACTCTTTAAGGCTCTGCCTCTTCATGGCATATTTGCCTGATGCCTTTGCTTCAAAAGAGCTATGCTGTCTGTTCTCACTTGCTCAGCTGGCTCGCTTCCCACCATTCCACAGCTCTGCTGACTTGCTTGAAATTCAGCTTCAATGTGTCCTCATGGCATTTTCCCTTTCCAGCTACCTTCAGACACCTCACTTCCACTATACTACCCCAAGAATCACAGAGTGATTACACTAAAGTATGACTGTTCACAATCAGCAGGGCATGTGCCCACGAAAGAACTATAGCTGACTTTTTAAAGCAGGAGGATATATTAGTCATAAATATGTCACTTCTCTTCTGTTTTCTATTCATCATACCCCAAATCAGAAGACTGTTCTATTCCCTGGGAACTTTTCTTCAGAAATTTGCACTTCAAAGCCCCAAGAGTTTTCTGTAAGTAATTCAGAGAGAAATGCAGTTTTACAGGTGTGATAACAAAAACCAGTGCAACCTTAAAACATTCTCCAACTTCCGTTTTGCTTGCCCATGCAGTCTGAAAGGAATGCGTACTTCCTTTGGCAAATTTGGCGCGCAAACAAAGTAGAATTTGTGGAATGGTCAGTGGCTGTCCCGATGAAATAGGAAGGCACAGATGAGGGTTGCCATGGCAATGATAAGTAAGATCTAAAACAGAGAGAATTTCCATGGGCATAAAATGAACTGGTCTTTCAGAGATCTGCTGTTGTAAATAATAGGTTAACTGGTGGGAAAATTATTTCTAGCTTTTTTGCACGTGCACACGACTTTCTCCTAATAATCATCCTTAAGTAATATCTGCGTCTCAATTTTAAATAAAAAAAGATTATAAAAAAATACAAATATGCTTATTTTCTGTTTATAAGTGTTTTACCTTTGACATTATTTCAATTTTGTCCATTTTATTCTTTCTTTCACTTACATAAGCAGGGGCTATGCATCTTCTTTTTTTTTTTTTTTTTTTTTTTTTTTTTTGAGATGAAGTCTCACTCCATTGCCCAGGCTGGAGTGCAGTGGCACGATCTTGGTTCACTGCAACCTCCGCCTCCCAGGTTCAAGCGATTCTCCTGCCTCAGCCTCCCCAGTAGCTGGGACTACAAGAGCACGCCACCATGCCCAGCTAATTTTTTAATTTTTTTAGTAGAGACGGGATTTCACCATATTGGCCAGGCTGGTCTTGAACTCCTGACCTCGTGATCCACCCACCTTGCCCTCCCAAGATGCTGGGATTCCAGGTGTGAGCCACAGCGCCTGGCCGCATCTCTTTTATTGACAACTCCTAGGCTGTGCCTCTTCCGTGGTCTCCTGCTTGCTCCTCTTGGCTCTGAATCAACATTGTATCTTTTGACCCAGTCAGCCCCAATCTTTATTTTTTTGGTTTGCTCTCACATTTTCTGGAAAAAAATCCAGATACAGTTTCTATCTGAACTGTTTATGAGCCTTCAGCGTAGGAGATATGTAGTGATTATACGAATAGACAGGGTATTTAGTTTCCTGTTAAACTTGCTGGCACTGACATTTATGTTCATTGTGCTAGACTTTTCAGTCTCTAGCTTGAATTGGAAATAGCTTTCTATTCTAACAACAATGTATATATTCTCTTCTAGACTGCAAAGTAATACGCCATAAGGGCCAACTCTTAATTTAAGACAATATGATTATAAACATGTGATTTGCTCTGTTGTTTGCAATATCTCACATTTAGTGTATGGTTTGGATGAAATATTCTTTTATACCATGTTCTAGAAAAGTTTCTCAATGGTTTGAAGTTATTTTCCTGTAACCTATACTTCCCCAGAAGGGAAAAATATTACTAATCATTTGAGGCCATACTTCACTATACACATTCCACTAAAAATAATTTTGTTTGAGTTTTGCCATTAAAATATGTTACATGATGCTCGGTTGTTTTGAGACATACTGACCAGATGCCAAATCATTGTTGTGGTCTATTTGTGTAGGTCTTCAGTTTTTCATATTTGTATAAACTTAGATTTTTAGTTTCATATAATATTAAATATTACTATCATATATCATTTATTTTTCTATACTGTATATGTTATATATACAATAGTTGCATGAAACATAGTTAAACATGGACTACAGTGCTAGGTTGTCTGAGGTGGAATTCTGGCTCAGCCACTTTCTGGCTATGACTTTGAGAAGCAGCAATCGACTTAATCTCTCAGAGCTCCAGATTTCTCATGGGATCAGCACTTGACAGATAGCATTACGGATTTTTCTCCCTAATGATACAGTCAGGCTACTTATATTACTTCACAGGTGGTCACATGAGATCACATTGAAACCTCTGCTTCATCATTTCACAGATTCATTCAACAACAGGTTATTAACCCATACTTGGTCATTAAATTATTACTGTATACAAAATGTTGAGATGTTAGAATGGTTGAGATGCAGCATCTGCTCTTGAGCTTACAGTGTGTTTATACCCAGTTTGGTGAGCGCCATGGCATGTGCGTAATGTGGGGTGCACCTGGAGGAGAAGTGGGTAACACTTGATGTCACGTTAAGACCTGCGCTTCAGTGCTGCTTCCCACAGAGCCCTCACTGTGTCCTCAGGATGGATGAGGTGTGTGACGTGCTCACGTAGCCACAGCTCCATCACACCCTTGTGAAGTGCACTGCAATCAAACATTCTTTCTCTATATGGACACCAAGCTTCCTGAAAACAAAAAAACAAACAAAACCCAACAACCTCGGTTTACATCTTTAAATTTCCAGTGCCTCATCAGTGTTTAGCCACAACTGATGCTTAATGAAATTTACCTGAATGACTATCTAAATGAGTCAACGAATGAATAAATGAATAAAATGAAATAAAGCATGTAGAATGAGTGAGACGCCAGATACGAAAAAATCTGTTCATGCGTATCTGGTAGACAAGACCATTTGAAAAGTAGGTGTGTAACTTTGAAAGGAGAGGAGGTTAGGTAAGACTGAAGTCTGATTCAGATTGCGAACAACTCTGGAAATCATGCCAGTGATTCACAGACAATTTTAGAAAGTGTGGGAAGTATATTAATGTTTTAAATTGAATAGTGATGTTTGAGACCTCCATTGGAAGAGTGCGATGTATCAGAATGTGGATGATTGAGCAGAGAGAGAACAAAGGAACAGAAAAATAAGACGATTAAAATACAATTAAAAATGATGCAATAAGAAAGTGTTAGAAGCAATCTTACAGTAGTGTCTGTGACAATGTAGTGAAAGAAGAAACTTGGTATCAATAAAATTTGGTGAGATGAAGTCTGTGTGTTGAGAAAGAGAAGTAGAAACGACTGTGGCTGCTGTTCTTAGTAATTTGGTGGTTGGTTAATGTCATATATTTTGCTGGAAAAATAAAAGAATGTTCTGTTTGCTTTTAAAGACGTTTCAAGAGACGTAACAATGAGATACCTTTGTGAGCATGTCAGATATTTAGAACTGAAACAGAGAATAGTGACCAGAAAAGGTGGAGAGAGGAGCTTGTTGGAGAACTAAGTACAAAACTGCAACTACTGAGACATCCGCATATTAAAATAGAACATTATATGAGTTTGAGCTAATACGCTTATCTAAGCAAATTAGAACACGGTGTTGTGTATTTTGGAATTTTACATTTTATTCAGTCCTAGCCTCTTATCTTACAAACAATCTTAGCGAGTTACCAATTGGCACCAGTTTTTTGGCGGGATAGGTAGACTGACCCTAAAAATACGCTTTATATTTTAAGGTAAGGGAAGAGTTTTTCTTTTGTCCCATGCTTGAAGCTTTCTCCTACAGAGGGACGTTTTTTTCTGAATTATGGCGGTAGCTACTTTCCTGAGGCTGGTTACCAAAAAAGGAGCTTTCTTGGTCTATTTCTGAAAGGCACAAGGGTACACATGAGCTACACCGCATATGAAATGACCAGATCATGTACTAATATTGGGTTTAGTAGTTCATTTTTTTTCCGGTATAACTTTGTCATGCTTCCTTTTAGGAATGGCCTCATTTATTTCTACCTACTTTTGAAAATATCATAGTATCTCTATTATCAGGATGATTTCAGATGTCCTGCAAGATTTGAGGAAATACATTTGGTTCAGCTTTTAAAAAGGAGGGTGGTAGAGAAAAGAGTAACTTTTTTTCTATTCGTTATTTCCTTGTCATTTAGACAATATTTGCTTTACTCCTCTATCTGTTGTTTGATTCTCTCTGCTAGGATTTACACTAATTGCAATTGCAAGCCATAGCACAGTAAAGTTAACAATATTAATGACCGTTGACTACAATTTAAGTGATCGGCATAAGAACGGGTAAAATATTTTGGAAAGCATTTTTGATACATATTCCTACATGTTTACAAAAATAACTTCTTTCTTATCAAGCATGTTTGGTTTTCTTTATTAGATTAAAACATCCCCTCCCAAATTTCCCCATAAAATTTTCCAGCAGAATAATATGTGATAAATTAGGTACTCAAAATTAATTCAAGTGAAATAATGGTATAATGAGGCAGTGATTTCTGCTTTCTAAAAATGCCGTTATAAGAAATTCATCTTAATAAAAGTAATGAATTATTGAGCTCTTATTATATGCCAAGTATTGTTCAAAGCACTTTGTACGCATTGTTTCATTTTAGTTTATAGCATACCTATGAGGTATGCTATACCTATGAGGTGTGCTATACCTATGACGTATTATTGCCATCCTTATTTGGGATTAAAAGACTTAAAATGTTTAAATGAAGAACCCAGATTCATCTCTCTAGCAAAGCTGAGATTTTTACATGTTGAGCTATCCCATTGTCAACAAGTAAATGCCTATTGGCTTCAGGCTTAACTTCTCAAAGACACCAATTTGTTCAATCTTTGTGATTCTATTGGGATGATTTCAGTTGTTCTCGGTGATTCTAGAATTTATCTTTGCTTTATGCTCTTAACATCTTTGATACAACATTAATAATTGTCCCTATATCATGATTTAAGCAAAAATTTCCCCTGGATTTACAAAACCTTAATTATGGTATTATTGACTTCATCATTGGTGGCATCATCATCATCATCATCACCATCGCCATATTAGCCATCAAAAATAATAATCAATATTAGCAATAACAGTGCTTATAAATTATATCCCATGAGTTTATTCGAAACTCGTAACAATAATATTCTTTGTTGTCATACATGTGTATACATATAATATATAATATTTACAACAGGAAAATAATTCCCTCAATCGATGTGTTGTCAACTAGTGGAAAAAAATGAATAACAGTTTCAAATACTGAGGTAATAATTGACTTCAGCCTTCTTTATTTTGAACATTTCCCCCCACAGGCACTACTCTGCATTTTTGCATACCTTAAAACAATTAATTTTGAAATAATATTAAACTTACAGAAAAGTTGCAAATACAGTGCAGTATCTTCCCTCCCTCTCAGGAAACTTCTGTATACATTTTATTTATTTGTTTTACTAAGTGGAAAAATAGCATCATTCAGCTTTACCTTTTCATAAAATTTCAGAAAGAGCTAAATGTCTTTTTTCTTAGTCACATTTCCTTGGCCATGAATTTCAAGGTGGCACAAGCCCTTGGTGTAGTTGTTGCTGGCAGGTGGCAGAGCATGTGACACAGTAAAACAAACACAGCAGATAAAGGAAAGCAGATTTGGAAAGCAAGATGGACCTGTGATTGTTCCATTTCGGGCATGCTCCATCAGTGAGAATAAAGTGACTTTTTTTTTTTTTTTTTTTTTGTTGAGGTAGAGTCTCACTCTGTCTCCCAGGCTGGAGAGCAGTGGCACAATCTCAGCTCACTGCAACCTCCGCCTTCAGGGCTCAAGCAATTCTCTTGCCTCAGCCTCCTGAGTAGCTGGGACTACAGGCGCACACTACCATGCCCGGCTGATTATTTCATTTTCAGTAGAGATGGGGGTTTTACCATGTTGGCCAGACTGGTCTCAAACTCCTGACCTCAGGTGATCCACCCGCCTCAGCCTCCCAAAGTGTTGGGGTTGCAGACGTGAGCCACCGCACCCGGCCAAAATGGCCTTTCTGAGCTTGATTTCTCTGCCAATTGCTCGTTATACTGCTTGATCCAATTTCTCAAGGATTAAATAAGATTCTGTAAGTGTAACCTGTTCGAAAGGATCCTGTGCAGCTTCTTCTCTCACCGTGGACCTGTTTATAGACTGGTCTCAGAAACCATTTCATCCTGCCATCTCAGAAAACACAAATATAATAGCAAAGTCATTGATCCACAATGCAAATTTTGTTCAAGCTTCTCAAGAACCTGGGTTAGGTAATTACTTCAAATACCAAAAAACACATTTCCTAAATATATTTTTTAAACACAGTCTGGCCATCAGCCTGGCTTCAGCTTCCTCCTCTCCATTCCCCTGAAGACCAAAACAGCAGCTAGAAGAAGAGTAGTCACCAAAACAGAAACTTGGCAGTTAAATAAACAGCTGTTGTTCTTGAGGCTTGTGCTGCTAATAGGGGCAAGGAAAGAACTCCCTCTTTTGAAAATTATGTAGAAGAGTGCTCAAGACTACATGGGTTAGTGGGACTCTGCAAATGGTAGTTAACAGCCTTACATTTAACTATCTGATAGTTGACGTTCACCTGTTCTGCTTAGTGTGTACTAAGATTTTCTTTACTGTACTATTGTGATCATTTCTAATATCAGTCACTCTACCTGAATCCCTAAAACAAACATTGACTGGTCTCACTAGGAAATTTACCCTACTTCACCTTACTTTAAACTTCAGTTAGCCACAATCTTTTATCTGAATGGTTGGTTAAGTCTAAGAATATAATTTCCAAGAAGTTCTTTCTTTTTAAAAAAAAAAATCTCTGAATTTCCTGTTGGAGCAAATTCAAATTTCCTGTTGGGTTATATAATGCATGATTTGTGGAAAATTTCTCTAGGCTACTAACAGGCTTTTTAAGATCTTTATAAATCACCCTCAGTAATTGCCCTCCTATTGCTCATATCGTTGGAAGGATGATGCTTGAAATGTGAGATACTTGACTGGCACTCAGCGATTTGTTTGTTGCAGTGTTTGTTTGCCTTTAATTAGTGCTCTGATCATGTGGATGATAGCTTCTGGGCTAGGTCACCTAACTGCCCGCATGTAGCAAATGGAAAGGAGGAACTGTGGTGAGCCCGTGGGTAGCTTCCATTTCTGCACTTCCTCACTTGTCTGCCAGGCTTTCCTTTTCCTCAGTTCTCACCTCAGAATCTTATCTGGTGTCTCAATCATGCAGACATTATTCTGAGCTAGTGTCCTCACTGGAGAATGTCCCTGTCAACCAATCCTTACTGATGAGGAATTTTACATAATGAGGACTTTTATTCACTCCAGCTAGGGCAGTCTGCATTTTAAATGAGGATTCACAAAGACTGAAAACCATACTGTTTTCAAAGGAATTAAATGTGGAGGATATACTTCTAGACTATAAGACAAGCTACAGAGAGGCAGAAACAACTGACCAACAGCATCGCAGCGTTCTTTAGCTCCTATAGTTCATGCATTTATTAACTGGATGTTCATTGAGTACCTACTGTATATTAGGCACTGGAAGCAATGGATAAAAAGTCTGTCCCTCTTCTCCAGGAGTAGCAGACAAACAGAAAATATAATTATGGTAAATACAAAGGGCTGTGGTTAAATTTAGGACAAAAAACTTATAACATGTCTTAAACATGCTTGAAAATTTGGATCACAGGAAAAGTTTGCCTCTTCCCATTTTTCTGTTCCTTTCATGTAGATATTACTCTATTTACACTCTATCTATACCTTAGGGAGGGTGTCTGCACCTTTCATGTGACAACAGTTAAAAGAAATAGGCATTTTAGAGGCAAATGAGTTTTATTGAAATAAGAGAAAGTTATCTCACCTTCAAAGCCCATGTTCTGATAGGCCCTGGATCAAGAACTTGTCCATGTGACCTTAGGAGTCCTTTAGGCACTTAAACCTCCAGTTCTCAAAGAGATGCATAGAACTTTCTGTCATCCAAGAGTGTTGCAGCTTCAGTGTTTTAAAATTGTAAAATTGTTCACTGTTCCATTAAAACTGCTTTTAAGAACATTTATCCCTTGATTTTTCAAAACAAAATTGTATCGTTTTTCCTGTGTTCCTGTTGTATAGATGAATCATTCAAATTTTGGAGTAGTTAAGTGGCTTATGCACATTGATACAACTAATAACTGGAGAGCTAATATCCAAACCCACTCTTTATAACTTTAAATTCTTCTTGCTTCTTTTTACTCATACTGGGATTCAGATTCTTCATTTCATACTCAGTAGAGTTTCTCCTTGATACCCAGTTCTTAACAACAGCCTTGGGATAAAAAAATTGATCATTTATTTTATTAACTTTCTTTTGACATTAAGCAACAGTTTAAATTTGTTAAAGGTCAAGCGGTTGTGAATGCTTAGTGGTACAGTAGGAAAATAATAATAACAACGGGCAAAATCTTTTTAGATCATTTATGCTTTATCTGTTTTAGCTTCTAAAACAATCCTGAAGGATGAATAATTATCATGAGTATAGCAGAGTTTAATTTTCCCTGTTGCTCCAAAATTTTAATGAAAACTTTACGGTTGAGAGAAATAGGTAAATAAAAAAACTTCCTAAAATTCTAAAGACAATTGTTGAATAAAATTTAAGTAAATGAGTTTGTGCTTCATATTTAACTTTTAACTTTCCAATAGGCTTTATTAAATGGAAAACTGAAATTTACAAAGTCTTAGAGTAGAAGCATTTTTATCCTGGCTAGGGATTCTCTAAGAGAACCAGTAGCACCAAGATGCACTGGAACAGTGCAACAAGAGAGTTCATGCCTTAGGGTTTAGAAGCATACAAGCAAAGGGAATGGTGCCCACTTCTTACTAGAAAAATTTCACAGGCTGGAGTCTGGGCGGAGGAGCCTGGGATGACAGTAGAAGTGTGCAGGAAGCACTAAGTCAAGCCTGTACTACCACCTCTTGGTTTAACAATAATGTATAAGTTACCTACAAGCCAAGTGGTCACTGCTGAAACCATCTTGAAAGAACCTGCCCATCCAGGTGGCATATCAGGGAGATGAAACCTAGAGATGTCACAAGACTCATCTTAAGATGTCAGTCAAAGAGAATTGGTCAGGAAGGAGTCCAAAGTGCTCACATAACTATGTCCTCTGAGTGAGAACCGTGATGTAAATACCTGCCACTCACAATGTATTCATCTGAAGCCTAGAGTTAACCACAGATATCACCAGCTAAAGGTACAAACTTTTTCTCCTTTGTCTTTAACCTCTTTCTTAGCTAGGGAGTTGCAGAAGATGAGAGGGGTGAGGGAACCAGGAAGAAGGAGGACAGGCTTGTTTCCTTTTTCTTTCTGTAGGTCTCTCATAGAGATACCTGTCATAGGGGATGGTGATGGGGACGGAGAATGTTTTGTGTGGCTATTGTAGAGATACCTGTCATAGGGGATGGTGATGGGGAGGGAGAATGTTTTGTGTGGCTATTGTAGAGATACCTGTCATAGGGGATGGTGATGGGGACGGAGAATGTTTTGTGTAGCTATTGTAGAGATACCTGTCATAGAGGATGGTGATGGGGAGGGAGAATGTTTTGTGTGGCTGTTGGCTCTTACGCAGCTTTACTATCAGAAAGTGAGTCCTAAAAGGTTTTTGTTGGTGGTGGTGTTTGTTTTTTAAGAACTGAAAATCTATAGGATCCCCCCAAGCTCTCATTCAAGGACAAGGAAAAGGAAATTCTACATTAGCCAGAGCATATAATTGGAAATAAAGTAATATTATTATTCTTTGAATACCATAGAGATAAGTTCAGTAAATCAGTTACATATATAACTATATTCCTATATTATAATTAAGAAAATAGAAGCTTGGGAAAGCTAAGAAACTTTGACCAAAAATCAGCCACTTTAAAAATTGCAGCCTAAAAATTTCCATCTTGTGTTGTCTGACTCTAAACCGTTGCTGTTAACTTCTGTGCAGTTCGTCCTATGAAAATCAAAATGATTAATTAGGTTTAGTCACAGATATTGTCACCGTAAGGAAGAATAATACTTTGACTCAGTTTTTATTTTACTGACCAATGCAATGATTACTTTTTCTTATATCCAGACCACTTGGCATTCGCTTATTTATCTTACTGCATTTTCTATGGAAATTCAATTCAGAATTCAGAGCTATGTACCAGGAATTCCCTAGATGTACCCTGCACATGTTTATGATGTCCAAACTTGCGCTCATTTGCCCCAGATCCCCAAATGAATGCCACATTCTGAAAAATACCCCAAGCACAAGTTTTTTCCTGTTTATTGAACAATAGCACAATATTCTCTTGTGAACAATAGAATATTATTATTCTGTTGAACAATAATACATCTTGATTTATTGAAGATTAGCACAATATTTACACGGAAATTCAAGTCCACATCACACGAGACATATTTGACTTATCCTTTTCCTTCTATCTTCAGTCAATCACGGATTCCTGGGGGATCTGCATTCTAAAACTTCTCATGTGCTTTTCCTTTTCTCCATTCCTACAGGCATTACATTTGTTTTTGTACCCAGTATCTCACCTGATCAAATTTAATAGCTATCTCCTTTCTTTCAAACATCTTTTCTATTGATGTAGCAGAGTTAGATCCGAGATACACGAAACAAAAATCTGATTGTATCCATCCCCGGATTAAAATTGCTCAGTAGCTTAGTATACCGTTTCTTACCATGACAATCAAGGGCTTTAACACTCTCATCCCTGTCTGTACAACCAGCCTTCCTTCAGTATCCTCCCTCTGAAACAAGTCCTCCATTCATGCAAAACGATTTGCAATATAAATATTCTGTGCTTTGGTTTATGTTTATCCTGCCTGTGATGTCCTTCTTAACTCGTTCATTTATTTATACATTTATTAATCAGATAAATATTATGTACTTGTTCTATGTAAGCTTCTACTGTACTAGGTACTGGGAACACGGTGAATATCCAGACCAATGTGGACCTCAGTCTTAAGAACCTCAGTTAGAAATATTAAGTCACATATTTAAATCATTAATTAAAGTTACAATAAGTGGGGTAAAGGAGAAGAAGAAAATGTATAAGGAGAGTATGACAAGTGTACCTGAACTAACTTATGAGATAAGTATAAGACTTCCCTGAAAAAGAGACTTCAAGTTGAGGTTGATAGGTTGATGGAAGTCAACCACGCAGAAGAATGGTGGATCACGGGCTGGCAGAGAAAGGGGGAGCACCCTGGGCAGTGGAAACAGCCTGTGCAAAATTTTTGCTCAGAGGTGAGAAGCAGCAGGGCACGTCTGGGCTCTAAAAGAAGGCGGTGAGTCTACAGCATGGGCTGTGCTCAAATCCAAGTACTGGAAGATGGCCTACTTGAGAAATTCTGTCTTTTATGAATTTTCCCTGAATACTACTCCTTGAGTCATTCCGTTCCTTTTACCCCTTCCCTCTTCCTACGTCAAGGCCAAGAAGCTGCCCCGTCTCAGTGTTATCACTGTAAGAGATATGCATGTTTCTTGTTGCCCTCTCACACTGTGTTGTAATTATCTCTTTACGTATTTATTTGTTTTCCTCTCACGACCCTGTGGGATTTCTAAGGAAGTAACCATAAATCATATGTGTTTTCCAAACATTAGTTATAGTGTCGACACGTGGAAGAATATACATGAAATATAATTTTCTTCTCACCCATTTATTTCTACAGTTACTGCAGTTTTTACTTGAATGTCCCATTTCTTCCTCAAATTTAAGAATATCAATATTTTTGCAAGAAGGTAATGCTTTTGTTCTGCATTTATATTTGGAGTAATGGTTCTGCCAACTTCGGGCTCACCAAACAATAAACCGTAGAAATACCCATCATTCTTCCTTCTCATTTCACCTCTACATCCTTCAGAAAGGCTTTCTAATTATTCCTTGAATCTATGTCTTAGCTTTCTACCTCAGCACTAATTCAGGCTTTCCTAATTTCATACCTGAGTTACTAGAATAGAATAAACAGGAGTTTTAACTTGTATTCCTACTTTGGATTTGCTCCTCCTGTATTACCCAAACAGCTGTTAAAGTGGACTTCCTACAATTCATGCCTGATCATATACTGGTCTAATTAAACTTCTTTAATTACCTCTTTGCCTCCAGAATAAAAGGCAAACTCCTTAGCAGGATCTACAGAGTGTTTCGTGATCTCTCCTTCTCCATCATCTCATCTCTGGATGCTGTGGTGCCCAGAACGTTGATCTAACACCATCTTGAAGCACACATGCTGATCTCCAGGTGCACCACGATTTGTGCCCTTGAAAATGCTGTTTGCTCAATCTTTCTGGAGAAAGTTTGCCACATATTCGGACTTAGTAAATTAGAACTCCTACCTTGAAACCCAGATGAAGGTTCAATTTTCCCCAGGATTCCTTTCCTCACCATTCTCCTATGTGAGGGACTTCTTGTATTATAATCTTTTAATATAATATTATATTTTATGTAATATTGTGTTAAATTATATTGTTTTATGTAATATATTATTTTAAATGTTATTTTATATATGATATTAAAAGATTATAATTATATAATCTTTTTCGATAATTTATTCTTGTATTACAATCTTTTTATTATAATAGTCTCCACTCTCCCCAAAATATTGTGAATTCTTCAGCTGAGGAGTTTTGCTTTAGTTTCTTATCGCCATGGACTGGGAATTAACATGTATTTAACACATTTTGCTCAAACAATCAAACAGTAAAAGCTGAAGAGAGCGTATTATTATTCGCCCATTCCGAGAGAAAGTTGAAGATGACTGAAGAACTAAAAATACATAAATGAATTAAGTAATTATAAACATAAATTTCCTGTAGCTCCAACATGACTTTGATCTGAGTAATAGTGTTGTGAAATAGATTACTACATGATTTTCATTGCTTTTATATTATATATAGTAATTAATATTCAGAATAGTTGATTAACTTTCTTAAGTGTCACATAATTTAAAAATGAAATTGCTGTTTGCCCCAGATATGTTTTTCTGTGTTCTTTTTAAATTTCAGTGAAATTTTCTTATACTCCCTTCATTAAATCTATTATCTGGTTTCTAAACCTTTACCTATTTAATGTCTCTTTTCCTTTCTTTCTAAAAAGTAACTGGTTAAACTACAGTTTTGTCATTTATGAAATTTTTTCTGTTATTATTGTAGGGATAGTCAATATTATCATTTTAAGGATAGTTAAAACTTATTTTGCAATTAATACGTATTTTACAGTACACTAATATGCATATATGTTGTATTTTATTAAAATATTAAAATGTTTTTTAAACAAAAATATTGTCCGAAGCTCTAAATACCAGAGTATTGATTTTAAAGTCTGCCAAGACAATAATACAAGTAACACAACTAAGCCTTTCTTTAAATAATAAAACGAGTATCTAAATGAAAATATATCTGTCTCTTGTAGGTTGGGTGTTAAAATGTTGTATTCACTTTGGACTTGCTAATTTATCATAGGAATGTTAAAGAGGTGGAAGTCGTAAGTGTGAAAATACATATTTTCAAGAAAGAAATTGAGCTAGTTAATGAGATATATAATAATGTTTTGTATGGGGATGCTACACCAGCTATTTCGTGCAGGGACGTTTAGAGTCTTCAGTTGTACACAGTTGTTTTAAAATGAAGACTAGTTTAGTAGGCCCCCAAAGAAGGCATTAATTTTTCAGTTTTTGAAAGTCAGCGGATATATGCACGACAAAAATTCCATGCCATCCCTGAGTCATATCCTCTTCTGGTTCTCACCCCACTACTGAGAACCTGAGATAATAGGAGAGTATGAGCAATGTGGCAGGCCTGTAGTTGGGTTCGGGGATGTCGTGAGAGTCAGAAAAGCATTGAGCAACAGGGAGTTAGTGAGAGACGGTAATGGAGTCAGAATTCATTTACTAAACCAGTTTTACTTCAGAATTATTATGGTGCAAGCATGGTTCAAAATAGGGCAGATTAGAATGAAGAAGATAGAGCTTGTAGTTTAGTGGGAAATGTGACATTAAAGTAGAATAAAGCATTTGGGGTCATACTGGAGAAAATAGGATGATATCAGAGAATACAGCAAAATAACTTAACGGCCTAGAGGTCAGAGAAAGTCTTCTTGAAATATTAGCATTCAAGTACAGATCTAAAGTAGGAGGATTTAACCAGGTGAAGTGCTTAAATGTCAGAAATATCTATGACTCAAACAGCTTGGCAGTGAAAAACGGTAGATTCATATTTTGGGAAAGCTGTTTTGTATGGATGTATCAATATACAGATGCGTCAAAGTTTCCTCCAGTTCTACCGATGATTACAGAGAATTTAAATAACATATATATGGAGTCTTTAAGTTGAATTCACAAAAGTAATAGGTTAGAGCTGTGTGGAGACTATGGAGACTACAGTCCATCTCTTGAATTGATGACCCATTTTTCAACTGAGTGTTGAGAATATGAAGAGCATTAGAGACATTTACATAGCCTTCTAAAAATGTCATCCATTTTGGAAATAGAAGCCTGAATTCTAGACTATATAAATTATGAGACAATTTTTTATAAAGTGTATCTGTCTGTTCAGAAAACATGATTATGATTAATTTGTGTATAAATCTGTATGTTTATTACACTGCTCTACTATACATGTGAAAATATGCATATAAACCTCAACACTATAAAGTTTGGTACTAAAAAGTGAATTGTAATCAACCATACTTCAGCCTGTCCATTAATAGCAGCCTATACAAATGAGAGCAGCAGGCAGAATAAATTGGGTTAGTCTAGTCAAACATCAATCCCTTGGATGACACTAAGAAGCCAGAAAATGTTGTGTAACAGGACTTAGACACATCAACTACCAGATGTTACCTAGAAGCTCAAGAGACAGAGTCGTAAGATCTGCTTATTGCAATGTATGGGTTAATAAAATCTAAAGAGGACTACTTGGCTATTTTTTAATTCTTTTGAAGTATTATTTAGAAGTGGTTTTTCCTGAGAGATAAATGTAGGTAAATAAAATCTGAAGGGTTTATATCACTGAGGGGGAAAAAGAAAAAAACTTGATCTTTATGAGTGTAATGCACCTTTCTCTAATTTCAGACCTGAGACTTACTAACTGTTACAAACAATAATGTTTTTCCCAAAATATTTTGAGTCATATTAAATTTTTTAGAGTGCTGTTGTGGAATTTTTAAATAAATTTTAGGGTGATTTTTATTCTACTTTTTTAAGAATTACAAATTATTTTATATGGCCTCAAATTTTAAGAATTAGGAAATTGGAGAATTAGCAAGAATTCTGAATATATCATCCAATTCATCTATCAATTATTCATTTACTAATGTGCTAAGCACTAGAGTTAACAAATAATTGAAAATCAGACACTATTTATATCCTACTTAGGGAAACAGGGAGTACCATGTGATTTTGTCATAATAAAGATAAGTACATCACTTTAAGGAAGTAAGGGCCTTTAACTCAAACTATGCTACAATATAGAATAACACTTTCAAGAGACAACACCAACACTTATATTGAAGCACTTAGAAGAGTTACCTAGGAAGAAGGCATGAAAGGGAAGTTCTAAACTATATGACTACAATACCCAAAGACAAATACTGGCATTGCTTTTCCACCACAAAAATTGCAAGTGATTTAGTTTGCGTGAAATAAAAGCTTTGCACAGAAACGTAATGAGGAATATGTTTGGAAAAGTTATACAAGATGTATGTGAGTGTTTTTTATGCTAATCTAATTGAGTTTAGTCTTGAAACAATGAAACTGCCAAAATATTTTAGATACGAAAATTATCACATTTGAGACATAGAATCACCATTGGATCACAAGATAGAAAGTATATTGGGAGAGGGTGGAATTGTTGATGAGTTGGGAAGCTGTAAAAGATGTCCAGGTGAATTAAAGTACTAGTGGTAGCATTGAATATGCACAGGGAGATACAGCTTCAGAATTACAGAGATGTTAAAATTTATAACATATGCTGTCTGATTGTCTGAAGGAAGAGACAGTGAGTTATATTGCTACATCTTTCATTTGAGGTACCTTTGAGATATGGAAGTGGAGTTAACCCAGTGTCTTTTATCTGACACACCAGACTGTAATTCTATGAAGAAATAGATCATTTTCATTCATTGTTGTGGCTTCAGTTGTTAAATAGGATTTTACATTGTTAGAAGATGTGGTCTGTGGAATCAGATGTGTTAGTCACTGGTATGGAGGTGGTGGTAGAAATCATGGATGTGGATGGTATTGCTCAGCTAAGAAATATCGAGAAGGACGAAGACAGACCATCTGAGTAGGTTTGCTGGCAAGTGAATAGATGGGCTGTTGTTTGAGGAGCCAGAAATAAATACTGAAATGGCTGGCCAGAAGAGCACAGTGAAGTATCAGGTAGTGGGGTAAGGGGGTCTTGAAAACCAAGAGGAAGAGACATATTCTGTTACCTTGATGAGGTAATAGTATACCTCATCAAGAAGATTTTGCAGTCAGAAGGCATAATTGACAACCCTATCAAGTACAGTTTTTCCTGCAGTGGTAAATGAAAACTCAATGTTCAGAGAAGAAAATAGGGGATAAAAAGTGAACAACTGGAACCCATAAGTGTAGCATAATCTTTCGGAAACCTTTTCTGTGAAAGGAATCTTGTGATGGAAGGATTAAGAAAGAGGAGATGGTGAATTTGAGGGAAAATGCAGTCAAAGTGGAGGTGGTTAAAATTCATCTTTTGTTGCTTTATGCAAGACTCAGTTCAACTAGGAATCAGGATTAAGACAGATTTTCATATGCTTTGCCTGTAACCTGGAGAAATCCATCCCCTCCCCACCACATCCTACCTCCACACCAAAAGCTGCTCCTAAAAAATTCTGGCAGTCTTCTGTAATACATCTGTTCATTGAGGAATTGTAAGCCAACCCTCAGACCTTATGATCATTGTTATTTTTGTCATTTGTGTTTGTTTTTTGGACTCCTTGTTTAGATGCCCTGGTCCCTTTCACCGCCCAGCAAAGGTGATCTCACAAAATTTTTCTGAAAACACATGTGGCGCTACTGATGTCTCTGAAGTTGTGGCCTCCCTGCCAACCCGTTTCTGGGGTTTGGACGCTGTCCAGGGTGCTGAGTGTGTGGCTGCAGCCTCAACAGCCTTTGCCAATTTTGTTAGCACCATGCCTACTCTCGCAAGCCGGCACCAAGATAGCACTGCTGTTCCCGTCTCTTGGGAGGGCTGCTTCCTTCCCTGTGCCGCCGCTTCCTCTATGCTGTGGACGGCTTACATGCATGATCCTCTATGATGATAAAGCCATAGGTTTTATAGTACTTCCTTCATATTTCAGCCACATAGGTAGATGTGGGCCTGAATTGAGGCAATCTCACAGACACACACTATGATCCACCCCAAATCCCTTTATCTTGAACCTTTATTTGTATAACCAAGAGTCTGTGTCTCTTTTTGTGAGTGAAGTTTATTATTTTCCTCTGTGGATACACTGCGAATATATTCAGAAGTGTGCCAACCTGCTGAGTCAATCCTAGGGTAATGCAGTTTTGTCTGAAGCCAGAACTTCATACTTATATATGGTGTGTTGCCTTTAGAGATGCACTGATATGACAGAACAGGAAAGCAAGAGCAGCTCTGTCTCGCACACCCAGCTTAGAGCACCAGCGTGAACACTGTACTCCCTCCATTTAAGAGGTGCCCCCAAAATATTATTTTGTTACTTAGAGTTTTTATTCTGTTCTTATTATTCCATATTCTTTCAGTTTATCTTTTGGCAAAGGAGCAGCTAATTAGCTTGTATTCTAAAAATTAAGCATATATTTGGGGTAAACCAAGCATAGAACTATTTTAACAGCTACTGTAGAACCTAATGTGATATACATTTAAATATACATTTAAATTTCATAGTGTTCAGAAAATGCCAGGTGTGTCCAGGTAAAGTTGTTAAGATTGTAAAACTGCTATCATAGCAGTAATGATAATAATGATACATAATATCATAATAAGATTGAATAACTGATTGGAGTATATTAGATATTTTTTTCTCTTTATCCTGAAAACAGTTAATAATTAACTTTTTAAGTTTCTTTAAGGAAAATCAAGATTGAGATTTTGGTTGGTCTATAGATCAGCTTGAGGAAAGTTTGCATTTTTAGTGTTTTGAGACTTAAATTTCATGAACAAAGTAGATGGTATGATTATTCGCTTATTTAGATGTTATCTAATGCCTTGCACTACCATTTAATCCTAAGTCTTTTAAAATGTCTTCTTCAATCCATTCTTTTTTTATAATGATTGTGTTTTTCAATTTCTGAGTGAAATTATTTTTGTTTATAATTTCTAATATAAGTTGTGCTGTAATAAGGTAATTGGAGTGTTCCTTTTTCCCATTTCATTTGGTCACTCAAATGAATGGTCTTTCTTGCATTTGAGACTGTTAAGGGGTAATTTTCTTTCTTAAGATTTTTTTTTTAGAACAGTTCTCTTGGAGACTAAATTCTCCAGTGTTTGCTTATTCTCTAAATATCTTCCCATTTCCCCTTCAACTGTAAGAAATAATTTTGCCAACTGACAATTCTAGGTTGACAGGTGTTTTCTCCCAGATCTTAGTAGACCTTATTTGACTGTCTGTTGGCTTTCGTTTTCGCTGTTGAAATATCTGCAGTCATCCTGTCATTTCCTTTAATTGACATGGCTTTTCTTTCTGTGGCTTCAAGATTTTATCTTCATCTTCTGTGTTTAGCAATTCTATTGCCATGTGTCTAGGTATGGATTTCCTTTTGTTTATTTCTTTTGTAGAATACATTATACCTTCTAGATCAGTGACTTCAAATTTTTAATCACTTGTCAAAAAATGTAGCTACTATTTCTTTAAATATTGCCAACTTTCAATTATAGTTTGAAAAATTTTATTGAAAATTTCACTTTGAATATCTTTGTTTTTGTAGTTTCTTACTGTGTTACATTTTTGCAAATGTTTCCTTTTAAAACAGTGCATGTATATCTACAGTAGTATTCTGTGTTTGATAATTGCAAACTCCAAGATTTATTGTATGTTGCTTCTGCTAGCTCTCATGTATGATGATGTTGCTTCTGTTTTGGGAGCTCTTGATTTGCTTTTTTTTTTTCTTGAGATGCAGTCTTCTTCTATTGCCCAGGATGGAGTGCAATGGTGCGATCTTGGCTCATTGAAACCTTCGCCTCCTGGGTTCAAGCGATTATCCCCCGTCAGCTTCCCGAGTAGCTAAGATTACAGGCATGTGCCACCACACCTGGCTAATTTTTGTATTTAGTAGAGACGGGGTTTCGCCATATTGGCCTGGCTGGTCTCGAACTCCTGAGCTCAGGTGATCCGCTGGCCTTGGCCTCACAAAGTGTTGGGATTACAGGCGTGAGCCACCACGCCTGGCTGCATTTTTAATTTATTGCTCTTACGTGGACTAATTTTGGAAAATTTCCTCCAAATATGGCTTGTTCTGTTTCTGCAAGTAGCAAAAGATAACATCTGACCAAAACAACTTCAACATAGCTCACAAGTTTTGATGCAGAAAAGACCTCCAAGCCCAGCTTCCCTTTGGAGTTCTTTTCCAAAGTGCAAAATTCTCACAGAAGTATTGCTGTAGGAGTCGTAAGTCAGAGCAACTGTCCCTTTCAACATGCCCAAACAGCAAGGACAATTTCCTGTAATCCTTTTTTCCCCTTTCTTTTTTTTTTTTTTTTTTTTTGAGACAGGGTCTCACTTTGGTTGCCCAGGATGAAGTGCAGTGGCATGATCCCAGCTCACTGCAGTCTCGACCTCTGAGTCTCAGCTGATTCTCCCCACTCAGCCTCCCAAGTAGCTGGGACTACAGGCAGACATCACCATGCCCAGCTCATTTTTTGTATTTTTAGTAGAGAGGAGGTTTTGCCATGTTTCCCTGGACAGTTTCTTGCAATCTTGTTTCTCAAATTTTCTCCTGCTTTGGGCCTGGCCCCTTGCTGTGAGTTCCAGATACTGTACTGCAGGTCCCTCCAACCCAGGCTACAACCCTATGGAGGGGCTCCACGTATGGCCATATGGTTGTTTGGGGCTGGAGGGTCATTCTGCAGTTGCTGAGTACATGGAGGCCTGGACTGTAAAGAGACTACGGAAGGGGCAGCATGTGTGTTTTGCTTCTCAGATTCATTGTCACTCACGTTGCATAAAGTCCTCAGTTGTTTTTAAGTAATTGTTTTACTATGGATATATTAAACATACAGAATAAAAAAGGGAATAAACATACAATTTGGCAAACCCCCTACTGAGCCTTTAAAAATATTAGAAGGTTGATATTAAACCAGGTAACTTACGGATTTGGAAAAAAAAAAAAAAGAAAGCATTGAATATGGCTGGGCGGTTCTCTGGGGATCCTTGGGCAGACCCAGTTTGCCCCGATTTCTCACTGTAGTTTTCAAGAATAACTGTAGGAGGCGGTGGGAGTGCAGCATCCTGAGATAAGGGAGACAAGCCAGAACAGCGCGGGCACTGTTCCAGCCCCCCTAGAAATGGGTTGATCTTCAGTGCTTCAGCTCAGTGTGTCATGCTTCACCCACGATGTAAAAGCCTAGGATCGGAGGCTTCCCCAGGGTTCGTCAGCTGTGGCACAATAGGGCCCATTGCAAATAAGATTCTATTCCTGTCAGACAGTTTCCTGAGTTGTGGGGGAACACTCACCCTAGGCTTCTGTTGTCTCTTCATGCCTGTGTGTTCCTAATCAACTTTTTTGTGTAACTTGTTGTTTTTGAAAGTGTCACCAGCACACAGTGAACCTGTCTCACGGAAACAGAAATACAGTCCATAGTTTCCAAACCATCAGAGAATTAAAAGGAAATACAGAAATCGTTATCAATCAAATAGAAAGCAAGAAAGAGAAAAAAGGAATTGTGAAAAAAAAGTGGTATAAGAAAAACACAAAATATGAGGGTCAAAATAACTAACAAATATAAACAGAATAAATCTACCAATTTAAAAAAACACGAGAAAAGAATTACACTGAGGAAAAAATCCCAGCAAGATAGTGCTAATAAGAAACATTTGAAATTAAAACCTACAGACACACATGTAGGAGGGTTGAAACTTTTAAATATGAAAAGATAAGTGTTAAGTAAAAGAAAGCTACTAAAAAGCTAATATCAGACCAATTATAATTTAGGATAAAAATCATTAATAATAATGAAGGGAGTAACTGCGTAATGGTGATAAGAAAATGTTCAAATAAAATAACAAGCTGTAAGATATCAAAAATGCACCCTTAAAATATATTAATTAAAAACGTATTTAAAACAGGAAACTAGCAAACCACGATAATTGTGGAACACTTGTCATTTCTCTAAATGTACTTATTGTTTTACACTAATACAAGTAAGTTATATGAAAGACTTCAAAAAGATAATGAATATATTTGATCTAATCAATGTGTTTACAACTCTGCACTCAATAAAGGAAGTATATATGATTTTTAAGAATACACAAATTATATGCAATATTTCACCATATATGTCACAAAGAAAATCTCAACACTTACTAAAAAAATCTAGTGTTTTAAATCACATTTTATTTTTTAAACAGAATCAATGAAAAGATTTTTAAAAATTCTAAGTGATTGAAAACTCAAAATTTCACTTTTAAAGATCGCATGGTTACCAGGAGAAAGCAAGATAAACATGACAAAATAGAGTTTTGTGCTAATTCAAGTATTAACAAAGATTTGTGTAACACATCTTTTGGCCTGCACTCAAAGTAGCTGTTAGAACCTAAACATAATTCTCAATAAATAAGGAAAGTATTGAAGATTTAGGCATTATCTCCAAAAGTGAGAAAAATAATAGTAGAATAAATGTTTTTAGAAGTAGATTTATAAAGAATATAAAGATAAAAGCAGAAATTAATGAAATAAAACAAAGAAACTAAGAAATAATAATACATGGAAAATATGGTATTTTGAAAAGAATTAATAAAAATTGATCCAAAAATAAAGGTAAAAATAAATAATATTAATGAAATTACAATATATGAGTACAGTTAGATTAGAAAAGGTGAAGGGTTATCAACACTTTTTGCCAATATATTTGAAAAGTTAAAATAGGCCAATGTTTAGGAAAACAATTATCAAAATCACTTCAGAAGACATAGAAAACCAGCATCAGCTATTATTTGATGAAGTAGAAATCAGTAATACTTCAGGTGATGTGGAAAGCCCCAGGTTAGGGCTCTGAGATGTACATTCCAGTCTTTGAGTTTTCGCAGATTGTTTTTCTTTACGAAGTCACTTCCTTGTCTTCCTCAGGACTAACTCTTGCTAATCATGTTATAACATCATATCCTAAATTGTGACAGTTTATTTTATATCCTCTGTTTAGGATTTGTCTTTCTTGTCTATGGTGGTTGATTTATGAGTCCATGGCTGTAGATTTCTTGTTTTATTTTGCCTTCTACAAGAATAGTTAATAACTTTTCTTGTTCTGTTACTCTAAAATCAAGAGGAACTTTTATATTTAATCCCAAATCTCTTTATTTTTAAATTTTTATTATTTTTTGTTTGTTTGAGACCGAGTCTCACTCTGTCGCGCAGGCTGGAGTGCAGTGCAGTGATCTTGGCTCACTGCAGCCTCCACCTCCCAGGTTCAAGTGATTCTGGTGCCTTAGCCTCCGGCGTAGCTGGGACTACAGGCATGCACCACCATGACTGGCTTTTTTTGTTTGTTTTTTTTTTGTATTTTAAGTAGAGACGGGGTTTCGCCATGTTGGCCAGGCTGTTTCTGAACTCCTGACCTTAGGTGATCTGCCCGCCTCGGCCTCCCAAAGTGTTGGAATTACAGGCGTGAGCCACCACGCCCGGCACCAAATCTCTTTTATGGCAATTCAACTTGCTCTTCTAGTCTCAAGTAATGAAATAAATGTTTGGGAACTATTCTCATGTGATGATAGTCTCAACAGTTAATGAGTATTTCCCAGAACACTTTCTGTTGTTCAAAAGGGACTTTTAATTCTACTGTACTATGTATACAGAGCCAGATAATTATACATTCAATTTGGGATCATAATTCTAAGATAGAGGCTCACAAATGTATTAAAAGAAGAGACACACAATAATAGAATGCCATGGAAAGGAGACTAGAAATGAAGTTTACCTGCAGCCAAATTCCAGCAAAAGATTTGAATGTAGTAGTTCTTTAGTAATTATTCGATAAGTACCCACTAAATTTAGGAATTCTGGGAGCTCTATTTACTGAGATCAAAACAAACAAACAAAAACCCGGCTTATTCTCAAAGTGTGTAACCAATCTATTAGAAGTTGTGGATGAGTAAACATTATTACTTTAGAACAAAATGCTACAACACAGACATGCAGTTGTACAAGAAGTCAAGCTCTTGTTCCCAACACTATTTTCTACATAGCAGCCAGAGTGATGTTTGAAAACGCAAGTCAGGCCAAGTCACTTCTTTACAAGCCCCTCCAGTGGTTTTTCATTTTGTCCTGTTTGTCTAGGACATTGTGTATCGGGAGCTGCAAGCTTCTCCTCTGTTTAGGGGCAGAGAGTAGATATTTGAGACTTTGTGGCCACATGTCTCTGTGGCAGCTACTGGGCTCCATCTTTGTGGCAAGAAGGCAGAAATGAGTGCCCATGGATATGTTCCAGTGAAGCTCGATGGACACAAGCATGTGAATTTTATATTCTTTTCTCATGTCACCAAATATCCTTCTTTGACTATTTTTAAAAATCTATTGAAAAACATAAAGAACATGTTTAGCTCATTAGGTGATGGAGAATCAGGGAGTCAGGGGAATTTTCTGACCCTGGCTCTTCACCACCTGCCCTGCCCACACCTCCATCCTTTTAACTCCCGTCTTCTCACACGGCCGCGGCCACTCGGGGTTCACTGATGTCCCTTTGTTGAACGAGCCTTGAGGTCTTGAAACATCCTCTTCCCTCTACCTGGCAAACTCTTCCCCTTGTTCTCAGGCTGGTTCTCCCTCTTCCCTTAGGTCCCTCACGTGATCTCAGAGGCCTTTTCTGCCCTCTCTGCCTTCCCCTGCTCCGCTCATGTAAGAGTTACCTCTTTCACACCTCTCCTACCTACTACCTACCTACCACCCACTGACTCCTTAATCCTAGCTAATTTTCCCAAAGCACTCATTGCTTATCACTGCATGACACTTCATATTGTCTCTCACTACCAGACTATTAATGCCATGAGGTTAGCAATTTTTTTTAAATATTGCATCCTCAGTATCTAGCATAATGTCTGGAATACGGAAAACAGCCAATAAATATTTATTAAGTAACAAACAAATGGGAAGGACATGAAAGAAGTCAGAAGACTGTGAGATACGTGGGAGGCTTTTTGGGTATCTGTATCTTGTAAAAGTAATGTAAGCGCTTAAGAAGTCAAAACATACAGAGATGCTTGAAGGAAAATATTAAATCTCCCAAACTCCTTGTACTCCCACTCATTTGAGACATTGTAACGATTTGGTAGGTAAAATATTCACACTGTTCTTTGTGCTCAATAGATATGAGTACAATATAAACATATACACACATGTATATGCCTCTCCCCATACTCTCTCTTTTATTATTTTAGAGAATTTATTGCTATTGCTTCTGCTGTTCTTGTGGGGGAAATATGATTATATGTACAAACTTAACAATTTATAAACAAGATTACAGAACAGTGTCTACCGCAAGTGAAGTCTTCAGCTTTTATTCCTATGACAATCCACTTGTTTTGAAAACAACAGCACAATTGATGTATGTTTTACAATTACAAGATGTGCAAAACCCCAGAATAGAAAAATGTCATTCTCTTTTATGTCTGAGCTCACGATTTTGCTTGGCGGTAGGAAAGTTAAACTTATCTAGCGAATTCTCTCGTTTTTCAAACTCAGATTTAAGCTTTGGTGAGTTAGATTCTTTGAAACTGCCCCTGCAAATGGCTCCCGCTCCCTGCTCCGCCTCCCCACGTCCTGCGGGGGGACGGGACGGTGGCGGTGCTCCTGAGCTGTCCTTCTTGTTATCTGTTCTTGTCTGACCTGTGGCATGGTGCCGCCCAGTGCCCGCTTTCCCAGGCAGCTTCCTGGCTTTGGGAGCCCATATGGAGTCAGGCTTCTCACCCAGTCCACCTGCCCACCTTGTTGGCAGCTGTCCCACTGAGCCCATCCTTTCCCAGCCCCTCCACCCTCTGAGACTTGAGCCCTAGTTAAGCTCTCAGATAATTTCTGCCATCCTTTCTGTATCCGTGGGTCACACACAAATTCCACTACAGCTGTAAGGAAAAGTCAGGGCTGATCCAAGACCTTCGTTCCTCACTCTTCAAAGAAGCCTCCATGGTTATCTCGAGTCCCAGGCAACTGTGACAACAGAGCTGTCCAGGAAAAATGCCCCTAGAGCATCACACCTCAGAGAGGGAATAACATGTCAGCTTCTCTGCTCCTCAGTGGCCCCACTCCCACCTGCATAGGGCAGTTTTTGAAAATTAACAAAAAGCCAAGTCTGTAACCCAGTTGAGTGCTGAGGAAGACATCCCATGAAGGCCCCAGGCTTTACCCATTATGATTCTTTTATGTTAAATTTTAGAAAGACATTTTAATAGGTCAGATTATGGCCCTTAGGATAAGATTACCTGTATTCATACTCTGACTTTGCCACCTGCTTGCTGTGTGACCTTTACCAATTTTATCAGTCACCTCAACGTCTCACGTTCTTCAACTCTAAAAATTGAGATGATAGCCACCCTATGCAATGAGTATTGTTTTGAGATTAATGAGATCATCAGTGTTACATTTCTGACAGAGGGCATGGTGTACTTGCTAAGTAGTACATGATTCTTCTGGAGAGGATTCCTTTTTTTTTTTTTTTTTTGAGTTTCACCCTTATTGCCCAGGATGGACTGCAATGGCACAATCTCGGCTCACCGCAACCTCCACCTCCTAGGTTCAAGCGATTCTCCTGCCTCAACCTCTTGAGTAGTTGGATTATAGGCATGTGCCACCACGCCTGGCTATTTTTTTTTTCTTGTTTCTTTTTTGTTTGTTTGTTTTAGTAGAGATGGGGTTTCTCCGTGTTGGTCAGGCTGGTCTCGAACTCCCGACCTCAGGTGATCCGCCCACCTCGTCCTCCCAATGTGCTGAGATTACAGGCATGAGCCACTGTGCCTGGACCCATTTTTTTTTTTTTTTTTTTTTTTAGTTAATATGAAGAAGAGAATGCTTAGAAGAAAAAACTGCTTCAGGAGACAGAAAACGGGGCTAAGGAGAGGACAGGATATAATTTGTCAGCCAGGGGAGGCTGTTCCAAGATTAGGAAGCTGAAAGAGCTGTTTCCCAGGCAAGAGATGGGCAGAAGAGATACGCAGGAGTAGATCATGAAGGCCTTTGTGCCTTTTGTGTATTCAAGGTTCTAATTAGGAGATTTTCTGTCTGCCTATTTGTCTGTCTATCTATCACCTATAAGTCTATCTATCTATCTACCTAGAGATTTATTATGAGGAATTGGTTCACACAATTACAGAAATTGAGAAGACCCAAGAGTTGCAGCTGACAAGCTGGAGGCCCAAAAGTGTAGTTCCACTCTGAAAATCACCCGACTCAAGACCCAAGAAGAGCCAGTTTTTCAGTTTGAGTCCGAAGGCATGTCAAGACCCATATCCTTGCTCAAGCAAGGAGGGAGGAGGAGTTCTCTGTGAGTCATTTTGTTCTATCCAAGTCTTCAGTTGAATGGATGCCGCTCATCCTCGTTAGAGAGGACCACTTGCTTCACTGAACCCACTAATTCAAATGTTAATCTCATCCAGACGCATCCAGAGTAACGTTTGGGTACAGGTCCAGAGATCACCCCCCGGCCAAGTGGCCCAGTCAAGGTGATACCTTTTACCATCCTGTAAGTTTTCAAAGCTATAGTAAAGTAGTCTGATGGCTGTTGAACAAACAGCTCCAATAGCAGGAGATTGAATGGGGTGGAGTGGAGAAGGGAAGAGTTGGTTTTATAATATAGTTATGTAAAAATAACAAAGGAGAATGCGCACTTGTATATTCCATCATTGATTTTGCTTTCCAGTCTGAATGGTTTCCAACATGTGAATCTCTTCGTTTAATTGCTCTACATCTGTGTACATTGTAATCATTTGAAACTTTAGAAACGTGCTTATAAATTTTATCTGCATACGTTTATTGTTGGTTTTTCCTAAAACAAGCAAAGTAAAAATTATTCGTCCTCCTCTCATTGTCTATATATAAATTAAATGAACATTAAAGGACTCTCCATGTGTCAAAAGACCATTTTAAAATTTTTTAGAGTACCTTATGAATTTGAAATTTCTAGTTGTGTAGCTTTCATACAAAACATATTCTTCATTTCTTTTAGGTACAAAAGCAAAATAGAAACCATTTTATCTTTCTGGTGCCAGATGAGTGCCATCTACATGTTTGATTTTTCATTGCATGCATCTCTCACCAACAAAATAAATTTTGCAACAAATTGCAAATTATTTAATAAAATGAGCTAACAGAAATCAGGTCTTAATATAATGTCTGAATGTAATATCCTGAAATTAGAGGTTCTTTTCCATTCTAAATATAAATTAACATTATTTTATGCATTTAAAAAGTATATATTTTTTCACTTTTGGTAAGTTTTACTTAGAACTTTCTCTACATGTAGTGTTTCTTTTTGTGTTTAATATTATTTTTTGGTATTTTTCTCTTACTAGGTGGAAATTTTAGAAAGTTTCCAATAACAAATTTCAGGAGAAGAATTTTAAACATGCAAATTCAAAGATGAAATTGCATTATATTAAAAGTTTTTATGCTATTAAATATTTCAAATCAAAGTTTTTTAAATCCAGATTTCTTTACATATTTTAGTGTCGGCATTATTAGAATTAATTAAATGCTTGATGACTAGGGCAAAGCTTAGGAATGTTATGAAGCTATCTCATTTTGAAATAAATCCAGTATCAACGTCAAATATTTTTGAAATCATAGAATTATCTAATTATAAAATACTAATCAGTTCTCAGAATTTCAGCAATTATAGAGCTCTTTAGAAGCCCATCCTTTTTTGTAACACAAGGAAAGGCAGATATATGTAAAGGTTTGTTATCAATATATATACACCATTCCAATGAAATGTGGTACAGTTTTCCTGAATAATTACATAGGTGGCAGCACTCCCTTATCCTGAACATGATGCCACAAAACAGTCAGAGGCTGTGGGCTTCCACCTAAACTAAGGTGGAAGGAAGTTTGAGAGAGGGAGAGAGAAAGAGATAAACAGTAAGACAGTAAGACAGACAGAAGGTGGGAAGGGAGGAGGGATAAAAGGGAGGAAGACATGGACTTAGATTCACTCATGGCTTTATAAACTAATGTTAGATTAAAAAAATAAAGGACAGCTCTATAGAGTTTCTTATGCAAAAACATTTTCATCTGAAATTTGTGGAAAAATGTAATTCATTTTAAACGTGTGTGTTTTAGGTGTAGAATACACATATACGCCTAACTATATTTCCATTTTGATATATTTAGCTAATTTTTAATTTTTTGTGCTGTTAAAATTGGAATATTATACATATAATTGCAGTGACTATTGTGAGAGTTTTAAAAGAACATGTTGCTTGTTTCTATAATTTAATAGATAAACGAAAAAATGTTTATATAAAGTTATAATGAGCATGATATTTTATGATATGTATTTTTCCCCAAGAAAGATTATATTTCAAGTACTTTTATTATGAAGCCAATCATAACATCTCAATAAGCAGTGGATTTTCTGGGATGAAAATGTCTCGTGCTTGACTTTAAAATCTGGAAAAATAAGGTTGCATAAAATCTTATTTTCCAAAGAATAGTCGTGAAAATGGTAAAGTGAATATTTTTTTCTAAAAATGAAATCACATATGAAAATTTCGAGGAAGAAGCATATGACAGGCTTCTACACCTTTTCCACTGTGCTAGTGTGACCCAAGGTTAGAATCCTCCACAGTGAAATGTCCTCAGCTGCTCATTGTGCCTTTGTAGCGTTTCTTAAATATAGGAAAGCCTGTTGCCATAGGCAGAATCTGTTTTATGTGATACTGTCAATATTTTTCTTAATATCTTGAAATCGCAAGAGTAAAGCACACAAAAGAATTTGGAACATTTCCACTTGCAAATGTTATTACTTTAGGATTCTTCTAACAGTGAATAGACAGCATGGTCAGATTCATTTTATTTAGTACACTTGCAAATTTACAATTATCACTCTATGTGTAAGTATCTTAGTAGTTTTGTTTTTACTGATTGTATGCATTTTTGATTAATAGTAACTACTGAAAGTCAAGCAGTGCAAAGGTTACGAAAGCTGATCTTATTTAACACCAAAAGAAAAAAAAGATGGATGATTTCATGTGCAAGATTTTTATAAGCCCGAGTTGCAATCATCTCAAGGCTCACCTGCATGAGGATCCACTTTCCAGCTCATTCACAGGGCTATAGCAGGCTTCAGTGCTCACTGGCCGTTGGTCAGAAACAATATTTCCATTCTATATGGGTGTCTTCACTGGGCAGTTTACCGTGTATGAACTGATGTCTTTTAGAGCATGAGCATGTTGGGGTGGGAAGGAAAAAGACAGGTCTGAGAGACAGACAGAAACAGACAGAGAAAGAACAAGACAGAAGTCACAATTTTTCCAACCAAATCTTGGAAGTGACATCTAATCACTTTTCTTACTTTCACTGGAAGTGAAGCACTATTTGTTAGAAATGAGTCACTAGGCCTAGCTCACGCTAAGAGGTGATTAGGCATTCGGTATTAATACTTGGTGCTACCTTACAGGCTCCTTCCTATAGGGCGGTTTCTGTCTCCATATGTAGGTTTTTGAATATCAGCAATCTTTTGGTATTTGTACCGAATCTTTACTTTGTTGGTTTAAAAAAAAATCTCTAACATTTAGTGGCTTACACAGTGACAATGCATTATTTATCACATCTTTGTTGGTTGACTAGTTGGTTCTTCTCCATTTGGCAACAGCCTGAGCACTGGAATGGCTGCGGGGCCGATGCTCTCACTCCCATGGTGGGCTGGTGTTCTTGGCCATAGCTGGGAATTAAGCTGAGGCTGTGGGCTGTGGGACTTGATTCGTTTCCATATGGCTTCTGCATGTGATTGATGAAATTTCTTCACGGTATGTTTGCTGGGCTACAAGAGGGAGCATATCAACAGTGAATGTTTCAGAAGGTAGCAGCAGGAACCGCCATGTCTAGTGTCAGAGGCTCAGCATGTTGCTCCATTCTATTGGTGAAAGAAGTCACAGGGTAAACTCAGGTTCCAAGAGAAGAGGAATAAACTCTGCCTCTTGATGGGAAACTGTCATCCCTATAAAGGGAGACGAGGAATTGCTGGAGAGCATCTTTGAATATAGACGTACCGGAGGGTGCCCCCTGGCTGTAATAACCCATATGCCTCCCACAGGCTGCATGCACTCACCCCCTTCGAAGACTCTCACAAGTGTCTTCTCATCACGACATCATCTTAGAGTCTTGTAGCCATCATCCTTACTGGGTCCAAGTGTAGATGGACTCCTTGGCAGCAGCCAATTGGTGCAGCTCTTCAACTGTGGTTTTCTGAATGCAGACTTGAGAACTAAAAAGGCAAGCTCCCCACCCCCAGCCAGCCCACAATGGGAAGATGGTGGGATGATCATAGTAGTCACTCCTACCAGGAAGAGTTAAAATAGGCCCACAGTGGGGTGGGGACCCACGGTGATGATTCTAAAATCCATCCAGGCACGGTTGCCTTTTCCTTTGACGCTGGCAGCAGGAAATTCTCCTTGCTGCTGCCTGGAGAGGTTCTCCATTGCCATTGGTGCTATGCCCTGAATACTTGGCTCTGCTGTCTGATTTACCCTTCCTCCCTTTCCCCCGCTCCCAAATGGCCCATGTTGCAGGTCAGGAGCTTTCCCAGCCTTCTTCCTGACTGTAGGAGGTGGAATGCTAGGGACTTCTTTTCATTTTGAATGGTCTCTGTCCCTTTAGATAAACGCTGGTGTAACAGCCTTTGAAATTTTGTGGTTTTACCAAACAACATAAGTAGTCCAGTTCCTCAGGCATTTTCCAGCGTGCTTTGGGATATCTAAGATTTTTCAAACCTAGTTGAGAAGTTGCATGAATGCTTCTTTTTTACACCTTTGTGTAGCTGTAACAAAGTATTTTACAGCTTTACCTTTGAATTGTTTGATTTGATCTTCCTCTTAAGGCCACACTCAGCTCACTCTCAGCACTCTGAAATTCATCTTTGTCCCCAATTCCAGGCTGGAGAGATAGAGAATTGCAGGGGGAGGGGTGGAGGAGAGGGGGAGAGAAGGGGACAGAGGGAGAGAGAGAGAGAGAGAGATCGATCCTAATTCTGATTAAAAATTCTTCTTATGTTGATCTCTATATGTACCTTACCTCTATCTGTACCTGTCTGCACCTAAGAGAAGACTTTTGACATTTTCAACATTCTGTTGAGTACTCTCATTAGTAAAATGTACAAGTCTATTGTGGATATTTCCTGTCTTCTACCCAGGAGTATTGCCAGACTTTCTGCCACTAAATAACACAGCTGTGTTATATCCAGTAGGATTTTCTTACCTGTTCTCCCAGCCACAACTGATAGTTTTCTCAGGAGTCTTTCAAACCCTACTCAGTCCAAAATCTATGCCAAAATTCGTCCTGCATATGGTTGCAGTAATGTCCACTAGTGTCAGCAGCGGACAGGAGTTTTCATTGTTCCACATACACGTGAAACTCGATGTCGTCAGTCTTACATCCTTTTCTGTTTTGTTGGCTGCTTAATGGGATCACACGTTGTTATTTTAATTGCATTTTGTTTATTATTAATAAGATTAAATGACTTGTATTAAACGTTTTAGAGGCTCAAATTTCCTCTTGTATGAAATACCTGACCAGGACTTTTGCCTGTCTTATGTTGTGTTGTCTTTCTTTTGTATGCTGATTTATGGTAGGTCTGTATATATTCTAGATATTGGTGATATGAAGGCTATAAGTGTTGATAAGGTCTTGCAGTGTGTGGCTTACCTTTTTATTCTCACTCTGGTGTCATGTGGAGGTTGAAAATTCCTAATTTTAATTTGTTTATTACTTTTATTTTTCATATTGTGACTTAATGAATCTTCCCTTATAGAAATCATAAAGCGATTCTTTTTTGTTGTCTTCTAAATACTATATTTGCTTACTTTTCAGATTTTGATTTTTACTGTGTGGTGTGAAGCAGAGATTGAGTTCCGTTCTTTAAACACATGAATACTGAGTTATACCAACATGAGTAATTAAAAATAGATCACCAAGATAGATGCTGCCCAAAATAGTTGAGCATTTTTGCCTTTTAGCACAGGGATTTAAAACTGTAAATATCCCTGTAAGTTCTGCTTTAGCAACACCAAACAAGTTGTTTTTGTAGTATTTTTATAATAATTGTTTTACTAAATAATAATAATTTTAAATTTTTTTTTCTTTGATAAGCTCTGTCCCTATGGTGGTAGATTTTTATTTCTCTTTGAATCCTGGAAATATTTCATTGATGCAATGATAACATTGTACCTATGTTATTAGGTATATATACATTTAAAATTCTTGTATCTCTCAGAGAGTTGAATCTTTTGGAGTTTAAAAATAACTCAGTTATTTGTAGTAATGCTTTTTTCCCTGAAGTTTTTCTTTATTCCTATAATTGCCATATCAGATCTCTTTGGTTTTGAATTTGCATAATTCTTTTCCTAACATTTTAAACAGTTACGTTTCCCTAAATTAGAGATGTTTCTTAGGAGCAACACATTATTAGATTTGTGTTCTAGTCCAGTTTTCTGGTCTTTGTTACTTAAGATTGTGTTTAGTTCATATATCTGGGTTTAGATCAATCCTACATTTTATGCTTTCTATTTGTTCCTCCTTTGTTTTATTTCTTTTTTTTCTTTTTTAGTTTCTACTTTTCTTCTTCTTACTATAATTTCCTCATGCAATTTGTCTGCCTTTATTTATTTTTGGAATTAAATTACTTTTTCCCCTGTCCTATTAGTGGTTACTCAAGAAACTACAACATATACATTCTCTTCTCAAAATCTGCTGTCATTATTCCCTTGAAAAACACAGAATCTTAAGATGTTATCTTACATTACTGTCTCATGATTTATCTGTTATTTTTGCCTTACTCTTATTATTGGATTCAGTGAGTGCCCATCTGTTTACCCACACATTTCTTATTCTTTATTCCTTTTTGCATCTAAAATTGGGGACCTAATATCACTTACCTTCTGCTTGAACTGGAGACTTCAGACATTCCCTTAGTGAAAATAGATTTTTGGCAGATAATTCTAGTTTTCACTTCAGCTTCATTCTTGGATGTTGAAGTCTGGATGAGCATTTTTTTTCAGCTTGCTGAATACATCATTCCAGTCTCCCGGGTGCCACTGAAATCAGGTATCAACCTAATTACCACTCCTTTCATGAGTGTGTTACTCTTTTTCTCTGCATAGTGTATAGATTTTTTTCTTTTTCAACAGTTTTGAAAACTCTAAATAATTATCTCTTTAAATATTTCATGCCCTTCATTTTCTGCTCCCTTTCTAGAAACCTGATAAGATTAGTGTCTCACTGTGTCTTGCCTTTTAACTTCTCCTTTATTTTCTCACTCTTCATCTGTCTGTGCAATGCACTGGAAATTTCTTCGGGTATCTTTGAGTGCATCCTTTATAGTCTTATTAAATCTGTCTATTGAGTTTTTTATTGCAATTACTGTGATTTTCATTTCTACATTTATTTAGTTATTTTTCAAAAACACTGAGGTATTTTTTGGTAGTTTCCTATTCCCTGCAGATATTTTCAGTCTGGTTTGTAATGTCTTAAAACATGATAAACATTGTTCTTTTATGGTCTGTGCATGGTAGTTCTACTATTTGGAATCTTTCAAGATTCATTTCTTCTCTTCGTTTTCACTGTTCTTCCCTCAGGTCTTATGCGCCTGTGATTAACTTTTTGCTGTAAACAACTCATTTTCTTTGGAAAATTATTTGGGGGAATTGTTTCGGGCCTAGAATGAAGTTATATTCCTGCAGAAAGTAGTTGTATTTATTGCAGCCCATGCATAATCCGTGTAACCCTTGTCACTTAAATGTATGGTTTAAGATATTTGGATAATCCGGGTCTTACGTATTTGAGGTGCAGTTCTCCTGTAATGACAAGTGTTGACTGAAAATTCTCTCGCACATTGTCACTCCTCACTCTGCTCAACAGCAAGGCATCGTCCCTCTTATCATTTTCCACAGCCCCTTCAGTAGAGAAGGAGCTGGACAGTCTCACATTCAGCTCACGTAAGTGGTGGTGAATCTCCCTGTTTCAGCTTCATGGAGAGTGGCTCTCTCATCAGATTCCCAGCCTTGGTTAGACATCTGAGGTCCTAAAAACAATTATTATAAAAGTACTATATAATCAATATCTTTTATTACTTTAAAGTAAATCCTCAAAAATTGAATTGGTAGTTATACACAATTTATGTGTCATAGGGAATATGTTATGGTGATGAGAGGTAGTTTGTTCTGACAGGGCTGTTGACTCCAAGAGAAAACTTAGGAGATGGATCTTGAATTAATGTTAGGAAATGTATCTAGAACTTCAAGTTTTATGAGTTATTTATAGGAGAAACTGAATATTTCGGAAGAAGTTGGCAGCATCAGAGGTACATTCTAGAGAGACCGGATTGAAAAATGTTAAGACTGAAATTAGGAGGACTAGGTGGAACAAATGATTGGCTCTAAGCATTACTAAAAAAGAAAATATACCAGGAATTGAGAATAAAAAAAGTAATAAAGGTCAAAACTTCCAAAGAAAGGAATTGATGTGACCTTGGTCATTTTGAGGTAGATGCAAGGAACTGTTAAGAGTGAGGAAGAAACCAAAAAGTCACTAGAGTCTAAAGCCTGGATCACTTAAAATTCAATGATGACGTTGGCGAAAATCACAGGGAAAAAGTGGAAGAAAGATAACTGTGTAAATTTTGGACGTGTTGGTCCTGAAGTGGTAAATAAATGTTCAAGCACAAATGTCAAGACTAACTAGCAGTGAAGCTGCTGCCTCTTTTGGAGGTTTATTAAGTCCATGGTCACAGCTGTGAACAATTGTGCAATCAGACAGACTGTGTTCAAGTACTGACTCTCCACTGACTAAACAGTGCCTTTGAGTCACTTTATAATCTTTCGTGAACTTCCGTTTTCTCCTGCCTTCAATGAGAATAATTGTACTTATTTCATATAATGCAGTGATTTCACCACTTAAACACCATACAGTGAATGTAGGGAAGTTTTACCCACAGTTGTTCCTCAATGAAGATGTTAGCATCACACTTACAATTGCGGTTTTAAGGCTGCAGTCACTGTGGGAACACCAGATCTCTTAATGATATTTGTGTGCTCAGAGCTGCTTGCTTCATTCCCACACACTGTTGAACTAGGAGTCCTCTCCCTGGTACTGAAAGCATGGATGTAAACGAGACAGAGAGCCAAGAGAAAGGTCTCCAAGAACCAAAAGAAGGTTTCAGAACCCCAAATCCATGGATTCATTAATGAGTTACTTTTTTTTTCTTTCTTTCAGACAGGGTCTCACTCTGTCACCCAGGCTGGATTAAGGTGGTACGATCACAGCTTTCTGCAGCCTCGAACAGTTGGCTTCAAACCATCCTCCTGCCTTAGCTTCCCAAGTAGCTGGGACTACGGGCACATGCCACCACACCCGGCTCGTTTTACTTTATTTTGTAGAGATGTGGGTCTCACTGTGTTGCTTAGGCTGGTCTCAAACTCCTGATCTCAAAAGATCCTCCTTTTCTGGTCTCCCAGAGAGGTGGGATGACAAGCACGAGCCACCCCACCTGGCCCTACTTTTTGAAATAGTCTGTAAAAATTTTTAATCATTTAATTTGTAGCAATGTCACTCATTGAAATTATTGAGATCAATGAAAGGTAGTTTGTATTCCAAAACATCCAGAAGAAAGCCATAGCTGATGGGAGTTTCTTTTGGAATATGGAAGCTGGAGAGTTTCTGAGTTGAGAGGAGGCTGTCTGTGTAAAATGGAACCGTAAAGACAATAAAGAGAATCATTGGTAGAATGAGAGTGCAGAGATGAGTCATGGGTTTCACGTTACAGAACAGGTGGTGCCGTTAGGGTGAGTGGGCACAGAGTGAGATACTCAGATCTGGACGTCAGAAAAGTGAGTGCCAAAGACTGTAGGATGGAGGGGCAAAGGCATGGAGACGGTGAGTACTGTGAAGCCTGAGGGTGAGGAAGGCCGTGACAAAGAACACCATGGCGGATATGGAAAGGGAAGGAGGTAGTAGAGATTTTACAAAGAATAATTGCAAGCTCTTGGTATCTTTCTGATGAAGGGAAAGTGTGAGGAAGTAGTCACATTTATTTTGTTTTTGCAGTTTCCAGCTCAGGTTAATGATAGAACAAAATGAAAAGTCTAAAAGCAGTAAAGCAGAAGGCATCCCATAAATCTTCCTCTCTAACTAAATAAGAAAAACCCATTCTTTCCTTCTAACATCACCGAACCTAAAAAATATGATATTGATTTATGTTGCTGCAGACCATTACTCTGGGAAAGCCTCGGATTATTTTTCTCACCTCTTAATGAAATCACCTTCCATGCTCTTGTTCTTGAATGACAGAAAAACGAGCGAGGAACTACAGATTGAGCAGGTATCTCATAAACAGCTGTGTCTTAAGCAGAATTGTAGGAGCAAGTGCACCATTTCAGAGTGCTTTTGTAATGCAGTGCCTTTTCAAAATTACAGATTTTCTAAATGCCAGTGGAAAGAAGTGGTATAACACTGTTAAAAATTCTAAGACTTCCATTTTAGCACTATTTCCAGTTGTATTTGATATGGGCTGTAAGTGGTCTCCATTCTTACAGTCCTTAAGAGATGATACGTTTGCATGCCAAATGCACCCTGGCAGTTAGGTCTGGAGGTCCAGGAATAATCATTCTTCACATTCCCCAAGATGGAGACTATGCTTTCTAGAGATAATTCTTTCAGAGGCAGAATGTGGTCCCAAACTAGCCAGCTGACATGATTACTTCCATTTTCGAGTAGAGTCCCCATTAAAATTACTGGTTTCAGATGCCCGTTCAAACCTAAATTACTGTAATAATTGGGAAAATAAGTACAAAGGAGACAAATACAAGAAATAGAGATGGGAAGATTTGAATATTTTGGTAATCATGTACTTAGTCTGTATTTAAAATGGACCAAGATTACTTGATATTGTAGAATGCAAATAAATCCTTTAAGCTCTCAGATAGTTGTACACTTCCAGGAGATGACCTCTTAAATTGCAAACAGTGACATTAGACACAATGTTTTATTTTTTTAGAAAAAGTTTCATACATATTTAGATTAGCTTGGTTTTACCATTATTTACACTGAAGGTATTATTTTCGAGCTAAATAGACGTAAAAGGGACTTGCGCACCTAGCATATGATGCTATATATTAAAGGAAAAGTGGCTATCTTGGCATGTAGCAAGTATCTATCATCACTTTGATATTTGCAGTATGCAGAAAAAACTATGTTAGGAAATTTTCTGAGGGTATTTTCCTACTGATCTCAGGCATTTGAAGACATACAGTTAACTTCTCTTTCATCTCAACATTAAATGCTATCTAATAAAAATAAGTGCAGTGTGCAGAATAGCCAATGAGGCTACAACAACAGTATTTGATTTGTAAATAAATTTTATAGAGCAGTAATCATATTTGAGATATTCTTTGAATTAAGATAATTTTTATTCATGTATCGAAGAGGTTCGAAATCTGAATTGTACATGCATGGGATAATTTATTTTTACATAACATTTTATACTTTAGCAAATCCATATCCACTCTATTAACTAGTTGATACGTGCAAATACTACTGCTTTGTACCAAGCCTGGTTGATATTTTTTACCCCAGTCTCTTAGAAGCGAGGCAATTGATGCCTTAGAAGGTAGAATTCTGTCAATAAGTGTTAGTTACATACAGGTTCAGCATATTAAATTTTCCTCGTCGGTGGCTTTTTAAGAAATTAAGTATTTGACATACTTTTGATTATTTTCATTTGGGTTTTGAGTCTGTTTTGTTTAACATAATATCATTACAAAAGCTTTTTATCATTTATTTATTGCTTGTCTGGCATATATTTTTTTGCCTTTTTAATTTCTACCTATCTGCGTCAGTATATGCCTTATGTGTGGCTTTTATAAAAAGTGGGTGGCTGAGTTTTCTAGATGTGACGAGCAGAGTGATGGCTAGAACTTACAGATTCTGCCCTTGGTAAAGGAATGAGAATCATAACTTAAAAGGACACATTTACTTTTACAGAATATGATAACTTTACCTCTTTTCCAGACTGACAGAAATTCATGCAGTGCAAACAGCTTCTCCAGGATTGACCAAGAGGTGCCTCATGCATGCACCCGTGCCAGGCTCCTGGCAAGGCACCACTTGGCATTCTGCATTTGCTCTCTTGGTCCCATGATGGATCCTCCACTTGCCATGTGTCCCACTGCTGCCTGGCATGAAAACTCCAGTGTCCTTGCCAAGGGCACCAACAGAGAACACTGCTAAAGTTTCCAGCAAGAGGCTGCTCCAGCTCTATTTAGAAGGGTCTAATATTCATCAAATTCACTGGGAGCACAAAAGGTCTTGTCTTGAAGCTCCGTTAGCATGGCTTGTACAGCTTTATTGTGTCCTTATCTTATTTATGTGGCTGTAACACACAAGGCTTTGCCATGATGCTTAAACGTACATCTTTAAATAATTTTGAGAAAGCATAACTTTTCTTGTAAAATATTTTGCTTCTTGATTTTCATTGACACCATTTATTTAGTTTACAGTGGCATAATTGGGATGGAAGAGGACAACGTGAGATTAATGCCATCTCCTCACCACACACACACTCCACACACACACACACACACACACACACACACACACAAATCTGCAGTGCCACCACTGCTTCCAACCTGTGTGTAGCAGAGACAGCATTTTCCTCCTCTGCAACCTATGTCACGCTTGTAAGCCTGGGTCCCAAAGACTGCACTTCGTTATTCCTAGACACTCATGTAGTTCTTAGGAGAAGTTATGTCTTCTCACTTTTCTGGGCATAAAAGCTCAGCCCCAGTCTAATATCACCTGCCTTGGCATCAGCTCCAGAACCTTCTGTAGCCTGCTGTTTCTCCCTCCTCCTGATTAATTGCCAGTGGTTTCTGTGCTTATCAATAAGCTGGAATTGATAGTGGGAAAACAGTGAATGTGGCATAATTGAGAAAAGAGGATAATAATGGAGGCGTTTTATTCACTAATAGCACTGGCACCACATTTCTGCCAACAAGAAATGCCCTATTAAACCAGTTCTAGTGAAAAAGATGGCTCAGGAGATGGGCTCATGTATTCTTTGTGTGACTTAGGATGAGCAAATAACAGCATTCTGAGAGAATTAAGGGGCAGGGATATTGCTAATAACCAATCAAGAGCGTCCCTGGTTGCCCTTGGACAGAAACAACAACAGCAACAGCAACATACAACAACAACAAGAACAACAAAACTTATTCTATGACAGCTAATTCAAATGTGCAAACTCCAGCATTTGGACAGTATGGGTGTGTGTGTGTGTGTGTGTGTGTGTGTGTGTGTGTGTGTTCTTGTCTTCATTGTTCTGTTTCTGCCCATTTTTGATCGTCTGATGATTTCTTCTTCACTCTATCCCCCACATCTTTCTATGATTATGTTTAGTAAATGCATATTTTCTCTGTAGAACAGTAGTATTGCCTTGTTACTATCTATCAGAAGTAAACATTGTAAAAGCCTACTTAATGTGAACACAAACAAAATCCAACTTCTGTGTACTCGTGTTATAAGAGTTACGTTTTCTCAATTTGTTTAAAAATGTGAATACACGCACCATGAGGAAACTTCAAATTACAGCTAAATAAATAAAATAAGGGAACAAAAAAGCTTTACAAGCCCAGCACATATCAATAATATTTTAAAGGGCTTGAAAATTTTCTTCCTGTAAATCTTGTAAGTTTTGGTTTCTTAAATTTATATATGAATAAAATTTATGTTAAACTAGAAAAGAAAGTCAGGTTATATATACTCTGTGCCCACATGAAAACCATTAGGTAGACAGACTCAAAAAGAGAAGCTATAATTGTCAACCCCATACTTAGAGAAAAGAGTATACCTTTAAAAGAAGTTTAAAACATGGTGATATGAATTTTATACTAGAGCAATGCTGCTTCTAGACGAGTGAATTAACTCAGAGTATTAAAACAATATGATTATGCAAGCTATTCTTTACTCTGCTGTTAAGATTTTTCTGCCATTGATATTTAAAATGGCACTTAAAGTTTGTTCAAATGATTTCAAAAACTACAAACACTCTGGTTTTCAACCTTGAGTAAAAAACAAGGGGTCCAACACCTGTTGCAGACAAGTATGGAAGGATGGAAATAAGAATGTCCCCATTGAAGGGTGTGGTTAGTTTCAAATTAGACATTGTTTCAGTAAAGATGTGTACACAAACATGATGGGACTTTCAAAAGTGAGTAGGAGATTGGATGTGAAGATTGATTATGGATCGCAGGTCTAAGAAATGGAAGTCAGTCATCTGGGAATTGAATGAGAACAAGGAAGAGTGAGTGGACAGTGGGAAGCAAGGTGAAGGAGGAGTTTGCGTTGTGTTATTAGCTAAGAAGGGACTTGAGCAGATTTATTGTCTGAAAGGTTGTAGATAATAGAAGGTAGTTTAAAAATTTTAGGAAGATAATTGATGTGCTCACTACTATGAATAGGGGTGATGAGAAAATCCAGAAGATAGGTAGAGAATTCGATTTAGAGAGATTAATTTTTCAGAATTGGAGGAAGATAATTGATATGCCAACTACTATGTATAGGAGTGATTAGAAAATCCATACGGTAGGTGGAGAATTAGATTTAGAGAGAGAAAGTGTTGGTAGATAGGCAGTAATGACAGTGGATCTGGATGAGTTTATAGGTTGAGAGTGGGAAGTTGAATAACTTCCTAGCTCATGGAGTCTTTGTTGATGTTAATGAGAAAACTAAACATTGTCCCTGATTGTTTTCTCCTTCACTTCCCACACCCAATCCATCAGTAAACCTAAAATAAAGTGATTGGTCATTGAATGTTAACTGTAGGGTTTGTAAATTTGATCAACTTGCTTGAACCCAAATATGATCATATGCTTGGAAGAACTAATCACAGAATTACTGGGCTTCAGGGTGAAAAGGACGTCGTAGGTAATGTCGTCTACCAACCCACCCCCCACGAAGCCTACACAAATACTTGTTTCCTGGGGCAGCATTTAGTACACCTCATCATTAGCTTTCAACACACAGCTCTAATTTATTCCTCTGTAGGACAAATGAAAAAGATTTACTTACGTGGATCTTGATCTCTGAAATTCATTTTTGAAACATTTTGAACATATTTGTGTTTTTAACCATAGCTCCAACATCATACTCAAACATATTTTTCCCCTGCCAAAAAAAAATTGTATTTTATCTGTTTTATATATAAAATTGCTTTAGGTTACGTCACTCCCAAATCAAGAGAGAAGGAAGAACAGCCACATGGAGAGTCCAGACAGGCCCAGTAGACCAGATGACATTCTTAGCATTTACAAGTCTGTAATGAATTCAAATAGAATGTGACAATATGGAAATCTGGAGGTCGACTGCCTAATTCTGATTTCAAGTCCTACCATTTACAACTGTATTCTTAGGCTAGTTACTTAATCTCTCTGTGCTGCCTGTTTTCCTCAGCTATAAAACAAGCATAGCACTGTTATCTACATCATACAGTGTTAAGGAATAAAGGACTTACTATATTTAAAGTAATTAAAATAATATCTGGTACATATTAATTATTGCAATGGTATTAGCTATTTTCGTGGATCTAACTAAATGAAAATAAGAATTAAAATGAGAAACCAGAAAAAACCCTTTTAGTCACGTAGATATATTTCAAACTTGTATTCTTTTCATTTGTGTAGAATATTTGAGAACTCTGTCTCATAAAAATTTGATTCATTTGTATTTTAGTTTGTATTATAGGAAAATTCTTGAAGATTATAGTGGAGTGCTTAAAAATACAAATTGATTCTAAAGTCTGCATTCTCTTTTGTAACATAAATACTAATTTCTATCAAAATACTGGATTCATTTTTCTATGGCCAATTAATAAATGGTTTGCAGTTAAATATTGGTGCTGCATGTTAGCTCATTAAATTTTTGAGGTTTATGAACAACACTGTAACATGGCTTTAGTTTTTCCACATTTTACTTATCATTTATTTGATAAAAATGTAACAGTCAAGACAATTTAAAAATTCTGGCCAGTTATTCAAAGCCAATGCAAATAATAGAGATTGTTAGGTAACTTAGGAAATTAGTAAAGATTTTATTTGATGCCACTTTCAGTGTCTACTTGTCAGTAAAAAGGAGAATATTAAGGATGAATGACATAATTCAGGATGTCTGAGATTGTGGAAATTTGGGGAAAACTATTGTTTTCTAAGACTATCCTGTTAGGTAGTCGAGCTGTGCGTTGAAAATATCACAGTATTAAAGCTGATTTTTATAATCAGAAGGTTTGTAAACATAGTTGTGTCACCTGGTCAGGAAGTGACGTGTGCTCATGACCTGTTCTGGGAATACCACTGTATTCTGTGATATAATGGCATACATGAGTTGTAAAAACCTAAACCAACAACATTCTTATTTCAGTTAAGGAAAATAAGACTCAGAAATATGGAATGATTGGTTCAATGTTCTAGAGACAGCACTGAAGCTGTTTAGGTCTTAGATCAAAACAAGTTGTATTTTTCTAAAGTTGTCAATTCCCTATTTCTTTCATTTATAAAATGAGGAGGCCTCTGATATGATTCAGTTATAATCTAATCAGTTAACAGTAGTTTCCAGAAAGTTCATCTGCAATGTGGCTAGCAGTGTGAAATTTCATTGGATTATGAAATAAATACATCGTGCAAGCCTGAGCTATTAAATTGTAATTTAGAGTTCTTTTAGAAGAAGGTACCCATGATACAAAGATAAGGTTGGTCGGGGCAGACGTTCTGCAGCTTTTTAGTCTCAAAACTCCTTTCCTCTCCTAAGAACTATTGAAGAACTCAAAATGCTTGGCTTATTGGCTGTATCATTCAATATTTATTATATTAGCCATTTAAACTGAGTATATTTTAAATAGCTATTTATTAAGTAATATTCAAATTATACCAATAAACCAATAATGTGTTAAGGTAAATAGCATACTATATTAAAATATAAATTAATATGAAGATATTAATGAATATTAAAATATTAATTAGAAGAATGGCATTATTTACATTTTTGCAAATCGAGTGTCAGGTTTATTATGCTGGATTATCACCCCTGCTTATGCATTAAATCTGTTATGATGTGTTGTTATGGTGGAAGTAGATGAAGAGAACCCAGTCTAACAGAGATATATATGTAGTTGGAACAGCAGGAAAGAGTATCTTTTTTTTTTTTTTTGGTACGGAGTTCCGCTCTTGTTGCCCAGGCTGGAGTGCAATGGTGTGATCTCGGCTGACTGCAACCTCAACCTCCCGGGTTCAAGCAATTATCCTGCCACAGCCTCCCGAGTATCTGGGATTACAGGCATGTGCCACCACACCTGACTAATTTTGTATTTTTAGTAAAGATGAGGTTTCTCCATGTTCGTCAGGCTGGTCTTGAACTCCCAGCCTCAGGTGATCTGCCTGCCTCGGCCTCCCAGAGTGCGGGATTAAAGGCATGAGCCACCGCTCCTGGCCAGGAGAGTATTTTAAGAGCCTTTTCAGGGAGGGGTGATTATTCTTTTGTACTACACCAAAGCTCAACAAGTGATAGCTTCTTAAAGGTTAGTTGCAACAGGGAATATCAAACCGTATTGATGAATTTCTTTGTATTCTGTTACATTAACATCCATTAGTGTATTTTCCTCTTCAAAGGGCTCTGTTCCACATGCATCCTTGTTTAACTTCATGCATTATTTATTTGGCAGTTATTGGATTACTATTATGCAGAACTGCTAAATGTTGACACAAATCAAAAATCACATTTGTTCCCATCAACAACAATCTCATTTAAAAATTCTCTCAGCGTTGGGAAGCTGTCAAGTGCACTCTAGCAAATACATCTCCTTCCCTTGAAACTTGAATTTTATCATTGGCAACAAATATTGTCGGTTGTTTTTCTTAAAAATCAACAGATTCATTTTGTTCATTTTCAAGAAAATATCTGCCAAACATCCAAATCTAAACAACTGTAATATGCTTTTCAAGCAGAAATGATGCTCCATGAGAAAAATGAGTAACTCACACAATTCAAACAACTACAAGGTGCTTGTTCTTAAGAAAAACAGGAAACAATTCAGTCTGCAGCAAAAGTGCCTTATCTGTACTTAACATTTCCTCTTACAGAATATTAAAACTGTTACTCTAGACTTCAGAATCTAAATAATTGTTTTTAATGCTTCATCATGATGATGTTAAGTAAAATTCTTTTTTATTTTCCTGCTGTGCAATTGCATGGCAGTGAATTATGCAGTGAACACTAGCTGCTAAGGTTTGGTGCCACAGTCCTGATTCATTGCTAAGACACCAGCAATTCTCTCCACCATTGTTTTTGCACCATCAATGCAAATGTCAATCAATCCAGATGTCCCAGTATAAACCGTAGGATTGGAAAGTTAACCAAAAATTTGAATATTTCAACACTACTTCCATTTGTTGTCAAGCATTCACATAAAAGATGATCCTTGATCATTGGCCCATGCTGACATTCAGCGAATTCAAGCAAACTAAGGAAGCCCAGCCAAGTTTGTACATCCGTTCATTTTTTAGACAAAAGTAAAATTCTCCAGACATGGCATTAACTCTGTCTTCTTGTCTAAGCTGAAACTTTAATCAGCAAGTTACTGTGTGATGGGAAAGTGGCAGTGTCCTGGTTTCTTTTACCGACTTTTCATCCAGTAGGCATTCAGCAATGGCAGGTGTAAATGGTTTCATTAGCCTCCTGTGAGCTTCTCGACCAAGGTCTCACAATAACTGTGAGACATTTCAATGAGTTCACTATTTTGAGTTTGAAAAGTGACATTTGGCTTTTAGAGAGCTAATGATGTCTACGTTTAAAAATATACTGTTTTTTTTTTTTTAGAATTCTTATTTTCTCAACTCTTCAATCAAACTTTCAGAATAAAATCATTCAAAAATGCCTATTTTTCTAAGTCCTATGAAATTATTAACATCTATAAAGTGGAGGAAAAGATACATTTTCTCATATTTTCATTTTTATTTACAGGTTTGTTTGATTTTATTTGGAATAGATTCTTCCATAAGAAACCTGTTTGAAATGTCAGGTTCATCTTTTTTCATAATTTAGAAATAGATGGTGTGACTGTGGTGGAGACAGTGAGTCTTTTCATCTCCCCTTTCTAAGACAGATGTCCATCCTTCACCATAAGAAAAATATGGTATAACTATATTTTCTTTTATTTAAGAGGAAATATTACTAAGCCGTATAATTGTTATATATCTAGATAAAAGTTAAATACAAAAGATTTCAAATTAGATAGATAAGTAAATAGATTTACAAAATAAAGCAGCAAACATACTTAATTCTTGCTGTGCTTCTGTGTAACCTCAGTAAACATTTTGAAGTTTAAGAATAACATTGTATTGAACAAAAATCGGGTTACTGGGATTGTATTAAGAACTGAAAATAGCCAGTAAGTGTCCAGTAAAATCACGGAGAACAAACTAAGCTAATCTCTGAAAATGTATGTTATTTACACCCTAAACTTAGAATATTTGAAAATACATTCACATACTTTATTAGTCATAGTAGTGTGCCATTGTCATGTAATATCTGGAAAACTCTTCCGTATATTTTTGAGAAAATGAGAATGCAAAAAGACAAATAGATTTTTAGTATTATTATGAAAATAGTGACCTTTGGATAAAGGAACACTCCTGGGCTCATAGAATAATAGTTGCAATAACATTTAAAAAACTTTAGTAATTTCACATAATTGGAGTATATTATTTACTGAGGAAGAGTCTAATCAGAGTCAAGGAAAATGCTGTCTATACTCCACGTACTCATTTATAAAATGAAGCTGACGGAGTTTCGCATTTCCAATGCATGGCTTTTGAGGTAGACCATGGAAGAAAGACAGAGTCTGTAGGAATTTTTTAAAGAAGATTGTAAGCACCCAGCCTGCGAGTAAAAATTAACTTTTGTCTGCATTTATTTGCCAGAGTTCACTTCCATGGCCACATACAATTGCAAGGGAGGCTGGGAAACATAGTCTAGATGTGAGCCTAGAAAGAAAAAGAAAGACAGGTTTGTTAAACATGAGGCTGCTCTCTAATAGAGTGTCTAATGTGATACATTTACTGTGAGAACCTGTGGATTGGACAAGTGTTAAGTATAAGCCTTGCAATTATATCAACATATAATAAAATCAAGTTGGGGTAAAGTAACTGTATTATTTACAGGAAGAGACATGTTAAATTCAGTACTGAGTATGATCACCTATTATGCCCAAGCACTGTTCTAGGTCCTAGATAGAGAGGGTCAAGAGACACAAAGTCCCTTATAGCACATTTTTAGCACCAGGGACCGGTTTTGTGGAAGACAATTTTTCCATGTGCTGGGGTGGGGGATGGTTTCCAGATGATTCAAGTGCATTACATTTATTGTGCACTTTATTTCTATCATTATTACATAGTAATATATAATGAGATAATTATACAACTCACCATAATGTAGAATCACTGGGAGCCCTGAGCCTGTTTTCTGCAACTAGACGGTCTCATCTAGGGGTTATGGGAGATAGTGGCATCAGAAGTGTGTTGCTTATGTCCAGTCTACTCTCTGATCTCATTTCGGTTACTGTCACTGCAGAAAACCCTGCTTCACAAAGATAGGATGTAGGAAGTGGAAGCAGGCTTTTCAGTGCATTCTGTGGCAATCTCAGGATATTCTGCCTTGACTTTAATCCAGCACGTATGGAGATTTGAAGTTGTCTCAAACACACGTTTAAAGTCACCATCATTTGCAATATCAGGCATTTGATCCTCTTCTAGCATGGCTAAAGTCCATTCACCTGGCTTATTCACAAATGGGTCACAGATCCATTCCTTCCCAGTTCCGGGGCCTTCTTTGGTTAGGAAGTAACACTCAAGCTCTTCTGAAAGCTGAGATGGGTGCTCATGCACCAGCTGTGAGAAAGAAGGCCCTGGCTCCATCTCTCTCAAAATCTCTGCTAATGTTTGAAAGATGTCAGAAATTCCGTTGTTCACTCCCATAATTCCAGTTTGGCTTTGAATGCAGTCACTTTATTTGCTGACTTGAACACAGTTTTTGTTCTCCCCTGAAGTGACAGATTGAGTTTGTTGAGCAGGTTGAATGTGTCGCACAAGTAAGCAAGTTTTGTAACTGAATCTGTGTTACTGAAATGTGTTGCCAGGGAGACTATTTGTCTACAAGAAATCTCTGGAGTGGCTCTCTTAACTAAAAAACTCTGGCCAGTGATCTACATTGGGAAAGCCATCTCACTTCTGTGTGTAAGAGAAGACATGTGTGTTCAGCATCCAACTCCTCAGAGCTGCGCAAGCAGATGTGAGTTAAGGGCATGTACTTTAATGTGGTTGATAGTTTTAATCACATCCTGAAAAATGCTAAGTACACATGACATTTTTTGGCTAGCCAGCACAGCATTTCTGTATGGCTGACACAGTGCATAGACTCACATTCCCTACCTTTGACCAAGGTAGGGAAACAAGAAAGCCGTCCAGTCATGGCAGCCACTCCATTCATGCATATACAGACACAAAATGACTAATTCAGTTTTCCTGATATGTAATCATTCAAAGACTTGAACAGTTCTCTAGCTGTGATGTTGGTTGGCAATAAAAGTGCACATAACGTATCCTCATGCACATCATCTTGAAAAATACACCATACAGAAACAGATATTGTTGACTCGTTGTCAGTACTGGTAGACTCGTCATCCCAGATTGCATACCATGGTGACTCATTAATCCTAACAATTGTGCATCAGTATCTTCTGCCATTTCATCAGTTCATCTAGTTATGGTGCTAGCTGAAAGTAGCTGTGTTTTGAACTGCAGCCTCTCCTAAAAGTTCATGACAGATATCCTTAGCAGCAGGCAGGATCAACTTTTCACCAATAATAAAGGGCTTCTTAGCTTTAGCAATGAAGTTAGCCACTAAGAATGATGCTCTCAGTGCAGACACATTTGATGAAGTGATGGTTTTCAACAATTGCTTCTGTTCATTATGTTTTTGTTTTCTTTTAAATAACGCTGAAGTTGTGTCTTTTAATGCAGGGTGCTTGGTCACTATGTGGCAAAGCAGTTTTGTTGGTTTCATGACTTCCTTGGATAACTGGTCACCACACATTGTACAGAGTGGTCTTGGAGAATGTGAACTATCTGTTGCAATGAACCTGTAATTTAAGTAGGACTCTTGGTATTCTCTTTAAATGCAGCTTTCTTTTTGTTGGCAATCTTAGGGTCTTCTGCTGTCTCATCATTGGGTCTTTAACCCTTTTCAAAGAAGCTCTCCGATGACATTTGATTTTTACTCATTTTGGCTAGGCTTAGCTTGTGGGCTTACCAAAACTGTGACTGAGACAAGTGTGCAGTGTGGGAAAGACGCATTGATGGAAGTAAATAAAATAATGGGTGTGTCACATGCGGACTAAAATAAGTGGCGGATTTTGACTTAAAGCCTGCCACCACATGCAGCTGTACAACTGAAGTACATTAACTCACTTGCCACTACAAAGCCTGTCACCAGATGCCGCTTGTGACACTTGCCACTCACTGATAGGGTTTTGATATGCATCTGGAAGTGATTGCTTTATTATGGTCTCTGTGCAGTCAAACTTCTTTGCTAATGTTCATCTGTATTTCCAGCTGCTCCCCAGTGCTAGCATCACTACCCCAGATCATCAGGCATTAGATTCTCATAAGGAGCGTGCACCCTAGATCCCTCGCATGCACAGTTCGCAATAGGGTTGAAGCTCCTATGAGAATCTAATGCTGCTGCTGACTTGACAGGAGGAGGAGCTCAGGTGGTGATGTGAGCCATGGGAAGCTGCTGTAAATACAGTTGATGCTTCCTTTGCTGTCCTGCCTCTGCTCATCTCCTGCTGTGTGGCCCACAGCTGGTTGGGGAACCCATCCTTAGAGAAGTTCTTGATTATGGAGCAGTGGAAGTAGACGGTAAAAAAATATACAGACAAATAGTTAAATAATTGTAAATTGTAATTGTAATAACATGAGGGAGGTAAAATTAGGGACGTTGCTATTTTAGAGAGGATTGTCAAGGAAGGCGTTTCTGAGAATATAATATTTGAACCAAAAACCAAAGAATGAGAAAGATCCAGCTCTCCAAAGCCAGGAGAAAGTTATTGCAGAGAGACAAAAGGACAAGTTCCTGGTACAGAGGATAGGAACAGCCTGGGGTGTATGAGAAATAGGTGAATGTGATCAGAGAGAAGAGAGTGGAACCAGCAGCATGGAGCCAGGGACCAAGGTCAAGAACTCACAGGGCGTTAAGATGCATTATAAAGATTGATGGTCTTACTCTAAGGGCAGTGGAAAACCAGGAGAGTTCCATGATTCGATTTACATGTGTAATAGTTTATTTAGGTTGCTAAGTAGAGAACAGGCTGAGGGACAGATCCAGAGTGGAAGACTAGTTACCAAGTCCAACGTTATCGTGTGTCTGCCTAATAATTCATGTCCTCATCCACAAACAACCTTGGCCAATCAATCTTTATAATCTTAGTTCAATTTAGGCTGTTTTTAAAAAAGAATATTGTTTATTTGTTTGTTTTTGCAGGTCATATGGCCCATCCATTATTGTGATATTAATACAAATGGAATTACAAAAACATTTTTTTCATAAAGTTTTGTTTTTTAAACTATCAGTGCTATCACTATTAATACAAAGACAAAAATAAATTTTCAGTTCCCAGAACTGGCATTTCTCTCTACATTGCCTGGCATGAGTTATAAAAATGACAAATGTTAGCCTTCAAACTAGAAAATAGAGTATCAACTATATTCCACAAAAATTGTAGAAACAGGCACATAAGGCTGAAACCTTCTAATCAAGAAGGAGATAATGAGTATTAATTATGAATATAATTAAGCATTATTCTTAATAGTAAGAAGGATACAATGAATAACAAAAAGTCTAGATAACAGGTCATCAAGGTTGATGGAAAAATAAGGAAGAATAGGGAATCTTGTCAATATCAATGGAACTGCTTGATGAGAACAACCAATTTTAGCAGTGCTATGCAAAACATGGCTTTTATTACACAGTAGGTGTTAAATATGTATTTATTGAAATAATAACTATATATCTATTGATTTAGATGAAGAAACAAATTTCTACTAGGAAGCATCTTGTTCCAAATGATCTATGATGTCCCTATTTTTTAAATGGAGATTGCTTACAGTTTTTTTTTCCTTTTTTTCTAAAAAGATTTTTTAAAATCTATTTTCGGCCGGGCGCGGTGGCTCACGCCTGTAATCCCAGCACTTTGGGAGGCCAAGGAGGACGGATCATGAGGTCAGGAGATCGAGACCATGGTGAAACTCCGTCTCTACTAAAAGTACAAAAAATTAGCTGGGCACAGTGGCGGGCGCCTGTAGTCCCAGCTACTTGGGAGGCTGAGGCAGGAGAATGGTGTGAACCTGGGAGGTGAAGCTTGCAGTGAGACGAGATCACTGCGCTCCAGCCTGGGCGACAGAGCCAGACTCCGTCTCAAAAAAACAAACAAAAAAAATCTATTTTAAAAACAGCTTTGCAAAGGCATCTGTAACTTGTTTCAAAATTTATTAACACTTTCTAATAGTGTCTGTAGTAAAATAAGTCTAAATAGTTCATATGATCAGATTGTAGCAATCCAAGCCTCTCAGTTTCAACAGAGCAGTTCACATAACTGTTTGACAAAGCAAGAAGCAAACAACAACAACAACAAAACCTTTAATGAAGATAACTAAACTAACAATCAGCCTGTAGTTACAGGTTTTGCATATCCAGGCACACAGACATACAAAGAAACGCACTTAGATACCCACATACATATTAGCACACGTAGTCTTAATATCCTAAACTAATCTCTTCCAGAAAGAATGCTACTTTTTATATTGCAGTCCTGAATTGTTGTTGAGCAATGTCTCATAAAATATTTCTAACTTTAAAAGATTGTAACTTACAGCTGATGCCATGGTAGTAGGAACAAATGCATTTCCCAGTCATCTTTTAAATCGTATGCCAAGTTCCTTTAACATGTAGTCATTGATGCCTTCGCCCACTCATAAGTCAAAGAAACCTCAACTCAAAGTGGCAAGGGCTACAAGGACGTGTGTTATTCAAAAAGCAAAAAGCCCAATTTCAGGTAGGCAGGAAGAATAATAAGTTCAAGAGATCACCATGGTAGCTGTAGTTAATAACAATATATCCTATAATATACTTGAAAATTGCCAGAATGTAGATTTTAAGTGTTCTCACTATGCAAGAAAATGATAGATACATGTGGTAAGACGTGAATTATCTTGATTTAGCCATTTGACAATGTACACATATATCAAAACGTCACGTATCAAAACATCACATTGTACACCATGAACATAAACAATTTTTACTTGTCAAATGGAAAAAAAAGAGTATAAATCTTGGAGAAATGCAACTCCAAGAATGTAACTTATGGAGAATAAGTTACTCCATAAATATATCCAATGACTATGTACTTGTAATAATTAAAAATTCAGAATTTTTTAAAAATAGGAATATATGTGCATCAAATAAGATAATACAATGTCTCAGTGACATCATTAATGACTCATAGTCATTATGCTCTTCATCACAGTTAGCCTTTTATTATATTAACACCTTCAACATTGAAAGTTGGCTAACGCATGATTCCACGACGTCCGATACAAGCATGACTGCAATGAGAGCCAGAAAAATGGTATACACCTTGTCTCTATTACGAGGAAAACTTTCTCAGAAGCTCTCTAAAAGGCTCATCTTTATATTTCATTGGCTGCATACCTACCTCAAAATCAATTCCAGGAACAAGAACGAGACCCCCACTTTGCCTTTTCACCATTAGAAAACATCTTAGACTCATGACACAGCAGGCTTCCCCTGAAATACATAAATTAGCAGAGGACAGGTGGCTGAGCCTGGGCTTGACTGCGAGGAAGACAGGGAGAGTGGGTGTTGAGTTGACAAACTAGAATACTGAGGAATGCTTTGAAAGTTAGCATAGTATGAAATGTTGCAGAGAAAGATTTGATGAAAACAGGATTGTTCAGTCCGCCAAAGGAGAGGAGTTCTAGATTTTACATCTTAATTTGTGCTTCAAATATTCTAGTTAAAAACTGTGTTACTACACTTTACAGAATATTTTGAATCAGAAAAGAGGATAGTATCTAGAACAAAGGGAAATTGCCTCAAACCTTGAATTACCTATTGATACTTTTTACAAAAACGTCTGTTCTCCTGTTATAGAGGATAGATAATATGACTAATTTAATTATTCTACCTATGGAGTTATAGGTAATGAGTAAGATTTTTATTTGATAATTAGAGGCAGGAAAGGCATTAGAAAAAAAATTTAAATAGTGTTTTTTGTATTGAGAAAAACCTTGTAGTAATACTAAATTAACATTTCAGTCCCAACATCATTATGCACTTTTTATTTAATCATTTACTTTTCCCTAATGTGTTTTTTACTTTTCCCTAATGTGTTTTTTAAGGTAGATTTCTGGAAAACTTAATGATAAATAACTTAAACTCACTGTAAGTAATAAATGTAGAATGGGACTAATTGTCTTTTTCTCAATTTTTAAGATCCTGACTTTAAGGACCTTGGAGCTTTGAAACCATTACCAGGTTGGTAAAATAGATATTTAATACTGTTCAGAAGACTTTGTTTTCTGCTATGAAATACACTTTTGGTTTATTATTCAAGCTCCGTTTTTGTGTGTTTGTTTGGCATTTTGTTATTTAGCGTGTGAGTTTGAGATGGGCGGTTCCGAAGGAATTGTGGAGTCTATACAAATTATGAAGGAAGGCAAAGCTACTGCTAGCGAGGCTGTTGATTGCAAGTGGTACATCCGAGCACCTCCACGGTCCAAGGTCAGTCTTAAGATGAAACCCACACTTGACAGCTGACGTTGAGAAGTGTCTATAACAAGCATTGCTTTGAAGCAACTGGACGTGTCTAATACATTTCAGAGTGCAGCCATCAAAGGCTATGATTTCATTTTGGTTTTTGAGATGTAACTTGTCTTCTCTTGTCCAATCTAAATTTGATGTCGTAAATAGCAATCTAGAGAGTGAGTTGAAGAAATCATTTGATAATTTAGACAAGAGACTTTAAGGTAAGTCGACCTCTCTGAAACATGGATTGAAATGGTATGCAAGAGCCGTGGCTCTTAGTGTAACTACACTTACGCTCTTATTGTCAATATCTGCAGTTGGTTTATTTTGTAAACTAAAATTCTATCTGTAGACGTTTTTCTGGGGCCTACAAAATCATAAATATCTGGCATGTAAAATACAAGTGTGGTAAGGGCTGGCAGCAATGGTAACAGGGCCTGGGAGATCCTGTGCCCATTTGAAGGAGACAGGCATGAGTTAGCTGCCCATGAAGCTCCTTGTGATGCTGTTATGAGAAAATGTGGGTCCAGCATTATCAAACCCTCCATTATTTCTCATAACTTGCCAAAAGTCTAGATTTTATGTTGATCACCCTGACTTTTGAGAGTTGGCAATACATTATAAAAATTAAAAGTATTACATGTATTAAACTATTGTGGGCTAGATTTTGACTCAGGACCCCATTTTGGAAACACTTCCATAGCACAACTATGGTGATTCTGTTTATGGAAATATTTTCCAAAATACAGAGGATGAGTCATTTTGTGCCAGCAGGTGTCACAGGTCTAAGATGTTATTTGTTCATTCTCCTGTTTTGGTTTATATTCCTCAGTTACAAAGTTATAAGAAAAAATATTGACTTACTAGATTTGTAGTCATTTATTTATTGAGATTGAAACTGTGTGCTATTTCATTAATTGATTTTGTGACTCTATAAAGTCGCAAGCACTCTGCCAGCTACACGAAAAAGCAGGCCAGGCCCTGTTCTCAGGTGCTTCCGTTTAGTTCTTAAACCAATATGTAACAGAATAACCTAAGCAGTAAGGTTAGATCATTGGGGTATTTGTAAGGTATAACAGAGAGAGAGAAAAGACCCCTTACACCAGGTAGGGGAAGTCAATGGTAGAATCGTACAGCTGCCAGGATCTTGGTGAATCTTAATGAGAAGTATTTTGTCAAGAAGACAAGTTGACAAGGCTCTCCAGACAGAGGGAATAGCATCTATGAGGCCATGGAATCACAGGAGAGAAGAGAGCATGCTTTTTCAGGAGTAATGTAATTGCACGTGACCACATGAAAGCGTGGGTTGAGAGGTGGTGTTGATTGCTTAAGCTAAAGTGTTCCTCAGGCCTCTCTGAAGAACTCAGCCTTCACCCGGAGTGCTTCAGCGACATACGGAAAAACAAAGCAGAAAAGTGATATGACCAGATTTGCATATTTGGAAAATTGTTTTTTTTCCTGCAAAGAAGGGACAGAGGAGTCAACACTGCAAGCAGAAGGTCAAGTGGGAAGCTGTGGCGGTAATTCCAGTGTTGGAAATTAGGCCATGGTGGTCCAACATGAGGGAAATACTAGAGAGAGATGAGATAGAATTTGGTGACTGGATATTTAGACTGAGGGGAAAAGAAGAGCCCCTCCGCACCGTTTTTGTTGTTTTTTATTTTGTTTGTTTTTGAGACAGAGTCTCATTCTGTCTCCCAGGCTGGAGTGCAGTGGTGCGATCTCGGCTCACTGCAACCTCCACCTCCCACCTCAAGCGATTTTCTTGCTTCGGGAATTACAGATGTGTGCCACCACACTTGGCTAACTTTTTTTGTATTTTTATTAGAGACGGGGTTTCTCCACGTTGGCCAGGCTGGTCTCGAACTCTTGATCTCAGGTGATCTGCCCACATCGGCCTCCCAAAGTGCTAGGATTATAGGCATGAATCACCACGCCCAGTGAAGAACCTTTTTTGAGGGCACTGGTCTTTCTTCACTTGACTTTTTTCTTGAATGTATCTCTAAGGCTTGCACATAAAGTGGAAATGTGGCACCTTTCCCCCAGCTTTCAGTTACAGAGATTCAGAGATCATTCTCCAGCTTCCAGCTTTGATGCTTGCATTTCTCTCTGCCTCTGAACAAATCTTAAAGTTAATTGCATTATGAAGAAAGACAGTTATTTTTCTTCTATATTTTTTTAAGTCAAAAGCTGTTGCTCACATGAAACCATAAAAACCCACTACCTGTATTACAAGAGAGCTAGGTTGCAGTTTATTATGCTGTTTTCGTAAGGTGTGGATTCACATGCAAGGGCTATTTATTTTTCTTAGACTCTATGAATGAAAGATTTTTAAAGACTTTTTAAAAAACAGGATTATATGTGCCCCACCTTACTGTCATAACCAGTACTTTTGTCACTGCAGTCTCAAGGAGAAAGTTTTCATGACAGTGTAAATGCACACCCTTTTCTTCCAGCTGGTAAATAGACTGTCTTTTGTACAATCCCAGAGCAACAATAACCGATGTACCTGTCTGTTACAGAATTTGGCATTCTGTGACCCAAAGGGGAAGCTGCCTGCAGAGCTGGACAAAGATGGCTCTATTGTAACAGGCTTTCTCTGTTAAATTAAAGGTTAGAGGATGGGAAGTGGCTTTGAATACTGTGGAGAAAAGCACGGACTGGAGATTACTGCCTATGTGGACTTTCTATTTTTATAGAGTTCCTAGCAGCTTATGAGAATAGACTATCAAAGCACAAGTTAAACTTGAAATGGCTCGTGGTGAATATTTGAATGACACCTGGTGACTGAACCATATTGCACAAAGAAAGTGCTGAATAGCTTACTTGGCTCTATTAAAATGTATACACATTATTTACTGCTTTACCAGCTTTTGACAAATAGAAAATATAATATCTGATGTCTCCTTTACTACAGAATATTAATCTAGATGGTCCCCTTTAATTAGAATGTGATTAATCTAGATTTCATAGAATTCGGAAAACCAGAGGCAGAAAGAACCTTGTTACTGACTAGATCATTTAAAAGATGAATAAACTGAGTCAGGATAATGCAATTCAATAGGCGTTAACAAAGGAGTGTAGACATATGCCTCTCTGAGCAAATACTCTGGGGTCTAATTCATAATCTGGTCTGGAAAACAGCCACCAGAATGAAATGATGGGAGACCAAATCATGGTAACTATTAATTTCATGAAGGCTGGACCATATTTATCTCCAGATACCCAGTGCCAAGCACAATGTCTGTGACTCAAGTAAAACTCATGGAATAAATAAACGGATTATTTCTTAAAATAAAAAAGGACATGGCAGCAATCTTCAAACATTTGAAGGACTGTCACATGAAACAGGATTAAGACTTAATCTTCAGGAGTAAGACTTTTAAGTACTGCGGTTTATTTGAAAGTTTGAAACTAGAGAAATAGCTGTTAATGTAACACAGAGAAGCCTTTTATTTTAATAACAGAGATTGAATGAGATTTCACCGGAGGAATCCAAGCAGAGTCTGGCAGAGATTTTGTATAATAGTTAAAAGTCAAGTAATATTTTGGCACAGATAACATGAAAGTCATCTGAAAACCAAATTTAATGAATCTATGATAAGTGACTTGCCCAAATATTTGGCTAGTTAGCAACAGAGCTGGAGCAAGGTTAACAACTCCCAATTCCTGGCCCAGTTCACTCTCACAAAACCACATTCTTTGAGGAAATGATCAAGGTTTTTAAAAATTAATTTTAAAATATTTTTAAAATTTATTTTTAATTGACAAATAATACTTGTTTATATTTATGGGGTACGGTGTGATGTTTCCATCATGGAATGATTAAATCAAGCTAATTAACAAATCTATCACTTCACATTCTTATCACTTGCTAGGACGGGATACGGGACAGAGTCAAAATATGTATAAAATACATAAATGAAGGTAATTTAATGTTTAATGTTTTTGGATAATAAAACTCTAGCTTACACAGTTTACTCATTTCATATTTAAAGTTGACTCAATTTGTGGTTAACTAATTCAAAAATACTTTCAGTCAAATTAAAATAAAAAATATAAACACTTGACAAATAGTCTCTTACAGTAAAGTGGTGATAAAAGTATTAAAGTTACTTATCTAATGAACACAGATTTCCAGCCCCAATTGCTGGGATTGTGAATATGATAAATGTGCCTATGTGATTAAGGTTACCAGTCAGGTGACTTTGGATTAATCAAAAGGTAGACTATCCAGGTGAGCGTAATCTAAGCACACGAGCCCTTTAAAAGTGGAGCAGATTCTTTAGACATGAATGAAAGGGGAAGTAAGAGAATCAGGGGATTAAGAAATGTGTTCTAGGAGTGAGGGTGACCCCAGTAAGCAGTCCTCAAGAAAATACAGACCTTGGTCCCAGAACTGTGAGAAACTGGATTTTCACCCTCATCTGCCCTCACCAAAGAACCCAGTACTTCCTACCTACAGAACTATTAATAGTAGATAGTACATGGGTGTTATTTAAAGCTGCTAAAATTGTGGTGATTTGTTACCGAGCAATAGAATATTAATGCAATAAACCAAGTGTAGTAACTGTAATTGATTACAGAGATAAGCATCAAGGGTTCTGAAGATTGAGCCTGCTTTTATCTCCAAAAAGTAAGAATAAAATTTGATAAACGAAGTAAAAATTTTAAATAGGTAGGTAAATACCAAAAAAATTGTACAGTTCAAGTTTTAAAATGGCATTTTTATACTCTCATATTTTCAACAGCTACTCAGGTGGACTTTAAATATTTTGGTACTTGTTTATATATGCCAGAAAATTATTTTTTATTGTTATATCAGGAATTGTGCTGTGCACATGTGTGTGTGTGTGTGTGTGTGTGTGTGTGTGTGTGTGTGCTTGTGTGTTAATATTTTATAAAGCATTAAGATGTTCTGGTTCCTTCTCCAAAAATAAAGGGAACATTGATACCGTCCAAACGGAATATTCTACATAAGTTTATAAACCTGACATGTCTGGTCAATAATAAAATAGAAAATTCAGAAATCCTGGGCTACATATTTTGTAGAATTTGATTTTATTTATAAAGGTGTCTAGTAGTATTGAAACCATGTACAGCATTTCTCAGACTGTGACAGATTTAATTTTTACTTATTAAGGAGAAAACTGTTCTGGCAAGTGGTAAATAATTGCCTCAAATAATGTCTATTTTCTGTATATCATTTTGATATGAGGGGAGAGGGACCTGGTTGAGCAGGTGGTATTAAATTTTGTTTGTGAATATATTACTTAGTAAATTGTTAGCTAGATTTATTTGCTTTGCATATAAAAAGGGGTTCTGCTTTCCATGTGATTTGAAAAATAGATATTACTAGAAATTATTTATATGTTTTGAAGTTTTCCATGTCCTGCTCAATAAATTATCTTGTCAGCTCCAACTCTTTATGATTGATTAAAAAGAATGCATCAAAATGATTCACTGAGAAGAGATGATAATCTATTTTACTAGTGTTATGTATTACTCTGTTTATCATTTTCTCTTTTTTTTTCAGTAAGTGACTAAAGAGCTTTCTGTAGTTTGCTACATTAAATAATTCTTTCTATTAGTATTATTGTGGTACAAGATTTAAGCTAATGAGATAGTCACTCAAATCATAATATATAGAGAGATTTTACATGACATATACTAGAGTTAGTATGGGAAAGCGTGATCACGTTTTCTGGATAATGGAATTTGGCTTTTGTACTGACAGCTCTGGACCCAGTAAAGTATATTCTCTTTTTCTATATGATAAAAAATCATTGCCATCACTAGATCATAGGTAAACACTACTGAATGCTTCAGACGTGATTACCTGGGATCTAGTGACGGCAGTGATTCACTTACTCTCTAATTAGTGTTCTATTTAATAAGAAGGTCCTTTATAGAAGATACTTAGGTAGCAGTGATTGCACTTCATGTACAAATGCAAGACAGTCACCTCTTGTGGAAAATATAGAACTGTCAAATGAAAAAAATATAGGGCCAATATGCAAATTGACTTTCTAACTATAGCAATATTCTTATGTGAAATATTTCTATTTTTAAAGAATTTAAAACAGCCATTTATTTTTGAGGGACACGTTTATTTTCTATAAATTTTATTTATAACTTGATAGTCAACATCTTTTCTAGCTCATTAGAAGAAGTGGATAGTTTTGCTTTGCTTATTTATTTGATTACTCATTTTGTTTTTGATTGTTTTCTTTAAGAATATAACTTTCTTTCTGGGCTATAACTCTGTGAGCATTTAAAAGCATTACATAAGGCTGCATAGTGTGATGAGTATCCGGGTGTTAGGCACATCTGACTTCGGTACCAGTCCGTTACTTCAGTGACATTACTGTGTCACTCTGAGAAAGTTACTTAATTTTTATAAACTTCAGTTCTCTTCATCTTAAATGATTATAACAAGTATCTATTGTTGTTGAGAGATATGAAATAATGCATTAGCAGTGTCTTAAGCTATCGTCAATATAACACGCAAACTTTCTTTTCCTAACAATAAATTAGTATTTTAAGGTGTGTTTCTACATGCAATGTTAGAAATTTTAAATATTTGTTGAAACACCTTGAGCCACTGAAACATTTCAACTTGAAAACATCAGGTGGTCTAATAGCTTTTTTTTGTATTAGCCAAACAATTATTTAAATATTTTTCATCCCGTGGGCTTAGTACTTGGTTTTTATAACTTTGTAAGACTATTGGGAGAGACGTGTCATTTTGTATTACACTTCAAAGGAGTGGAACGCACTCTTTACTTACCCTAATCTGTGTTCTCCTGCTTGTGACAATGTTTACTTCCAATTATAATTGCATCTTTTTTGAGAGCTGATTAACTTGTTGAATTTATTGCATAGAATTTTTAGAGTATAAGTACATATTTGAATTTTTGTTCCACTTAACATGTTTGTATAATACCTAGATTTTAGCTTTGATTTTTACAGTGTTTTCAGTTTGTTTACTTTTAGTCAAAAAAGTAAACAAAAGTAAACAAACTGAAAACACTGTTGTGACCTGATGAAAAGAAATTTAAATCCAGAGTGGGAAATTTTAATCCTTTTTAAGGTTTCCACATTAATTCACTTATGATCCTGGAGCAAGTTATTATTTTTTTTCTTCTTTGCTCCAGCCTTTTTTGTTTGTTTGTTTTGGAGATGGGGTCTCGCTCTGTCGCCCAGGCTGGAGTGCAGTGGCGCAACCTCCAGCTTTCTAATAAAGGTCATCTGAAAAAAAAATCTTTTTTTTTTAAGTCATGTTAACATTGAAAAAACAAACGAGTTAGTATAAACTTGGAAGTTTAACATTTTTAGATGCATATATACCTTCTTAAACTGGATATTTCTGAAATTCTCTGAATAATTTTAGAAATGAAATATTGTGTTGGGAGGAGAAATCACAGATGGACTGCATGAGTAATATCTGAGTTTTAGATAAAATAAAACAAAGGAATAACCTGGGCATACCGAAAATGAAGGCCTCGTTGGGGCATATGTCTCTCATAAGGCTGTAGCAATGGCAGGTAATTTAAATCAGCATCAAAGTATTTGGAAATTTTAGAATGACTTCCAACTTCAGTGCTACAAATTGCTCATGTATGAAAATCGTCCTACCTTGCAAAGCATACTACAACTCAAGTGCTTTCCACTGTTGTTCAGTTTGATTCATTTGTCCACATTTCTCTGATTTTGTTCTTTCTCATCAAATTGTGTCTGGATTTCCTCATTTAGAACTTCACATTCTATTTTCAGCATCTTACAAGTCTGCAACATTTCGTCTTGTCCTTTTATGTCATAATTTAGATCTATGCTATACCTTGTTCTGAGAATTATTGCATATAATTTCCACTGTATATAATAAAATAAGACTATTCTATGTAATTATCATTATTTATAACGCTTAAATGTCTGTCATATAGGTGCATGATAAATATGAATGCTGAACAAAGGAATTCAATAAAGAAAATGAAACTTCCAGTTAATCATTCACAAACATTTCTGGAGTGTTTACTATGTGTAAAATATATATTAATGCTTAGAATACAAAAATATATACCACTGATTCAGCTTTTCGAGAACACAAATTTATTAGAAGGGACATATAACCTATAACTATGGCTTTAAATATGTTCAAAATCACATGGAGGCTGTAGAGATTAAGTCTGCTGCGATTGGGGAGTGGGAGCAGTGAAAACCTTTCATTGGATGTGCAACCGTTGAACTGTCTTGACAAATCAGGAAGAGGTTCCTAGACAGAAGATGGAGAATGTGAAGCTAATGTCATGTTCATAAAGGGTGGATTTTTTGAAAATGGTTATAATGTTGGGAGATAAGAAGGATGTAAATTTGCTAGTTGATGTTTTTAGACTTTTTAAAAATTATACACCAGTTACAAATTTCAGCTATGCCTAACGTTAAATGACGAGTTAATGGGTGCAGCACACCAACATGGCACATGTATACATATGTAACAAACCTGCACATTGTGCACATGTACCCTAAAACTTAAAGTATAATGAAAAAAAGACTGTGATTATTAGATTTGTTTCTTAGAAATATAACTTTGGCTGGAGTAAACTAGTTTTTATTAGAGTAAACTTTGGGGCTGTAAGGAGAATCTGTACTTTGCAACTATCCAGGCTGGTCAGGAGAGTGTTGAAATATTATAGAAATGTGAATGGACATGGAAAACAACTAGTTTGAAGGTGAAATTGACAGGAACTCGTGCCCTGTTGAGTACGAACATGGAGGACAAGAGATACATTTTCACTAATTTAAATAGTGAGATTATAATATTTAGGATAGACGTACTGGATCTGGAAGAAATTGTCGTATCAGTTTCAGATTTTACGAAATAAGAAAAAAATACATACAGAATGATGAAAGAGATGGATGTTTGCTTGAATGCCATGTCTTTAGTTTATATCCATGTTAAATTAAGAGAAATGCATTTAAGAGGAAATAGCGTATAGGCATTCATATTAAAATAAAATGTAAAATATTCAGGAGATATCTGTATGAAAGATGTGTCTTTATTAGGAAACCATTCTAGGTATCCCTCTCAAAGTGCATGGGTCTTTTGGCTTTATATAATTTCCACTCTTTGACATTGTATCTTATTGTCATGGTTTAATTGACATACATTTTCGGCACTGGCCCTCATTCTTTTGTTCACTGTGATATCCACAACGCCTTGAACAGTGTCTGCAACAATCACAGGACAAGCTGTGGATGCCACTGAATCGATGGACGCATGAACAAATTATTTCTTTATAGACTTGTATTTGGTTGAATGAATTCTTGTGATTTTGAATGCACATTAGTAAAGAGTCAAATAATGTCTGTTGATGGAAAAGCAGTACACCTAAGGCAGCATAATGTTGTGAAAGAATTATGGACTAGGAAGTGAGGATGCTCATGTCTAATTTTCAATTTATACCATCTGAGTCTGAGCTTCTTCATCTGAATATGACAATAAAATGGGCCACTTTATAGAGTTGTTGGAAGTGTTACAAAATAACATATAAAGCAAGTTGCACAGTACATTTTACTCATAATTTTTATTTATGTAGCTTAGCTAAATGGCTTGTCTATATATGGCATGAATGGACAGAGACTAGCTTGGCCTTTTTATAAAAAATTATACTTCGACTCAAAAATGAAGCAGTGTATTTATGTTAAATAATTTGATTAAACAAATCAGAGAGACTGTCTTTCAGTATCATTTTTGTTTTTCTTTGGTATTAATAAAAATCACATATTTTTGTACATTTTTGGAAGTAAAAGGAAGCCATCGAACTGAAACAAGAATGTATCAGGAATACTTAAAATACATTTGCTAATCAAAGTAAAACAGTGTGTAAGTATGCAAAACTAGTAACTGATTTCCAGTAAGTTATGAGAAGACATAAAGCGAATTTGGGTAAAAATACTCAGCTCTAGAAAATGGTGCATTTAAGTAAAGAAAGGATAATAGCATTTGAAAAAAAATATTAAACACAGTTTGTTCTTATCGTACATCTTCTTTCTATTCACAAGGGAAAATAATAAGATTGATTGCAATCAAGATTGTCTTGTGAGACTGAAAAAGAGAAAAGGAGTTCTGATACTGATGTACATTCATATTTTGATATGTGGAAATTATTTTATTTTTGTTTTATAGATTTACTTACGATTCTTGGACTATGAGATGCAGAATTCAAATGAGTGCAAGAGGAATTTTGTGGCTGTGTATGATGGAAGCAGTTCCGTGGAGGATTTGAAAGCTAAGTTCTGTAGCACTGTGGCTAATGATGTCATGCTACGCACGGGTCTTGGGGTGATCCGCATGTGGGCAGATGAGGGCAGTCGAAACAGCCGATTTCAGATGCTCTTCACATCCTTTCAAGAACGTAAGATTCTCTGCACTTGACTATTTTTCCTTCGTATATGCCATATGATGCCAGTTTCATAAGCTGTTAATGGTGTTTTCTTCACACAGTGAGCACAGCAGGCTATTCTCTAATATGTTGTTTAAACCACTAAGGTCCTCTTTTTCTCATTTTGATCCATGACAGGAAAGAGTTACATATTACATTTTGCTTTCTTATTTCAACATATGCACCATAGCCTTTCTTAAGACAGTTCACACTATTCAACTGGGAAATGATGAATTTCATCTGTCTTCAATTTAGCTCTTAGGAAGCCTGTGGAACTGATGCAGCAGCTTCTGATGAAGTTTGGGTTTAAATCTTTAAAAACCTGCATAAAAATATTTGGTAGGTTCTTTTTAGTAAGCTTCTTTTGCAGTCCCATTTATTTCAAATAGGTTTCTGACTTCAGAGTTCCAATTAAAGTAGGTAAGGAGAGAGAATTGCTTGGGTAGATTGTAAATGAGAAAAGTTTCAGAAAATGTTTAAAACAGCACAATGGGTGATATCCAGAGTCAAGGGCAAATCACAGAAACTTCAGAAAGTTATGTTCTAATAAATAATGATTCATACCAATAGATATATTCTGAATATTTGTTAGAAACCCTGAATATTTCATGTGTTACAAATTTATGCAAGTGAAAAAGGATTCTGAGAAATTTAAGAAATAAGTACCTTGTGACATGAACAGACACTGAAAAGAAGAACAGACACTTCATGTGGCCAACAAGCATATACAAATGTTCAGCATCATTAATTATTAGAGAAATCCAAGTCAAAACCACAGTGAGATACCATCTCATACCAGTCAGAATAGCTGTTATTTTATTTATGTATTTATTATTATTTTTTTTTGAGATGGAGTTTTGCTCTTGTTGCCCAGGCTGGAGTGCGACGGTGCGATCTCAGCTCACAGCAACCTTTGCCTCCCGGGTTCAAGTGATTCTCCTGCCTCGGCCTCCTGAGTAGCTGGGATTACAGGCATGCACCACCATGCACAGCTAATTTTGTATTATTAGTAGAGATGGGGTTTCTCCATGTTGGTCAGGCTGGTCTCAAACTCCTGACCTCAGGTGATCGGCCTGCCTCGGCCTCCCAAAGTGCTGGGATTAGAGGCATGAGCCACTGTGCCTGGCCTCAGAATAGCTGTTATTAAAAGTCAAACAATAACAGATGCTGGTGACGTTGTGGGAAAAAAGGGAACACTTACGCACTGCTGGTGGGAATGTAAACTAGTTCAGCCACTGTGGAAAGCAGTTTGGCAAAACAGATCTACCATTTGACCCAACAATCCCAATACTGAGTATAAATCGTTCTGTCATAAAGACACATGCATGTGTGTGTTCATCACAGCACTGTCCCCAAACTGTTCCCATAGTAAAGGCATGGAATCAAATGAGATGCCTTTCCATGTTAGACTGCATAAAGAAAATGTGGTACATATATATTGTGGAATACTATGTAGCCATAAAAAAGAATGATACCATGTACTTTGCAGCAACATGGATGGAGCTGGAGGCCATTATCCTTAGAAGTCTAATATAGTAACAGAAAATCAAATACCGCACGTTCTCACCAATAAGTGAGAGCTAAACACTGAGTCCATATGGACAGAAAGAAGGGAACAACAGACTCCAGAACCTACTTGAGGGTGGAGGTTGGGAAAAGGGTGAGGACCATAGTACCCCTGTTGGGTACTATGCTTATTATATGGGTGATGAAATAATTTGTACACCAAACTCCCGTGACACACATTTTACCTACATAGTAAACCTGCACATGTACCCCGAATCTGAAACAAAAGTTAAAAACAACTTTAAATGAAAAGAAATAAGCACCTTGTATTTCACAACTATGCATTTTTGTATTCTTAGAAAAGACAATACAATATTTTTGAAATTTCAGTGATTTCTCTTATTGTCAGCAGCAGAGGAGCCAATACTGTTTTAAATTCGTAAATGTTAAGTGTGTTAGACAGTTATTTTGCATAACGAATAAATCGTTTGGGCTTTAAATTCCCTTTTAATTACCCAGTTGGGGAATTTTATGACACAGAAATACTGAATGTCACTCAGTCTTTCTAAGTCTTGACACCATCATCTAGCATGTCAAACATCTCTCCCAGCTTTATGTCAGATTAAAACAGTATGCTGTTATGTATTTGGTTCAGTAGTTGATTAAAATGTTAGAGGTAGTGCATTTTTATCTCAGCAAAATACTTGAGGAAAATTTTTTCATTTTATTGACAAGCATATGAGACTCAGGCTACAAGACAACACCCTTGGTGGCTCACTGCTGATTGATCTACCCAATTCAATGAATCATTCCTTCAGTGAGGGAATTTCAGGGTTCTATATTTATTCAGTATTCTTATCTGTCTTCGGGAATAACATACCAAGAACTCGTATTTAATTTAAATGATAAAAATTTGGAAGGGCAAGCTAATATATTAAATGATACAGTCCAGATTTTAATAAATAACAAAAATCTGTAATTTTTAATCAAAAGTATACCATAAAATATAATAGAGACATATGATAAAAGCATTATATTTCAAAAATCAATAACATAGAGGAACCCTGATGCCTAGGACGGTCCTGTGGTCTTATTTCATTCAAACTCAATGTGAGTCAATACTTTGATTATGACTGATAAAAATAATCTTAAACAACATTAGCCTGTATTAAAGTTAGTGGAGTAACAATGCAAAAAAAGATTTTAGTTTTATAGGAAGCTGCACCAATCAAAATGCAAAAGGCACAGTCTGTTCTTTCCTGACTCTTATTAGTGAGGAGAGTAACCACCTAGAAGAGGCTGACAAAGATGTAATGCCAAATAAGAAGAAATGTTTACTTTAGGATTTATTGTTGTTCAAAATGTGATAACTACCTCACACCTATGTCTCATGGGTCTCAAAGGTAATATTTATGTTTGAAAGTTATAGGGAAACTTTTGAGCGCAATTTAGGGGGAAAAATGTTCATCTTGTGAGTTGTGATATTCAAAATTTGAAAGAATGCCTATGAAGGATATAAAATATGGATAGATGGGTGATTGGATCTGAAAATGGATTATTATCTGGCATGAACGGTATAGAGGAATCATCTGTGTAGGTTAGGTGAAAAGACCGGCTAACATCAAAGATCCCTTTCAATCGGAAAATAGATTAAGCTCTATGAGTCTTTAAAAATCTGCATAGATAAGAAATGGTGAACTGTATATATGTTGCATATATTATTATAAATATGTCTATTTGAGACTACAAAAAAATAGAGTTTCAAGGCATGTGATTAAATTATCTCTAGAAGTCATTGAAGTGGGTTGACTTTTCAATGAGTAATCCAAAAGACACAGGGTGTTCTTCCTACAGAGGCACCCATCCCAATATGTTCTTTCACAGTGGACAAATAATCACTCTCTTCAAATGATGAGTTTTACAACAGCGTTCTCTGTGATCATCTCATAAATTTACAGGAAGTTTCCACGGAAACAGGTTTATCCTTTAGTCATGTTACCACCCATGTTGGTCTGAATGGTTCTGTGGCGCCCCTTCAAAAATTCCTGTGTTCAAAATCCAGTTGCCAAGGTGAGGGGATAAGGAGGTGAGGCATTTGAGAGGTGATTAGCTCATAAGTACAGCTCTCATCATAGGTGTTGGTCCTCTAATGATAAAGAGGGCCCAGAGAGCAGCCTTGCCCTTTCCACCAGGTGAGAACACAGCTAGAACGTTTCATCCGTGAACCAGGAGATGGGCCCTAAACAGACACCAAATCTGCCAGCACCTTGATCTCGGACTTCCTAACATCCAGAACCGTGGGAAACAAAACCCTGTTTTTTATAAGCCACCTAATTTATTGTAGTTTGCTGTAGTAACCCAAACAGACTCAGACGATGCCTGTGTATATTTGTCATAATGTTTTACTTTTTATTGCATTGGCTAAAATTATGCAGAATTCTACCATTATTTATACCTAAGATCAAAGTCATCCTATGATGACGTACATGGGTCTAGACTGTCTTTATTCATTGAAGTGAAAGTATTCCACGTAAGAGATGAAAACTTCAAAACAATAGAAAGTGGGCTTCGATCAGTGCTACTACTTGGAAATGGGTGGGTAGGAATCATTCTAAGGGTACTTAAGAGGAAGCAAAGATACTTTGTTTAGGGAGTTTCAAGTTCCTCAGTGGTATTGCTTTATTCAATATTAGTGGCTGAGGGAGAATTTTGGCTTACATTTTTGTTGTGGCTGATGATTTTGGTTCTTGTAGAGGGTGATAGTTAAACAGACTATTCATATATTTTTTATATATGGCTAATATATACAATTACATTAATGTATATTAGTGTATATATAATCTAATATATAATTATACATTTAATATGTAACTATATGTCTAATATATAATTATACACATCCAATATGTGCCTTATAGATGTATATATAGTTATATGTATTATCTAACATTTACTCCATTCATACACCCATGAAGTAAAAGTTGGAGATATAAAATCAGTGATCAGCTTTCGTCTTATTCAAGTAATAAGAAAGTACCTGGATATTTTTCCTGGTGCCTACACATTTATGAAATAGTATCCCCAGTTCAGTGGTGAAGTGCTTCGAGCGCGCTGGTGCCTGAATGTTATGTCCCTTCAAAACTAAGAGGTTGGAATTTTTAATGTTGTTTACAAGCCATCTAGTCTATGGTATTTTGTTCTAGCAGCCCAAGTGGACATACATAGAAAATTTATGCTGATCTGTGGGGATGTTGCTCTAACAAATACCTCAAAATAGGTGGCAGTGGCTTTGGAACTGGGTAATGAGTAGAGGCTGGAGGAGTTCTGAGGTGCTAGAAAACATTTACGTTGCCATGAACAAGACCATTAAGGCTGATCCTGGTCTGGGCTCAGAAGGGGAGGAGGAGAATCTTGTTAGATAATTCCTAAGTTATTCTGAACAGAATGCTTATAGAAATATAAATAGTAAGGTCGTTTTGATGAGCTTTCAAATGGGAATGAGGAATATGTTTTTAGACAATGGAGGAAAGTTCATCCTTGTTATAAATTGGCAAAGAATATGGCAGAATTGTGTTTATGCTCTCGTGTTTTGTGGAAGGTATTGCTTGTGAGGGATGAAATTGGATATTTTGCTGAGAAAATGTCCGGGCAAAGTGTTGAAAGAACGTTTGACTCCTGACTGCCTGTCATAAAATTCAAGAAGAAAGAAAAGATTTAGAGATGCAATTATTAATAAAAATGGAAGCAAAAATTAAAGATTTGGAAAATTCTCAGCCTATTCATATTGTAAAGAATGAGAAAACATGCTTACAAGAAAACACCAAAGGTGTAGCCAGGCAGGCATCTGATAAAATAAGTGTGGATTGGCCAACTCGGTGGAAATCAGGACCTATTGCTGAAGTCAGTGGAAGGATGACACTGAAGGTATGTCAGAGATCACTGCGCCTGCCTCTCATCTCAGCTCCAGAGGGCCAGTGTTTAGGGGGACAGAATGAGTTGAAGGAGAAAAACCACTGTCCACCACTACCTCGTATCTCAAACTGTTAACCCGGCACTTTCTGGCAGTAGTCTTCCTCACTGCACCAAGTGGAGGGTGCACATTTTGATCAGCAAAGCTGTGGGGGCATGGCTGCCTTCACCTATGTTTCAAAGGATGCTTGGAACCCGGACAGAGAGTATTTGCAAGGGGGCGCACTGCAGAGAGCCCCCACTAACAATGGCAAACCGAATCATGGGGTGGGGCCACCCCAGGTCAAGACCTTTAGAGACAGGGATATGTGACTTCAACCTACGAAGGCTGTGGCTGTTCCCAGAAAAGCAGTTGGGTAGACCTCTACCCCAGTGTGTTTAAAGGATAGAACACGAAGATAAAATTCTTATTTATTTGTTTGTTTGTTTATTTGAGATGGAGTCTCGTTCTGTCCCCCAGGCTGGAGTGCAGTGGCGCAATCTCAGCTCACTGCGAGCTCCGCCTCCCGGGTTCACGCCATTCTCCTGCCTCAGCCTCTGAAGTAGCTGGGACTACAGGCACCCGCCACCACGCCCTGCTAATTTTTTTTGTATTTTTTAGTGGAGACGGGGTTTCAACGTGTTAGCCAGGACGGTCTTGGTCTCCTGACCTCGTGATCCAACCCCTCGGCATCCCAAAGTGCTGGGATTACAGGCATGAGCCACCGCGCCCGGCCTTTTTTGTTTTTTTTTTGTTGTTGTTTTGTTTTTTTTTTTCAGATGGAGTTTCGCTCTTCTTGCCCAGGCTGGAGTGCAGTGGTGCGATCTCAGCTCCCTGCAACCTCCCCCCTCCCGGGTTCAAGCTATTCTCCTGCCTCAGCCTCCCAAGTAGCTGAGATTTCAGGCATACACCACTACACCAGGCTAATTTTTTTGTATTTAGTAGAGACTGGGTTTCACCATGTTGGTCAGGCTGGTTGCTTACTCTGGACCTCAGGTGATCCACATGCCTCGGCCTCCCAGTGTGCTGGGATTACAGGCATGAGCCACTGTGCCTGGCCAAGAAAATGATTCTTGAGCCTCAAGGTTTTGGGCTTGCTGGGGACCTGCTGCTTCTTTCTTATGTCTCCCTGTTGGACTGGGCATGACTGTCCTATGCCTGTCCCATCGTTTATTTTGTAAGGTTCATAACATTTTCATTCACAGATTTACAGCGTAAGAACGATTTGCCTCAGAATGTATAAGGAGCCTCACTCATACCTGCTTTAGATGAGATTTTGGACTTAGAGTTTTAAATTGACACTGAAACAAGTTAAGACTTTTAGGGCTATTGGGATAAAATGAATATATTTTGTGTGTGAGAAGGTCAAGGATTTGGGGGAAGAAGTTAGCGTTAGGGTTAGTCTGAAGGGTTATGTCACCTCAAAATATATATGGTGAGATCTGCACCTACCGAAGGTGATGATGTTAGGAGTTTAGACCTTTGGGAAATGATTACATTATGGAGCAGAGCCCTCATAAGTGAGATGAGTGCCCTTATGAAAGAGGCCCAAGAGAAACCCTTCACCTCTTCTGCCATGTGAGAGTTCAAGATAGTTTTCCATGAGGAAGCAAACCCTCACCAGACTCCACATCTGATGGTGCCTTAATCATGAACTTCCCAGTCTCCAAAACAGTGAGAAGTAAATTTCTGTTGGTCATAAGCTGCTCCCTTTATGGCATTTTTAGAGCAGCGCAAATGGACTAAGAGCATGCCATGGTTTGGTTTCTTTGTCTCCACCAATACTCCTGTTGAAATTTGATCCCCAGTGTGGTAGTATTGAGAGGGGTAACCTTGTGGGATGTATTTAGGTGATGGGGACAAATACCTAACGGCTTGATGTTGTTCTGGTAATGAGTGAGTTCTCACTCTCAAAAGACTGAATTTATCTGCTCAGGAATGGATTAGTTTCTACGATATGGGTTATGATAGAGCCAGGACGTCCCTCAGGTTTTTCAGCTCCTGTTTGCACATAGCCACTTCCCCTTGGAAACTCTCCACTGTGTTGCAACAAAGCATGAGATCCCTCGCCCAAAGCCAGGGCCATGCCCTTGAACTTCTCAGCCTGTAGAACTCTGAGCTACATACGTCTTTTTTTATTTTTTGTTTTTTTGGGAAATAAACTACCCCAGTATGCCTTTATAGCAACAGAAATTGAAACAAGACAGAGCATATTTGATAATATCCTAATATCTCTAAAAATTGCTTGTGATAGGACCATAGGATATTTTTAGGGGTTAGAAGAGAGTTTAGAGAGCGTCTATTTCAATTTTTCACATTTTCTGAATTCAAACAGAAAAAAAAAGGGTTCATTGAAGTTAATTGACTTTCCCCACACATACTTAACCCCATGCTTAATGATTTGTTAACAGAACTGAGGCAAGAATTAAAGACCTGACTCCTAATCCATGATTTCTCTTGTGAATATCTTTACTACTTTTGAGGCACTTCTGAGACAGAGCTCGAATGCTCTAAAGAGGATGATGATGATAATGATTATGAAAATAGATAACAGTTATTCTCATATGTCAGCATTGTTTTGAGTGATTACAGACTGAATTTTGATTCTTCTGTCCTATCCACTGCATTTTATGCCTACATACTGTGCTTTCACACCATAATCATATAGCATGCCACGTTCACATGGCTCTCAAGTATTAAGACAAAAGTACACTATAACGAGAGGTTTCTATTCTGAAACATGCTATTTTGGGGACTATATGAATGCATTTTTAGCCATCATATTTTTACATTTGTATCTGAATAAATTATAGGAAAAGGAAATAATGAGTGTATAAAGGAGGTATGAAGTTCTTACTAAAAAATTCAGCAGACGTTTAACTTGCAAGTGCACATTAGAAGCATTTTATAAAGCTTGTGTTAAATGCCAATATTTCTAACAAAATTTATCTAATGCCAGTAAAGGGGAGAGCATAAGGGCACTGAAAAGGGTAAGTATTTACTTGCTACTAGGCTTGAGAAGTACCACCTCTGCAGCTTGCTCCCATAGGTATAATACTGCTGCCTCGACCGACTTTGCTAACTCTTCACCTCTGCCTCTTTCAGTGTTGTCAAAGATTGCTGCCCTGATTTATGGCATCACAAGGCTGTTGGTTGCCCAGCTAAACTTCATTTTTTTGCTTCAGAAAAATAATATACAGACTTCATCCTATAAAGCAATTTTGAAACCCAGGGACAAGACAAAGAAAATCAATATTATCACCTAAAGAGAACTCTCTTCTTGACTAGATGGTAGGCTTAGTAATAAGCTAAATGGCACTTTGCATTTGAATCACACAAAATGTTTAGTCTACAATTTACCCGGTGGAGAAGAGCACATGCATGAGTAATCCAAAAAAGAAGACAAAACATTTAAGTATTATCTTTAGCATATATTCTTTAAGAAAGAGTATTTGTTTAACATTTAAATGTATTTTGAGGCTAACAGTAAAAACAATTAATTAATCAGTAATTAATTTAGTTTCATAGATGAAGAAGCCACAAATACCAAGAAACATATTTGCGATAAAGAATTCATCCAATTTGAGATATGCCATACATTGGATAATTCTTACATTGATTATTAGAAGTGTGCCGTATTTTACTTTATGGACTCAATTTAAGATTTCTTATATTATTATAGCTTTATACTTTGGCATCTTTTTTGAAAATTTATTGACTCTAAAGAATTACTAATTTTAAAGGAATGATTATATTTAGAATAATTTTAATTTTGAATACACATAGATAATTCATAACCAATTATGATAGGACTGTGTATTTGAATAACTGCCCAATATGAATAAACAGAGACCTTCGTGGAATATGCCCATTCAAATAAATCACCTGCTAAGTTTTCTGAGCCAATCTTATTCTTTGTTTAGAATATGAATTTGCAGTAACTGGAATGGATGAATGAGTTATAACTAGTTTTGATTTCTGAAGTTCTGCATTTAGCTGCTCTTCTGCTCTTCTTTACAACTTTTGCACCATAAAATATGAATCACTTAATATTTGATTGATGAATAGCATATTTCTGTTAAAAACAGACATATAAAATAGAAGAGGAAAAAACAAATTGTCCACATTATGGTCGTATGGAATTTATTTACAATAATTTGCTAAAATGAGATAATGCATTTAGTTTTATGTTAACTCGTGACAAAAGACTATCAAGTCTTTTGTCTATATTATTATAAATAAATAATTAGATTTATTTGTAATAAAGAAATATACATACAGTAACATTTAAGTTCCAAAAACTGAGTTGAAATACTCTGTGGAAGGCAGATTCTGAGATGAACCAAGACATTCTCACCTTGTATTAGTTTGTTCTCACGCTGCTAGGAAGAAATACTCAAGACTGGGTAATTTATCAAGAAAAGAGGTTAAATTGACTCACAGCTACACATAGCTGGAGAGGCCTCAGAAAACTCACAATCATGGCGGAAGGCACCTCTTCACAGGGCAGCAGGAGAGAGAATGCATGCCAGTAGAATAATTGTGAGACGCCTATAAAACCATCAGATCTCCTGAGAACTCACTCACTATCGTGAGAACAGGATGGGGGAAACTGACCCCATGATTCATTTACCTCCACCTGTTCCTGCGCTTGACACCTGGGGATTATTACAATTCAAAGTGGGATTTGGGTAGGGACACAGAGCCATACAATATCACAACTCTTGGTGTAGAACGCTTATGTAATCCCCTCCTCTTGAGACAGTCAGAACTTGTGAATAGCCTGGGATATCATTTGGTTATTAACTTACATTCTTTCTCTGTGAAAACTTATTTTGCAGATGTATATAAAGGCTCTTAAAGCTTGATTGACTTTGATTTAATCAAAAGAAGGGGGATTATCTTGGGTTGACCTGACCTAATCAGGTGAGCTCTCTAAAATTGAAGAACTTGAGAGAAAAATGCCCAAGCTTCCTTGGACAGGTGGTTAGTAGAAATCTGGATTTGGAGAACTACAGGTGATGACTCAGATGCAAGTGAGGAGGAATATGTTATTAGGAACTGGGAGAGGGGGGAATCCCTGTTTTGTAATAGCAGAAAGCCTAGCACAATTGTGTTCTGCAGGTAGGTGGGAAACAGAATTAGTAAGTTACTAATATAGGCTAAATATAGGCTATGTAGCTAAGTAAATTACTGAGCTAAATGTTATAGGTGTAGGCTAATTTCCTCAGCAGAAATACTGTGAACTTGGACAGGAAGAGACAGAGTACCAGAAATACTGGAATGCCAGAATTCTCACAGCATGATCAATCTGATGAAACTGATATATATATATATATATATATATATATATATATATATATATATATAGAGAGAGAGAGAGAGAGAGAGAGAGAGAGAGAACTATATAGAGATCTGTATATATATATATATATAGATATATATAGAGAGATGTGTGTGTGTACATGATACACACACGTGTATATCATATATATATGCCACCTTCCATGAGAAAGAAAGGCTGTCTCAGAGAACAGAACCAAGGGCAACAGAGTAGTCAAGAAGAATTTGAGTTTACCCTGATGGACTTCAGAACTGTTATGAATTCATTACTCCTGTTTATTCTCCATTCTTCCTTTTTTGGACTAGAATTCTATGCCTCTCCCACCACTGTGTTGGGAATGTTGGAGCCAGACAGCTTGTCTCTAGTTTCATGAACCCATACACGGAGAGAAACTGTACCCCCAGGGTCTGCACCAGATTTAGATGATTCAAACAAGGAGACTCTGGACTTTGAACCGATGAGACTTAGATGAGATTTGAACTTTATGTCATGGGGTCATGGGGTTATACTCTTGGGATCTTTATAATCACAGTCCCCAATCAGTTCACTTTGAGTTAAACAGGAAACTATCCTAGTGGGTCTGAGCCAGCTAAATAAAGATCTAATGGTTAGAGATGAAAGAAATCAGAGATTTTTAACTGTAGTGAACACTCCACCTGGCCATAAAGAAGCAGCCTGCCATATTATACAGAGAACTACGTGGTGGGGAATTTTGAGCAATCTTTAGAAGCTGAGAATGTCCTCAGGTTGCCAGTCAGCATGAAAGTGGGGACCTCAGTTCTACTATTCCAGCATACTGAAACATTCCAACAACTTGAACAAACTTAGAAGAGGCCTCCACATTTTTCATGAGAACCCAATCCAGACAGACTCTTGATTTTAGCCTTCAGAGACCCAAAGGAAAGAACCCAATTGAGCCCTGCCTGGACTTCTGACATACAGAACTGTGAGATCATAAAAAGATATTGTTTTAAGCTGGTGGGTAAATTTGTGATAATTTGTGACTCAGCAGTAGAAAATAATGCATAGTATTCCTATTGCAATGATGTGGGTTTTTTCAATGTAATGGATGATCCAAATATCAATTTTAACATATTACTTAAAAACATTTTTAATATATTGCTATTTATTAATATAGTACTAGTCCTACTTTCGGTAGTTCAGGAGATGGGGCAAGATATACTGTAATTGTAGGAAACAATCACTCCAGCATCAGATTGACACTAAAAGTTGAGATTCCACTAGCCTAATCATTAATAACTTTTCATTTTGATACATATTTATATTCCTCCTTTCATTCTTTTATTCCTTCATTAAACTTTCCAGGCATGGATGGCTCGAAGATGAATATGATGGTTGCTTCTCTGAAGGCACCGCACTTCCACACTAACTCAGATTCAACTCAAGTGTGTGACTCACTTCAGATGTTCATTTATATCTGGTATTCTGTGCCACACTCCCACCACATACTCCCTCATTTATTTTAGTAAATTACCCACGGAAGGTTGTACTCTAAGAAGCCTAATTCTCTTTGTGTGTAGTTTTTCTCTGCAGCGTTTGTTTACGTTAGCTGGATATTTGCTCTACTGACACAGTGATTGATTTTATTTCACTGTTCAGTTTTATTATCTTTTCCTGTCTAGAACAAGATATAGCCTGCCATCTGCCTTTTGTTCACATAATTTTCATTCTGTCTTGGATAATGCAAATTCTTAATTTTGTAATAACTAAGTAAAATTGTCATATAATCTCAGTAACTAAATTTAATGGATCCTAAGGGAAAAAATTATAAATTATAACTCAATAACCCTCTGAGATTAAACACCAAAATATCTTCAAAATAATCAACTTACTTTAATCCTTTTTAACTTCTTTCAGATTTAAATGGGATGAGTTTAAATAACTTTGTTAGTTATGGAAAAATAAATTAACACATTTTCCAATTTAGAGTTATTTTAAAGAATCAAAGAGAAGAGGGAGTTAAAAATGTAAATCCTCTCTCTTAATATTTCACAACACTGTTTAGTTTTTCCTCTAGAATAAGCAAGGCCAAACACAATTTACAAGTTTGGTGTAAATACTAAGATCAAAAGACATTCTATTCACTATATATTTCACCACGAAAAGAAAATGTTATGTACTGGAGAAAGCAGTGTTACCAACCGTAACTTAGGCCAAAGTGTAAATTGAAGTCTTACTATAAATCTTAATGCCGCCACCTTGTGAATTGCCATGATTGATGTATCTTAAAAGGATTAAGACCACTTTACTAATATAGGAAATATTTATTTATGTATGTCATATAGTAGCATAAATACCAGATGGTGCAGATTTAAATATAAACAATACACAACATATGCTGAGAAAATTGCTGAATGTGTGTTAAATATTGGCAGGTCTTCCTAAAATATACATAAAGCACACTATTGATAAGAAAAAAATCACCATATTCAAATATACATACATTTCAAATAGTTATTAATACAGAAACATCATAATCAAAATAAATATGGAAAAGTTGACCTGGAGAATAATTGGTAAGACAACAGCAGGCAACAGGTACATATTTGTATCTTATAAAAAATAATGATTATATTCAAAAATAAGAAAAAGATAAGCATTCTAATAGAAAATGGGGCCAAAATGTGCATAATTAATTCATAAGAGAAGCATAAATACCCTGTAAGCATAAGAAGCAAACATGTAAACATATTAGTAAACAAATACATAAATTTATAATTTAATGAGTCATTTTCATCTATCAAAATGTTAAAAATATGAAATAATGTTGGAGATGGAATCTTGAAATAAAAGCATATGCACTGCTTATAGGAAACAAAATATTTCCTGAAGGACAATTTAGCAGTATATATAAAAATTCCAAAATAGGGAACAAAGATAGAATATCACCTCTGAATCAGAAATACTACCTCTAGGAATATATACTGCTGATGAGTCCATATTTATAAGCATGGAAAAATGCTTAAGTAGATTGGTTAAATGGTTCTGGGAATGTACATATACTCTTTATTAAGATGATGTGGTAGATTGATACTGATATTTTACTGTGTTAAGAAACAAGAGGTTAGAAGCAAGTAGCGAACACGTGTACATTACATTTATACTCTTGTAACTACATGGGATAAACATTTAATACATGTCATCTATTATATATGTAATACATATATGTAAAAGACAATGGGATGAAGATATTAATGGTTATATTTGGGTGACGATATTTTTGCCTGTATTTTCTAATTTTTCTAAAATAAATATGTACTGGTTTGGTAAACACTTTTTTACAAAGCAACAAATAGGAATTTCTGAAAAGATGTATTAAGTCTAGGAAAGCAAGAGTATGTACATTATTTTCTATGTTGGGTTAATTGACTCATCTATAATATCAGAAAAGAACCCATCAGTAGAGTTTTAATACAGTTTTCGAGGATATCACATTGCCATATACTGACATGTTGTTTTCAGACTAAATAATAACTCTGCTCTGTAATAGAATTTCTCCACCATTTATCTTCCGAGAGACATTCAACTGATGACTGACTTACTGCATGACAGATCCTGACGGTAAGCCCACCAGATACAGTATTGGCCTTTCTCTCCCCTTGATATGAGTGCGTACACCCTTGAATTCACTTTGGTAACTTAAAGACAGATAATAATTAGAAAAAAAATGTAGCCTTGGATTCATTCCAGGACTAATTATGACACGAGTTGTCAGGGTATCCTGGCTGGAAACTGCCACTCTCCATCAGCAGTCTCATCTTAACTTTTCTCATCACTGCCCTCTCCTGTCCCTGCTTGCCGCGCTGTACAGCGACGGCCACTTTGGCAGAAGGCTGGTTAGTCAAAGTCAGATTGCCTGAGAAATCTGCTACTTGGCATTTAGTTTCCCATTGCTGCTGTAGCAAATTAGCATATGTTTAGAAGCATCAGATAACACAACTTTATTATCTTACACTTCTGGAGTGCGGATTCCTAAAACAGGTTTTACTGGGCTGAGACCAGGGTGTCAGCAAGGCTGCTGCCCCATAAGAGGCTCCAGTGTAGAGTACATTTCCTTCCTTTTCCCGTTTCTAGAGCAGTATTTCTTGGCTCATAGCCCTTCTACTTTGTCAGAGCCACCAGAGTAGCATCTTTGTGTGCCTTTGTGATTTGCTGTTACATCACCTCTGTGCCTTCAGTCTCCATCTCTCTTTACTTGTTATTGCATTGGGCTTAACTGGATAATCCCGAATAATTCTTCATTTTGAAATCTTTATTCACACCTGCGAAATCCCTTTTTCCATATAAAGTAACATTCACAGGATGTGGGACTAAGATGTGGACAACTTGGAGAGCCATTATTTATTTGACCACAGTAGAATTTGTATTTCTGTGTTGTTTTTGCTTGTTTGTATTAAGCTGATGGGGTCTTTGACTGAAATTCTGAAAGCAATTATTAAGTTGACTTTAAGGCCAAAGGTATACAATGTCAACTGATAAAGATACATCTTAACACAAGTCTGCCTTCACACCTTGCTATTGAATAAGTGTTCTTTTATATAAAGAATTTATTTTTAATTTAAATATTTTATTACTGTAGAAAAAAATAAAAAAGTTAATCTGTCCTAAAGATTTAAATATGACTTTGGGCAAGTATAGATGTGTTTGAAATTTTAAAATAAAAGATAAACGTTTTTAGAACCAGAATCACAAAGTAGCCATTTCAGAAAATTGTTTTGCTTTTGAAAAAGATCTGAAATGGAATTACAATGTGTAAGAGCACATGTTCAGTGTCAGCCAGTTCTTCCACTTTCTTACGTGTGATGCCTGGACTTTAATCTTCAATTTCCTTTCTGTAAAACAGAGAAAACATCACAGGGCAACTGAAAGTTTTAAATGTATGTCTGGAACGTAGCAAATGGTCAGCAGAAGGTGGCTAGTATTGTATCCGTTAGTGAGATAACAACATACTGAAACTTGGGTAGTTAACACTTTCAAATACAGTGAGGCTATTGAGCAAAGGAAAATGAAATAAAATTGTATAATCTACCAGAAGCCAACCAACCCTCCTTTCCTCCCTCATTTCTTTCCTTCCTTCCTTCCTTCCTCTTACCTCCCTTCCTTCCTGTTTTTTTTAAAGCTTTTGATTGAGTTTGATGGCACCATAAAGAAAACAACTGTCAAAAGTATTCTAATATTTGAAATGAATTATCGATGGACTTTTATTACTGATATGGTTACTTAAACCATTGAAGAAGTATTATGTGTACAGACATGTAGTTTGATGAAATACTTAAAATTTAAAGTTAATTTTCTTAAGTAATTTGACCAAAACAAGTATCTTAAGTAATTTTGCTTCTTTGCCTATTCATTGAGTTACTGAGAAAATATTGCAGAACTTTCCATCGAACCATTTAGAATAATTTTTTTAAATAAAGTGTGTGGGTCTGCAAGGAATCACTTGGACAAGAATAAAGGCAGGAAATTTCCTGTAATTTTTAGTAGAATCATTGGGAATAATACATATTAATGTGTCTGATTCTAGCTTTACAACCATTGTGGTTTATGTCTGCCCCTGAAAATACACAGCATATGTTTGTTATATGGAAACAGAAAATTATTATTTTTAATTGATAGCCTCTGAACTAGCAGATTTTTAAGCTTGAGGTCATGGTGATGTGTTTACGCTTGGCTCTAATCTTCATTTACTGCAGGCCCCCTTTGTGGGACTTGGCATGTTCAATGAGAGCAAGTATTGCACCTTTATAAAAGAATAATGTGTCTAAACTAGCCACCTGCTACTGACATGTACATATTATGAAAACCAACACTGGCCCACATGTCCAGGGCCTAATAGTAATCAGCATGCAGATGCCAAAGATATTTAATACCCTCCTTATTGTAATTGTAATGTCTAACTACACACATTGAAGAGATCATTGTGGGGCTGAATCAAGGCAGACATAATGGAAGTATAAAAGTATGTAGTAATTTCTAGGGAAGATAAAATAATGGATACATTATGATAATAACGGATAAATTCACCCCACATACAAGGAAAGATTTTTTATATATGGAATGTAAGTTTCCAATGAAGATGTGTTTCTTAATGTAATATCTCTCAGAACAGTAAGAATATGTAATTTTTGCACAAAGATTGGGGAGGAATCTCATAAATATGTGTGAGATCAAATTGAAATTTGTGAACAGAATTTCTTGTATAAAAACAGATTAATATATGTACATCTTGATAATACTGGATATTTTCAAAGTAAAAGTCATATTGGAACAGAGTTTTGAAAACATATTGATTTTTCAAAACAACTATGAAGGTGATAAAGGACATGAAAAAAAGATACACAAATCTATTTCTGGCCTCAAGTCTGGTCACCATTTTTCAAATAAAATGTCATTTCCTCTAATTACATAGCCTATGGGCCATTTTAAGTTTCAATGTGCTGACAAGGGAAATTTTTCCATTTGTTTTGGAAAAAAATTGTTTTGTGGGAAGTTCTGATGGCCAAATATATTTTATATATTTTTTATATTTTTGTTTGTGTAGAGTACCACAATTAAAAATGATAGTAGCAAGCTACACACACACACACACACACACACACACACACACACATATTTTTTTTTTTCTGAGACTGAGTCTCACTCTGTCACCCAGGCTGAAGGGCAGTGGCACAATCTCGACTCACTGCAACCTCCACCTCCTGGGTTCAAACGATTCTCCCCGCTCAGCCTCCTGAGTAGAGGGATTACAGACATGCACCACCACACCAGTCTACTTTTTGTATTTTTAGTAGAGATGAGTTCTCACCATGTTGACCGAGCTGGTCTTGAACTCCTGACCTCAAATGACCCACCCACCTCGGCCTCCCGAAGTGCTGATATTACAGATGTTAGCCACTGTGCCCAGCCAAGCTATGTATTTTTAATGACATTTTTGAAGTTTTTAAAAATTTGCATCTTCAGTTGATTACTCATAATTGATATCTCTAATGTTTTATTTTCTTTCAAGTTTATTTTTTAAAGTTTTGCTGTTATTTAAAAATTTAAGATCATTGTCAGACATTAATGAGAAGATGGCATTTAATATTCATTGTGTTGCTTAAATAATTTTTATTCTGGCCTGGCACTGTGGCTCACGCCTGTAACCTCAGCACTTTGGGAGGCCAAGGTGGGTGGATCATGAGGCCAGAAGTTCAAGACCATCCTGGCCAAGATGATGAAACCCCATCTCTACGGAAAATACAAAAATTAGCCAGGCACAGTGACAGGTGCCTGTAATCCCAGCTACTCGGGAGGCTGAGACACGAGAATTGCTTGAACCTGGGCAGCAGAAGTTGCAGTGAGCTGAGATCATGCCACTTCACTCCAGCCTGGACAACAGAGTGAGACTTCATCTCCAATTAAAAAAAAAAAGAATTTTTATTGTGATATATAGTCTGTCACCAAGTATTTATGAAGCATCTACAAAGTGGTACATCTGGTTGCCAGACTTTTTAAGAGGAAGCAACAAGGCACAGATAAGTTAACTCAAAGGGATCAGCCCAAGCCCTAGTATGTATTGTGGGAAAACCAACATGGGTGATGTGGTGGGAAGGATGAGGGCAGGATGACCTGGTGGTTATGGTGGGTGACATCTGAGGTTAGGAAGAATTCTATAAATGTTTAGGGTGAGCAGAGGCTGTGAGAATATAAATCACTTGCTGTGTACTAAGGGGTACAAGGAGTTTGGAAATTAACCTAACATTATTGGAAAGTGTTTTGGGGTGTCTTCAACAAAGTGAAATGTGGCCTGATTTATACTTTCAGATGGCCAAGGTCCCCATGGTTTCTGTGTCCCTGAACTCCATGTAAGATTGCTGTCAGTGAATGGTGGCCTGGCTCATTCACAGCAGTGGAGACCTCAACAAGAGCTTTGTATTGAGATAGAGCCATGCAAGAGATGGCCACTGGCTCAACGGTATCCGGGGAAGAAAGGACCCAAGGATGGTCTTGAGCCTTTCGCCTGAACACCTGAGGGGATGGTTGTGCCCTTTGTTAATGCCAGGAAGGTGTGGGAGGTGAGAATTAAAAAGGAAAATGTGGATAAGAGGAAGAGGGTGATAATCATTTTGCTTAGGCCCATCAGCCATATTCTGTTTGCGATGGTAATTACAGTTCCAAATGGAGACGTTAAGTAGGAATTTCAATATTCAGGGTAAGTCTGGATCTCACACAGTAGTCAGAGCTGGGGATGTAAGCCCCCTCGTTAGTGGGGGCTCTGTGTCTGATGAAAATTGCCGAGAGAGAGGACAGAGGAAATAAGGGACCTGTGACAGCCTCAGGGGGCTCAGCTACAGGGGTCTGTAAGACACTAGCATAGCGGCCTGAGAAGGCAGGGGGAAAATCACCTTAGTTACCTGAACTGATAAACATTAGTAATAAATAAAAGTAAGTATGCTAGATTTTGCTCTTCAATGTGAATTCATGACCTAACTATAGAATGTTGATATGTGTCATATTTACATATTCATGTAAGTGTTAAGCTTTGCTTCCATCCCTCACCAAACAGAGTAATAGATTCTAGACCATCCCAAGGGTTAGAAGTTTTAATTTAAAAAAGTAAGCTTTAGTAAATATTCAAGGCTGATAAAAGTTGAACCCAAGAAATAAAGCAAGAAGATGTAAATGTACTCTGATATGGTTTGGCTCTGTGTCGCCACCCAAATTTCACCTTGAATTTTAACAATCCCCACGTGTCAAGGGCTGGACCAGGTGGAAATAATTGAATCATAGAGACAGTTTCCTCCCATGCTGTTCTCATGATAGTGAGTTCTCATGAGAACTGATGGTTTTATAAGGGGTTTCCCCCTTCGCTGATTGTCACTTCTCTCTCCTGCCACCATGTAAGAAGTGCCTGTTTTGCCTTCCAACATGAAGACACTGTAAGTTTCCTGAGGTCTCCCTAGTCATGTGGAACTGTGAGTCAATTAAACCTCTTTTCTTTATAAATTAGCTAGTCTTGGGTATTTCTTCACAGCAGCCTGACAACGGACTAATACATACTCCAAGCTGTTTCCTCCCCCAGCTGCTTTTCCATACGTGTTTGTGAGCATTTCCATTCAAATTAAAGATCAGGGAATGATGAAGAATTAATAAAGAGCAGAAGTAGGAGACCTAGAGGTGTGACTGTGGCTGTGTGGTGTGTGTATGACTGTGTTTGAATGTGTGAGTGTGTGTGTGAATGGTGTGTGTGTTTGTGAGTGTGTGTGTGGTGTATGAGTTTGTGTGACTCTGTGTGTGAGACAGCCTGTGGCTGTGCCCACACAGGCCAGCACAGAGCTGGGTGTTTTAGACGAAGCTCAAAATTAAAGAAGTTAAAATAATTTGAGGAAAGCAAGAAGCAAGAATGTCTGAAGAGAACAAGATGAGTGGACTGGGGAGGGGAGGTGAAGAGAGCCAGACCCTAAGTCCAGGGAACATGTGTTCCAGTGGTGTAATGAGTCTTTAGGAGAATATGATCAAGGATCACTTCGTTTTCCAATTTTTCGTGATGTAATATGATGACTTATTTGACGTTGAACAAATTACCAATGATAGTTTTATTAACCATAAATCATGGATAGTTGAAACATCAGTGTCTCAAATCTGCCTGTTTTTATTTCAATGTGTTTTAATATTTCTTGAATATTATTTAGCAGATTTCTGGATTTCAAAAAAAAAAACGAAATCTAATAGAATAAGCGTAGTGGATTCTGCATTAAAGTAGCTATTATAAATTAAAAACCTTTAAGTTACAGAATTGAAACAGTGTTAATCCACATGAGATAAACACTAAAATCGGAGGTACATCTATAACTAGACCTTTCACATTAAAAAACAATGTGTTCTATGATTCTTTATTAAATACATTATGTAAATCTACCTTTATTTTGAGTGTTGTGGCTTTATTTTATCTTCTCCTACATGACTAAAATATGTAAGAGATTTGTCGTCCCCTGCTACATAATTTGCTTATTTAAAGAATTAGTAATGTATAGGTTTAGGAGTTACTGCACATGCTTTCATGGTTTATTTTAATCATCCCCATGAGGGAGTCAAAAGCTCCTTCACTGAAGTCTGATGTAAGTTCGCCACCTTGTGGTAATAATGGGAATAGATGAGGGTTTAAAAACAGAATTCAAGAGTAATGAAGCAATAGAGCAAAGCAAAGGTGCTATGTAAAAACTATTTTCCTGATTTAAAAATCTGAAAGAGAAAATTAACTTTTTTGATTAACATTTCGTATTTTTTCATGCAAACTTATGAGTTATCCTTTAATTACAAAACTTTTTTGTGTGTTTTTAATGTATATATACATATACTTATACATAAAAGTATATATGGAAAATTTCTCCAAAAAAGGTAAATATAATTTCAGTAAATCCTAGAAATCATCACTGCCAACATTTTGGCTTTTGCATTTCTGAAATAATTTACATAAGTGCATTGGTATGTGAGTTTTCATAAATTAAAAAGTGTATTCTCAGTTTAGCCGGGCGTGGTGGTGCATGCCTGTAATCCCAGCTACTCTGGAGGCTGAGGCAGGAGTATCACTTGAACCCAGGAGGCAGAGGTCGCGGTGAGTGGAGATCGCGCCATTGCACTCCAGCCTGGGCAACAAGAGCGAAAATCAGCCTCAAAAAAAAAAAAAGTGTATTCTAATTTTTTACCCAACTTTACATGTTAATAATCTCCCACCCTATTCTATGTTCTTTTAAGAATTAAGAATTCCATCACTATAATGATTTCTGGACACAATGGAACACTTTGCCAAGTTTTAGTTTTTAAAATTTTAAGTGGTAAACAAGTAAGATTGGAAATATTTGGATTAAACAAAGTTAAACAGGCATATTTTACCTCATGACTTCTTTGAATCTTTCAGTGGGTGCAAGGCCCTGAGACTCACCAAAACTAACATACCATATTTCTTAGTCTTAAAGGTCCTCTCCTCAGCAAAATATTGTACTAAATTTTGTTTCCAAAGAATTTATTATAAAGTATTTGAATAAATGTTAACTGAAGATTATTTTATTGGAATTTTTAAATTAGAGTTAAGGTACCCATAGATAACATCAAAATCAGGATGTATCTACTAAATTACTGTGAAGATTTTGTTACTAAAATTATAAGCTGATACTGTCCCTGTTATCCAAGCCTCAATTCTATCGGATCATTTACATGTCTGCAAAAACATTTCTTTTAGATTGCAGCCCAAGGTTGAGAGCTATTCTGTTCTACATATGGCCTGGCTTGCTTTTCCAAGATGGGATCTGAATGTCTCTCTTAACAATTGGATGTTAGAAAATACCTGTTATCTTGATGGTCTCATTAAACTGTTAAAAAAAGAGTATCACAGCTAAATATCTTACACAGCTAAACCTTCCTCCTATTAAGTAGTACAAACACATTCCAATACGTATTTGTATTTTATTTAATATGCATAATTTATGTTTTCTGCTTTTCTTGTAGAATTGAAACATAGTATTTCATATTAGACTTGGTTGTAGCAAAGGCATATTCTCCAAGGTACAAAGATAACTAGGAGGTCTTAGCTTCAGAGAACTCCTTGACGCGACTTTCAAATATGCATTCTCGTGTAGTCTTAACAAGGGATCTGTGAATGATTTTCTTCACTTTACAAATTAGAAAATTTAATGTCAGTTAAGTCACGTTTATATCATACATCTTAACATTTTATATCATACATCTTAACATTTTATATCATACATCTTAACATTTTATGTCATACATCTTAACATTTTAAGTTTTTTGTTTTGTTTCATTTGCTTTTGTTTTGGTAACGGTGGTGGTAGTTCAAGAACAGGTAACATTCTTTTGTCATACACCATATGACAGTATCTGTTATGGTTTTTAAAGATCTATCACATTTAATTCTTAAATTTTATGTAATAGTTATAATTATCCCCATTATATAGATATAAACAGAAACTGAAAAAGTTAGTGAATTTGCTCAAGATCACGTAACTCACGTTGGAAAATCAGGCATATTGATTCCACAGTCTCTGCACAGTACTCTCCTAAAACGGTTTACAATTCTGTCTTGTAATGTTTGTATTCATGCTGCTGACACTATACGGCATTCTGTGCATTATTAAGTCGCTTGGGTAAGTATTATCTTTATCCCCATTTTACAGATGTGGTAACTGAGCAACTTACAGGTTAATCAGCTCAAGGGCAAAGAGTGTGAAAGAGGCAACCCTGGGAGTCAGAGACCAGGTGGCCAGGATGCAAGGGACTTAATCACTGCACACCACACACTCTTATAAACCTGCTTTTGCTCACGAGGAAGCAATCTGTCCTTAAGGATTATCGCTCCTGACAGCCCAAATCACAGCTGGGCTCTCTGTCCTGTTGGCAGGACTCTTCAATCCCAGGCTGATGTGTGTGGAGAAGTACTCTCTGAGCTGTGTTTAATCTACAGTCTATTGCACAGCCACAAATGAATGCTTTGCACAAATGCATATGTATTGGTGTATGTGGGAGGAGGAAACAGTGAAGAAAGGTTCATTTTGAAGTGTTGTAGTGTCTACTTTCTAGGTGAGTGCTTTAAATCAAGAGCAATGATATGCTTATACACAGGACATTATTTTGGCTGACTAGAATATTTTGCTTCATTAATAGAAATCAATTTCCATCTTCTTTGGGTCGTTAGATCTGGATGATAAAATGGTGATGTCAATAAACCCAATAAAGTGAAATCAAGTTAGTTGGAGGGTCTCGTGTCTAAATACAATTTCAAGTAGTTCAGTGACAAAAAGCAATAGCAAATCGTTCCATCTATGTTCTTAGTGTTTTAACGTCAATGGGAAGCTCTATTTGCTATTCTGATAGAAACAAGTATAAAGTTGCGTGTCCCCTCTTGTGACCCTGGAAACTGTGTGAGGTACTTGGCATTTGGATTGTTACTTCTTTGGCTGCCACTTTATTACAAATAAATTTTGACTTTCCTTGAAATCACTAGGAAATAAAGCAGCTGGTTTATAAGGGACAATAGCTTAAATGATGAATATTGAATCTCGTAAGTAGAATAAGTCTTATGTAAATTGGTCGAGGAATATGTGCTTTGTCAGAAATAGTGAAAGAAGCAAAGACAGGATGCTGAGTTTAGTTTCTGAGAATACATGCTGCCCATAGCCACTACATGCTGCGTTGGAGACCGTGGCCTTGATTGGAAGACCATGGCCTTGAAGGTTAGTTCTCAACCAATAAACACATTTGTCAGAGTCTTCTGCTCTCTGGAATACTAAGGTATGCAACCCAGTCAGAGTTAACCTTTTGCTAAGTAATATTAATCAGTTAAAATATCTGTTGAATATTTACTACAAGCCTAGTAAGCTTAAGCCATTATGAGCGATTAAACATAAACATTAATTTTTAAAAAAGCATAGTCACAAGCCTCAAATATATACAAAAAAGATGATAAAATATACTCTTAAAACTTTAAAAATTACATGTGAAATAGGACTTAAGGAACAGCTAAGTTTTCTGATAGATTGGAATAATATTGTAAGACTGTTTAAGACAGGTTTATAGATTATAGGGTTCCGATGTGATTTGGATGGCAGAGTGGAGAAGGGGTATCTGGGGCAGGTAGAAGGAGGGAGTGGTGTGTGGACACGGTGCCGGATAGGTCAGGAGTGTGCTAGGAGCAATGGGCTACACACATTGGTGCACCGAGTGCACGCAAGTCGTCGAAAGAGCAATGAGAATGTAGGCTTGATTTGGTCTATTGGTGCCATTGTAGTTCTTAACCAGGAGAGAAATGAGAGTCTTTAGTGCATCATTGCATATATGCATTTCTGAGAGAGAGATTCAGACAATAACGAGGAAATTCGGAACCCAATATAATATTATACTTTGGGTGTCTATAAAACAAAATTTATTTTTGCCAAAGGTATGTACAATTTTATACATTGCTACTTTTTTGTTTGTTTGTTTTTGTTTGTTTGTTTTGAGATAGGGTCTTTCTCTGTCACCCAGACCCAGGCTGGAGTACAGTGGCGCAATCTCGGCTCACTGCAACCTCCACCTCCCAGGTTCAGGTGATTCTCCTGCCTGAGCCTCCCGAGTAGCTGGAATTGCAGGCATGTGCTACCATGCTCAGCTAATTTTTATATTTTTAGTAGGGACGGGCTTCACCATGTTGGCCGGGTTGGTCTCGAGCTCCTGGCCTCAGGTGATTCGCCCACCTCAGAGTCACTAAGTGCTGGGATTACAGGCGTGAGCCACCACGCCCAGCCTCTACATTGCTTCTTAACCATATCAGGATTTGCTTACTTGTTTTTATTTTTCATTTGCACAGCAATTCTTTATTAGCAAAAGTAAGGAAGAAAATACATGGAGAAATACCTAGGATATTACAAACACCCCCACCCCCCTCCTCCACACACACACACACACACACACACAAAGAAAAAAAAAGCACCACAAACAAAAGGGAGGCTAACTCCTAATTAACTGGCATATTTGCATAATTATTTAATGTGAAAAAGCATGTTAAAATGTGATTTATTGACATTCCTGAATTACTTATTGCATTCTTGGTAAAACCACTAATATGTAGTAACTGATCCTGGAACATTGATAGTTTCACAACTACCAAGCAGCAGAAACAGACACAATCCCATTTGGATTATTTGGAATTCAAATTTCAGTGCTCTTACCAACATACTAATGCACTTCACTCGATTACCAGAATGCAATGTTATTTTTATTTATATGTTTAAATTTTAAACTACCCCTTCCTATTTAATAATTATAATAATTTTTCCAACTCATAGAAGGTCGGTAAATATATAATTTTTAAAGGTATTTCCTACTTGATGGGTAATTATACTTTCAAAACGTATACTACAATTTGTTAGGTAATAAGTATTTTAAGCATTTTTACAAAAGCATTTTACAACCATTCTAATATAAACTTTGCCAAAATCTCCTTTATATGCTGCATACAAATTTTGACAACATTCACTATCTAATTAACAGACCTTATCAATTCTGCAAAAGCCATTATAGTCAGCTACAGAAATTCAAATTTAGTTGCTTACTAAAGAGCAGGTCTTTACAATAATATACTGGATTGTTAAATTTTACATTATGAAAGGTTTATACAGAACAGTACTTAACAAATCATTAGCAAAATAAAGTGTTAAGCGTGATACTTTTTTTTTCAAAATGACTACTACATATTTTCTACTCTTAATTTTCATTTTCCAAAATTACTATTATATGCTTTTTACTCTTTAACCAGGAACATAAAGTCAAAATGAACAGAGAGGGAACTGTTTGGGTTGGGGGAGGAGGTAGGGGATGAAGAACCAGGAAGAATCACATTGCTTGAATTAGCTATTTCTTTGCCTTACTTTTGGTTTTCAGAATTTGAGTGTTTTTTTTTAAAGGATTTCTCTCGGAGTATTAAAATACAGTAAGTTGCCTTAAGTATATTAAATTGCAAAGTATTGTTTTGACAGTTGTGGTTAGTGTAGCAAATATAGTAAAGAAGCTAACTCTAAAACTTATGTAATATACAGTTTTGAAAGTGAAAAATAAACTCATTATAACATGACTGCAGTGTCTAAATAGTACTGATCATTAATATATCTTCATTTGTCAATCATTGGAAATTCATATGTTTCATGTGCAATAGATTTTGCTAGAATGCCTGTCCTTAAAAGGATTGTAGAGCCTTTATTGAAAAAAAGAAACACTAGAATTGCATTTTATCTGATACATGGAGTGAATACAAAGGTAAAAACAAAAGTTAGCTTTAAAAGCACTTTCTGTAAGCAACCATCCACAATGCAATATTACTATAAAGACTGATCACTTAAAATATTCTGTCACTCCAATAATGAAAGAAATGTATTTTTCCTTATATTGAAATCATATCTAACATTTTACATTGCTATATTAAACTCATGTTTTCTCATCATTATTTAGCCATATTTTATACCTTCTTGAAGTTCATATTTTACCTCTCAGTCCCCTCAATGTGCATTGTAATCTGGAGATAATGATCATTGTACATCAAATCACTAGAATGTATGAAATACATGCGTAGTAAGCTAATTTTATCACCATATATATTAAATGTAATAAGCATAATATATTTTTTATGTTGTTCAGGATTAATTTTTTCATGATTCTGAATTTCCATGGCATTTTGTTTTTTCGTATTCTTAAGTAATGTTACAGGGTTTGCTTTAGTGTATGTTATTCATTAGTACTTGGTAAGTATATGTTTTTCAAAATTATTTAAAAATTTCTATTAGGTGTTTTTGCACAGTAAAACTAAATTTATACATTCTTTCTGTATAAAGTATAATTTATGCCCATGGTAGATGCTTCAGGTTTGCTAAATAAATATGCCTACTTAAAAAAATGTGGATAATGTTCTTCATTTTAATGATGGAAAATACCCTATGGCATTTTTACAAGCTGAGCCTCTCTAGAGGAATGCCAGCACTCTTAGTAACACAAGAAATAATTACCACTACGGCACCGTTTCTGAAAATCGCACGGCAGATCATTTATCTCAGTTTGTGGCAAATTATTCTAATCTTTTTTTTTTAGATTTGTAATGTGAGTGATTTACTACTGAATGTCAGTTATAACTTTCCTCCTTTGTCTTGTTCTTCTTCTTTTTAGCTCCTTGTGAAGGCAACACATTCTTCTGCCATAGTAACATGTGTATTAATAATACTTTGGTCTGCAATGGACTCCAGAACTGTGTGTATCCTTGGGATGAAAATCACTGTAAAGGTAATGATTAGTGCCTGAAATTTGAAAAAAATTTCCTCCCTGTGGAGTGGGGTAGAAGTTTATATGTATCAATCAGACAGTCTTTAAAATAAGAGTGTATAGTGCCTTTTATGACCACCGCATATGTCTTATAATTGATTTGTAAGCGTTTTTCTTAGCCTTTACTCATGCTCTGTCCAGATGTTCCGTTATTAGTGCACAGTGGACTATCCTCAGTACTTGAATTCTCATTAAAGACATCACCTTATTAGAGCCTGCAGAGCTATGAAAACGGGAGCTTTCAGGGGAGCACACTACTTTCCTGTCATGTGTGATGCTGTCTGCTTGTGGCTACACGTCTCATTCATTCCAGTTTGTCTTGATTGGACTTTGTGTACATACTCTAGAGATAAAATGTCTTGAACTAGCATTTGTACTTTCAGTTACTTCCAGCTACTTCACTCCACTTCAGTTTTGCTACGAAAATGCTTTTCTTCCTTTCCCGGGAACATAGCTCCCAAAGCCCTTGCCTCCTTCCCTTGTCTATACACAAAGGCTTGTTTATGTGAACAGGGATCGTTGGCTGGATTATGGATGTTGCATGTTTTAGTTAAGATGAAACTGCCATGTGAAGTATTTTACTGAGATCCAATATTAAACAGTTGACAAAAGAAGATAGGCAAATAACTCTTTCATGCTTGAAGTCCAGTATTATCTACTAAAAGCCTTCTGTGCATAGAAGTAAAGAAGTAATACCACAGTATTCATTGTTTCATACAGTCAGTAGGAGAGGCAGTTACACTATCAACTATTTTGTTGTTGATTACTTTCGTAATCCATTACTTTTGAATGGATTAGAAATTTACTAAGTGATCTTATTGCAGACCTGTTAATAATTCGTGGTCACCACTGGCTTTGTTTTGCCCTATATAAACGTGGTCCCATGTGTGTAAGAAATATTTGACATGCAACAAATGTGAATGGATGTGCATTATGAAAGTCCATATTTATTTTTTTCAGAAAGAAAAATGATTCCTTTAGCCTTTAATTCATTCTCTTGTGATAGGGGAAAAATTGCATTCATTTCTAGTTTATGGAGGTTATGCCTATGGCGAGCATGTAGTGTAGCCTAAAGTTTGTCCCATGTGCACTTGAAAAGAATACGTATTTGCTGTTGTTGAGTGGAGTGTTGTATAGATGCCTGTTATGTCTGCTAGGCATAAGCCTATAAACTTAAACAAGCTATAAAGCATTGTTCAAGTCTTCTGTTTGCCTTTGATTTTCTGCTATGTTTTATCCATTATTGAAAGTGGGTGTTAAATTTTTCAGCTATCATGGTTGAATTGTCTACTTCTCTCTTCACTTCTGTAAAATTTTTCTTTCATGTAATTTTAAGCTTGGGTGCTAAATTCATATATGTGTGTAATTGTTATATCTTCCTCATGACGCTTTTATCACTACAAAACAATCTTCTAGAGTTTAGTGCAGTTTTTTGTCTTGAGTTATATTTTTTCTGGCATTAGTATAGCCACTACATCTTTCTTATGGTTTGGTTTCCATTCTTCTTTTCCACGTTTTTACTTTCAGTCTATCTGCATGTTTGAATATAAAGTGTTTCTTTTGTAGACAGTCTATATTTGTATCTTATTTTTTATCCAGTCTGAAAATCTTTGCCTTTACATTGGGTTCTTTAATCCATTCACATTTAGTACTGTCATTGATATAGTTGGACTTATATATTCCATTATACTTTTTGTTTCTAAATGTCTCATGTATTTTTTCTCTTTTCCTTCTTTATTGCTTTCTTCTGCCTTAAGTTAGTATATTCTAGTCCAACATTTTAATTATTTTAGAGTTTTTAATGCATTGTTTTACTTTCTTAGTTGCTTTAGGACTTAAAACATACAGCTTAGCTTCTCAGAATGTATTAGATTTCTACTAACTTAATTATAGTGAGACATAGAAACATTCTTCCTATATAGCTCTATTCTCTTTTCCTTTTTCCAATTATATTTGTACCTATTACATTTTTAAACGTTACATACCCAACAATACATTGCAATAATTATTACTTTATATAACTGTATGTCTTTTAAAGTGGTTGGGAGAAGAAAGGACAGCAAGTATATTAGTGTAACTTTTTATATAATCCTTCTGATTTACTATTTCTGGTTCTCTTCATTTGTTTTTCTAGATTTGCATTACCCTGGTGTCATTTCCTCACCCAATAACATTTTAGCTCCCACCTTGTTTATACTATATTGTCACCAAATATATTGCATTTATGTAAGCTATAGTCCAACATTACGATTATATACATAGAACATTGCTTTTTTAAAAGAGTTAAGTGAAGACTGCAGAAGAAAGATGCCACTCTACTGTCCTTTGCAATTATTTACATATTCACTGTTACAGACCTTACTTGCTTCCCTGTTTAATTTAGTATCTGTTCAATTTTTTCATGTGGATTTGAGTTACTGTCTGAACTCACTGGTTTTCAACATGAACTCTCTTCCATATTTATTTTAAGGAAGCTCTTTTATCATTGAATTATCTTCATTTTTGCCAGTCTCACAATGTCTTTCATTTGTGAAGGCAGGTTTGCTGGATAATGGGTTTTTGGTTGACAGGTATCTGCTGGGGTTTTGTTGTTGCTGTTGTTTGGTTTTATTTTGTATTGCTTTTGCTTGCAGCACTGCATGTGTCATCATGTTGCCTTCTGGCCTCCACTGATGATAACTCAGGTGTTAATTTGATTGAGGCTCCTTTCTATGATGAGTTTTTTTTTTCCTCTGTTGCTTTCAAGGTGTTTTATTTATTTATTTTAATGTTTTCAATATCATATGCCTTTGTGTGGATCTCTTTGCATTTATCCTACTTGGAATTTGTTGAACTTGGATGTGAGTTTTCTAATTAAGTTTGGGAAGTTTTAGCTCCTCTAGTTTTTTGTTGTTGTTGTTTTTCCTGTTACTTTCCATCTCTCCTTTGTTTCTTATACTCCCATTACAGTATGTTAGTGTGCTTGTTGATTTGCCACATTTTTTTTTCTGAGGCTCTGTTATTGTTCTGCCTTCTTGTTTTGAAACTCATTTTCATATTGCACTATTCGCATGCCTCTGTCTTTATAAAGTTAGCTGATACTTTCTTCTTCCAGCTGAAATGTACTGTTGAGGCTCCAGGAAGTTATCATGTTAGTAATTGTACTGTTCAATTCTAGACTTTACATTTTTATATGATTTATATTTCTTCATTAATATTCTCTATTTGATGAGCATTGTCCTCATTTTCTTTAGCTTCTTCAGTCATAGCTTGCTTTAGTTCCTTAGACATATTGATTATAGCTGCTTTGAAATCTTTGCCAACTCCAATATCCGGCTCCCCAAAGGGTCTTTTCATTGCCTGCTTTTTTTTTTCCTATATATACACTTCGCTTTACTGTTTCTTTACATGTATTATAATGTTTTGTTGAAAATCACATGTTAGATTAGTAGCATCTCTGAATACTAACTCCTTCCTCCCAGGACTTGTAGTTTTTCTTGTTTGTTTCTAAATGTAGACTTGGCTGGACCATTTTAGTGAAGCCTCTGATGCTGCACCACAGAGGCCACCGCCTTGGACTTCGCACCATCAGCCTTGGGCAACACGGTTTTAACAGGGCTCTCTGTGCCTCTCTCATTTCCTGTTCTCTCTATTTAGCTATCACCTCTGTTGGTATTGCAGCCAGTTGTTAGTCTCCACCAATTGCCGGCTGATTGCTCTACTGCTTTTGACAGTGCCCAAGATCATAAATTTTTCTACAGTCTAGTCAATTAAATTTAATTAATTGCAAGGGTAGTCCTTGAGTCTAGCCTTTGTGAGTTGTTATAACCCAGGAGGACTCTCATTAGCTGTTACTCTCCTAGCTCGTTCTGTTAAACTTCTAGATGTTCTAAGGTTCGTCTTATGGCTCTTAAGACACTAACTGTCTCTTAATTGCATACTTAATTGCACACTGCCTCTTAAATGCATACAGCACTCGGTATTCCCAGGTGGTCTCCTATCCAAGTACCAGCCAGGCCCTCATAAAACACTAAGAGGCAGTTAGTGTCTTTAGAGCAATAAGACGAACTTTCGAATGTCCAGAAGCCTGTGCATACCACAAAATCTCCATAGTTTTTGAAATTATCATTAGGCTTAAGTTTCTCCACACACCATTTCAAATAAACTAACTTTATTTAGGGGAAGCTATAATGCTTTCTGTACTTTCAGCCTGACTCTCTTTCTGGGCACAGCTTCTTCTGGGTCGGGGCAGGAACAGTGGTACAGGTCTGTTTATGCACAGAGCACTTGGGTGAGGTTGCTAACATGTGGTGTTGTCAACTTGCCACTCCAGGCAGCTCTCCTGTGTCAGCAAACTTGGGTAAGCATGATCCAAGCCTGGCATTCTCCACTGGAGACACCTGGTGTTGAGCTCCTGCCCTCCAAGTGAAGGCTGAGAGGAGGAACCTCGGGAGCCCCAGACATCTCAGCCACTCAGGCCAGAAAAGAAGCATGTCCAACATGGACCTGGTTGGGCATTGAGAAATGCTGGTAGCTTTCCCCTTCTAAGGAGATTCCATAACTCACTTAACTGGGAGCTGCAGGGAGAGGGTGCCCTGCGTTCTTGTCCACACCTCCCTGAGTAGGGTTCCCATCGTGGTGAATCAAGAGTGGAGGAAGCAAGTCATGGCTCAAATGCCACAGACTCTCACTGGTCCTAAGGACATTTAGTAGATTGGTTTATATAAATATATTTCCACTTGATGTACATCATTAGGACAATTTCCTGAGTTTCATTAAACCAGGCTTTAATTGGTTGAGTTTTTAAAATAATTTTCTACCAGTTGTGATTATTTCATTTGGGAAAGAGTCCATGCCATCATTCCAAAAGTGTGTGTCTTCAGATTGAATTGAATTATCCTTTGGTATCAGAATATTGTTGTTACTTTATAGATAGATTGTGTGTGTGTGTGTGTGTGTGTGTGTATTTTAAGATGAGATGCTGGACGATGGGGAGGGGGGCTATTTTTAAGACTGGTCAGTGTATTTTTTGTGAAAAAAGAGACTTTGTATTTATTTTAAAATATTTTCTTAACCTACGATAGATTAGATAGATAGAGGATTGTGTGTGTGTGTGTGTGTGTGTGTGTGTGTGTGTGTGTGTATTTTAAGCTGAGATGCTGGGCAATGGGGAGGGAGGGCTATTTTTAAGGCTGCTCAGTGGATTTTTTTGGTGAAAAACGAGACCTTGTATTTATTTTTAAATATTTTCTTAAGTTATTATAAGCCTGTAAAAATTCTGTGCTCAGCCTGCTTTACTTTAAGTTTTTAATACACATTTTGACTATAATATTAATGTTTGCTGCGTTGCTTCTTCTTTTGTCCGTTTGTTGTTTTCACTCTCTCCAACCTATAGAGAAGAGGAAAACCAGCCTGCTGGACCAGCTGACCAACACCAGTGGGACTGTCATTGGCGTGACTTCCTGCATCGTGATCATCCTCATTATCATCTCTGTCATCGTACAGATCAAACAGCCTCGTAAAAAGTATGTCCAAAGGAAATCAGACTTTGACCAGACAGTTTTCCAGGAGGTATTTGAACCTCCTCATTATGAGTTATGCACTCTCAGAGGGACAGGAGCTACAGCTGACTTTGCAGATGTGGCAGATGACTTTGAAAATTACCATAAACTGCGGAGGTCATCTTCCAAATGCATTCATGACCATCACTGTGGATCACAGCTGTCCAGCACTAAAGGCAGCCGCAGTAACCTCAGCACAAGAGATGCTTCTATCTTGACAGAGATGCCCACACAGCCAGGAAAACCCCTCATCCCACCCATGAACAGAAGAAATATCCTTGTCATGAAACACAGCTACTCGCAAGATGCTGCAGATGCCTGTGACATAGATGAAATCGAAGAGGTGCCGACCACCAGTCACAGGCTGTCCAGACACGATAAAGCCGTCCAGCGGTCAGTATCAATAGATTTTTTGATGACAACTATAACCTGAAGACTGAAATACTTCCAGAGTATTGTCTTCTATTTTGTCTTCATATTTCAGTTTCCCTTTAATTAATGATTTAAACCCTAGTTTTCCAATAGTTTCCCTCTTCTTTTTCCTTTTCACTGCTATCCATATTCTTCCTAAACCTCATACATGTGCACGATATGTATGTGTGTGAACACACATGCACACAGAGACCAAAGATACTTTATTTATTTCTAAACATATACACATATTTATTTTATAAAATGATGGCTTTTAATTTATAATACAGATTTATAATGCAAACTTACTTCCATGTGACCATTGCTCCCATCAATATTTATATATTTTGAGATATGAAATGATATTTGAAAACGATTGCCTTACCAAGATGGCTCACCCATCTTGATGGACAATTTTAATCCCAAAATAACATATTTTTCAATATAATGTATTTATTTTTGGTAGGAACACAAAAATACTTTTCTTTCACATATTACATAATATTTATATTAGGAATTGCATAGGATAGTATAGTATATTCATCATTTACACTTAAATGTTGTAAGAAATAGTAGAAACATTTGATTTATTTTCCTTCAACTATAAATGCAATATTATCTGTGTTGTAGTATTAGCCTTAAAATGAGTAAAAGTTTTGAGAAAAAACATTTAAATTTAGGAAAAATTATTTTAAATTCCAAAATCTTGTCAACTTATACTTCGTTTTGCATGTTTACTAGCATTTAGTTTATTTTATAAATCGTGACATACTTTCTCCATTCATTACATTCTCAAAACCTAAAATACTTCAGTTGATTTGATATGTTTTGCATGCTGACATAAGTCTATTTCCACAGTTTTCTGAATTTTAAAAATGCTTTTGAGTAAATATTTGTATACATATTTTTTTGTGCAAATAGTACTTTGTTGAATGAAATAGCCATAACATTCCAGGTTCTGCCTCATTGGGTCTCTAAGCAAACATGAATCTGAATACAACACAACTAGGGTCTAGAAAGAAAATTCAAGGTAAGCAGATGCCCTTGGTTCCTTTTCCTACTTTGTCGTATTCTGTTTTGTTGCAACTGTCTTGTAGTTTTTTAGGGAATGTGCTATTTATCCATTATTTCTTGAGATATGTGTTTCATGACATTTCACAATTAGAAATACGATGGGTTCAGTGTTTATAGGAGAGATGATTCTCGGGATACATACCTTTAAAACAAATCTTAGTATTCTTAACATCAAGAATTGTACTAAAATGTAATTTAGAAGGACGTCAAATTAATAATCTAAACTTTACATGTTTTAAGGTAAAGTTTTAATGAACTATCTCCAAAGAAATACTCGAAAAAAACCAAGGTTTTTAAACTAAGAAAATAGAATATTCAGTCTCAGTATAGCTGAAGTTAATATTTAAAACTGGTAACTACTTTCTTTATGTAATTTGGCAACAATTGTACTCAAAATTCGTACACTAAATATTTTTGGTACTGACACAATTTATAGACTCTTATTTTTGCATGAATATGTAGCTCATCTCATCAAAATTAAATGCAGCATGTTAAGTCAAATTTTATACTATAAAATTTGAATGCAAAAGGTTTCATTAATCCCAGTTGTCTACGTGTACATCGATTTTGTCATCAGATATCACAATGGCTTTACTTTTTGCTCTTGATTGTTTATATCTATATTAGCCTAATTTGTCTCCAATTGAATCTGCTTGACAGCTAATCTCTTCTAAACTCCTCAAGCCTATCAACTATTCTTGAACTAGGTGAATGCATTTCCATGCTCTATATTACCTTAATAAATTGGTGTATTTGTATGCATTTTTCATTGGGAGAAAATGTTTTAACTGTTTTTTATTTTCAGAGAAGAACTATTTATACAAACATGGGGACTGTGAAAAGAAAATTCTATAGTGAATTGTGAAAAGTGGACATATTTCTAAATTCATTCCACTGCCTTTATCCAAACTTAAGAATTACAGACATTTGTTATTCCTTCGGCAAGACATCCCCGCTGCACACTGATATGTTCATTTCGTAATTTGGTTGCTGGCCACCAAGTGCTCCTTAGTTTTTAAATACATTTTGAGATTAACTGGAAACTTGAAGAAGAAATTAGTTCCCGATTAAGACTATCCCAACTTTATTTTTATTGTCAGTTTCACTTTTGTTTCTATGTTGTTTTATGTCTTTGTTATATAATTGTACATTGTGTGATATGTGAAAAAAAAACACGAATTTGGATGAACCTTGTGTTACATGTACATTGTTTTCATTATATAGACAGCTTGAGAATAGTGCGTTCCTGAATGATTTTGAACATGCTACAGTGAAAAGTGACAGTGTGGACCATGGAATCACCAGCTAGAGGTTATGGACTATACACACCTATTATTATATTCTGATTAAATACAGGAAAAAGTAACAAGTAAAATTACTAGATTGCAATAAAAAAATTCATTTTTTGGTCTTTCCTGTATACCCCTGATTTCCTTTTTGTTTTATATCAAAGAAAGTACTGAGTTTCAGAAATCCTTTTTGAAGTCAGGTATTTTACCATTCATACTCTACAGTAGAAATGTTTTTGATTAAGCACTCAGCAATATGACCAAATTGACAGTTTGAGAAAATACCCTGCATGTCAGTACTGGATATTTGAGTTGGGAAAATATCCTTTTTGTTAGACACATTGTGAAAAGCATGCATTGTCAAATACTGTTGTTACTCTTCCATTTCTTTATGTCATATGCTTGCTACTTACGACTTTTTATATAAATATATATAAAATGTATAATAATTTCCTAATTTGAGTTAAGAGAAATGTTTTCTTCCATTAGAGTGATTAAAAAACTGACTCACATAAATACACATTTTATGTCAACTCTTTCCACCTTTTAGGGTACAGGATGTCCTTCAGTATTGAGGTTTACTTCCCAAAATATTTGGCTTCTAAAAGTTTAGGGGAATATTTTCTTCTTTTAGAATAGGGAACTCTTTTTAAAACTGCTTTAAAATCACAAGCCCTTTTATGAATTAAACCACCATTATGAATTATTCTTATTCTCAGGTACACATAATACACCTGAAAGCTTAGTGATTATGATGTGTTTAACATAAAGTAAAATCCTAAAATATATTTTACTGCTATTAAATTATATACACACTCTGTAAAGTTTGATTTGGTGAGTGGTTATTTTTTAAAATATTCAATGTGTAATCTTACAAAATAAATTTTTAAAATAAGAATTACTATCAGTATATATGCTTCCCAACATTTTCAAAACTACTGAATTCTCCAGGTTTAAAGAACTCTGTCCTTCCACTAACAGAGCAGTCTGGTCTACTAAAATTTGGACTTTGCAATTCAAGCAGGCTTTGCAAACTAGATGAATTACTGTTATACTTCCCTACTAGGAATACAATGTCATATATGTTAAAAAATAAGCAAATAGAAAATAAATTTTTATAATAGAAAAGTCAAAGAGTTATCATAGCCATTATAAACACTCTATCTTGAAAAAATGTCAAGCTACAGAATCACTTCAATGAATTTGATAAACTAGGGAATCAGAAAAGGTTTTGAACATGACAAAGATTATTTTTCATTGTTATGCTACATAGTTTTATACACATTGCTTATGATAAAATGTACCCTTTTTTATTTGGCTTGACTGGTTTATTTATTACCATGGTTCCTTTTTTGCCCTTTAATTTAAAATTAATACACCAAAGATTTTTTTAAAGGATTAATCATATCTTATATTGCTTTCTCCATTTAGAAATCTTCAGAGGACTCCTTTCCCTTTGAATGATAATCTCAAAAGTATGATATAACTGTCAAGATTTTTTATTTGTAACAGCAATAAAAATAGTGAAATAAGTTAGGTGAACATTTTACTATTAATTTGTTCTATAACTGTCCGGCATGTCCGTCCCCTCCAGTTTCTCCTGAATATACAGAATGCTGATTCCCTGCTTAAAAGGTATTTTCACCAGAAATCTACCAATGGGACTTTAAAAAAAAACACTAAATGAAGTATAATAATAAGAATGAATAGCTCACATATATTTAACACACAGCAGCTTCATGGGAAAACAACTGTATTTTAAATGAAGAACAGGCCTCCTCAGTGATAACTCTAAAATTTCTCAACAATGTACAGACACAGACTAATCATGAAAGAAGATAATGACGATGCTGGGCAGTGTCTGGAGGTAGCCTTTTCTCCTGGCATTCACTCTAGATGCTCAAACTTGGGAGTGCAGCGCTCTGGCAGAGTTGGGAGATGTTCTCTGGAGGGCTCTGGCGGTGCTTATTTATCAGCCAGTATTGAAATTTGTCAATATATCAAAAACGATTTAGTAGCTATATCAGACCTTATCACCTGAATGCAGCCTTTGGCCCACATTCTAAAGGTGGTGACACACATAGATAAGGAATGAGATGTCTCAAGACTTATAAGACATGTTATTTTAATAAATGATTATATTTTTTGATAAAGTGAATTCAAATATTACCAACCCAAGTGCTTTATTGATTTAACAAGATGATTTCAAATAATGCATTAAGTTAGCCTGCTGTGTTAATTTCATAAAGCTATTCTTTTTCATTTTATTTTTTCAAGTTTTCATTCACTTTTCAAAATAATGGTAGCATATAATCACATGCAATGCCAATGAATCCCCATATTAAGCTTCGTACTTCTGTCCAAATGTATTGTAGTTGCCTAATTTCAAGGTTCTAATTTGGAAATCTGATTTATTTTGTATGTTTTTATATACATACCAATTTTAAGCATTATCTTGCAAAGTAGACATAGGTGGTGTTTGATTTGCCATAATTAACTTGAATTTGATTTTGTAACCAAAATGTGGCTGTCCACATAATTGGAGATCAGTGTCTTTGGGCTTTTAATGGAGAACAAATCACATTGTGGTGTTGCTGGTTTTTCTGTTTCACATTTACTTTTGCTCTAGAAGTATTTCCGTGAGTCTGATGACTCCATAAGTTATGATCCTCAGTGTTAAGTAACTTAGACGGTTGGCATTACTTTAATATTCACTTAAGCTTCTGTATCATTTTTTTCTGTATTTTTCCCTTAGGAATTTAATTCGGGTCTTCCTCAAATTTTACAGCTTTAAAAAAATTCCATGAATGGGTTTTCCTCAACCTCAGAATATCATAATAAATTACAAGATATGACCCCCTGGTTCCTATTACCTTGATTAAAGTGGCGGCAATTAATTTACTGATGTTTTGTCAGTGAAATAAATAATAGCATCTTATGAAGTTTGTGTATCTCTGATGAAAATGAGTCATGTCAGATTCCCTCTCTGAAGGGAAGTTAAATAAACAACATTTTTAAAATTCTTTGAATTCTAAATAAATATGCTTTGAAAAGTGAGTTAGGGTTTTGTCTAATTGCACTGAGGCGAGCTAGCTTCGGTGCCATTTTTCTCTGTGCCCTTTTCCCTCCATGGATTCATTTCTATCTATTGCACTCTAGCGTAAAGGACCCAGCCAAGAAATTGTAAAATAGATTCAACAACAAAATAAACAGGTCTTGAGTTAATTATCAATCTCTATGCACTTAATTAATATTTCCCAAGCCCATCTTAAAGGTGTAATAAGGTAGAAAAATAAAAGTACACTGTTAAAATAGCCAGAAATGTTTTTATAAATAATCCTGCTAAATAAATCTGAGGCCCTTTGTTAATTTACAATTATGATTCATTTTATTAATAAACTTGTTTGAATTGTACCACAAATTTAACTGAATTGTATCATCAAAATAAATAAAACAGGGTAATAAAAATAACAATTAGGGTGACTGATGTCAGACACTCATATCAACTCATCATTTTCTTGTAGCCTCTGATTCTGTACTTTCTTGTGTATTATTAAAGAGGTAAATGCTCTCTTAAAATGCCTCTAGTTCCTCAGAGGTAGGAAAAATAAACTCAACCTGCTTTGGACTTGTGTATTTACTTGGGTTGGTTTCCAGAATCTCCTTATTCCTGAAACAGTATGATCATGTAGTTAAACTACTCCTTTATATCTGTAAGTACTGTGCAGCCAACATGTTCTTTTTTGTCCCCAACTTCTGCCATCTTTCCAACCTCTGAGGCATGCTATTTTATAGTGGTTTGCTCTTTGAAAAATTGTTTTTGTGCCCTCTCTTAATAGTCACAGATACTGACACAAAACTTAAAAATGACCAGAAAACAATGTATAAATTATTTAAAATAAAACATTCTTTTTATATCACATTATCAAATTTGTACTCTTTATTCACTTTTCCATTAAGTGTGATATCAATATAGCTAGGCTGTTTTGAGCTTGCACAGTCTGTCTACCAAGCTCCTTCCTAAGTACTTTGAGGGTAAAATGAAGAAGGCAGTCTAGGAAGGAACACAATTACAGAGCCCTGTAGAAGGCAGACTGCTTACAGGAGCTGTATAAGGAAAATTAAGCCCAACATTATGTGCTGTGTTGGCCATCATGCAAAGCTGATTGCAAAGCCCTGGTTACCTCCTTCATCATCTTCCATGGAAGATAAAAATAAATTCAAATGTTAATTCAATAGACATGATGCTTTATAATGAAGAAGTTTGTAGCAGAAACCTGAGAATATAGGTATCTTCTTAAGATCAAGAGAGGCTTTGTGAATAACTGACCTTCTAAGCAGGTCTTGAAGAATGGAGACAATGGTCAAATAGTAGTGCAGGGAGAAATTTCCACCTAGAGTAATTAAAGCAGATGTAGGCTCAGAAGATCATCTAATTGAGCTGGTTGGAACATAGACAGGAGACATACTAAGTATATTTGACAGAGTAGGTTTGAGTTTACATCATGATTTCTGAGTGCATGGAATACTATCCAAAGGAATTTACACTTTATTCAAGGGAGAATATTTTAAGATCTCAGCAGAATGGAACTTAAGATTTCTACTTTCAGTAGAAGCCTCTGACAGGTATGTTTGCTAAATTGAATGGGAGTGAAATACAGTAGAATCAAAACAGTGTAGAAACAAGACATGAGAAAGAGTAACGGGCAGATTGTTAGATGTCCAGGAATATTTGTCTGGCTTTTTTACTTCTACTATACTTTATTGTTTCAAGGTGATGGTTGACTAGCGAACATACTGAGGGTCACATGCCAAACACCATTTTGAGTGTTTTACATGTAATTTTTTTCCTTGGTCATCTTAGCAATTCTATGACTAATTAATAATATTTGTTGTTATTTATTGTACAGATGAGGAAACTGAAGAGTTTTAGTAACTTTTTTAAGATTACACAATAAACAATGATGAATCAAGCTTTGAAGCCAACCTCACCAACCACAAGATCAACCAACACTCTTCACCAATGTGTAATATAACCACGTTAATATTCAACATAGTACGTACTGCTGAAAGAAGTTGATACTTATTCATATTAACCCCGTAGTTTTGTGTTTCCTCATCTGTAAAAGTATGTATTATAACACCTTCTCTCCACCTTACAGCGTGTGAGGTTCAAATGACCATTCATTGGAAGATATTTTTTATATCCTATAATGCATTATAAAAATAAATCATTTTTCCTAAATCATGTGTAGACTTCATTTTATGATCGACATGGAACAAAAGTATCATCTATAAAGAGTAACAATGTAGAGTAACCCCCCTCAGAACTTGTCCACCATAAAATATATGACTTTCCAAATCCAATGACTCTGTGTCTGGATGATATTTCTTCCAGTGCTGTTTTGTTGCATCATCATGTCAAAGTGCTGTTGTTCATCATCTGTCATTCAACATTGAATGCCAGAGCTCCTGAGTAACCCCCAAAGCACTCATCATGAAGTATACACAGAAATAGCAACACTGGAAAGCAAATCTTGTATTTCAGTCACAGATAATTGTTTGGCATAAATTCACGTAATAGCATCCTGGTAGATAAGCAAGGAAGTAGACAGCTGTGTTGGTAAATGCAGTTTCATAAGCAACATTACAATATATAAAAGTGGTGTACTGCAGTGAAAATCAAATTTAGTTTTATTTCTTACTATTTATGTGCTCTTTAAAAATCTGTTTGAATCCTCTGAGTTTCACCTTTACTTTCTCTTTCTTTCTTTTCTTTCTTTCTCTCTTTTTCTTTCTTTCTCTTTTCCTTTCTTTTCTTTTCTTTCTTTTTCTCTTTTTCTTTTTCTTTTTTGAGACAGTCTCACTCTGACGCCCAGGCTGCAGTACAGTGGGGCTATCTCAGCTCACTGCAACGTCTGCCTCCTAGGCTCTAGCGATTTTCATGCCTCAGCCTCCTGAGTAGCTGGGATTACAAGTCTGCACCATCACCCCTGGCTAATTTTTGTATTTTTAGTAGAGATGGCATTTTGCCATGTTGCCCAACTCCTAGCCTCAAGTGATCTACCCACCTCAGCCTCCCAAAATGTCAGAATTACAGGCATGAGCCAATGTGGCCCTCACCTTCTTTATTTGTAAAATTGAGGCTACACCTAGTGAAGAAGGTTTCTGTTAACATTAGAACTCGGCCAGACATGGTGGCTCACACTTGTAATCTCAGCACTTTGGGAGGCCGAGGCTGGTGGATCATCTGAGGTCAGGAGTTCGAGACCAGCCTGGCCAACATGGTGAAACCCCATCGCTACTAAAAATGCACACACACAAAATTAGCCAGGCATGGTGGTGGGTGCCTGTAATCCCAGCTACTCGGGAGGCTGAGGCAGAAGAATCGCTTGAACCCAGGAGGCTGAGGTTGCAGTGAGCTGAGATCGCACCATTGCACTCCAGCCTGGGCCACAGAGTGAGACTCCGCTTCAAAAAAAAAAAAAAAAAAAAAAAAAAACTGATATGCACACACAGGCAATATGACATCAGTGGGACCACAGTGTAGGCCATGGCCCCTACACTGGTGTTCTAGCAGTTTGCTCTCCAGAGCAGGAAAAATGCCTCATGTATTACAGTTTTCTGTACCTACAGCTCAGGCATTCCCAACAAAAATGATTGCCCTGTCTCAGTGATTCCAATAGCACTAGATAGTTCAGGAACAGACTTCACCTTTCAAAGACACAAATCAGTGAATATCAGTTTCTGAGAGATCAAGACACGACTAAATGGGAAAAAAATGTAGGGGCTAGTAAGGCAGGAAGGAACCAGAGTCAGACACTGCCTAGTACCTCTTAGTGTGCTACCATACACTGTAAGAGAGAAGATAATCATACTGGAAGAGGCGCCAACACAGGCTATCAGTAATGGGTAATTGAGAATTGCTAATTTCTAGAACATGTGCTCAGAGACAGGCATCAGAACAGACCAAGCTACGTATTCTTCAAAATAACAAGGTGCATTATACGTAATTGGTAATCAATACGTGTTGTTAAATGAGCGCAAATGAGTGGAAAAATTACATTCGTTAAATTTCTTTATTCCTCACAGAAGCTCATCCCTGACCCCAAGGCCTATTATCCATGTATAAACTATTATCATTATAGAGAAGACCAATTCTTCTATATCATGAGAACACATGGACATACAAAGGGGAACCATACAGCACTGGGGCCTCTCCGATGGAGGGTGGGAGGAGGGAAAGGATCAGGAAAAATGACGAATGCGTGCTAGGCTTAATACCTGGGTGATGAAATAATCTGTAAAACAAACACCCAACACAACAAACCTGCACATTTACCCTGAACTTAAAAGTTTTTTAAAAAGGAAATAGTGGCCATAGTTGTAATTTCAGTTGCCTTTTCTGTCTACACTCATTCAATATTTTTATAAATGTATATTTTTGCTTTCGTGAATTGCCATAAGTAGGGAAAAATATGGTATTTCCTGGAGATTATTTATCCAAAGCCTAGGTATAAAGTTATAAAAAGGCTTTGAAATTGCCAAGAAAGTTTTGTAATTTTAGTTGGTATTCACATTTACAATAATTTCTTTTCCACCTTTTTCTGTAAGTTAATGGTTTACAAGTCCTCAAAGACATATTTTCAGTCTTTCTTATGAATCTATATTTTGAAAACGGAATCTGAAAAGCGCAATATTAAATCACTAACTATTAACTTAGAAAAACAGAGAAGAGACCCATTTAAAAAATACAGCGTGTTACTCTTGTCATTTTATATTAAAATATAAGCCACAAAATAGGTAATTCCTGAAGTATGACTATCTCAATTATTTCCTAGTTATTTTCTTTTTTACTATTTTCTAGACATACAATAACATATTCAGCTCTCAAAGTGAATGTGGTTTTATTGTTCATCAGGTTGGAAAAAATCATTTTTCTAAATATATGTAATAAACATAATTCAAAATGAAATTTATAATATTTAATAACAAAGGATGCACAAGATTTATGTTTAAGCACAGAAAAGATGCATTACCACTAACAGTTTCCTTTCTCATCAGCATTATTACTCTAAGCAATTAATTATACAATTACATTTCCCTAAAATATCTACAATTTGAGAAGTTCCATCAGCTAGAATGCTATTCACAAATTACATATTAACATGATAATATAATTATTATTTTATTTATATTGTGGTCATACACTTTTTTAGTCAGTAGGTTGTTCAAATCATAGAGACATGCTCATTATAATGTAAAAGTTTCTGAGAACCCGCCCAAGCAGCTTTTTTAGCCATATGCACAATGATGGGTGGTAGGCAAACTCCAGAATCCCAGGGAATTTTAACAGAACATTGGAAATTGCACTTTTCTAGCATCTTTTGCATTCTCACTCAAAATGAGAATGATAATCTATTTATATACATTATATTCTCATCAGCCTGATAATCTGGCTTTAATCAATTTCAAATATACTTTATTCATCATTTATTTGTTACTTATTTTATTAAAAAATCAATGAATATTACTTTAAGAAACTGTACCCCAAAATATTATGAATTTATTTAATCTCTATTACTCTGTATTGTTACCTCCATGAGTCTTTTTTTATAAATACCACTGAAAACAGCATTTAAATAACGTGGGGAGGGGAAAGGAAGTTCAGGATGTTCCCAATTATTAATTAATATCAAAATTGTCTTTAATAATATAACTGTTTATAGCTCTAAAATTCCAGCTGTTAAAGGCAAAACACATCTTGGGACAATTAAAATTGTTCTTACATCATCATAACAAAATAAGAATATTGAATTTGTGCTAAACATAGTAGATACACACATAGAGTTTGGGAAATCACAAGCCATAATCACCAGCTACTGGAGGATAAATAAGAAAAATATTTCTTGTCTAATTGAAGTAGAATAAAAATTAAACCATTAAATATATAAATAGCTTATTGGTTCAAAATATTTTATTAAGGAAACAAAGTTCATCATTGCTTATCTGTATTTTTAACTAGATTTTGGATTCCAGTGGACTACTTTGTGACGTGCTTTGCCACATTTAGGTTACAATAATAATGTTCAACTAAAGACAAGAAAATCTCTCTCTCTCCTTCCCCCACTTCCTCCTTTCCTCCTTTATTCCCTTCCTGTCTCCCCTTTCATTTATTTTTAGTCCTTTAAAATAACAATTGCCTGTGGGTTTTTTTTTTTTTTGCTTTAATTTGCATGGGTATGTCAATTATTTTTTCGTATCAAGAAATGTTCATGATTTTATCGTATTCCTGACTGTATGCACTGATCCACAGCAGAGGCATTTTTGTTTGGCTAATTTTTAACTATTTTGAGTCCTGAGGCGTAAAGATTACTCTTGCCATCTACTCCAAGTAAAGTTACGGCATTGTCTTTGGTGCTGTTTTCACTGTAGAATAATTAGCATAATACTCAATGAATGTATATCCTTTTGAGTGTGTATCCTGTGCCTGATAAATGACACAGAATATGACATCTTCAGACTCATAAAAATTCTAGTAATGTGTGGAAGAGGCAAATAAAGGGAAAATACTGTTTCTGGATTTATTATGTGAGCACAGACCATGGTTCCTCAGGCAGAATTTTCAGCTAAGTTGTTGATGACTAATCAATACATATCATGGTCACTGCTATTTATTTATTATTTATTGTTTTGTTTATTTATTTATTTTTGAGATGGAGTCTTGCTCTATCACCCAGGCCGGAGTGCAGTGGCGCAGTCTCGGCTCACTGCAACCTCAATCTCCAGGGGTTTAAGCAATTTTCCTGCCTCAGCCCCCCGAGTAACTGGGATTACAGGCACCCGCCACCACGCCTGGCTAATTTTTTTCTATTTTTAGTAGAGGCAGGGTTTCTTCATGTTGGCCAGGCTGGTCTCGAACTCCTGACCTCAAGTGATCCACCCGCCTCTGCCTCCCAAAGTGCTGGGATTACAGGCATAAGCCACTGCTTCCGCCCACTGCTATTTATTAATAGATGCTTGGACCCACTTGCAAGTAAGTATTCAAGGTAAGAGCAAAGATACCTTAATGCCCACTTTCAAATATTCTCAGGTAAGACACTTTCAACTGTGATAAATTGGGCCTAAAATGTTTCAGTTGTCCTGAATGAATTCCTTGGATATGTGGGTAAATTAAATTATGTCTCTCTCATTTTACTATTGGAAGAAAAATAAGGTAATTGCAAAGTGCAAAAGTTGGATTCAGAAATTTCCAATGCCTGCCCCCATGAAGAAGAGGAAATCTCCCTATATATGCGCCTATTAAGATAACATTGAAAAAGTAATGAAATAAATCAGCTCTAAAAAATACAGAGCAACTCAGGAGATCGAGACCATCCCAGCTACTTGGGAGGCTGAGGCAGGAGAATTACTCGAACCCAGGAGACGGAGGTTTCAGTAAGCTGAGATTGCGCTACTGCACTCCAGCCTGGGCGACAGAGTGAGATTCCATCTCAAAAAAAAAAAAAAAAGCAACATTTTATCAGCATTTTTCTCTTGCACATGCTATTTATAACTTGTAAAATTCAAAATATGTGCTTCTTTCTACTGAGACTGCATATATAAATGGAGAATAAGTTTCATTAAAATTAATGAAATTGATTATCTTCATATTTATAATGTAATTATTTTAATTACATTATTTAGCACCTTGGGTACAGTGTACACTGCTCGGGAGATGGAGGCACCAAAATCTCAGAAATCACCACCCAAGAAACTTATTTATGTAGCCAAACACCATCTGTTCCCCAAAAACCTACTGACATAAAAATTAAAAATTTTAAATAAAATAATAATTTTTAAAAAAGAAAAAAGATATAAAGAAAATACACATGTGCAATGAGCCTTGCATCACAAATATTAGTAGTTTAAGAAGCACTAATCTGAACCTTACCTTCATTTCCATCACTTATACATATGGGTATGTAAAATATATGGCAATAATACATAGCACAGGACAAGTTTATTCCAGCATTAGTCAAGTTCTTATATTTTTCCAGAGTGGTGCAGTGTTAGCCCTAAGAAGACTATGGTCAGACAATGATGCACATTGTAAATATGAGAGTGGTATTTTTTTTAATAAAAAGAAGTGCAACTAAAAATCCAGTGGAGGATTTCAAATTTAATATTTAAAACGATTCAGATAACCCACATGAAGAAAGGAAAGGAGAAGTACACACTCAGTGAAAGAAATGGTACAAATAGAACAAATCAATACAGTGGACTTAAAAGCAAACAATCACATGAAGTTAAATGAACTAAACTCTTATTAAAAGGTATGTATTAACAGATTAGATTTTAAAAAAATGATCAAACTATTTGTGTCCTACAGGAGACAACCATGTATGACTCAGGTTGATAAGATGGAAAACAACATACATTGTGCAGGTAAACTTAAGGAGTTTCATGGCTATATGAACATCTTACAAAGCAGACTTCAAATTATGGAGTATTAGCAGGAAGAATAAGGATGATTTTCAAAATGAATAAAGTGTATAAACTTCAAAATCCATGAAGCATAATGACAGAACTAACAGGAGAAATAGATAAATTCTTCATCATAGTAGATTTTAAACAATCTTAATAATTGACAAAACAATGAAACAAAAAACATCAGTAAGAAGAATATTCGATATTGATCAGTGCTACAGACTGACTTACCCAACTGACACAATCAGAGCAGTGTGCGCAGCAGATTCACTCTTCTCAAGTGCACAAGAAGTGTTCACCAAGGTATTGTATAGGTTGTTCCATAAACGATTCCTAAATTTTAAAAGATTGAAATCTTGCAATGTATTTTCTGATCATTTTTGCATTACATTTGAAATCAATAACAGAAATAGATCTAAATAATCCCCAAATACTTGAAAAATTAACATCTACATTTCTAAACAACAAAAAAGGATGAATTAAATAGGAAATTAAAAGAGATATTAGGAATTACTCGAATTAGTTCAAAACTGAATGAAACTTCAAGAAAAAATAGAGGGAAATTTATACCTTAGAAGGAAACAGATGGCTTTAAATGGTTATATTAGTAACAAACAAATCAGTCATCTGAGTTTTCATCACAAGCTAAACGAAAGATGAGCTAAGTGAAATTATAAAATCATACTGCATTTCGAGGGATGGTAGAGAAAAATCAACAAACCCAAAGTAGTTTATTTTAAAATATTAATAAAATAGATAAATCCCTAGTAAGACTGATGAAGATAAAAACAAAGACAATATAAACAACTGTTAGAAACACATGAAGGAAAGTCATTAATAATCCTAAAGACTTATTTTCAGCTTTACCTCTTTTTTGTTTCCAGATATTGTTAAATGGCTTACAATACACATTATTATAAGTGTCTTCTTAGAGCTAATAAGTAATTAAAATAAGATAATAAACACATTTATGCTAATAAATTTAGGTAGAATGAACACATTTCTTGAAATATGCAAGTTTTCCAAACTACACAAGAAGAAATATAAAATCTAAATAGTTGTTTTAATCTATTAAAGAAATTGAATTAATAATAAAAACTTTTGCCATGTTAACAACTTCAGGCACCAGTAGTTTCACTGAATTATTTAAATGGTTTAATAAATAAATAACACCAAGTAAAACCATGTCTGAAAAGTAGAGTTGCAGATTACATTTCTGAGCTCCTTTTATAAGGCAAGAGTTCTAGATCATTTGTCAGGAGCTGGTGACCTCAAAAAACATGAATGAATTTGGGAGGAGTGTTGACAGTATTCACTATCTTGATGGCAGTGGTGGTTACATGATTATACACATCTGTCAAACCTCACCAGACTGTACACCAAAATGGATTTTACCATTTGTAAATTACATTTTAATAAAAAAACCTAAGATATAGAAGTCTTTCTCCTTTTTAAAAAATTTAATTAGCAGGGTGTGTTTCCTAAACAAAATTGTCACACTCAAAATACAAAAATTGGGAAGCTTTAAAGCACAACAAACTTAGAGTAACATTTAGAATAAATTACTTGAAGTACATGTCAATTCAGTATTATTTAGAAACCATAGATTTTTAGCTCCTCATATGGGCTAACTTTATGAATGAAAGTGTAATTTAAACGTTTTGGCTTTTTATAAGGCAGTTATTCTAAGTAGATCGTTGCTTAGGTGTATCTTATGAGAACATTTTCATTCAGTGTGTTTGCCCACCTTTCTGTAAGGATAATCTTCATGTATCAAGAAAGTAATTAACATGTATTAATTGATAATATTAAAAGCACTTTTTGGCTGGGTGGAGTGGTTTACACCTCTAATCCCAGCACTTTAGGAGGCCGAGGCAGGCGGATCACCTGGGGTCAGGAGTTTGAGACCAGCTTGGCCAACATGGTGAAACCCCGTCTCTACTAAAAATACAAAAATTAGCCAGGCATGGTTGTGGTCACCTGTAATCCCAGCTACTCCGGAGGCTGAGGCAGGAGAATCGCTTGAATCCTGGATCCGGAGGTTGCAGTGAGCTGAGATTGTGCCATGGCACTCCAGCCTGGTGACAAAGAGAGACACCATCTCAAAAAAAAAAAAAAAAAAAAAAAGCCACAAACTCTAAAAAAATAAAATAAAATAAAACAATAAAACCACTTTTTAAAATGTTGATATACTTAGGAGAAAATAATGTCTCTTTCTACTCCTTTTCTATAGCCCAGCTTTTTTTCTCAGCTACATTGAGATTTTTGCCAAATATATAGAACGTTTCTGACCAGATGGTTTTAGTTGCTTATCTGTATGTATTATATTTTTAAGGACCCTGTTAGGTAGGCAGATATTACACTTCACCTTCCAATCTACTGTTTGCTCTGAATGACTAGAACTGAGAATCTACAAACTCTTTCCTGTACCAGCTGACTGACCACTGTCAGGAGCTTCTAGCAGAGGTAGTGCAGCCAGATTGAAAGGCAGATGAGGACATAAAGGACTTGCCTGTTTATTTGCTTCCTATTCCTATCATGGTGGTCCAAGAAAGGACATCTCCAGGCAGGGGCAGCCTCCAGGAAATGTGATGCTCACTTCCCTGGCTCTTCAATCCACCTCCCGCCTAGGATGACCACTACTTCAATGCACCAACAAATAGTATAAAAACAATTATCCCTCTAGAGTGCAAACTCCATGTAAGGAAGGCACCATGTATTGTATGTCTTAATAACCACTCTTTGTATAGTGTCTAAAACAGGCCCAGGTACATAGCAGACTAGTAATATATATTTGATGAATGAATGATATAGATATGTGTGATATAGAAGGTATTATATAGATAAGAGATTTTGAAAAATCACAATTTATATTTAGTTTTTTTATATCAAGGAGTCAATAGGCATTTTGAATATTCTAAAATGACATCAGTGATTATTTACTTTAGCCTTGTGGTTTCAAGCACCAAGACTAATAGCTTGGCAACACTAAGATAGATAGGACCCATGAACTCAATGGCTTATGCAAACAAGCATTGATTTCTCACTGTCCTTACATATCAGAGGCTGCAGTTCCACGCCTGTGGCTCTCCCTCCAGATTCCTCATCTGAATCTATTCTGAAAGAGGAGGCTTTATTAAAGACATGCCATTCTCATCTGAGAAGGAAAGAGAGTTGGAGGAAATTCTAGTGATGTTTCTGAAACTTCGGCTGGCTCTTGGCTTATATCACATTTGCTGACCTTCCATTAGCCACACATGTAACATGGCCAAGCCCAGAATCAGTGGGGAGGGGTGGAAAATCATCTTATAGAGGAGAAGGGAGCAAATAGTTGAGATGAAAATATAAATCTACCTCACCTCTCTATAAAATTGATCCTGTGAAGCAGGTATGTTTTATAAAAATATATCCATTTTAAGTACGGATTTCAAGGACCAGAATTAGTTATTCAAAGTGATTACCTAAAATTATGAAAATGAGAAAGGTCTTTGCCATTGAACACACTAAATTTGAGATTTGCAACTAAAATATTTGTGACTTCTATAACTTTCATGGTTTTCTGGCCTTTCTGAATCTTAACGTTAGTACGGGAAAAAAATTGAACTAAAATACCTACCTTGTAGGACTTTTGTGCAAATTACATAATGATAGCATGTTAAAAAAAAAGTCCCAAGGACAGTTTCAGGCTTGCAGTGGAGCCCAGACTCTTTCTCTCTCTCACTTTCTCTGAAATCTCTCTCTTTTGGAATAAACATTTAGTTTTATTGCTTTGTTCAGTGACCTTTGGCTTTCTCAAATCATTTTTCTCTTAGCAATTTTAAGAAGTAAAAAACTTAGCTAACTTACCACCAACTGGATTTGATACCTAAAGCTGGAGATTTGGTATCTATCTGTAGGTTTTGAGGCTTCAGGTTGCTTTCTGTATCTTCCCTCAGGTAATATAATTTCCCAACCTACAGTATTAGATATAATTTAAAGAGCGGTTTTGTTTTTCCCATTTTAACTCTAGAGATCTACCAGGTCACTGTCATTCCTCGAGTCTTTTCCTGTGTCCTTCTTCATAAGAAAAGTGTTGAAAGACTTACATGAGAGCATAGTTACCAGGAGCAAGAAATCTCAGCTTTTCAATTCCATTCTTAAAGAACCTCTCTTTTCTCCCACCCATGCTCTTTCAAAACATCTCAGAATAAAGCGACTGTTTGTACTATCTCCTGAGCTTAAATAATTTGATAGATTTCTCCTGAAATGAATCTAAACTTAAAACATAAACTTTAAAATTCACAAATGTAGGTAATGTTGCACATATAAATTTTACCTAGTTTCATGACAATTTGACACTTCGTTGCACTAATTCTTAGGCTTCTAGTAAAAAATCAAAATTGTTTATTAGTTTGGCATTTGACTTACAGTAGCAGAAAATAGATATATTTATGGTAAATATTTAAAGTGTTATGGTACATATGGTTATATATGTACATATTTTATATATATAATGAAGTTTTATAATATATTACTTTGTGCTCATGTAAAAGCATGATCATTTTTATATTTCAAAAATATTTACAGTGTGTCCAGTTAATCCCGCAATCATAGCTTCCTACATTAAATAGTTATGAGTGGGTGAGACACCTATGCTAGGATAAAGGAACGTAAATATTAACATTCATGATCTCATAAGGAGCATATTAAATAGATAATTACGGTATAATTACAAGCTATATTGAAGGATAAATGTACTTGCATTTGTACCACTTTTTTTGTTGTTGTTGTTGAGACGGAGTTTCGCTCTTCTTGCCCAGACTGCAGTGCAATGGCGCCATCTCGGCTCACGGCAACCTCTGCCTCCCGGGTTCAGGCGATTCTCCTGCCTCAGCCTCCCAAGTAGCTAGGATTACACGCATGCGCCAACACACCCGGCTAATTTTGTATTTGTAGTAGAGACGGGGTTTCTCCATTTTGGTCAGTCTGGTCTGGAACTCCCGACCTCAGGTGATCCGCCCACCTCGGCCTCCCAAAGTGCTGGGATTATAGGCGTGAGCCACCGCGCCCGGCCATATACCACATTCTGTAAGTACAAAATCAGTATTGTGAAACAGAGAATTCTCCCGAAGAAAATCAAGAAGATATTTTCATACTTGCCTGCCATTGGGTTAATTGTTTTATATGCAATGTCTTTTTCTAACCTCACTAGCACAACTATCTTTTTATTTGGAAATGGAAAATACAGGCTCAGGCGAGAAGCTGCAATCCACATAATCCCACAGCCTGGAGGTGCCAGAGGCAGGATTCAAGTGCGGTTTACGTGGGTACAAAGCCTGTCCTATTTCCATGACTCTTAAACTGCGAGTCAAAGAAAAAAAATTAGATTTTTCCAGGCAAGGACGCTTACTGAGGGTCTTCCAAGCGGAAAGATGGCTGCTGCTTGTTGTAAAAAGGAACAGGGAATTCTAGATGTTCTGCCTAGGACGTGACACAGGACGGTGCATAGAGGCCAGGCTATCTCACTTCAATCGTGATGGTCTTGCTTAACCGACCCTCTTGTAAATTAATATATTCACTAAACATTCACTGCTTCAGTTCAAACTTTGCCATGCACATGGTAGAGAGACAATTGTGAACAAAAGAAGAATGCTTCTCTGACTTTGAAAAAGTTATGGTCTAGAGACCAGTGGAAGAGAAGTCCTTCACTACTCACACAAACCAATGCAAGAGTGTGGGGAGAACACGTTCAGATTCTATGTGTTTGGGTATCCTTGGGTTTTGGCTTGAATGTTTTTAAGATATTGAAAACGAGATGTAGATAGGTGGACGGATACAAAGGGTCTCTGGAGCCAGAGGAAAGTTGAGCTGGAAATAGAAATTTGTAATTCATAGGTCACCACTGAATGCAAAGATTTGGATGTCCCCCCTTTTAAGAGGCCACAGAACAAAGGAGAAGGCCAAAGCGTAGGACCCAGTTTTGAGGAACCGTATTTACCAACCAGATCACTTCTCTCACCTGGCCTCTCAGCTGGGATGCTTAGCTTGTGAGGTGATGGGGAGGGGGCCTCCTTAGGGGTTAGCCTCCAGTCTAGTTTGGCATCCCGTGGAGGCAGGTGCAGGAGTAAGCTGGGAAAGAGGATTCAGTGAGAAGAATGTGAGGTGATTGGAGGGGAATGTGGGGAGCAGGCTCTTAGAACAAGAGCTCAAATTTAATAATGATATGACTTTTTTCCCCCAGAGCCAAAATGATAAATGAGAAATCAATGAAAAATCAAAAACCTCAAAAAACAAAAAAACTCAAAAATATATAAATCAATTTCTTCCCTCTCCAAACGTTACAAAGATGTATAAGCATCTCAACAATACATGGGGCATTCAAGTTAAAATTGAAGTGAAACACTATATTGATTGGCTATGTTTAAACACCTCATATTGATTCATGAAAATAATCCTATGTATAAATAAAACATTTTTTAGAAAAGCAAGAGAATGATATGCCCAAAATCATGACAGTAGTTACCTTTGGGAGGAGGAAGGGTGTTACTGGAGTCTCTGTAATAGAAATGGTATATTTCTTAATTTGAGTGAGTAGATACTTAACCATTTATTTTATTGCGGTTTTACAACTCAAGTATATTATGAATTTGTATTTTAACATTCTACTAAAAAATTTCTTCAATAAAAAACCACTTCCTTCAAAAAAGAATAGCAATTTATTAGCAGTTTATGAATTAGAAAAGTCATACAGCCATCTCATTTAAGATAAAGAAATTTAAATGTCCTTGCTTAAAAATACATTTAAAAAATCAATGATTTAAACAAAAATTTTTTTAAATTGTTTAAAGCATGGCTTCATAAACAAGAAACAAAACTTCTTATGTTGGAAATGAAGAAACTCATACATGGTAAAATACTGTGTGTGAGCTCAAACTCAGGTGTGTATTCCGTCCAAAATTAGGCCCTAATTGGTGTTTTAAATATTCTAATTGGAGCAAAATATGTTGTCTTGAATCTGTAAAATGTGAAAAACTGGAACTGAGGCCCCAATATAAAGCTAGGACTATGAATGTACTGATAGGCACCATTATTAGGGTATTAGGATATTAGGTTAGAAATATTTCACCTACCAGCACACACAAAAAGCAGCAAGTTAGATGGGTTGATCACTTGCCTTTTAGGGCTCTTTAAAAAAAAAAGTCTGCTTTGAAAAATCTAAACCCAAGAATTATGCTATTCACGGTATGAGATCAAAATGTATGATTATAGTGTGAAATCTAAATAGATGTTAATGAAAAACATTTGTCCCAAATGCGTGAAACCCCTTGTTTACAAGGAAGAAGAAAATACGTTACCTCTCAGGGGAACACTTTCATAACTCAAGGAAATGGGATGTGCTGCTGCAAGTCGGGGAAAAATACCTAGAAAAGAAAGTGCAAACAACTGTAAATTAAAATCAGTGAAATATCCATTACATAAGGACTGGTGAAGAGACACAATTAATAAGAAGGTAAAGGACATAAGAAAAGAACAATTTGAAAGGAAATAAAAAAAGTATAAATATTCAACAGAAATCACAATAAGGCCAAGTAACTTTAAATAATAATAATACATTTAAAAAATATGTGTGTTGGTTGTGTTAAATATTTTCTGCAGAATACATTTATTAACTGAATAATAGATCTGAAGGAATTTACTAGAATTTGGCTTAGGGAGAAAAGAGGTGGGATGAAAAGGAGAAAGAAATGAGAAAATATGAAAATGGAGTAAAAAGACATGAAGGACACAGGAAACTGCCCAACATACTTATATTAAGAGGTAAAGATAGAAAAAATAAATGATGCAGAAACAAAAATATTAGATGATCTAATTGTGGAGAAATTTCTAGAAAATTCAAAATGAATAGATTGAAGCAACAGAATGTTCTGTGTAGGATAAGTAAAAATATACACATATCTAGATATGTTTTGATAAAATTTCAGATTTTCAAAAATAAACATTTTAAAAGGAGCTAGAGAGAAAAACAAACAAACAAAAAACAAATTATTTCCAAAAGATAAGCAAGTAAATTGACAGTAGCAAAGTTTTTATACCCAAAGCCCCTTGAGCCAGGTTTCCGTATCAGTCAATTATGAGCTGTGTCCCCTTCTAATTTCCATTGAATGAGGGGTTGGCAGTCTCTGTATATTCTTCACTGTGTGATGAGTATTAAATAAGTTAATAAGGCGGGGCGCAGTGGCTCATGCCTGACTCAGATAGGGTTGTTATACTCACAGTGGTAGCTTAATACAAATTAGTATCATCAGCACAGGGAAAAGGCATGTGGGGCTGGGAAAGCTGTCAGAATCAAAATGCCTGACAAATAGAGCCAGGGAAGGCCATAAAGGGAGAGTTCACATATACTAATGACTGACGATAAGAACTATCAGAAAAGAGCCTCGTTCGTCATATTACCAGAGTTGGTTTTCTCATTCCTTCTCATTTGAGTAGGCGCTATCAGAGAGAAGGTCTAGGGCTGAAGGCTGTTGTTCAGATTCTGTTGTCCCACAGGGTGTTTCTTTGATGTAGTACTCTCCCCCTTTTCCTATGGATGTGGCTTCCTGAGAGCTGAGCTGTAGTGATTGTTATTTCTTTTATGGGTCTAGCCACCTAGGAAGTCTACCAGGCTCTGGACTGGTACTGGGGGTTGTCTACACAGAGTCCTGTGATGTGAACCATCTATGGGTCTCAGACTTGGATACCAGCACCTGTTTCTGTGGAGGTGGCAGGGATGTGAAATGGACTCTGTGAGTGTTCTTGGCTTTGGTGATTTAATGTTCTATTTTTGTGTGGGTTGGCCTCCTGCCAGGAGGTGGTGCTTTCCAGAGAGCATCAGCTGTAGTAGTATGGAGAAGAACTGGTAGTGGGTGGGGCCCTAGACTTCCCAAGAGTATATGCCCTTTGCCTTCAGCTACCAGGGTGGGTAGGAAAGAACCATCAGATTGGGCAGGGCTAGGCGTGTCTGATCTCAGACTCTCCTTGGGCGGGTCTTTTGGCGGCTGCTGTCGGGGATGGAGGTGAGTTTCCCAGGTCAATGGAGCTGTGAACCTAGGAGGATTATGGCAACCTCTGCTGAGTCATGCAGGTTGTCAGGGAAGTAGGGAAAAGCCGGCAGTCACAGGCCTTTTTGTCCCACACAATCTGAAGAGCTGTTCTCACTCCCATCGTGCCCCCACCAATAGCACCAAGTCTGTTTCCAGGCAGTGGGCAAGCAGAGCTGAGAACTTGCCCCAGGCTACCCGCCTCCCAGCTGCAAGAGAAAGGGGCTTTAGTTCTTCTGCCACTTGTGCAGTCTGCAAGCCAGATTCGTGCCCTCCCCCCAAGTTCTGGACAGGAGGTTTTTGACCAGTTCAAATTGTTACAAAGTTCAGCTAGAGACTTCCTTCTCCCTGTGGCGTTTTTCCCACACCTCTGGCTGCCCTCTTGAAAAATCCCTGTGATGCCAGGCAGGAATGGCCTGCTTGGGGACCCAGCAAGCTCCCGGGGCCTTTCCTGGTGCTTCCTCTAGCCCTGTATTTCTCTCAGCTTTTTAAATTAACTCAGCTCCAGGAAAGGTTGGAATCGTCTCCCACAAACTAGAACTTCAGTTTCCCCAGTGGGGGTGTGTGTTCGAGGGTGGAGGATCTCCCTTTCCCACTTCTGCAGTTTGGGCATTCACAGTATTTAGGATGTCTCCTGGGTCCTACAGGAGCAGTCCACTTCCTTCAGAAGGTCTGTGGGTTCTCTCAGGATTCCTAATTTATTCCTGCAGTTGTTCTGGAGCTAAAATTCAGTATGCGAGCCTCGGCACGCTGCTCTGTCCATCTGAGTCAGAGCTGCAATCTAGTCCTGCCTCTCATCTGCCATGAAAACAATTCTAAAATGCTTATGTAACCAAAAAAGAGCCTGCATAGCCAAAACAAGACTAAGCAAAGAGAACAAATCTGGAGGCATCACACTACCTGATTTTGAACTATACTATAAAGCCATAGTCACCAAAACAGCATGGTGCTGGTATAAAAATAGGCACACAGACCAATGGAACAGAATAGAGAACCCAGAAATAAATCTAAATACTTACAGCCAACTGATCTTTGACAAAGCAAACAAAAACATAACGTGGAGAAAGGACACCCTTTTCAACTAATGGTGCTGGTATAATTGGCTAGCCACAAGTAGGAGAATGAAACTGAATCCTCATCTCTTATCTTACACAAAAATCAGCTCAAGATGAATTAAGAACTTAAATCCAAGACCTGAAACTATAAAATTCTAGAAGACAACATTGGAAAAACCCTTCTAGACATTGGCTTAGGCAAGAATTTCATGACCAAGAACATAAAAGCAAATGCAATAAAAACAAAGATGAATAACTGGGACTCAATTAAACTACAGAACTTTTGTATGGCAAAAGGAAAAATCAGCAGAGTAAACAGACAACCCACAGAGTGGGAGGAAATCTTCACAATCTATACATCTGACAAAGGACTAATATAAGTTAAACCGTTTACTAAACTCAGAAAGCAGAAGTCTGAACCAGTTAAATATCAGTCCTACCCTTGGCTTTGAAATCCAGAAATAGCCTCATTTTCTCTTTCTTTTGTTGAATTCATTTTAAAATTACATATATACTATCTTTGCTAACCCCTACCTCTTCTCCACCATCTCTTGTTCTGCAACCTTCAAAAGTTTCCCAATGCTTCTTGTAGCTTCAGTCAGTTTGGACTACAGTCGCCAACTGTCAACAAAATAAATTCCTGTTTATTCTAAGTATCTTTGACGTTTTTCAGGCCCTACCTTTCTGTATCATTGTGTATGTAATTTCCATCTGTCCCATTACTGACATTGTGACATATGTGTTTTCCAATCTGATATTCTAGATTAAGTAAATTATTATACATTAGAATAAACTTCTTCCACCTCAGTCTTATATCACAATTTTACTAAGTATTCCAGTCATGATTTCCTATATTTTTCCTTAAAAATGACTCTTTATTAACAATTAACAGGCATCATGTATGAGTAGACTTTCTTTAAAATCAATTAACCCAATGAACTGCATTACTGTGAGGGAGAGAGTGGTCAGGTCCATTTATTTTTCTGTCATAAGTATTCCAAGAATGAGATGGATGTGATGAGGTTTTTATCTCTTTTGGGACCTGGAAATTGAAGCAATAGCTGTCAGCAAGAATAGCAGAGTGAATTTAAATTAAACATACTTCTCTAAATTACTAAATTGTTAACTAATGTCAATACTAGTAATAATAGTATTCCTTTATATAAAGGTGATTAGGATATGCTAGGTAATAATAAAAATATGTGATTTTTTAAAATCACAAGAGACATGGCGTAGCAAATAAACAAAACTTTAATGTGAAAATCAACCTATTTAAGTCATATTCTTCTATTAAATAATTTTTTTCAATGATCTGGGTTATTAACATGATTAATTTTTAGTTTTTTGTGGGAATTTATTCTTGGAATGAATGGAACAGTGATAGATTCAAAGCATACTTTGAATTTATTTCAGAAAGAAAGGCAGTGATTATTCTTTTAATTAATTTACCTTACTAAACATAGTGTACTTTATTGATCATTTATTATCATATATTTTCAATAATTTTTTATTTCTACTCCATCACTGCTACCCACTGTTCCCCTCTCCACTCCTATGCTCCAGGCACTCCTTTGCTACCTCATCAGGATTACCACATTTATTGTTGCAAATATTTTCTACATAAAATTACATTTATAAGGCATTTTTATACAGTGTAGTTTTTGTCCCTTATTAGAAAGAAGTATTTAATTGCTTATATACATTTATAGGTATTTGGGGTGATTTAATTGCTGAAATTGAAAACTGTCAGTGAGTGACTCTAATTAATTACCATCAAGGTCTTACTGAGGGTCAAGTCCAGACATAAGCCAACATTTACACATTACTTTTGATTTTAGGCTATTGCTGAGATGTCACTGCCTTCTCAGTCTTCTTTGGGAATGAGTGGAGGTGAAGGTGAACACATCTTTGCTTTATAATGAAAAGAAAATATAACAAATGATCTACATAGCATAATGTGGGCAATTTTTTTTTTTTTTTGAGACAGAGTCTTGTTCTGTCTCCAGGCTGGAGTGCAGTGGTGCGATCTCAACTCACCGCAACCTCTGCCTCCTGGGTTCAAGTGATTTCCCTGCCTCAGCCTCCCAAGTAGCCTGGATTATAGGCATGTGCCATTATGCCCGGCTAATTTTTTGTATTTTAGTAGAGACGGGGTTTCACCATGTTGGCCAAGATGGTCTTGATCTCCTGACCTCATGATCTGCCCACTTCAGCCTCCTAAAATGTTAGGATTACAGGCATGCACCACCGCACCCAGCCAATGTGGGCATTTTTTAAAGACTATTAAAGAATGTATAATCAAGCTGTTACCGAATGGAGGAGAGTGTGTGTTAACTGAAGTAAGCTCAGAGTCATCTATTCCAAACTGCTGGTTTTATAAACAAAAAATTGAAAGCCAGGCAAGTTAAACTATTTCCCCAAAGTCTTTAAATAGATCACAGAATACAATTTCATTCTTCTAATTGTTAGACTGGGGCTGCTTGCATAATTTCCCAAACAGTCTAAAAAATCAACTCTATCAGGAAAAACAATATAGATCACAGTGGATCTGCAAAGTCGAGTTCAGTTTCAAGATGGTATTCTTCAAGGCTATCAAAATCTAAAAGGGGAAAACATTGCCTCTTTATTGAAAATAAAATACTAGGTCTCTTTGGTCACCATGTTATGGAATGTAATGATTTTTTGAAACATGCTGGAGGTGGGCAGCCTTGGAAAACCCAGAGGGAAGGTCCAGCCACGTTAGTGTTGTAATGTGATGGTTGACACGAATCCCTAGGTGTTGCCATTGCCACAGCAGATGAAACACATCCTCTGCCTTGTGGAGATTCTAATTAATGCAGTGGCTATATGCAAGCCTTCTTCTGGTTATTCCTAACTGGCAGCCTGAGACCCATCTGGGATTTCCTTAATGAATCTAATCCAGAAAACTACCATTTACATTAACTCTATGGTAGGACTAGCATGAGCATTTAGAGGGTTGTTAAAGTTTAGGAGAGTTATCTGCACCTTTGGGCTCTTCAAAATTAAGAATTGTTTTCAACCATTGCAGAAGTCAGTGTGGCAATTCCTCAGGGATCTAGAACTAGAAATACCATTTGACCCAGCCATCCCATTACTGGGTATATACCCAAAGAATTATAAATCATGCTGTTATAAAGACACATCACACATATGTTTATTGCGGCACTATTCACAATAGCAAAGACTTGGAACCAACCCAAATGTCCAACAATGATAGACTGGATTAAGAAAATGTGGTACATATACACCATGGAATACTATGCAGCCATAAAAAATGATGAGTTCATGTCTTTGTAGGGACATGGATGAAGCTGGAAACCGTCATTCTTAGCAAACTATCGCATGAACAAAAAACCAAACACCGCATATTCTCACTCATAGATGGGAATTGAACAATGAGAGCACGTGGACACAGGAAGAGGAACATCATACACCGGGGCCTGTTGTGAGGTGGGGGGAGTGGGGAGGGATAGCATTAGGAGATATACCTAATGTTAAATGACGAGTTAATGGGTGCAGCACACCAACATGGCACATGTATACATATGTAACTAACCTGCACGTTGTGCACATGTACCCTAAAACTTAAAGTATAATAAAAAATATACAAAAATGAAAAATTAAAAAAAAAAGAATTGTTTTTTAAAAGAGAAATGATATCCTAGGTTTCACTTAGAGTCTCCCAGCCTTTAGCCTCGTACTAATATTTCACCATGTTAAGGACAGAATCTCAATTTTGTTCAGAATATCAGTCTGTCTCCTTAGGTGATCACCTGCCCAGCCTGGCACAGACACCTGAACCAGTTCGCGTCACCGATGTGTGAGGAAAAGTCAGTGGAGGGGGGATCCTGGGAATGCTATTGTTTTTGACCTAAAAGAATAGGACTTGCTGGCTCATAATTGTTGCCTGTTCTTCTTCCTACTTGGACTATAGACATGGAGCCTAAAGTGGGAGTCATTATTTTCATTTCATAAAAGCAAAGTCCACTGATAAGGATGGCACAGCAGAGAATTGGACAGAGTCTGAGACGGGACAGCCTCCTGCATCTGTGGACCCCTCTGGGCCATCCAGTATAACTAACTCAGAGTCCTATATGGCTTGGCAGCTCCTCATTGACAGTCCAATATCTAAGTGTATCTAAGGCCTTCCCTGGAGTATTTTCGTCTGTTTTGTCAACAAAGTCTTATTTTATCGGTCACCTTTGCTTACCTGTGATAATATTTGCCATCGTCACGAAATTACAGTTGAAAAAATCGAGGCTCTTGCTTTCCCCTCAGTATGCCCACAATCTACCCTCTACAAAGCATTCATAAGTGAAGGAGACTAAGGAAGAACAGAAGATAACAGGAAGGGCTTCATATTATTGCAGCCAACACATATTCAGGATCATGGAACAGAGATGTTTAATTTTGTTTGTTCTTGGGCCCCATGAGATGGTAATTTTCTCATCAATTTTCCCATCAACTTTCCAGGCAACAAATAGGGTCCAACCCTCCCCTGGATCTTCTCTCTTTCCCTCATTCTCACTCCTGTTCTGATGTAACTGCGCTTTGCAAGCTGCAAAACAAACGCTTCTCTGTCTCCTGAGGAACAGCTTGACTGTTTCTTTTTTGTTAAAAAAAAAAAAAAAAAAAGCCATTGTAACACTACAAAGTCTGGCTTTCTACCTCAACTACGTATTAAGGGTTTTTTTTTTGCTTGTTTTATTTATTTTTAAAATTTTATCATTGTTTTGCTAAGAGAAATATCAGTTACTAAGACATAAACATTAATTTTAAGTAAAGGAACAATTTATGTATACATATTAATATGTATGTATTTGTACGAAGCATCTGGCTACATGGGCCTTAGTAATTACATTTGTACTTCAAAGGGCTGCTTTTTCTTTATATATAATGCCTTATAAAATATCCACAGAATCTCAGCAGACTTTGAAGAGTCAGTAAAGCGTTGCACAGGGGGAAAATCAGCCAGCCAGGGAAGGCCATTCACTTGTTGTGCAATCACTTCATAGCGCTGAATCTCATGATTTTTCATGTCCTGAATAGAAATAACACGGTGGCTTTGAAGATTAATGAGGCTATAAATATAAGTTACCTGAGACCACCTGAGATCGCAGAGAAATGCTGGAAAATTATAAATTTATTGTTGATGATGATTTTGTATTGCAAAAGATGACATGTCTTAGTTTACAAATTTGCAGGCTTTATATTTTCTTTTCTTTTCTTTTTTCTGAGATGGAGTCTCACTCTGTTGCCCAGGCTGGAGTGCAGTGGCACGATCTTGCAACGCTGCAACCTCCCCCTCCCGGGTTCAAGTGATTCCCCTGCCTCAGCCTCCCTAGTAGCCAGGATTACAGGCATGTGCCACTCGCCCAGCTAATTTTTATATTTTTAGTAGAGACAGTGTTTTGCCATGTTGGCCAGGCTGGTCTCAAACTCCTGACCTCAGTGATCCACCTCCCTCCTCGGCCTTCCAAAATGCTGGGATTACAGGCATGAGCCACCACACCTGGCCCTATTGAGTGTTAATTCAGGAAATAAGTTTGTTATCCCAGATAGTGGTACATTACGCCATTAACATTACACCATTAACTAGCATGTTACTACATTATCATGACAGCTACAACATAACACAAATGACAACAATTACTCTTTAATAAATACCCCAAAAAGTGTTTTTATAGGCAAACTCATCACTATTACCAGCACCACCTGTACTGTAGCTTCATGATGACTCACTTTAAAGTACTCCTTTCTCTCTGCAAGAGAAAACAGCTGTGAGAGATAACAAATGCAAAGAGGTGGTTAGTGAGTAGAGGATACAGCTGATACCATTAATCTAAATTAGCACTCGCCAGTCTGCAGAGACACCAAGCAGAATAAAACCAGAAGGGTTTCTTATTTACGTTTTAGAGTATATACAGTCTTGTGGTATGAATACCTATTAATTGATCCCTCTCGAAGGGTTGAACTTTGTAGTTTAGTATTAGTGTCAACATTCTACTTATTATCCTAAGTAGAGAAATGTATTTGATTTATTTTGTTTAGTTTCAGAAAGAACAGGCAACTAAATTAATAGATAAAAACTGATAAACTTTCCTCGAGCTTGTTAATTTGTGCAAGAAAGAAAACTTGAATTTCATCTTGAAATTTTCATATGTTTCTTTGATAAGGTAAGTTAATTTTTTCCCTTTTTCAAAGTTATTTTGGCATGAGTTATAAAGTTTATTTATATTTGAGGGGTGCATATTGTTTTAGGAAACAATTTTGGATTTAAAGCGTTCTTAATATAAACAACACATATCTCCATTATCGTATGAGTATTCTCCTCACCATGCAGTATGTGTCTTTCTCATTCCAATAACAATTGCTGAAATGAAATATAGCAAAAAATAGCTTGAAATAGGAAAGCCTATTTACTATTTACTACTTTATAACTTATTTCTTAAAAGGTATAGTTTATGGTGAAACAGTATGTGGAAATATATTTCAACATTGTACAGATTATTACCAATATTTTATGGAAGAAGCAATTACTTATGAAAGTTTTACTAAAAATACTTTTATTTTATAGAAGTATTTTTAGTATATAAAATCTATATTGTATAAAACCATAAATTTCAAAAATACACTGAAAGATTTTATTGATCTCTTTAAAGAATTAGGTATGACATTCAGTCACAGATCTTAAAAACAGCCATATTTTAAAGAGGGTTGAAGTTGACCCTAATGCATTTTGTTACTTAAATGTACAATGTAGTGAAATTATTTAATTTTTTTCTAAATAGATACTATTTATTTGGTGCTTACTATATGCAGGAGATTCTGTTCAACAAGTTACAGGCACGATTTAACGCCCACAACAACCCTATGAAATATTTTTTGCCCATTTTAAAGATAAGTGTTCTGAGGATTAGAATGATTGCCAACGTTTGCCAAGGGTTATTCAGCTGTGATTACACCCACATCTGTTAAATGCCAAAGCTCATATTTTAACAACATTGATGCTCCCTGAAATACCCGGATCGTTTTTTTTTAATAAAAACCTTTTTTCTGTGCATCTGACTAATGCAATTCTTTATGCTTTTCAAAATGGTTTCTGAAATTTATAGGATAAGAACATGACATTTTAAAGTACTTCTCCTTGATTCATGTAATGAAATCCTAACAGACACAGGTCAATGAAAAGAGTCAATATTTTTCAAATATTTTACAGAATACTGACCCAAGTATAAGTGACCATGGCCTGTGACACAGCCCTCAGGAGGTCCTGAGAACATGTGCCCAAGGTGGTTGGGGTGCAGCTTGGTTTTATACATTTTAGGGAGGCATGAGACATCAATCAAATACATTTAAAAAATACATTGGTTTGGTCCAGAAAGGTGGGACAACTCAAAGTGGGGGCTTCCAGGCTACAGGTAAATTTAAACATTTTCTGTTTGGCAATTGGTTGAGTTTGTCTAGAGACCTGGGATCTGCAGAAAGGAAATGTCTGGGTTAAGATAAGAGGTTGTGGAGACAGACCAAATAGTTTGTAAAATGTTTCTTATCAGACTTAAAGTCTGTGTTGATGTTAATGCTGGAGGGGTATTACGAGACATGACCGACCCCCACTTCCCATCATGGCCTGAAGCAGTCTTTCAGGTTATTTAAAAGAGCCCTGGCTGAAGAGGAGGTCCATTCAGACAGTTTGGTGGGCCTTAGAATTTAATTTTTGGTTTACAGGAAGCTCTGGCTTTTCTGCCCTAAATCCATGCATATTCATCTGGTTGAACAGAAAATCCCATGATACAGCGTCTGTGGATTGTAACTCTTCTCCTCTGACTTATAAGCCGTTACTGCCTTTGTGCATATGAGATGTGTGGTTTTTATATCTATTCCAATTGGTGATTTGGGATTTTTCAGTCTAATAATTTATCACAAACCTAGTCAGCCTAAAATTTAAGCTAGGCTTGAAAACAACTTCCTCAGGAGCCTTTCACTTGAATACCGACTCAAGATCTCTGCCTGGAGATGGAAATTGTAATACTTAGATATACCACAGTGGGATGTTGTAAATGATCAATTACAGAGAAACTGGCTGGGCACAGTGGCTCACACCTGTAATCCCAGTACTTTGGGTGGCTGAGGCAGGTGGATCACTTGAGGTTATGAGTTCAAGACCAACCTGACCAACATGGTGAACCACCATATCTACTAAAAATACAAAAAAAAAAAAAATTAGCCAAGCTTTGTGGTGCATGCCTGTAATCCCAGCTACTTGGGAGGCTGCAGCAGGAGAATTGCTTGAACCCAGGAGGTGGAGGTTGCAGTGAGCTGAGATCAAGCAATTGCACTCCAGCCTGGGCAACAAGAGTGAAACTCCATCTCAAAAAAAAAAAAAAAGAAAAAAAAAGTTAGGCCATTGCACCTAGAGATAATAGCTAGGGATCATTTTAACCTCTGCTTTTCATTGCCAGAGGGATGGAGGCAATGAGCTAATGGGCCTCTTTCATTCTAAGCACATGGTATTTAAAGAGTTTGAACATCAGCAGTAGAAGGTACTTGTTCATAGAAATCAAGAAGGATGAAACATGTTATAAAACTGTAAAAGGATGGTTGGTTCAAAACAGGACATTGACTATTGAGTACCATTTATTTCTATTATGTCATCATGACCATAGCCCCTACATGATCTTTACCAGATTACTGTCACTCCATCTCTCATGTACTCCTCTTCAACCATCTTCAGCCAGGATGGGCTCCTTATGTTACTCAAACAGCAAAGCAATCTATTTTTTTTTCTTTTATTTTTCACCTGGCCTGCCCCTTCCCACATTACCCTTATAATTGACTCCTGTCTTCAGGCCCCCGCTCAGTTGTCACCCTAACAGAGAAGAATTCCATGATCTCTCTATCTAAATGAGCGGCATTCCATCCTCTCCTGTCTCCCGACCATCGCTCTTCAGCCCTTTTTCTTACCTTTTAATTTCATGGGGATCGAGATCCCTTAGCACATTGTATTTGGTTGTTTTCTATTGATCTTCACAATCTATAAAGGTAAGCTCTGTGAGACCAGGGAATGTTTTGCTCATTGCTGTATTCTCAACATCAGTATGGTGCTTACCATATTATAGGTATTTGCTAAATACATGTTGAATAAATAGATAAATAAGTGAAATATATTTCCTCATGACACGTCCTTCAGTCTTTATTTCTCAAGTTGCCTATCATTTTCTTATTACATAGAAGAGGTCTTTTGTTTATAGAAAATATACTATAACGTTTGGGGTGATGAGCAACATGTTGAAAACTTTTTCTGAAATGGTTTAGGGGAAAAACATTCTTTATACTGCACTTGCTTGCCATTTTTCTATAAGTTAGATTGTTTCAAAATTAAAAAAACTTCTAAAAAATTTAAAAATGTTTCTACATGCTAGAGAAAGCCATTATAGGATATAAGTTGTATATCAATGTGCTTAGGTTCTTATCTTTGAAAGGTCAATTTGACTGCTCTATGGAGAATATATTTGTGGTGTGGGAGAGTGGAAGGATCGTAGCACTCCTGGAACCCACTGAAAAGAATTGCAATTAGGGTTCCCTCTGGGATGATGAATTATAAAATGGCAGCCCATCCTCCAGGTTGGCACTGATCTGGGTCACGTTCTCAAAGTAGATGACCATACATAGGGAGTCTCTGGGAAGCAGACACCAAATAGAAAGCTATAGCAGCTGTCTACAAAATAGGTCATGAAAGACTTAAAAGACGTTGACTTCCACATATGTTTTGGAGATAGAATGGACAGAATGAGTTGAAAAATTTCATGTGGAGAGTGAGGAAAAGACAGAGTTCAAGAATGACTCACAAGATTTTAAACTTTAACTTGAGCAATAGCTTAGTGACATCACCTATATGGAGAAGGTGCTGAGCAATTTGGGGAGCAAAAATCCAGAATTCTCATTTCATTATGAATAGGCAATTTGTTAAATTAAAAATTCAGCAGTCAGTAAACATGGATTTAATATTCAACTTCACTACTATTCAAAATATAGGTAAAACATTAAGACAATGTTTATTAATAGCTATTAGATAAAACCTGTTTCTTTCAATTTTGATGTCTTCTATTGATGTTTTGTGTACAGAAGCAGCTTCTTTTTAGTCTAATGATAAACAGGTAAATTGGGAAAGTCTTTTGGGAGACAAAATATAGATATAATATGCATCAATAATTTATACTTATTGAAAAAACAATTCTACTTTTGTAAAGCTGCCTAAATGAAACTACAAAAGGTGTGAACAAATATTGAGCTGCAGAGATGTTTATCTAATATAGATATGAATACTGAATATCCAATAAATTATTCTAAATATTTAAATAATGGAAAATTAATTTGCAATTAGCAGGTGGAGATGTTCTTTGTTCTGGAGTTTCCAGAGTGTTAATATAAAATCTGGCTCTGAGACCACTACCCTCACCATCTGCCTTCCCCTAACCAAGGATGAGATACTGAAAGGGAACCACCAAATGCATTAGTTGCTTTTTTTGTTTTTTTTTTTTTAAGAGAGTTATTACCCCATGAAGGATTGCAGTGAATGTTAAAGTCACATAATAATCCGGGAAAAAAAAGAGGGAGATTCCTTCTCTCTACTTCTCCAAGTCAAGTAAACCATACATAGACATGAAAATTTCTGGAAAAACAAACAACAACAACAAACCTGAAACAAATTTAGATAGAAGGAATAAGTTCTAGTATTAGAAAGTACAGCAGAGAAATTATAGTTCAAAATAATTTAGTGTATATTTCAAAATATCTAGAAAAGAAGAATTATGATGCACTAATACGAAGATAAGATAAATATTTTGGATGATGATATCCCAATTAACCTGATGTGATCATTACACTTTGTATAGAAGTATCAAAATATCACATGTACTCCCAAAATATGTACAACTATGATCTATCAATTAAAAATACAAAAACACAAAAATACAGGTTAAACATTCTGCCCCCAAGTAAGATGTTTACTGAGCTGCAGGAAATCATTCTTTTAAAGTGACCCAACACTAGAGCTTGCTGTGCAAAGATGGTCAACATGGATCAAGCAGATCCTACAGAAGGTATTATCTTGAAAGTTCCTAGTGATTGGGTAGGCTGTGGTGTTTTGGGGGAAAAATGTAAAAATGCCACATAGAGATGATAACTCCCCCAAAAATTAAAAAAAAGAAGGAAAATGAAAACAAGTATTTCGGCATCAGTGAAGACAAATTATATTTGCTTTTCAAAAGTTAGAAGAAGATCAGGTAAGCAGTTGGCCTTTAGCACTTTGCCTTTGTGTGTGTGTGTGTGTGTGTGTGTGTGTGTGTGCGTGCTGGTAATAAGATGACTCCTCTAACAGACACTTCCAGTCTCACTGGCATAACACACTCAGTCTTGTGCAGGTCTAAGGGAAGGTACTCCACTCAAAACAGTCATTCATGATCCAAGTTCTTTCCATCTTGTGCGTTCTCCATCTTTTAGGATCTAGAGATCTTTTCTGGATTTTTTGCTTCCAGCTTGGAGGGCCTAGTGGAAGGCAGACATCACTTCTACTTGCACCCCATTGGATGCCCTCAATCACGTGGTCCCATCTCCTTGGCAGGTGTCACTTCTACTCCCACTCCATTGGCTGTCTGAGTCACATGATCGACCTCTATGAGGGCTAGTAAAGCCATCTAGAAAGATGCCATGAAACCCCATCTCTACTAAAAATACAAAAAATTAGCCAGGCATGGTGGCAGGCGTCTGTAGTCCCAGCTACTCGGGAGGCTGAGGCAGGAGAATGGCTTGAACCCGGGAGGCGGAGCTTGCAGTGAGCTGAGATGGAGCCACTGCACTCCAGCCTGGGAGACAGAGCAAGACTCCGTCTCAAAAAAAAAAAAAAGAGTGAGAGCATGGGGGTTGGTGAACCACTACCCAGTCTCTGCCACCACCTTGTCCTCCCACTCTAGGTGACCGCTAGGACCTAGAATACCCAGAATCAGTATGGGAAGCTGGGGATGGGGAAATAAACAAAAATAAGGATAGTAAGAGTTCCTCTTCTTCCTCCGTTAGACATGAGCTTGGAGCAGAGATGAGGGGCAGGTTTTGAACTGAGTGACAATTGGAATTGTCTATTATAATCAGGCTGAATTTTAAAAAGTTTAACTGAAAGCACAATAGTTCTAAAATGGCAATTAAATAAAAAGTTATGGTGTCTTAGTGAATAGGGAAAGGAGAGTAGACATTGTGAAGACAGTGGGTAAAAAACAAAGGTTTCCTCTTTTAAGGCATTAATTCCAAATCAATTAATTAATTTGCTAATTGTTACTTCCATATATTGAAATACAGTGCTGCCAATAAAAATTATGACACGTTTGTATTTTAGTTACATGAAAAGATATTCTTGTTGCATTGTCAGAAAATGACATATAGTAAAAGATCATGCTTTTGTTAAATAAGTGTATATAATTTACCTTATATATGTAAGCATTTTCGTGTGTGTGTGTGTGTGTGTGTGTGTGTGTGTGTGTGTGTGTGTGAAACTGAATAGTCAAGAAGGAATGTATAAACCAAATGTTAAGACCCGTCGTCTCTGGGTGGTGACCCTTATAGGGATAAAATATTTTCCTTTTTGAAATATGTGAGATTTATATTTTACTTACATGTCATGACTTACAAAAGGAGAATAAATATAAGGATAATATTATAAATATTATAAATGAATGTAAAATAAACATTAAGAAGTAAAATTATAAAACCATAATTTATATCTACCTAGTATATCATATTTCTATCTTTTAAGTGTTATCTATAGTTTAAGAATTATTTAGTCTTAACAAATAATAAGTTAAGCCTGGGTACCGTGGCTCATACCTGTAATATCAGCACTTTGGGAAGCCAAGATGGGAGGATTGTTTGAGGCCAGGAGGTGGAGGCCAGCCTGGGCAACACAGTGAGACCCTATCGCTACAAAAATTTAAAAAAAATATAGCCAGGTGTGGTGGTGTGTGCCTATAGTCCTGGCTACTTGGGAGGCTGAGATTGGAGGATTCCTTAAGCCCAGGAGTTCAAGACTACAGCCATGATCCTGCCACTGCACACCACCATAGGCAACAGAGCCTGTTTCAAAACAAAATAATTAATAATAATAATAAGTTAAAAGCAATAAATGTATTTACCATTAGATGAATTATTTTTCTATAAATTTTTTGTCTCTGAGCCAATTTCATATCACTTTCATTTTTCTTGTTCTGTATTACTATAGCCAATATAAAATAAAAATTGCAAAACATATTTGATAGCAAATGTTTCTGAGGTTGGAGAAAATAATGCACCTGATATGGTTTGGCTGTATCCCCACTCAAATCTCATCGTGAATTCCCATGTGTTGTGGGAGGGACGAGGTGGGAGTAATTAAATCATGGGGGCAGGTCTTTCCTGTGCTGTTCTCGTGATAGTGAATAAGTCTCACTAGATCTGATGTTTCTATAAAGGGGAGTTTTCCTGCCCTCTTTGCCTCTCTTTTTGCCTGCCGCCATCCATGTAAGACATGACTTGCTTCTCCTTGCCTTCCGCCATGATTGTGAGGCCTCCCCATCCATGTGGAACTGCAAGTCCATTAAACCTCTTTCTTCCCAGTCTTGGGTGTATCTTTTTCAGCAGTGTGAAAACTGACTAGTAAACTGATACCAGGAGTGGGGTGCCGCTGTGGATACCCGAAAATGTGGAAGCAACTTTGGAACTGGTTAACAGGTGGGGGTTGGAACAGTTTGGAGGGCTCAGAAGAAGACAGGGAAATGTGAGATATTTCAGAACTTTCTAGAGACTTGCTCCTCCTTGTCTTCTGCCATGATTGTGAGGCCTCCCCAGCCATGTGGAACTGTAAGTCCACTAAACTTCTTTTTCATCCCAGTCTCAGATATGTCTTTATCAGCTGCGTGAAAATGGACTAATACAGTACCTTACAGTTTAGTGTGGAAAATTTGCAGCATAGGTTGCCCACCCTTTCCAGCATGTAGGTAGCATTAACATCCTTGTCTTGCAGCAGTAATAACCCACCTAACTTCATGGTCTTGGACAGCTGAGAGGCAGTCAGCTTACCATATGTATCATACTCTTCAGTCATTAATTTTCAAGAACCACATGTTCCTCAGCAAATGCACGCTCCCTAAAGTGGTATTTGTTCCTGCTCAGTAATACTCTCTCTCATAGCTATTCTAAGTATAGCTAGCCATTCACTGGTTTGTTTTTGATATATTTAATATATTTCCTATTTTCCTGGTGGCCTAGACTGCTTTTGTTTGTGTGCAACTGCCTTGCATATTGCACAAGCTATTTGAGAGATTCTAGTGGATATTTAAGAAAGCTGTATTGGTATTGTGTATTATAACTCAGTTTATAAATACAGTATGCTATTGTTATTGCAAATGCTAATTGATTAATTAATTATTGACTTCCAATGAGCATGGGGAAGTTCTGCCTTTACCACATAAAACACCAACTAACAATAAACAATAGTGTGTGCTAGACTGTCTAGGCCTTTAAATTTTCCCTAGAATGGTACTGTACACTGAAGACATTGTGATATATCTATGTATCTACCAATCTATCATCTATCTGTCTATCTGTATTCTTTATTACCAATAAAATCTGGAGCCAGTTTCTCAGGTATATTTACTAATTATTTTATTTTGTTCTTTAAGTACAAGTACTACTGCAATACTTAAGAGAATGATTGGTTTATCTTAACTTAGTTGAATTACCCACAAAGAAAAATAAGACATTCCTCTGTCTCCCTGATCAGGTTTTAAAAGAAAAGCTGTACTAAACTTTTGGGAATATGTAATTTTTTCCTGAAACATCAACTTATTATGACCACTCTAGTTTCTGAGAACTTTAATTCTGCCATGACAGCTCTCACAACTGAGCCCTTCTCTCAAAATAATTAAACCTAGAGTCTGTACCTTGATTTATGCAACACCAAGCCCCTGAAATATTCAGTATATATCAAATAGTATTTTAAAGGTACTCAGGGAAATCACTGTTTGCAAGAACCAAATGATGAACTTTCTTTTAATGTGACTAACTGCTCTCTAAGTTATGCCCTCTCTCAAATTAAAATTTTGCTATATCTTGAGTTTCCTATCAGAGTATCTCAAAAGAATCTATGATATTATTTTGGAAGCTGGTTGTTTCCAGCCCCCAAATATAGTCGATACAATGCTACTGTATTGAAAAACTGTGCTAGTATATAAATATACAACCTAGTATATACATATATTTATTAAAATAAATGGTGAAAAGTCACTTTAATGATAAAATTATTTTCAAATGAGGCACCAAATGTTACCTTGGTACTTCTACATCAATGTTCAGTGTTGGGAGTGCAGTGAGGCCCAGTAAAGATTCACGAGTATGTGTTTGAGTCAGCACTTAGGGAGCGGGAGGCCTTCTGCAGTTGAACAGAGAAGGAAAGGGTGAGCTGATCAGGGGGATGTGTAGAAAGGTGATAAGGTGAGGGCTGTATTCAGGCCACTGTACCTGGAACATGCTGTGCATGGGCCAGACTGGGAAGGGTCTCCACAGCCATGACAGGGGATTTAGACTTTATGTGTAGGCAACTAGAATAGAGGAAGTATGGTGCCAGAGAAGTAGTAGGAACAGGAGATCAGAGAATCAAGGCTATGATTTAAGAGGATTCTCCTGCAAAATATGTGTAATATTGCTTTGAACTGATGTGTGGATGTGTAGATGAGCCTGGATGTGTGGGAAACAATTAGAAAGTGCCATGAGAATAACACCAGCTATATATTTTCATGCTTAATTGCTTATATATTTTCACATGTTATAAAGTTAAATTCTTATAGCATTTTACCACTGAGAAAACAGAGGGCCAGAAGTTTTAAAACGCTTGTAAGAGGCTTCAGGGATAGTAATCAACTGTGCTGGGATTAGAATATAGGCCTGAGAATCAGAGCACCGAATTATATTCAGTAGTTGGATTTTTTGCTAGATTATTGTTGTTAAGGTGAGGGCACCCTAAACCCTGCTGAGCACTTTCATTTGATTTAATGGCAGAATATAGAAACAAAATTGTAAAGAGCTTATTGAAGCTAAAGAGAGGCAATTCTGAACTACCCTAATTCGCAAGAACTGAACTGTCCATTAAAAAAACCAACATTCTATTGAGCTTCTCTGGTTAGAACTTCATGTGCCTATGTGCATATGACATACACCTGTGTAGATCCTACCAATTCTGTAATGCAGTCACAAACTAGTGCACTCCAGCTCACCCTTCCTCAAGACTGTAATACTGATGGCTCACTTTGTAATAATGAAATAGCTATGTGTATCATAATGGAGATTCGTCCTTTTCAAAATCTTTCTTACTAACAGATACATCACATCCAACATGCTAAGCTTTACTCTGGATATGGACAGAGTGCACTAAGAGGACATCACGAGGTCCTTGCTGTGTGCCACTGGAAAACCTGCATGAATGAAATGCAGTTCATGTTCTCTGTGGAGGCTGCATGTGTTTTTGTTTGTTTTTTTTTTCTTACTCTCCGCCATTGCTCTATTCTATCAGATCCTTTCTATGCAGTATATTATTATTTCACATCCATAGCTCTATAAAAGCAAATTATACCCTGATTTCACAGATTTAGGAATCAGTCATGGAAACAGAAGCACATGTAATCAGTCTTCTCATTTTAAGAACTAAGAGACTAAGACTTTAAGTGGTGAAATAACTTGCCTAACAAATTACTGACCATACCAAGTCTACGACTTACATCTCATGAGATTCACAGTATGTGCAGAAAAAAAGGAAGCCAAAATGTTGTTTGTTTAGATTTTAGTGCCTACCTACTTCCTTGTTTTCTTGTCATGCCTGTTGCAAAGCAAAGGCCCCATGCACATTCTGTCTCCAACACAACAATACATTTTTCCCATGGACAAAGAGACTCTGCAGGTCTCTATAGTCAGGGACACTAGTGCTCCTCATGGGCAGATTGACAGCTTCCATGTCTCAGAATGTCATGACTTGGGTGTCAACTCTACAAAGTATGTTCCTGTGCATTAAATTTTAAAAAATATCTGAGTTCTGTTTGACAGTAGCATTTTGGGAAGAGGGATAAATAGTCTGATCAGAAATAGAAGCAGTTTCTATCATCAGCTCTGCTACTGACTTGCCATGACCTTGAGTAAATCACTTAATTTTGTGATTTCCCCAAGGGCAAAATATTCAGTTTATATTTCAAATTGAAAACATCTGCCTAAAGGTGTTACTATATTGTTTGTTTTTCCAATAACTACTTTCCAATAAATGAACTGCCTAAGGTAACAGCTTAAATAATAGTCTTTCTCTCATTTTATATTCATGATATACTAATTATTGTAGTGTTAATGATATACTAATGATATACGAATTATTCTATCTGTTGCACTGACTTCTGTCACATAGCTCAAAATCATTCTCCCCTTGCCCCATATTCTTATCTGAATTCAGGTGAGCTTTCGCCTGCACACTGTGGACATAGGTGAGGGAAGCAGGGACTTTGATTGGCCTCTCTTCTGCTGGGACATGGCACTTGTCTACATGGAGCAGCTGGCTGATGAGAGCCACACATTTTGTTGATTAATCCCACACGTAATTTGAAGTGTGTTTATACCTGTCAGCGAGCAGTTTTATAACACCTCCCTTACGTTTTACATCAACAGCATTAACCAGAGCTCATGGTGTTCATTTACCAATAGGAATAACAGATGGCCTGTTATTGTATCTTTTTCTTATATAACAACTTCTAGCTGGATTTTAAGGTACCCATCACGCTAACTAACAAATGACAGTGGGTCAGGATGCTAATTCACAGCACGTCAGCACATCAATTTGCCAGAAGTTTGTTTGTGTAAGGAAACAACTTCATAATTGTTCCCTCAGATACTACATGCCAAAAAGACACCTTCTATAAATCCTTCTACACACGTTAACTCAGTGTCTTAAAATGTTTTGCCAGATGTTTAGAAAGTACATCAACAGCCTTTGTTTCTTCTTTGACGTTAAATTGTCCTTATTGTAATCAGAGATATGGAATTAAATCTCTGTTGTTTCTCTAAAGAATAAATCCTTTCACAAAAGGAAGCCATTTCTGATGCTACATAAGGGTAAGTACATGTTTGGCTATGGCTTAGTTACCTACATTGCCAACCAGAGACTTATCTGTTGAAGGACTTTTCTCAAGTACAGTCATGTTTTGGTGACTTTCCATTTAAAGTCTTTATGCAAATTATATATCTATATATATATATATGTGTGTGTGTATATATATATAATTTTTTTTTTTTTTGAGACGGAGTCTCACTCTGTCGCCCAGGCTGGAGTGCAGTGGCGGGATCTCGGCTCACTGCAAGCTCCGCCTCCCGGGTTCACGCCATTCTCCTGCCTCAGCCTCCCGAGTAGCTGGGACTACAGGCGCCCACCACCCCACCCGGCTAATCTTTTGTATTTTTAGTAGAGACGGGGTTTCACCATGTTAGCCAGGATGGTCTCGATCTCCTGACCTCGTGATCTGCCCGCCTCGCCCTCCCAAAGTGCTGGGATTACAGGCGTGAGCCGTTGCACCCGGTCATAATATATATTTTTTTAAAAAATGTAAACCACAACATACCTAACACCCAATGGCAATTTTTATTACAAATTACTGAAAAAATAATTTAAAATATTGGATAATTACATTGTTTTAGGTTGGTGCAAAAGTAATTGCAGTGTTGCCATTACTTTCAATGGCAAATACCGCAAGGACAATTGCGCCAACCTAATAATTGTAAGAAACTGATATTCTATGATACAAATATTGATCCAGCCTAAATTTCCTGTTATAAATCTTGGTTTGTTGCCCTTTTTAACATCTTCTAGGAACCATTCTGTAAATTCCTATAAATCTATTTAGTTCAATGAAGTTTTACTTGATACAATTTTTTTCTTTTGTTTCCTTTGAGATACTTTCAAGGGATTATTTAGAAGTATATTGTTTAGTTTCCAAGTGTTTTGATTATTTTCACTTATCTTTCTGCTACTGATTTCTAGTTTGAGTCCACTGTGATCAAGGAACATATTCTGTGTAATTTCGGTTGTTTTGAATTTATTGAGGTTTGTTTCATGACCTAGAATATGGACTTTCTTGGTAAGTCTTCCACGAGCACTTAAAAAAAATGCATACCTGGCTCTTGTTTGAAATGTTCTATGATTATTGATTAGAATCTGTTGGTTGGTAGTGTTGTTGAATTCCTCTATATCCTTGCCGATTTTCCGTCTAGTTGTTCAACTACTTTTTGAGAAAGGGATATTGAAGTCTCCAGCTATAATGATGAATTTGTCTATTTCTCCTTCCATTTCTATCAGTTTTTGTTTCACATCTTTTGCAGATCTATAGTTTGGCACTTACACATTTAGGATTGCTGTGACTGCTTCCTGGTGGATCATGATGTGTTGACTGTCTTTGTACCTGGTATTTTTCTTTGCTTTAAAGTCCACTCTAACTAATTTTAATAAACTGCTTCTGCTTTCTTTTGATTAATGTTTGCATGCTAGATCTTTTCCATCCTTTTATTTTCAACCTATTCATTACATTTGAAGTGACTTTCTTTTATAAGTGGCTTAAAGTTGGATTGAGTTTTATTTTATTTTTGTCCATTCTTCATATCTCTGAGTTTTCATTGGTGTCTTTAGACCCTTTAACTATAATGTAGTTATTGATGTTAGGGCTTAAGTCTGCTATTTTTTTATTTTTATTTCTTGTATTCTGTTCTTCATTCCTTTGCCTCCCTGTGGGTTAAAGTTTTGTTTTAGATTATTTTTATTTATCTGTAAAGTTTTGAGTGGATCTCTGTGATTCCTGGAATCAGTGGATCTCCTGATTTTCCATCTAGTAGTTCTCTTGTGTAGTCTCTTTTAGTGATTACTTTAAGATTATATAGACCTCACATTACATTTTACTGGTGCCAACATTTTGCCAGCTTCAGTGAAGTGTAGAAACTTTACCACTTTTATGTAACCTTACCTCTCTGTTTATATGTCTTAAATTTTTCATTTACCTGCATTGAAACCCAGAGCAGTGTTATATTTTTCTTCTACCATCAAGCATAGTTTATAAAACTCAAAAGGAGAAGAAAAAACTATTGTATTTGCCCACATTTTTCCTTATTGTGTTCTTCCTCCTTTATGATGTTCCAAGCTCCTTCCTTTATCTCTTCCTTTCTGTTTAGAGGAATTCCTTTAGCATTTCTTTGAGTAGGTGTGCCAGAAACATAATCCTAAATTTCCTCCATCTGAGAATGCCTTGACTCTCCCTTCATTACTGAGGGATCTTTTTGCTGAACATAGAATGGAGGATTGATAGTCCTTTTCCTTTAGCACTTAAAAAAGAAAAAAAAAAGAAACACAAACAAACAAACAAAAAACAAACAAAAAAACTCTGTGACACTTCCTCTTCTCACCTCATGATTTTTGATGAGAAATCCCGTCATTAGAACTGTTATTTTCCCGAAAGGTGAGGTATTGTTCTCTGCTTTCATTTTTTTTTTCTCTATCCAAGGCTTTCATAAATTTGACTATGAGGTATCTTATAGATTTCCTTGGTTTTATACAGTTTTTAGTTTACACAGCTACTTGAATCTGTAGGTTTATGTCTTTTTGCCAAATTTGGGAACTAGCCATTAATTTTCCAACTATGTTTTCAATCCTGCCTTCTTTCTTCTCTCCATTTAGGATGGAGATGATACATATTTTACATCTTGGGGTATAATCACACAGGCCCTTGTGGCTCTATGCAATTGTTTTTGGTCAACTTCTCTCGTTTTTAGCTGCTGTGTAATATTTATTCTTCTGTCTTCAAGTTTACTGATTCTTTTGATTCTCCAATCTATAATGGAGCCCGTCCATTGAGTTTTGTGTTCTAGTTTGATTTCACAGTTCTAAATTTGGTCCTCCAATTTTCAATTGGTTCTCTTTTGTATCTTTTATTTCTTTCCTGAGAAATAAATACCTTCTTTATTTGTTTCAAGTGTGCTCGTAACGTTGAAGCATTTTATTGTGGCTACTTTAAGCTCCTCATCAGACAATTCTAGTATCTGTATCTTCTTGGTGTTTGCAGTCTGTTGGTTCACTTTTTCTTAAATGAGAAAAATTTTGTTTTTCCTGCTTCTTGGCATGACAAGTGACTTTCAGCTGAAACCAGGACATAATATGACCCCTTGGATTATATTTAGTTTTCTGATTCAGCGGGCTACCTCTCACACTTGTCAGACTGGGGGAGGAGGCAGCACCTTATTAGTGTCAGGTGGGGTTGGAGGTCCAGGTCCCCGACTCAGTCTATGTTGACAGGAAAGGAGGGGATAAGGGCTGTTCCTTGCTGTTGGTGGGGTGAGAATTTGGCTCCTCAGTTGGCCTTAACTAACACTGCCCGGGCTTGGAGGAGTAGGGGTCTTGTACTGCTCCCCAGTTGACCTGCTCTGACAATGAGGGAGGGGGCTTGACTAGTTCAGGCAGTTGGCTACTAGTGAATGTCTTGAATCTGTCCTAGCCCCTTCTCCAGCAGGGGTGTCTCATTGCTGCTGAACGGAGATGAAGTCCAGGCTCCCTACATGGTCTGCGCTGGCACTGCAGTGTGGGGGTGTCTTGTTACTGCTCAGCCAGGGTGACACCTTCCTTGCTACAGTCTAGCAAAGGTGGAAATCTAAGCTCCCTACTCCCTTTGATGGCGGTGGTGGGGATAGGGCCTCATTTGCTCCTGTGCTGTTTGCTGAAGTAGAGAACGTATTGTCTGAAATGTTCTGTTTTCCTATGTTGCACCTTTTCTGATGCTTTGGCCAGAGAAAGCAGGCTTTTGTTGGGACTTATTTTGACTGTGTCCGTTGATGTTTCCAGGTTGCTGACAGAATTCTTCAGTTTCAAGTCTGGGATATATAAGGCCAAAGCAGACCAAGAACTTATTATTTATTCCTTCCTTGGGTCTCATATTTACTACCTGGTCTCTTTCCTTCTGACTACATTTCAGAGTCTTTTTATGTTTTCTTTGTACATAATGTTCAGAGTTTTGTTCATGCTTAGCAGAAGGAAAACGGGAAAAGTACTTCTACTTCATGTTAACCATAAGCAGAAGTTTTCTATATTTTTTAATCTTTAAGGTGTAGTATTCCTATTAATTTATTAGAATTAATAAGGCAACAATGTCCTATTTATTGACCAATTCAAACAAATCATGAAGTCATTCTTCTCACAGCCAATAGTAGAGAAGGAGTGTTAAACCTCTTCAGAGCCTGGCATTGTATTGTTGCTAAGTAATAGGTTTTCAGATAGTAACAAGAGTTTACAGGGATCACATCACAAAGGAATTGAGTTGACAACAGTTTGCATGTAGAATAATAACTCATGTTGCCTGTACAAATCCCCCCACTCTAATATTTCATTAAGTTATACATGACCGAAGTAAAAATTGAGAAGTATGAACAGAAGATAATACATTTTTAGCCAAGATATTACTATTACTACTATGAATTTTTCTCACCTATCTCTGAAATTATTTCTTGTAACTTAAATATCAGCACCAAAGAAAATATCATCTATATATGATGCATTCAATGTTTACAATTGAATTTAACAATTTAAAACATGTTGTTTCATACTTTAAATCAGATTTGCACAATTTGTTTAGCATAACAATTTTACATCATTTCCTTTGCTGAAGAAAATTGAATATAATTTGGAACCATCAACATTAAAATAAGTACCTGATATGGTCTGGATGTTTGTTCTCTCCACATCTCATGTTGAAATGTAATCCTCAGTGTTAGAGGTGGGGTCTGGTCAGAGGTATTTGAGTCAAGGAGGTTAATCCCTCATGAATGTTTTAGTGCCCTCCTCTTGTAAGTGAGTTCCCACTCTGAGTTCATTTGAGATTCAGTTGTTTAAAAAGTGCGCGGCACCTCCCCACTGCCCTTGCTCTCTCTTGCCATGTGATGCACCTGCTCTTGCTTCTCTTTCCACCATGATTATAAGCTTCCTGAGGCCCGCACCTGAAGCCAAACAGATGCAGGTGCTGCACTTGTACAACCCTCACAACCATAAGCCAATAAACCTTTTTTCTTTACAAATTACCCAGCTTCAGGTATTTCTTTATCATGTTGCAAGAACAGACTAATATTATTATTATTATTATAACCCTCAATATTATTATATATTAGGGGGTTGTTTGTTTCATAAATAGTAATTGCATATTTGGCTTTTATGTATTAACATTCAGTATCCATTATCTGGAAGCTTCACTGGTTCTTATTCCTTTTCATCACTGTGTATAAAGCCATTTCAATGAGCAGAACTGGCAGTTAAGGAAGACTTTCAAAGAAACTTTATTTATCTAACTTGAAGAGACATATGGTAACTCAAACTATAATTTTTTAATGTTTAAGAATTGAAATAAATTTATGGGGCTTAAACTAGGTCTGTGAAATGAAATATGACCTTTTTATTTTTGTATTTACTAACATTACTTATATTAATATTAATAATATTACTTATATTAATATTAGCAATATTACTTATATTAATGTTAACATAATTATATTGGTTCATAAATGTAGCAGTTTAAAAAAGTGTTGTTAAATTCAAAGTAAACTATTTTAAGTGATTCTCATGCAGAACCCATGTATATGTGATGAATACTAATGCTACAAATGACTCAAATATGGCAACCAGTTATACATTTGGGTTTGTGAGTAGGCAATTTTTGTAGTGGAAATAGTTTGACTTTGGAGTGATACAGACTCAATTTCGAATATCCAGTTTTGGATGTTTGATTTTGGTTTTCTCACTTGACCACTATCAAATATGTTGCATAGTTTATAAAATGGCGGAGGGGTGGGTTGTGAATTTTGCAGACTTGGGTGGATTATGAATAATCTTTCTTTGAGAAAGAGTATCTCAAAGCGTTTTTAAAATAGTCTCATGCAACATTCAGTGAAAACAAATGAAAAACAAACAAACAAACAGCATCTAACAATCTCCTACCTGGTCTCAAGGCACACCTGACTCGGTTAAAGGAGGAGGCTCACATCTGTAGTCCCGCAGCGGCTGCCAGGTGCCTTCTACCGAGTGTAGCAACATCCAAAGATCTGATAGTCTGAGGCTTGATGCAGGAGTGGACAGTGCGGTTTGCATGCATTTCCAGAACCCTGATGGATTTATCCTCTTCCTTTCAAATGAAGTGGAAATAGAGACTGCAAATATCTGAGCATGTGGAACTTTGCTTTTCTAAGTTGTGGGTCAGCATCAGTAATAACAGAAAGCTCCTTCAGCGGTTGTAATGGTTAGAATCAGTCTCCAATTTTATTTAAAGTCGTGTGTTAACAGTAGAAAATATTCCTCTAATGATGACATGACTTGAAATGGATTTTCTACAAACACACAAAGCTGAGAGAGTGAAATGTATCACTAAACAGCTACAGAAAATTCCAAAAAATTATTGCCTAATGAAGTTTCTAGATTCTTAAGGAAGTATGAGGGTGACATCTGGTGGGGAGAACAGAACATGCCTTGTTATGAATTTTCAGTTTCAGGGCAACACCATAATTCCATTTTCATTGCTCTAAGATTCTAAATCATATACTTCAGAGATGAGTATATTTTCATAGTTACAAAGATTTGGTAGTAAAAATGTGTGAACAGCATATGGTCAATTGTCAGGAGAAGGCTAAGTGCAATTTAAAAACTAAATACAGAAATGACTTACAGGAATCATACAAGTGTTGCTTATCTAAATAATAGAAAATAAAAGTGCAGCTAGCATAAACAGTTGATAGCTGAGTAGTTTGCAGAAAATAACTTCTAGGTCTTGCTCCCCCACCAACTGGAACAGCTGTGGTTGGATAATTCCAAGTGATATTTGAGAACCATATAAAATTTACTGTAAGCTCAGCTGCACCAATACAACTAAGCCCTACTTTATATAAATAAATGCAACAAGTCCTACTTTATATAAATAAATTTGGAATAATTCTTCACATAGCTGAGCCTGGATATGTGCTCAGGACATTGTATCAGTTGTACAGATATGCAAAATGCAAGGGTATTATAACACATTCAGGGATGCAGATACGGCCTGTATTGTTTGCTGTCAGTCACCTCACTAAGAAACCTGATTCACCTGTACTCTGAACAGTAATACATAGAACTAGAAAAAATACCATTTGGACAAACATGTGGAGCAATGCTAATTGATCCTATTTTCTGGAGAGATATATATATATCCGGATATATATATGTGTGTATATATATGTGTGTATATATGTGTGTATATATATATGTGTGTATATATATATGTGTGTATATATATATGTGTATATATATGTGTATATATGTGTATATATGTGTGTATATATGTGTATATATGTGTATATGTATGTGTGTATATATGTGTGTATATATGTGTATATATGTGTGTATATGTGTGTATATGTGTATATATGTGTGTATATATGTGTGTATATATATGTGTGTGTATATATGTGTGTATATATGTGTGTGTATATATGTGTGTATATATATGTGTATATGTGTGTGTATATATATGTGTGTATATATATATGTGTGTATATATATATAGAGAGAGAGAGAGAGAGAGAGAGAGAGTTTTACTCTTGTTGCCCATGCTGGAGTGCAATGACATGATCTCAGCTCACTGCAACCTCCACTTCCCGGGGTTCAAGCGATTCTCCTCCTGCCTCAGCCTCCCAAGTAGCTGGGATTATAGGCATGTGCCACCATGCCTGGCTAATTTTCTATTTTTAAGAGACTGGGGTTTCACCATGTTGGTCAGGCTGGTCTCAAACTCCTGACCTCAGTTTATCCACCCACCTCAGCCTCCCAAAGTGCTGGGATTACAGGTGTGAGTCGCCATGCCCCGCTTATTTTCTGGATTTTTAAAATGAAAATTACATAAATACTGAGTGTAGGTGGTAATCTTGGGGTGATAAAGCATGTGATTTCCTTACACTCGTTGGCCTTCCTAAAACACTTTCACTAGTTTTTAATAGACATTTTAATTTAGATAATTATAGAGTTAAATATAATTATAAGAAATAATACAGACAGACAGATCTCTATTATATTTTGCTTGACTTCCCAAATGGTAACATTTTACAAAACTATATATAATATCACAATCAGGATGTTAACGTTTATATAATTCACTAATCATATTCAAAGTTTTCCAGTTATATGTGTTCTCATTTACATTGTGAATTAAGTCCTGCACAATTTTATCACCTATGCAGTTTCACATATCCATCATTTTTATTAATTTTTGAGGCCAAACGGAGCCATCATAGAGAACCCATATATTGATTTGCCATTTTCAAATATCTGTTAAGCATCAACTTTTTATTCATCTTGACAAACAGTATGTATTTTTATTTTTATTTTTATTTTTTGAGATGGAGTCTGGCTCTATTGCTCAGGCTGGAGTGCAGTGAAGCGATCTCGGCTCACTGCAACCTCTACCTTCAGGGTTCAAGCGATTTTCCTGCCTCAACCCCCTGAGTAGCTGGAATTACAGGTGCCCGCCACCACGCCCGGCTATTTTTTTTTGTATTTTTAGTAGAGACGGAGTTTCGCCATGTTGGCTAGTCTCAAACTCCTGACCTCAAGTGATCCGCCCACCTCGGTCTCCCAAAGTGCTGGGATTACAGGCATGAGCCACAGCGCCCAGCCTACAAACAGCATGTTTAAAATATGATACTGATTAAGATTTTGTGAAAAACAGAATGGTAAAGGAGGTCTTATGCATTTGAAATACCAGGAAGTCCATGTAGAATTTAATTAATTTAAATAAAATTGATTTCCATCTCTGACAAGTATACTAGAATGCTTGATTATTAAATGATATGAGTGTTAAGTTCAAAATGTGAAGGATCTGAGATGTTACTCGCAAGTCAAATAATTAGGCTGGGATGGATGGATATATAGATATGTAGATATACATTAAAAAATATGAGAACTTTGTATTGGGGAACACATTTTTTATTTTCTCACAGAGACTCTTGTGTCAGTTTTCCATGGCCCAGTTGTCTGTGAGACAATGAGAGCGAGATGTCACCTGTGTCTCCAATGGGATTTGTGCCACAAGAGAGGAACCCTGAAATTATGACTCTAGGAGCTTTTATAGGATAGTTGGCCCATCTGCCCCTTCTTGCCTCCAGAGTCACAGGAGCAAGAGTTAAAGCAAGAAGGAGACCATGCTCTGAAATGTAAACAAATCCTTTCTGGGGAGAGAAAAAGATCTCTATTTTTTTCCTTTATCATCCTAGAACATAAACAAATGGCTTCAGGGGAAAGACTTTAAGTCTATCAGAGAAATGAAGTATCTTTAACTTACAAGATATGTTTTCTACTAAGCCATTCTTTTGCTGAGGTTTTTAGTATTCTTTGCTCAGTAAGTCCCAACTTTGCGGAAATGTGAAAATATTTATTGAATATGTTTTCCACAAAGAGGACACTCGTACCTCTGGGTAGGATAAGTAGCTCACATCAGGCCAATGCTACCTGTGAGAATTGGAAAACCTGTGCAACCAGGGAGTATTTAAAAGCATAAAATTCCAGAAGACAGAGAAACTTATAGGGCTGCTATGGCAGTATTAGAGAAATAAGCTGAGCTTTCAGTGTTTGCAGAGGGATTCAGTGGCACAATTGGATATTTGACAGACTTCAGTCATACAGCTGATCTTTTTCTCAAAAACTCTGACACATTTTGAATCATTGATGTGAACTGTGAGACTAAAGACATAAGCCAAAACCTCAGAGAAGTAAGTGAAAATTCTCTTCAACAAACCATGCTGGGAAAATTGGTTATCTACATATAAACAAATTAGCCTTAACCCTGAACACATGCGATTGCGGGACTTTTCCTTAGTTCAGCTACAGACGGGGTCCTGGTCACAGGGTCATGAAAATGTAGGCTTGCAGACCATTTGAAGGGTGAGGAATGCAGGGTTTTATTGGGAGAAAAGGAAGAAAGGAGAAACGACCCTCTGCAAGCCAGAGTCTCTGCTAGTGCACTTCCTGCCTCGCAGTCTGAGTCGTAAGTTCCACACAGGAAGAGAAAAGGCAGGCTCCTCCCACTGCAAAGAGTGCAAACTTGCTGAGGCTTCACCCCTGTGTGCAGGCTGGTGGAGTTTTCCCTGGATCCTCCCCCACCTGGTAGTGTCATTCCCGCCTCTAAAGAAGTCTAACCAAGTGTCATTAGAATAAGGATGAAGACAAGCCTGATATGTATTTATATTTATCTTTATTTATTTATTTTTTTTGAGACGGGGTTTTGCTCTGTCACCCGGGCTGGAGTGTAGCAGCACGATCTCAGCTCAGTGCAATCTCTGCCTCCCGGGTTCAAGTGATTCTCCTACCTCAGTCTCCAAAGTAGCTGGGATTACAGGCATGTGCCACCATGCCTGGCTAGCCTGGCTAATTTTTGTATTTTTAGTAGAGACGAGGTTTTGCCATGTTGGTCAGGCTGGTCTCAGACTTCCGACCTCAAGTGATCCACCCATCCTGCCCTCCCAAAGTGCTGGGATTACAGGCACGTGCCACCAAGTGGGCCCGAAAATCGATCCTAAGTGCTTTCTACTGACGGGGTATGCTGTTTGGGGAAACAGCAGTCAGGGCTCCCTGTGAGGCCTGTCTAAGGGTTGCCAGCAGAAGGGGCCACCTTCAGAGGCTCTGGTTCCATTGCTGTTTGGAGTTTGGTTACCTGCAGGCAAGAAGAGACAAACAGGGTGATTAGAAAACATGTATCAAAATGAAAAAGGGCAGGGGTTAGGACAGCTCAAAAATTTCAAGGCCTTTTACCAGTTTGCACAGAGAGAGGGAGGCCAAAAGCCCAAATGGTTAAATAAACTTTACCCTTTTGCCAATATGTTAGGCTTCTGGGTTCCCTTCCCCTGAGCCTAACTGTAAACCAACCAGTTTAAGGCTTGGGACATTAACTTTTCCCAGTTTGGATGATGCATCTGAGGGGAGTCTCCCATAGTACAGAGACACAATTAACTATCAGCGAAGAGAGTAGAGGGAGGAGAAAGGAAAAAAGACAGCATTTTTTCAAAGGAGTCCCAGGAGTTCAGGATGCATTTGAAAGTGGTACAGACTGAAGATGAATGGCTACCCATCTAGAACGAGGAGAGCAGGTGTCCCCATTTCCTTTCTCTTCCTAGCAGATATCGGGGGTATGTGAGTGATAGAGAGAGGTCTTTCCCTCTTCCATCCTGTATCTCTGAGTCCCGGCAACCTTGCCAGGTGCCACCATGGGTGTTAAAACAGTTTGCACCCATGAAGCAAGGAAGGCCTAGAGAGCAGGAATTATTCACTCTTACCTATGTCTCTTTCCTGCTTACTCTCGGTAGTCTTGGATTCCCTAGACCTCATTTATGCCATGGATAGTAATGTGGCCTTCATCCGTGAAACGAGAAGCTCGGTTTAATTGGCAGGAATCAGCCACGCTCACCTGCACTGCGCCTTTTAACTTCCATTATCATTTGCCTCTGGATCCCTCAGATCCACTTTTCCTTCGTAGGACTTTGAGCCAAAGCTTGGAATTGAGTTTGGGACAAAAATTTGTCTTGGGAAGGTTGCTTGGACTCATTATCATAAGTCAAACGCTAAGGTAAAACTGTGGCATTCAGTCCTCCTCCAACAAGGGAGAGAAAAGGATGCCGTGTGACACACCCAGATACCTGGTGGCTAGAGTTACGCTTGCTCGGATTTGGGTGCATGGTAGTTGGCTTTGGTTAGCTCCCTTGATCTTACTTTCCCAAAAGGAAACCTCTGAGTGATGGGCATCACCTGGCAAGATTTGCAGGATAATTGTTCAAAACTAGAATACTGATCCAGATTTTTTTTTTTTTTTTTTTTTGAGACGGAGTCTTGCTCTGTCACACAGGCTGGAGTGCAGTGGTGCAATCTTGGCTCACTGCAAGTTCTGCCTCCTGGGTTCATGCCATTCTCCTGCCTCAGCCTCCCAGGTAGCTGGGACTACAGGTGTTGGCCACCATGCCTGGCTAAATTTTTGTATTTTTAGTAGAGACGGGGTTTCACCGTGTTAGCCAGGATGGTCTTGATCTCTTTACCTCGTGATCCACCCACCTTAGCCTTGCAAAGTGCTGGGATTACAGGCATGAGCCACCAAACCCGGCCTTGATCCAGATGTTTACATTACCCATCCCTCTTGTTCTTTCTGAGCCGCGGCTGGAGATTGCTGCTACGTTCACAGGAACAAGCAGAATTAGTCTAAAATATAGGCAAAACTTAAAAACAACTAATGCATTTAAAATTTAATGATAAATGTATGATAAGGTTTGGAACATAATTCCTCTCTCTCCCATCCTTATTTTTGTTAAAAAAAAATCATCATAGGACTGAGTGGTTTGCAAAATATGCTATAGTCTCATACTTGGCCTGATAATTTGCATAAAGTGCAGCACGAATAATCATTTCTACATAGGCCTTTTGGATTGGCTCCAATGGAATTCTGTTCCCCAAGGAATCTCAGATAAGACTTTTTAAAGCTGATCCCAGCCATAGGTTTGTATCTTCAAATATCTGTGAGTTGGGTGATCCTCAACTCTTAAGGTCCCAAGACAAATTTGGAGCTTCTGGACCTGTTACAAAGTGACATTATTTACTGACCACACAGGTCAGGAACCGTGTGCAGGGACTGCATAGACAAGGGTATGAGGCCAGTTTCCCCACTGGGTTTTATTGGCTCTGAAAGTCTAGATTGACTCCTTAAAGGGAAGCCTACCTTTCCAGTCAAAGCCATGGTAAAATAACCAACTTTTTCCAATTGTGTCCTGTTGCAAAAGAAAAGTGGACTCTTACTGCACTTATGGAAACAACTATATTGCCCTAAGTTAAAAATACTCACAGATAGTTTCCAAATTCTAGAGGAACCAGGCAGAGAGAAACATGTTCCAAATTTTGTTCATAGGAGTATACCATACTCAATTATTAAAGGCTGTAAACATTTCAAAATAAGTTTTGTTGATTCCGAAAAACAAAACAAAGATTAGAAATATTCTGAGCAAAAGTTAAAAAGGTTGCTTCAGTTTCTGAGTTCAGTCCATTTAGTTAACTCTTGTTTTGTTTGATATTTGTGAACATTTTAGCTCTTCAGGAGTCCTGCACATTTTCCTTTATTCCAATATTACAATCACCAAAATTATTTGAGAGCACCTGTCAAAGTTCCATAGCTTATTATAAACCATTTTTTGAAAAGGATTAAAACAAGACAATTGTCTACAAATAGCAAAGTGTCCAGGGTAGTTACGGTTAGAAACATGATTGAAAAAGAAGTTTGATTATCTCTGTGGTTTACAATAACTTAACATAACAACCTTAATTACGATTGACAGCATACACTTATACATTAGAATTTTAGAAATTCCATACGATTTTGGAACACATATTAGCATTATTCACAAAAATATAACCTAAACACCATTTGACAATCCTATGTACCTAAACATGTCAAATACTCTTGTTTACCTCTCTTTTCTGGACACTCCAGGGGCCCTCTGAAGTATCCAAAAAGCCAGGTGTCAGCAAAGACAATTTTGAAACTGAAATTTGATTTTGTGAAGCCGGATAAATATGTACGAAGTTCAAAACACTTGATATTATGAAATATAATTCCAGATTACTATAATTTATTTTGCCAAAATGATGACTCAGAAATTTTAAAGAAGCAAAAACCTTTTATAACCCCTTACAAATTTTGCCAAAGAGCAGATTAGCACCTTAAGAATACCTTGTTGTGCTTTTATTTTAATATCCAATTTACAGCAAATCCATATAATACTTTTTTTGAATTTAGTCTATGTTCACACACAGAATTTCTTTTGCAAGATTAATTTCCACAATCCTTCCTCCCCTTGTTTGAACCTTCAGCTGTATCTTGTCTAATTTAAAACAATCCTTTAACCCTAGGCAAAAACTGACACTTCCATACCTTCTTATAACCTTTTACTAAAAAACACATTTTATTGTTCTAACACACCTGGTATGTAAATCTAATTCCAGTAGTCTCAATTACATGTTATAATAGTAACTCCTAGCAATTTTTAACAGTAATGTAAAACCTGATAAGTTGGGGTTTTTTATTATTACTGATTTATTTATTTATTTGAGATGGAATTTTGCTCTTGTTGCCCAGGCTGGAGCGCAATGGCGCTATCTCGGCTCACTGCAACATCTGCCTCCGGGGTTCAAGCGATTCTCCTGCCTCAGCCTCCCCAGTAGCTGGCATTACAGGCGTGCAACACCACGCCTAGCTAATTTTGTATTTTAAGGAGAGACGGGGTTTCACCATGTTGGTCAGCCTGAAATCTAACTCCTGACCTCTAGTGATCCACCCATCTCGGCTTCTCAAAGTGCTGAGATTATAGGCGTGAGCCATTGCACCCGGCCGGTAAGTTGATTTAATTGTGTGCTAGGTGCAGCCAAGGTTTGACTTTTTTCAGCATAATTAAGGGTGTGGTTAGTTCCATATGTCCCAAGGCCTTAACGATTGTGAAGCTGGGAAGTCAAATAATTCTCAAAACCCAAAAAGAAGTTTGTAACCTTAAGTCACTTAGCCAACCTTGCATCTGACCTGCATAATTTAGTTCATCTATTTACGTTTTAATGACATCGCTTTTTACCAATAATCTTTAAGGCTGTTTTTATTTCTCAAAGATTAAGTCACGTGAACCAAAAAGTACCAGAGCTTTTATCTTCCCTTTAAAATTATTTGATCCAAGTGCTTGTCTTTCTTTAGGCCCAATTACTTAGAGCTGTTTTTACAGATATCACACACACACACCCCTACACAGACAGGCAGGAGAAAACCCAGTTCCCACAGGATCCTTTTTCACAACTAAAACTTTTAGGAGAATATAAACAGTGATAGTTGGGTTGGGGCGGGCTGGCCTAGTAAAGTGTCTTCTAACAGAAAAAAACAAAACAAAAGAAAACAAAAAAACTTGCTTAAAAGTTAACTGCTGACAGGGTAGAGAAGAGGAAAGAAAAAAGTTTTAAAATGCCTGGGGAAGAACCTCTTATTTCTATGCAAGTGTTTCCTCCACAAGGGAGACAAGTTTAATTGCTGTGGGTTGGAGTTGGCCTCCCTGGCCCAGGGATGGGGAGACTCCGTGGGCATGTGGCAGAATAATGCCAGCCAGCTGCCCGTCGTGCCTTGAGCCATATGTGCCAGCCCCGGCAGGGAGGGACGGGTGGCTGGGAGCCACTGCTCGCCAGTCTGTCCCGAGAAAGGCAGGAAAAGGCCATGAAAATGCCCCCCTCCCCTGGGAGCAGTGGGGGTGGGAGCACGGTTTCCCCTACCCTCAGAAGTCTGAGGATGAACAGGCTTAGAAGGGACACTGAGGTGTTGAGTCCCCATTTTGCTTACTGCTTCTTGAGCCCCCACGTTGTGTGCCAAAAAATTTGCAGGACCTTTCCTTAGTTCAGCTAAAGATGGGGTCCTTGTTACACAGCCACGAAAATTTAGGATTGTAGACAATTTGAAGGGCGAGTAAGGCAGGATTTTATTGGATGAAAAGGAAGAAAAGGGGAAACAGAGACACTCCACAAAGCCAGAGGGGAAACAGACACTCCACAAAGCCAGAGTCACTGCAGGTGTGCTTCCTGCCTCACAGTTTGAATCCCAGATTCCACACAGGAAGAGCAGGAGCCAGGCTCCTCCCTGCTGCAGAGGCTGTCAACTTCTGTGGCTCCACCCAGCGCGCACCCCTCCCAGCGCGCACCCCTCCCAGCGCGCACCCCTCCCAGCGCGCACCCCTCCCAGCGCGCACCCCTCCCAGCGCGCACCCCTCCCAACGCGCTGGCCAGTTGGAATTTTGCCAGGGAGCCCTTCCCACCTGGCCGTCTCAATGCCACATAAAAAATTAACTCAAAAGGAATCAGACTCCTAAATGTAAAACCTAACATCATAACACTTCTGAAAAAAACATAGGTTTTATGACCTTAAGCCACAAAAACAACCATTAAAAAAAGATAAATTAGTTAATCCAAAGTAAAGCATTCTAGTTTTTCTTTAAGACAGCTTTGTGAAAATGGAAAGACATTCCACAGATCCGAAAAAAATGCGAAACATATACCTAGGAAGAACTTACATGTAGTAATGTAAAGAACTATTTACAACTCAATAGTAATGACTACCAGTCCAATTTGTTGAATACATTAAAACATTACAGATATGGATTATAAATAAATACATGAAAAAGAAGATGAGCATCATTAGTCATTAGAATAATTCAATAGAAAAGCACAGTGAGATACCATTACATTCCTACTAGAATGGCTTTTTAAAAAAATAAGTCAGTAGAAGTACTGAAACTGATATTTTCCTGGTGATAATGCAAAATGGAATAGCCACTTCAGCAAAGAGTTTGGAAGTTTCTTATAAAGTTATATATACACTTACCACATGTACCAGTTTTCATGCTACTGGATATTTATGTATACAAGGAAAATACAAAAATATGGATACAAAACAGGCACGTTGCAAGTAACCTCTGTATGAGGCAGCAGTAGGCTGAGGCTTCAATAACATCCAATGCAGCCTTAAACTAAACAAATAGAAGACTAAACTCAGGAAGGAGAGTAACACCAACATTGGTGTTGTCCATTCCAGTCATGCCACACCTGGAGCAGTTCACCCCATATTGTAAGGCAGGTAGACAAGCTGAGGAATGTTCAAAATGGGAGTGATAGGGCACAGCTAAACCCTGTGCCATGCGGAGAATGCAGAAGAATACCGGGCATTTAGCCTGAAAGACAGAAGACATGGGGATATAGAACGGCTAACACATAGGTATAGTATGCTTATTTTGTATGTGAATAAGAATAGAAATTATGGAATATATAGGGTAAATAATTCAAGTTTAAAATAAAGCATTGTCTGAAAACATTACCCAGAAAAAAGGCTTTTTCCCCAGTTGCGAGATACCATTTATTCAATAAATGTTTCTTACATGTCTACTATTACATAACAATTCCCATAAATTAAAGTATCATGTCACTTCACAATAAGCCCAATTCAGGGTCTTTTTGGGGGCAGTTTTGAGACAGGTTTCTGTGTGATCTGTAGAACACAAGTAAATAAAAACGAACATTCACTGAGCTCAAGTGTTTGCTCTTTGCAGGTGCTTTCTAAATGCTCTACATGTATTTACTCAATTAATCCACGCACCTCTAACACCAGTGTTTTCCTGCTTCCTTCTGCTTCTACTTTTCCAACACCCTGCCGGTCTCTCTTTACCTGCTTTAAAAGCAATGATGTTACCCTCGGAAATCCTGAATCTAATTGTGTACATTACCCTAGGATGTAAACGCCTTTGTGCCTTAAACAAAGCAACATTGTAAAATATTGGATTAGATATTGAGAAAGTGAGTGGCTTAATGACTAAGTGACAAATTATTTTATAGCTCAAATGGGTTCTAATTATATGGTTTCACAATATTGAATGAGGCCTGTTAAATAATATTTTATTAAGGATATGTAAGATCATGGTTTTCATGTTATTAGAAAATGAATGCGTGTCAAACATTTTTAAAAGTAGTTAAAACTGACTCATAAGATAATTCAAAGACAAGATAAACACATATGTACACGGTCAGAAATGCTGAGATTAATTGCTAAGTGCTGCCAAATTTGTCAATATTCATAAGCATAAAATGTAATATTCAGATTATTTCTTCCATGAAGTAGAAATCAATTGAATCTTCACCAGATGAAATTTACGTCTCTCTAGACATAAATAACTTGTATTTACAATCAGTTTTTCTTCAACTTCAAGAGTTATAAAATTCAAAGTCAATGGAATACAAACACCCTATAGAAGTAGATAATTCCAAATGGGCTGCTAATTAACAACCAGAATTCCATTTTAAAGATACCCAGTAGAAATTGTGCCCATTTAAAGTTTTTTATTGACGGTATTTCCCATCCTTGTGCTTGTCAAAAGCCCCAGAAATTAGATTTTTTATCACAAACCAAAAAAATGTTGGGTTTATTAGGTTTGCTCTAATTATTCATTGCTGTGTAAGAAATTATCCGAAACCTAGTGGTTTCAAAAAACACACATTAATTTTGTTACAGTTTCTCTGGCCCAGGGATTTCTCTGGTTCAGGACCCTGAGCTGTGACCTCTGCAGCATCAGTCATCTGAAGGCTCTGACTGGGGAAGAATCTGATTTTATGCTCAGGTATTTGTAGTAGTTACGATTCAGTACTTCAAAGCTTGTTGGACAGAAGACTTCTAGCTACCTGTTGGCTCAAGGTTGTCCACATTTCCTTGCCATGCTAAAGTGTCTGCTAAGTAACAACTAGAATTCCTTCCTTCCTCTCCAACATGCACCTTGCTTCAGCAACGTGTGCATTCTAAGATAACCAAAGAGAGAGGATCTGCCCAGTAACACAGATGTTGCTAACTTCTGCAGCCTAGTCATCAGAATGACAACTCATGAGCTTTGCCACATTCTGTGGGTTAGGAGCAACTGGGAAGTCAGCCCACCAGGAGGTAGGGATCCTTCGCGTTCATCTTACCGTCTATCCACCAGAACGTTAGATTTATACGGGTGCCGCAAGAGTGTTAATTATGCGGGACTCTTTGAGTTCGCTTTGCAAATAAAGAGCCATGCAATACTGAGCATCTGAAGTCACAGAATTAACTCCGGTGTGGCTATTTTCATAAGGAATCTCACAGTGGACTTTTAAAAACCTCTGTTACTTGCTGTCCTCAGGGGGAATAATTAAAGCCAAGCCTCTGTCAATTATATTTAACCTGCAGTTCCTATAAACTTGAGTAAATTCCTCTTTTCTTATGGCACCTCCAACTTTTCCAAGTTAACTTCTTAGCCTGGAAGCAAGGATCAGGTCAGTATCCTGGGAGAATTTTCCAGCCCTGGATTTACATATAAAGTGGAATGTCATATATGATTTAATGAGAACATTTCCAAATATGACACTCTGAGTAAGGCTTTTGTTGTACAATTGATTTCTTCCATTTATGTCTAGATGTGAAGGAGAACAGATTTTATGGAACCTACATAAGTAATGATATATCACTATCAAAAATACGGAGACTCAGTAAGAGTTTTTACATTCTGAGGTTCAATAAAAGGTTTATTTCAGTTTATAAAAGCAGAATCTAATAAAAGAGTTGATGATTAGAGACAAGAAAAATGAATTTCTATAAAAAGGGAAAAGGCAGCATCAATAATATTGAAAGTAAATAGCTATAAATAATTCTCCCTATCAGCTAATTATCTGCTGTGTAATTCATTCTTGTTCTGTGAAACCTAGGGTCAAATAACTGGTTTCATGAAGAATGGTTTCTTCTTGACTAAAAAGAGTCCTGGAAATCTTGATTTGGTTTGCTGGTCTGGTCCAAAAGCTGCCTTGATGAAGTCAGCTCAGAAGCCTGTAACTTCTTTGAGTATTTATAGTTTAAAGCACCTGATACACATTTTCCATGAGGCTGTGCTCCTTCTTTATTAAATACACAGAATATGACATATAGCCTATAGATGCTTCAGGTGAGCATCAGAAAATAGGTAAAAACGACTTACTGGCTTTATTTATTTGTTTATTTATTTATTTTGAGACGGCATTACGCTCTGTCACCCAGCCTGGAGTGCAATGGCGTTATCTCGGCTCACTGCAATCTCTGCCTCCAGGGTTCAAATGGTTCTCCTACCTCAGCCTCCCGAGCAGCTGGGATTACAGGTGCAGGCCACCACGCCCAGCTAATTTTTGTATTTGTGGTAGAGACGGGGTTTCACATGTTGGCCAGGCTGGTCCCAAACTCCAGACCTCAGGTGATCCACCCTCCTTGGCCTCCAAAAATGTTGGGATTACAGGCGTGAGCCACTGCGCCCAGCCTTTAATGGCTATTTTTAATGTATTTCTGTGGCCAGTAAAACTCAAATAGGGTAAATTAGAATTATCTGCTGAGTAACCATATATAACTATTTCATAAGAGTTTTTATCTATCTTGGGGCAAGAACATGCTCAGGGCCTTCTCATAAAATATACAGTTTCTGAAATCTTCACGTTGATTACATCTTATCTAAACAAACCTAGCCTAGGGAAAGTGCAGTGTTTCTTCTGCTTTGATATTTCTTTACATGTATCTCTTGGACTAGTAGAACTAAATGGAAATTATGAAATATATGAAACAAACTTAAATATCTCTAGTATTTTTTTTTCCTAACGTGAAACAACAAAACTTAGTGTTTTTCTGGGGATCTTTTGAATTTTCAATGATGTTTTTTAGCATTAGAGGTATTTTAGTTTTGACGAAATTTAGTATTCTATTTTGAAAAGGCAAACATCAAAACAGTTGTCAGAGGAGATTTGGACATTCAAAAAGATAGGGTCATGTGTGTCTGAGAAACAACACTTGGTTACCTATTTATCAAAGTGACAATAAAATAGTTTAAAATAAGCATACCAAGAAAGTAATACAATTGCAAGAATTCTTAACTCTTTTGCCATCAAGGGCATGACAAAGTCAGCACAATGCAGATAAAATTTTGGGGGTGAGATATGGAATGTCCGATATCTGGGCAGCTTCTACAGAAGGTATTATCCCTAGTTTAAACCAAACACTCTGTTACCAATATATCATTTTAGCAGAGAGAATACTAAATTTTAGCTTTTCATTTTTATAATATTTAGGAGTAAAGGATCCATGAGCTCCCTTTTAAAACTATCTAGTGAATAAACCCATCAAAACTGAGCAAACTCTTAAAAATATTAACACATTCCATTACTTCTTTTGGGATCCATCATTTGAAGTTTTAAAACGAGCTGGATACATTTTCTTTCTGCAAATATTCTATGACTTTCTGTATCTATTCAAGGTTTGTCTTGTACTATCTTCTTTCATTTTCTAGACTGACTAGTCACTTTAGGACCAAACTGCATATTATTTTTCATTCATAAACAAAAAATTAATCTATCACTTTGCTCCAAGACCTAGAATTCTTTCCTTACTGCTTTTAGTACAGCACTAATTAGCGACATAAACTATACATTTTGATAAAAATACCTAACTTTACAGAGCAAATTGGGAGTATGAATTAATAAATGTGTGCCATCTACAAATATTTGTAGAAAATGAGAAAGCACCTGGCGGGGTGGCTCATGCCTGTAATCCTAGCACTTTGGGAGGCCGAGGCGGGTGGATCACGAGGTCAGGAGATCGAGATCATCCTGGCTAACACGGTGAAACCTCATCTCTACTAAAAATACACAAAATTAGCTGGGCGTGGTGGTGGGCGCATGTAGTCGCAGCTACTCGGGAGGCTGAGGCAGGAGAATGGCGTGAACCTGGGAGGAAGAGCTTGCAGTGAGTGGAGATCGCACCACTGCACTTCAGCCTGGGGGACAGAGCGAGACAGCGTCTCAAAAAAAAAAAAAAAGAAAGAAAAGAAAATTAGCCAGGCCAGGCCTGGTGGCGCATGCCTGTAATCCCAGCTATTCCAGAGGCTGAGGCAGGAGAATCGCTTGAACCCGGGAGGCAGAGGTTTTGGTGAGCCAAGATGGTGCCATTGCACTGCAGCCTGGGCAACAAGAGTGAAACTCTGTCTCAAAAAGAAGAGAAAGTCTCATGAATACACATAGTGATACACATGCTTTGGATACTAAAATTAGCAAAAATTAACATGTTCCTTAACATGACCTATAAGATAGCCTCTCTACAGCAATTAAAACTATATCAGCTATATCAGTTAAATACATTGCATCGCATATCAACTAAATGTGTGCTTAGAAGTCAATGTTTTAATTTCCTAGTTTAGTTGGAAATTATGTAGGTATTTAAGAATTGTTCATTAATTAGCTCCATTTAACATTAGACTAAGGTTTTAGTACCTACAGATATTGGAAAATGTGTTGAAACTGATACACTTCAAAATATAGTTACTGTTAGTATAAAATGTTTATGAGAAAAGCGATTCATTTTAGTTGAACACAAATTGCTTTTTCATAATCTTAAACTTTATATTGCAGTAATATTTTTTCTTTGATCAGTAATTTGTATTAGATTAGGAAATTCAGATTACTCTCTACATGAGAAAATGAATCCAAGTGAAATACAATGTACGCTTGTGCTATCTAGGATACTGATAATCTAGAAAACATACAGCTCGCTTTAAAAGTCAAAATTATTAAGAGTCTGATTTGTCAAAGCTAATTTTGTGAGTTGAATTTTTAAAATGTGTCTTGAGTTAGGAAATTCTTAGATGTTTAATTTCCTCTCTTCTGGAATTTTAGGAATATTAAATTGATATAAGCATTTATTTATCACTTCAAATACATTAGAACAGAGCTCCTTTAACTTAAGAGAGTTAAAATCAAATTTATTAATACCATATAGAGACAGGAAGACATATTAACTTCACACAATTTCTCACATATAGACACATAGACACATAGGGAGTATATAGCTTTAGTCCCAGCACTACAGCTAAAGGTCAAAAATAAACACAGAAAGAAAAACGCCAACAAAATTTACCAGTGCTGATGTCAAAGAGCTGTCCTTTCCACTGAGCTCAAAATTCTTATTGATTTGAGCTCAAAATAGCAAATCCACAAACAACAACAAAAATACTAAGAAAGTGGATTCCCTGTTCTCTCTTATTCAAGCAAATAGATTTCACTCATTCATTTTCAGATATCTGAAAGGGTCAGAGAATAAAACCAAATCCCCAGTTATTGTTGCTACAAAAACAAGCAAATAAATACAGAAACAAATTCTTGTTCATGTGCAAACCAGAAACAAGGACACAAAGGCTGTGTCTCTAAAAAAAGACACAAAAGGAAGAGTGAACGTGTGACTCTAACAGAGGCATGGAACACACTCATCAGGCTCATTAGTCCCAAAGCCTCTTTAAATTTATTAATTACCAAGAAAGGTGAGTGGATCTGCAGCTATTCCTCTCTCTATGCATTCTCCATAGAGTGTATTTGTTAGCATTTCTGTTTTTCAAGATTACTCTGGTTATTTCAAGCCTTCTCATTACATTATCCTTCACCTTCTTCATCGCAGAACAGTCTTCAAAATACAGTCAGAGCAATTAAGAAAAACAATGAAGATCTGATGCAATTCCTTTTCTTTAGTTTTCCTCATGCTCTTGGCCTGAAGACGACTGGATCCACCTGCCTAACTCAGCAGCTAGCAACCTCCTGCACCACTCCATTTTTCTCTCCCTCCCCCTTCATTCTAGTTTATACCCATCATAGTTAATTTTGTGTGTCAACTTGAGTGGATCATGGGATGCTCAGATACCTGTTAAAGATTATCTCTGAGTATGTCTGCGAGGGTGTTTTTGGAAGAGATTGCCGTTTGAATTGGTGAACTGGGTAAAGAGATGGCCTTCCTCAGTGTAGGTAGGCATCATCCAATGTGTTGAGCTAAATAGAACAAAAAAGTGGAGTATGGAAGGAGTCATATTCTCTCTCCCTCCCTCCCTCTTTCTCTCTCTCTCTCCCTCCCCGCCTCTCTCTCCCCACTGACTTCTTGAACTCAGACATCCATCTTCTCCTGGCCTCAGCAGTCCTGTTTCTTAGTCCTTCCCACTCAGATTAGAGTCTATACCATCAGCCCTCCAGCTCTCAGGCTTTCAAACTACACTAACCACTTTCCTAGGTCTCCAGCTTACAGACGGCAGATTGAGGGACCTTTCAGTTTCCATAATTACATGACCCTATACCATATAGATACAAATAGATAGTAATAGGATATTACTATCTATTATATTACACACACACACGAGTTGTATTAGGTTTCTAATATATATAAACCCTAATACAAAAGTATTAGGGTTCTCCAGAGAAACAGAAGTAATAGGATGTATATATATATAGGATATATATCCTATTACTATATATATATGATATATATCTTTATCTATCTATCCATTCATCTATCATATCTCATCAGCTTAGGTAATTAGGGTCAAATATCATCAGCTTAGGCAATTCTTAAGAACAGCTTCCCCTATTTTACCTTTTTACCACAGGTAATATTTATCTACAGAGCACTTTTCAATGGTTGTCATTATAAATTTTTGTGTGGGATTATTTGATTAACCCTCCTACTACCCTGTAAATCCCATCAGTGAGGGTCATATATATTTGTCTATCATGTTATGCCAGAACCTACTCTGTGGACTGGAATCCAATGACTTTTCAACATTTTTATAAAGTAAAACAAATGAATATTTTATCAGACATGATCTACATAGGAGGAGAAATGGGAGAGAGGAAATGTTTGAAGTACAAAGTAGAATTTTTCCAAATTTTGTGGCTTATGTATACTTCTGTGGCAGAAATATGACCCAAAGAGGCAGAGCAAATGGTGCCAAATGCACAGAATGGGTGTCACAGACATGGCTACCATGATAGTTTAAGATTGTGATCAGTTACTGTCCATCTCTCGGTTTCCTCATTTGCATAATCACGATTAGATTGGATCTATATGAGATCTTCAAGTTCCACAGTCAGTAAAATCAGGGGTGTAAGCTTTTAAACGGATTTTTCACAATTGTATAGCATATGAAAAATGAAGGAATCAATGACGATTTGTAGTGGGCAGGATTGGAGAAGTCCTAGAAACTGGTTGCCTATCAGGAGAAATAAACTAGACAGATAAAGCAACAGCAGAAGTAATATAGAGGAAATAGCAAAGGTTTTGAAGACATGATAATAATTTTTCATTTAAAGAAAAGATAATTGAAACCAGATAAGATAGGGCAAGGGTTAGGCAAATTGTCCAAAAGAGCTTTCATAACTATAAACAAAAGCAAACAACATAAGACAAAAAACAAGATAAAATATTTAGAAATTCAACTTAAAAACAGTTCTGAATAAGATAGTAGTGCCTAGGAAGTGATTTATTTTTCCTTTGTTCTAGTGGGATATTTTAGAGCTTAGACAGTAGATTGTGGAATAATATTTAAATATTGTTGTCTAAAAATATCCAAATCTATACACACAAACATGGATGTAATGGTCTATCTGTTCCTGTACTTTCTGTCTGAAGTAAGTCTGACAACTTCCCTTGGGCTACCAGAACTGTGTATCACCATTTAATTACCATGGGCAGCCTCCAACAAGGAGATATGGTTTCTCAGGGGACTGAGTGGCAATTACACTTGTACTGTAACTTCAAATTCCTCTCTGCAGTGTAATCTTCTACAATTTCACATTAAACAGGATATACTAATGAGTTAATGTTAGATTTAATACGTTTACAAGTCATTTTTGGCCTAGCCTTAAATACAATTGTGAAGCCATTGCTTAATCTCTTGTGGCATTTGAGCCTGAAGAAAGCTGTCTTCTGTTTTGTCAATACCCTCCCTTCTTCTATAAGAAAAAGAAGCAGTTATTTTGAAGATCAAGAAGTTTCAAGGGTGGAAACAATCTTATTGGCATCTAGGGAGAATTGTTCAATATTTTTGCAGAAACTGGGTCACTGCTGTCCTCTTTAGTGGATGTCAAAGAAAGTAATAAGCTAAAATGTTTGACATTACCTTGTCTGATTGAACGGGACACAGCCAGTTGATGGCTGAAGGTTCTCTGTCCCCTCCAGCTTCATGATTCTGTGAAACTAATCAAAGAGTGGGTATTCTGTGTGAACCTGGGAGGGATGGACCCTTATGTTTGTGTGTGTGTGAATGTCTATAGGAGTGTGTAGATATTTGTGTATGTGCTTGCTTGTATGTTGCTTTCTCCCTTTTGCAAAAAGTTCTGTGAGACTTCTGTAATTTAGTCTTGTAAGAGTGCTTTTGCATTTGTCAACTAAGAACCGGGCAATAATCACTGGGCATGGTGGCTCACACCTATAATCCCAGCACTTTGGGAGGCTGAGGCAGGTGGATCACCTGAGGTCAGGAGTTCGAGACCAGCCTGGCCAACATGGTGAAACCCTGTCTCTACTAAAAATACAAAAAGTTAGCCAGGTGTGGTGGTGCATGCCTGTGACCCCAGCTACTCGGCAGGCTGAGGTAGAAGAATTGCTTAAACCCAGGAGGCAGAGATTGCAGTGAGATGAGGTCTTGCGTGGGCGACCGAGTGAGACTCTATCTAATAATAATAATAATAATAAATAATAATAATAATAATAAATGATTGCCAGCTATGACAAAGCAATCAAGGCAGAGTCTTGTCACCTTCCCTTTGAGATATCTTGTCATCTTGTCATGTAAATTACTCCCACTATTTGTCCAGGCTTTTTAAAAGCGTAGAAGATAGAGAAGGGATAAAGAATATTGACAACAAAAGAAATTAAAGTCAAGGACATTTGGCTCTTTTGGTCATTTCTTTACTTACTCAGTTTCGAGGGACAGGTGAAACCAAGAATGCAGGCCTCATAGGACTCCAAAGAAAATCAGAAGACAGGGGTGCTGAGAGGAAGAGGAGTAAGAGAGGAGTGGGAGAGAAGTGGAGAGGGGAGGAGAGGAGAAGATGAAGACAGAGAGAGAGGGAGCGATTGAAGGAGTTAAATAAGGATGAAGTGCGTCTTACATCAGACTTTTGCTGATCTAGTAGTCAGCTGGATGGTACTGTGTGTATCTTGATAGACTTTCTTCTTTTAGGCTCCTGACAGCAGCTAGTTTCCAATTAAATAAAGTTAGCTGTAGGCTATAAGATTTTATCTAACACATACCTGAATCTTACCCTTAATTGAAATAATTTAGTCCCAAGCCAATTTTGCTGTAACACACTTTAGCTTCTTCAGTAAAACAGAAAACATTGCATAGCAATAGTCTCTTTCGTGTTTCAGCCAGTCTTCTGCCTGGTCCAGAGCTGACTTCCACCTCCTACCTCAAGCAGATGTAGGTGGGGCTCGATAATCTGTGGTCCAAGCAAATGTCCACATGCTGCTGATGTTGCTGGTCTGGGAACCACATTTTGTAAACCACTGGTTTGGGTTCCTATAAAAGCAGCTCCCCCAAATGCACTACTCAAGGTAACATTAGAATAGTGCTAAGCAGAGCAGGATTATCACCTCCCTCGGCCATTTCATAAAATGTTGAACTCTCTGTCAACCAGACTCTGAAACCTATGTTCTCTCCCTGTTCTATAGAATGGTAAGCCACACTCATGGGGTGTTGTATGCCGGGCACTGTAACAAGCGCTTTATCCAAGTTCTCATTTAATCCTCACAAAGACCCTTGAAATGGACAACTATGTGTTTCCGGAGAGGCTGAGTTTCAGAGTAGGAAAAGCTGTCCAAAGTCACCCATCAGGTAAATGAATGAGGGGCTCAGCATTTGAGCTTAAGTTATAAAACTCTAAAATTAAGACGTGTCTGTTAATCAGGTGCCCTTCGGGATCTAAGACAAATTTACCTAATTGTGCCACATCCAGTTATTTTCTGTTTTTTGTCAACAATGTCCTCCACACTGACTTTTGTCAAATGTCCCAGGTATTCTGAGCTTCCAAATCTGCTTAATTCATTATGATGTAATTCTGCCATTTGAATATTTACTTTTGTTTGCTTTTAGTTTGTTTCCTCCGTTTTCTTTTTCCTGTATTATTTCTCTTTTCCAGCCTTTCTGTGGTTCCTTGAATATTTTTAGAATTCCATCTTGATTTATGTATAGTGTCTTCGACTATATTGCTTCGCATAGTTTTCTTAGTTAAGTATCACAGTATACATATGTAATTTATCACAGTCTACTAGTATTTATATTTTGCTGGTTCAGGCGAGGTTTAGAAATTTTGTACCCACTTGGCTCCCTTTATCCTCTCCACTTTTAAATGTAATTGTTTTAAATATTTTCTCTACATACATTGAGTAGCTCATCAGATGATGTAATAATTTTTCTTTCAACCATTGAATATGATTTAAGAAATGAGTGAGAATATTCTATCTCTGTATTCATTCTAATACTTTTTTTTTTTTGAGGCAAGATGTCACTCTGTCACCCAGGCTGAAGTGCAGTAGCATGATTATGGCTCACTGCTGTTTCGACTTTCCCAGCTCAAGTCATCTTCCCACCTTAGTCTCCTGAGTAGCTGGGACCACAGGCATGCACCACTACACCTGTGTTTTTATTGTTTATTTGTAGAGGCAGGATCTCCCTATGTTGCCCAGGCTGGTCTCAAATTCCTGGGCTCAAGAGATCCTCCTACCATGGCTACCCAAAGTGCTAAGATTCAGGCATGAGCCACCATGCCTGGCCCTCATTCCTATATATATATATTTTTTTTTTTCTTCTGAAGTTTTAGGCTACTTCATTGTCATTTCCTTTAGGTTTAATAAACTTCCTTTAGCCTTCTTTAACACAGGTCTGCTAGTGACAAATTTATTTAATTTTTCTTTATCTGAGAATGCCTTTATTTCCATTTCAGTCTTGTAGGATGTTTTTTTCAGGTATAGAATTAGTGCTTAATAGTTCTTTTCTCACAGAAATTCACAAGTGTGCCATTTCCTCCTGGCCTCCCTGGTTTTAGATGAGAAATCTGCTGCCACTGACATTGGTGTTTCCCTGAGTGTGATACGTTGTTTCCCTCTGGATGTTTTCAAGACTATTTATTTATGTAGCTTCCAGAAATTAATTATGATATGTATTCTTGAAGATTTGAGTTTTTCTAGTTGGTATTCTTGCATCTATACATTTGTTTCTTTGGCTAAATTTGAAAATTTTTCTGCCATTATTGTTTCAAATACTTTCTCTGTCCTTCTGTCCTTCTGGGTTTTTGATGAAATGAATATCAATTCATGTGTTATTGTCCCACCTGCCTCTGGAATTGTTTATCTGCTTTTCAGTCTATTTTATCTTTGTTGTTCAAATTAGGTAAGTTATCTCAATCTCTCACTAAGTTCATTGATTCTGTCCTCTGACTGTTGAGCTCATTCTGTGAGAATTTTTAGTCATTATATTTTTCCGTTCTATAATTTCCCTTTGGTTCTGCTTTATGATTTTTTTCTTTGCAGAGATTTCTTAATTTTTTTTGTTTCAATGGAATTTGTAATTGTTTGTTTGAAGCACCTTTATGATGACGGGTTTTAAAATCTTTGCTGAGTAATTCTAATATCTGCATTATCTTGATGCTGGCATCTGCTGATTGTCGGTTTTCATTCCAGTTGTGATTTTCCTGATTCTTAGTATAATTAATGAATTTCAAATATGTCCTGGACATTTTGGATAGAGTTTTTTTTTATCAGACTCTGGATTCTACTTAATTTTCTTTCTAATCACGCTCCCTGCCTGTTGAGGTGTGGTTGGAGGCCCAGGTGTGTGTTTTTGCTGTTTCTTGCTGGGCTCTGAAAGCACCACCCCAGCATATGTGGGATACTGACTCAGTCTGCCTCCATCATGGAGGAAGTGGACATCCAGCTTTGCCTGTGGCCCCACTGACATTTTTACTTTGAAAGAGGTGCACTGACTAACACCACCTCCTTGCTTCCGAGTGGGATTGCACGCAAGCTCAGCCCCGCATGAGGCGCCCTGACACTATGGAAGGAGTGGGGAGAAGCAAAGTGCCAACCAGTCCCACCCCTGATCACCTCATTCTACCTTGTTGCTGCTGGTTGAGTGGGGGCTCAGCTCCCAGTCAATCCTTCTAATGCTTGCGGGGGATGTAGCCATGGAGCTCTGATGATCCCCGCTTCACACCGGCTTGCCCTATAATCCCTGGGTGGAAGTGGAGGCTGAGCTCAGAGTTGGACCCTGATGACACTATCTTATTGTGGGAATCTGAGGAGCGCCTGCTTCCATGATCTTCCATTGAACATTAGCTAAATACTTAGCCACCAGCATCACTCCACCGAAGCGTCTAGCATGCTGGCCCCCACTTTAGTGGGGCGAGATGGTAGTGTGGGAGTTCAGCCTCCTCCTCACCCCGCTGAAACGTCAAGGGCTGAGGTTATGTTTTTTCTGTTGGTGTTCGGCTGAAGTAGGGAGGTATTGCTAATACATATTAGTTTTGTTCTTAGGTTGCCCTATTCCTGGTCCTTTAGCCAGGGAATCACACATTTCTAGGAGTTGTATATGTTTGCCTCTGCTGGCCCTTGTGCGTTTGAGGCTTCTTCAGTGTCCTGTCTGGGATACGTGGGGGATATTTAGGAAACCCAGAGAACTCAGCCTGTGCCATTCCTCACATCCTCAGGCACCTCAGCAATTCTTTTCTTCTTTCATAGTCTCCTGTGGTTGTTGTGTTCTGTTCAGGGTTTATTAATTGTAAGACGGAGAAACTGGGAGGAATGGAATTATTCCTTTTTTTTTTTTTTTTAACGGAGTCTCGCTGTGTCACTCAGGCTGGAGTGTGGTGGTGCAATCTCGGCTCACTGCAACCTCTGCCTCCCGGGTTCATGAGATTCTCCTGCGTCACCCTCCAGAGGAGCTGGGACTACAGACGCCCACCACTGCACCCGGCTAATTTTTGTATTTTTAATAGAGGCAGGGTTTCACCATGTTGGCCAGGCTGTTCCTGAATCCCTGACCTCAGGTGATCTGCCCGCCTTAGCCTCCCAAAGTGCTAGGATTACAGGCGTGAGCCACCGCCTCCGGCCGAGATTATTCTATTCTTGCTGAAATGTTTCAATATGCTTTTGAAATAAAAGTGTGCTGCAATCTTGCCAATTAAGTACAAGTCTTAATAAGAAAAGTTTAGAATCAACAAGGGAGTAAATAATTTAATAAAAATGATTTATGAAATAGCATGGGCTATTGTAAATGACTCATAAAGCATCATGAATATATTTGCTTTGAAAGCAATTATGAGATCTCTTCAAAAGCTGACAAGCCCCACATCTGTGCTTTGTTGTTTTTGTTCATTTACTGGAAATCCTGTCTTTGAGACAAATCTTTAACTATATCTTCTTTTGGGGCTGAGTGGCTGTCAAACTGAGAAGATACAAGAGTGTCTGATAACGGGTAAAGGAAAACAAACAAAAAACACACACAAAGATTGAAGCCTTTCAGTGCAATAAGAGCACTCTCTTCTCTTGAGAGAATTCCTAATGACTTCTGGGAAGCTAAGAAGGGTCACAGAGTTTTCTATTTGCGAAACTCCAAGGTTTATTGGACGACATATAGCTGCTAAAAGAGAAGGCTTCTGGCATGTTGCAGAACTAGAAGCACAGATATTGCTCAGGGACCGTTAGTCACTGCCTTGGTTTACCGCCTTGGCTGACAATACTGATACTGAATTAATTCAGAAACAGGAGAGCACAGTTCTCATATATTGAAAGACAGATATTACCATAAGTTATTTTGGAATGGGAAAAATACAGTCAGAGGTACCACACAATGTCAGCTCCTTTCCCAACTCTGATAGGACTCGATTGATGTAGAAATTGTCCTTGGTAGAAGTCGACCACTGGGGAGCAATCCACAAAAGAAAAGCTTCCCAGACAGACACAGAGTCCACAAACACCACCTTGCCAGGGTGTTTCAAGTAAATTTAGGAATTGATCTATTGGCTACCTGAGTCCGGAATATGTAGTATAGGTGGGGGGCGGTGCATAGACAAATGGAGCCCCACCCAATCCATAACTTTACCTGGAATACCACATTTCTATGAATATGTGGAGTGTTCCGTGTATGTGTGTGTGTGAGTTTGTGTAAAATATATATCATTCCCTCTACATTGAATAGATATTTATTGCATATTGCAAATGTGCAACCAGCTTTGTGAGTAAAGAAGAAGAATCACATTGTGTTCCACATGGCCCTTGCTCTGAAGTCATTTTCAGTGTAGAGGTATGTGCATGTGTAGGGGATGGAGTGTACACAAGGAACAGAAAAAGTTATCTGTGAGGTCAAAATGATCATATCCGTGGGACCACAAGGCTTCATGTAGTGTTTGGACCACATGCTTATGATAGGCAGAGTTCTAATGATACCACCCCCACAAGACCCCCATCCCGGGTTATTCAATCAAACATGAAGCCAGGTACTGTTGTGAAGGGACTTTGCAGATGCAATTAAGTTACCAATTATCCGACTTTAAGATAAAGTAATTATACGTGTGGGTTGGCCCAGTGTAATCATATGAGCCCTCAAAACCTGGAAAACAGTCACATGCAGCAGGAAAGGGAGGTGGGAGAGAGAGAGAGGCCGAAGAAACCTGCAGCAGAAGAAGAACGCAGCAGAAGAAGAATCCAGCCCCCAACTGCTGGCTTGTTAGAAGGCCCTGAGCGAGGAATGTGGGCAGTGTCTCCTGGCTTGATAGAAGGCCCTGAGCGAGGAATGTGGTCAGCATCTCCTGGCTTGACAGAAGGCCCTGAGCGAGGAATGTGGGCAGTGTCTCCTGGCTTGTTAGAAGGCCGTGAGCGAGGAATGTGGGCAGCGTCTCCTGGCTTGATAGAAGGCCCTGAGCGAGGAATGTGGTCAGCGTCTCCTGGCTTGATAGAAGGCCCTAAGCGAGGAATGTGGGCAGCATCTCCTGGCTTGATAGAAGGTCATGAGTGAGGAGTGTGGGCAGCGTCTCTTGGCTTGATAGAAGGCCCTGAGTGAGGAGTGTGGGCAGCGTCTCCTGGCTTGCTAGAAGGTCATGAGCAAGGAATGTGGGCAGTGTCTCCAAACTGAGAATGGTGGCCAGCCAACAGTCAGCAAAGAATTAAGAACCTCAATCATGCAACCAGAATTTGCAGTGGAAGCATATTCTGCCAACAAATGGAATGAGACTGAAAAAGATTCACCCTCAACACCTCCAGAAAGGAACATCACCCTCTTAACACCTTCATCTTCACCTTTTGGAACTCTAAACAAAGAACTAGCTGAGCCATTTCGTACCCGAGCTTCTGCCCTGTAGAACTATGGAAAAATAAGTTTATTTTAAATTGTTAAATTTGTGTTAATTTTCTATAGCAGCAATAGAAACTAATGTAACAGGCTGCCCAGCATTGTTTATGAGAATTACAAACCGTTGTCTATTCATAATTCATTGTTCCTCCTGCCTCTCCTTGAGCTGTGCAGGTAGGAAGTAGCTCTACTGAAAATAGAAACTTGCAATTTCATTCATACAGAATTCCCCTGTTACGCACAAATAACCAGGTTCTCATGTTCCACTGTGCTCGGTCATTGGCTGGAACTGCCCAGGGTAACACCATCCTCTCCTGGGAGGCTGGGGCAGACCTGGGGGTGGCTGCGGCTGGAGGCTCCCCGCCAAGGCACGCCTGTTGCTGAGGTGCACTCTTGTAGCAGATGTGAGCAACACACGTCCCATCTGCCACACAGTCTGCAATGCAGCCAGAGAGAGGATCTGCCTCCATTTCTACTGATTAGCAAACAGGAGAAGCCAGGAAAGAAGCTTCTGCTATTTCAGCTCCTCTCCAGAGTCAGAGGTTTTCTTCCACAAGACTCATCATGTTGGTATTCTTAAAGATTATCAGTGACCAGATCAGGCAGTCGGACAGAAATAGTCTCTACAACTTTTGTGAAATTCATTTTGGAAAGCATAAAGGCATCTCAAATAACTGGTAGTTTTACTCCAAAAATGGACCAGGAGAAATATGTATTACCACTGATCCAGAAAAAAATACTCAGTATGGATGAAGATTCTGTAAATAGAGGAAAGTATGTTTTCTCTGTCAAAGACCTCAAAACCAGACATGAAATTGCAAGTGTCTATTTTCAATAGAATTTATATATATATATATATATACACACACACACACACAATGGAATATTATTTAGTCTTAAAAATAAGAAATTTTTGCCATTTGCAACAATGCGGTTGAAGTTGGAAGGCATTGTGCTAAGTGAATTAAGCCAGATGCAGAAAGCCAAATACTGCATGGTCTCATTTGCATGTGGAATCTAAAATAGTCAAACTCATAGAAATAGAGGGTAAAAGAGTGGTTACCGGGACCTGGGGTGGGGTGGGAGAAAATGAAACGGGGAGATATTGTTTGAAGGATACAAACTTTAGTAATGTAGGATAAGTAAGTCCTGCAGATCTAATGTACAGCATTGTGACTAAAGTTAACACTACTGTCTAGAATTCTTGAAATTTGTCAGGAAGGTGACACACACACACGGATAACTATGTGAGGTCATGGATCTACTGATTAGCTTGGTGATTGTTTCACAATGCATTCCATCTCCTCAAGTTGTACACCTTAAATAAAAATTTTATTTGCCAATTATACCTCGATAAAGCCGAAAAATAGAAAAAGAGCCTTAAATAATTAAAAACAAAACACACAGGTGAGATTCGGGGGCATTAGTGGAGAATTAAGGGTCTCTGTCGATGTTGTAATAAAGCATCCAGGTAGGGAGAAGTGCATAGAGAGTGATTTTGAGGGAGCTGGAGGGACCCTCAGAGCCGTGTTGCAGGGCTAATTGGATGAGCACATTCGCAGATGGGAGGAAGGAAGCAGAGTCCAGACAACCACGGTGACAATGGTACAGCTCCACGAGGGAGAAACCTGGATCCCTGCTACTCTGTTCAGGGAGTCACTGAAAATCACTAAGGTTTGAACATGTAAGAAAGGTCACTTACTTCTGTATCTTAAACTGCAGTGGGCGTTTGACTGTGTAATCCTGTATGTACACACATATATAGCTGACATGACAATTTATTCAAATAGTATTGAGAAATCCATATAAATTGCCTTAGAAAAAATTTCTTACGATGCTTTTACAGCTCTATTTTGATGGTGTTGTTTTAGTTTTGACCTTGTATTACTCAGAGAAACTTCTAAAGAGATGTGACACTAATTATAAAAATTCACAATTGCCTAAATGTGTCGTATCACTGCCTCTTTGTCTCCCTGCAAACATGTTGTGTATTGTGTGCCCCTGAACATCGCTGGTGTAACTCTGCACACCGAACCTTCCAGAAGCTCTCTTTCCCGGCTGTGTTCTTTCCAGGTAACAACCATGACATTCTCAATATTGTCAATCACCATGCATCACTGGCAAACTGAGAAGAATTAGGCCGCATGGGGCCTCGGGTTTGGTTAAAACTTGCCCTCGTGCCCTTCATAATGTAGCATGTGAAGTGTGTATTTTTTATGTCCTTTCTCTCTGCAAGTGCTTAGGGGGACTTACGCAATCTTCTGCTTGACTGGGTAGGAACCAGCAAAGCAGAATTCCTTGTCTCACCATGTCAGGCTCTTCGGTTCAAAATTTCGAGATGGTCACTGACATATTCCCGCTTTTGCTTTAAGATTGGCCCAAGGTAAAAAAGATTTAGCCGTCTTCTTCAACTAAAAACATGTATCTATCAAATTTATTGGAGATTCAGGCAATTATCATTTTTATTAAAATTTGTATAAATAAAAATTGCTTATGACATTCTCAAATAAATTTCAGTTATGGAAACAAAATTATATTCTTGATTCTTTCTTCAAAATGACTTCCTGAAAGCCTAGAAACTTACTAAAATCCTTTGAAAGCTGTGTGCTGGTAATGTCTTCAAGATGCCACCAGAGGGGGCCAATGAATTTCACATGGACCATTACTTCTCAGAAAAGGTTGAGGAAAGTTTATAAACACGGAGGTTATAAAATCTGATTGCTGGATCTCATCCAGTGAACTCACATTTTAAAATGGTGTGTTGATTTTTATTAAAATGTGATTAAAGCCTTAAAATAAAATTATTTTTGCCAAAGCCTGCCCCTTCTCTTTCTCTGCTTCCAGAAGCAAGAGGGTAGAGTAAGGATGGGACAGGTTGAAGGGAAATCACCCAGATATCTGCACATGCAAAGAAGTGCTTTCAATTTCCACAGTCCACTCACAGTCGCCTCCAGATATTGATCAGAGATAAAATAAAATGCAACATTAATTTCAAAACACATCTTAACATCCTGTTTTCAAATCAGATTAAAAATTTATGCTTAGCTTCTAGTTTGTTGATGCATTAACTTCTTGTTATTAGGAAAAATTCTATTAGCAGTTGACTTGTCTTTTTGAGTGTAGGTGATTGAAAGGAGAGCATTGAGGAGAGATTCTGAACTAGTTGTTTTATGTTCCTCTTTATGCGATCCTACATTTATGGCTGTGCAGATGAGGGACACCCAGGAATGTCTATTTGTGTATGTATGAGAGGGGACGTCTACTTCCCTAGCTTTGGGGCCTCTGTTCCTGTGTGCATTTATATAGTAGGCATGGTCTTCGGAATGTGAGTTTAGTTTCGGCTTCTCGGAAGAGTTTAAGGCAATAATTATTTAAGAAGTTAATTGGAGTTAATGGAGTTGTTCTCATAATGGATTATCATTTCAGCTAGATTGCTTCTTTTGTTTATTTATTTTGTCTCTTAGACATGGTGGTATCAACCCATAGCCTAGTGCTGCTCCTGACTTACTGAATACTCTCCAATTTCTGCTTCTTATGGCTAACTTGTACATTTACCAAGACTTGGTGTTGTTTCTTCAAAATACCATTTGTAATGGCTGAGCTTATTATTTAAATTATATAATATAATCAAATATCATCTAAACAGATCAACTGTGAAGGCAAATCTAGAGGTTGTTGTTTTTATTCCTGTAAAGACTTTGTGGAATGGATGTGAAAAACTGGATTCGTGTGGGGAAAAAATCACTGTTTACATATAAGTAGAAATTTAAAAGATCTTAAAAAAATGTAAAAATGTAAAATTCTGAATCTGAAATCAGATTGCTTCATAAGTCTTCAGATTCCTGCTCCCACTAAATTAAATGAAGCCAGAAATCATAAAAGATGACGTAGGGCTGTAATTTACTCATGATAGATGAGATCAAACTTCAAGATCTCAATTCAAACTAGGAGAAGAATTCTGGCTCCATATCAACAGATTAGCAAATGAATATCAACACGTGCTTCATTGTTACATCTGATGTTTAACATGTAAGTATCACTCTTTTTATTTCTCAATATAAAGTGCAGTTTTGATTAACTGATCAATTATCAGACCCTTTTGGACTAGAAGATCTAAAACCATTGTCAATTTTATTTACTTCAAATTCCCTGAGAAGTGAATGCCAATAATTAGGACAGACAAATGTCTCAAATAAGCAAGCATTTGTTTGAGAAAACTGAAAAATAGGTACTGACTCATGTTAAAAAAAATCTACTAACAATTCTATTGGAATAGACAATCAGTAAGTTGGTCTAAAATAAATGTGGTGTACTTGTTGTTGAGGGAAACACTGACCATCATGTTATCCAAAAGTGACATAACTGAACAATTCATTCCATTAATTACGGTTTTTTTGAACATGTCAAAATATCAACACAAGTATAAAGATGCTTATTCTTATAGAAACCAGTGTAAAGTCCTCCCCAGCCAGCCATTTGGGTCTGTGTATTACACCAGTTATGTCCCACTGCCTTTCCCTGGCCAGTCCCAGACCTGCCCCTCTTCCTGTCATCCTTTAATTTTGCTCAGATAGCAAGTCTTCAGGGCACTCACCCCTAAGTCACACCAGTTCTGGTTGCATTGACTTTATTTAGCCTCTTTGGGCAGTCTCATCATTACCTGTAAGTTTACACTTTATTTCCCCAAATTATTATATATGTTTCCATAATGACATTTTTTCCTAGGTGTGTGAATCCTTATTTTGAACCTTTAAAACAAAGGTATATTTTTAATGTTAGGTTTAATTTACAAAACATAATTATATACATTTATGGGGTACAACACTGTTTTGGTCTAGGTATACAAGGGAATGATTAAATCAAGCTAATTAATATGGTCATCACCTTGCTTACCTGTCATTTTTTGTAGAGAGACATTTGAAATTCACCCTTAGTTATATTTAAGTATGCAACACATTTTTATTGACTATATAGTCACTCTGCTGCGGACTAGATTCCAAAAGTTATTCTTCCTGTCATTCTGAAATGTTTTATCCTTTGACCAGCTCCTCATTCCTACCCTTCCCACCCCACCCTCTAGCCCTGAGTAAGCACCATTCTACTCTCTGCTTCTAAGAGTTGGAGCTTGTTAGATTCCATTCTCCATACAAGTGAGATCGTATGGTATTTCTCTTTCCATGCCTGGCTTATTTCACTTAACATAATAGGACAGAGGTATTGTAAAAAGAATTCTTCCTTCAGAGTAACTTAAAAATGGGGGAAAATCTACATTTACTTTATTTACTGAATCAATTCAGAGTAAACAAAAAATCTTATTTTGGCAGTTAGGACTCACCCAGTGCAACAGAATCATGCAAATGACATATGAGCAGAGAAACCAGTATTGACGGTGTGTGCCCCCTTGGATAAATTGAGAAGGAGAAGGCAGGTAGGCAGGAAGGGACAAGACTTAGAGGATCTAGACTTCATTTCTTACCACGTTGAACTCTGGCTACGCTTACACGTATGCCTTGATTTCATGGTTTCTCAAAGTTAGGCAAATCACTGTAGTGTCTACCTCACAGCCTTAGGGTGGATTGACTGGGATATTACCCAGCAAATCATTTGGATGGTGCTTGGCACCAAGTAATCACTTGCCAAATTTGATTGGTAATTATTAATTGTACATGTTAACAAGTGTTTGCTTATCTGTACATATACCTTGTGTTCATAGATGGACATATATAATTTGTTGCTATAAAGATATTGTATCTCAATTTCAGATGAACACAGGCTACCTCAAAACTATTAAACTGTGTGTGTGGCAATCTGTAGTATGTATGTGTATACACACACATATACACACACAGGCTGCAGACATATATGTATGTACATGCATATACATATACATATATATACACACTACAGACTTCACACACTACATGAATGCCCCACACACATGACTTATGTACCACATTTCTCGTTAGAACATGAATTAAACAAAATACCTTTTTTTAAAGGTCCAAAATAAAGATTCACACACCCAGGAACAAAGTCTGGTTAGAACATTAATTACCACAAATTATTGTGGGAGGTGCCTTAGTCCATTCTGGCTGTTACAACAAAATACTGTAGATTTGGTATCTTATAAACGACAGAAATGTTTTTCTCACATAGAGATGTGAGAGGCTCAGAAGTCCAAGATCAAGGTGCTGGTAGTCAGTGTGGTGATGGCTTGCTTCATTGCTATAGATTGCAGCTTCTCGCTGTTTCTTCACATGATAGAAAGGTTGAGGGAATTCTCTTCTTTTTTATAAGGACATTAATCCCATTCTCGAGGGCTCTGCACTCATGACCTAATTATTTCTCAAGAGCCAACCTCCAAATATTATCACATAGGGGATTAGGCTTTAACATATGAGTTAATAGAAGGATGCAAACATTTAGTCCATAGCATTCCACACCTGGGCTCCCCAGACTTATGTCCTTTTCACATGCCAAATGCATTCATTCAATCTCAGCAACCTCAAAATGTTAACTTATTCCAGCACCAACTCAAAAGTCTAAAGTCCAGAGTTTCATCTAAACATCATCTAAATCAGATAATGGATAAAGCTCAATGTACAATTAATTCCAAGGACAATTCCTCTCCAGCTGTGAGTCTGTGAACCAAAAGAAGTCATGTACTTTCAAAGTACACTGGTGGGACAGGCTTAGGACAGGCACATCCATTTCAAAAGGGAGAAAAGGAAAGAAAGGAGTTACAGGTCTCAAAAAAGTCCAAAACCCATCAGAGCAAACAACAATAAACCTTAACACTCATGAATAATCTTTGACTTGATGCTCTGCTCCTTAGGCCCACTGGAGTGGAGGTCCTGCCTTCTGGACAGACTGCCCGGGGTCCCACCTCCTGGACACATGTTGTTGGGGGTCCTGCCTTCTGGACAGACTGCCCCGGGTCCCATCTCCTGGACTCATGTGGTCGGGGTTCCTGCCTTCTGGAATCACTGGAATGGGGATCCTGCCCCTGCAGCTTTGCTGCTCATGGGTTGGGCCCCCATGGCTTTGGGGAGCTGCATCCTCACAGCTCGGCCTACAGCAGCTCTATGCCTGGGCTGCACAGCTCTCCGAGGCTGGGATATCAAGCCTACAGCTTTGTCTTTTGAAATCTTGGGGGATACAGCTGTGCTCTCATGGCTCTGCTGGGGACCAGGGCCCGTCGAGAGTGGTACCTGGGGTAGCTGAGGAGTGCAGCACAGGAGTCAGGGAGTACAGCCTTCTATGTGAGGCACAGGTGGTCAGGAGATACTAAAGTCCCACAGGCACCAATGGCCCTCATTTATGTTCTTCTGTTGTCTTAGATGATGTCTTACACAATGGAAGAACTGAATGAGGGGCCACTGGCACCTGTGCGACTTAGCCTCTGACTTCTGCTGAGGTGGCTGACTAATCTTATCAAACAGTCTGTTGGTCACACCCTTGACCTGAACATCCTTTCTCAGTCTTTACAATATGAATAGGCTGAAAATATACCAAATCTTTTAAGCTCTGCTTCCCTTATGATTAAGTTCCATCTTTAAATTATTTATCTCTCCTCACTTTTACTATTAAGCAGTCAGGAGGAACCAGCCCACTCATCCAACACTTTGCTGAGGTATTTCCTCAGCCAAATACCCCATTTCATCCTTCACGAGTTCTACCTTCCACAAAACACTAGGACATGACCAGAGTACAGCTGAGGATATTTAGCGTCTCTCTGTTTTCCAGGAGCGTATTCTTCATTTCCACCTGAGACTTCATCACAGCAGTTTTTCTCATCTATATTTCTAACAGCATGCTGTTCACAACCACTTAGGTTTTCTCTAAGAAGATGGAGGCTTTCTCTGCAACTCTCCTCTTTTCCTCTCCCGAGTCCTCATCAGAATCACCCTTAGTGGTTTGTTGGCAGCAGTGTAGGCTTTTTCTACCGTGGGCTTCCAAACTCTTCCAGCCTCTACCCAGTTCCATGGCCACTTCCACATTTGTAGGTATTTGTTATAACACCTTACTTGTCAGTACCAGTTTCTGTCAGTCTGTTTGATTCACTGGAGACTTAAGAACCACAGACAATTATTTCTCACAGTTCTGGACGCTGGGACGGCCAAGGTCAAGGTGCTGGCAGATTCAGCTTCTGGTGAGGTCCACTTCCTGGTTCATCGATGGCTCCTTCCTGGTTCATCGATGGCTCCTTCCTGGTTCATCGATGGCTCCTTCTTGCTGCATCCTCACATGGTAGACAGGGAGAGGCAGCCCACTGGGGCCTCTCTCACAACACACCAATTCAATTATAAGGTCTCTGCCCTCACGACCTAATCACATCCCCAAATCCCCACCTTCTAATTTTGTCACATGAGAGATTAGGCTTCAACATCTTTTGGGGAGAACAAACATTCAACCCAAAGCAAGAGGGCAGCAGAATCACTCTGCTGCTAGTGCTCTTAGAAGACTGAATGAGGAACTGTGGGCTTTGGACCAAGTGATTAAGTAGCTGAGTTATTCGGATTGTCTGTCTTAAAGGGAGATTTAAGTGGAGGGTTGGAGTGAGGAATAGCATACTAAGGCATCTCCTAAGAACAGTTCTTGAATCGGATGCCAAACCAAACTGGATTTTTATCTTAACTTCATCGCTATCTCTTTTGTGACTTTGGAGATTGAATTACCTCTTCTGAGCTTCGGTTTTACAATGTATAAAATAAAAAGGAGTGAGATCCCATAGCTATAGAAAAGAAAAAAAAAAAAGAAAAGAAAAAGGATAAAAATAGCTGAGCACGGTGGCTTGTGCCTGTAGTCCCAGCTACTCAGGGGGCTGATGTAGGAGGATTGCTTGAGCCTGGAAGGTTGAGGCTATAGTAAGCCATGATCTTGCACTCCAGCCTGGGCAAGAGAGGGAGACCCTGTTTCAAAAAAAAAAAAAAAAAAAAACAGAGAGAATAATAATATATATATATTTTATTTTTTTTATTTTTTTATTATACTTTAAGTTTTAGGGTACATGTGCACATTATATTTTTAAAAAGAGTTTTAACCTTAAAAAAATTCATATTGTTCCTGTGTCCCTGGCACATAATAGGTGCTTAATAATTTGCAGGTAGTAGCTGCCTGGAACTTCCCTGGAATCTGGATCAAAATGAGCTATTCCAAAACAAAAACAAAAACAAACAAACAAAGAAACAAACACAAAACCAAAAAAAACAAAAATCACCTTCTGTCTCATCCTCTTTGAAATTGCCCTAAATTTCTCAGGAGGGGTGACAAAGATATGTTACACATAAAAGAAAGAATTCAAACTAGTCTGCAGGGGGAAGTAAAAGGAAATGCATTGGGAGATGACTGGACAAGCTCATGAATTGACAGCAGAGGGAAAAGACAGTGACAGACCTGAGTCCCAGGAGGATCCTGATGGCATTCCCAGAGGACTCCTCTTCATGCCTCTTTTCTGAATCTCTCCATGTGATGTTTCTCATTAAGACTGGATTTCCTACACTGTGGAAAACACTACCAATAACTCCTAACGTCTACCTCTTAGAGATTCAGCTACCAGAGAGACTTTACCCATCTCTCTATGTACAAAGTAATGATAGTAGTAGTAATAATAATAATAACAGTAATAATAATAATAACAATAATAATAATAAACCTCAGGAAAGGTTCCCAATGTCCAGCCTCTGCCAATGGACCAGGAAGATGTGGAGTATGGGTAATATAGCATCTGTTTGACAGCCATGTGAACTGGCAGTAGAGGTGGGGGCTCCTGGCAAAAAAAAATTAACAATATTCATCATTCTGGAAAGCGATAAAAGCAATACAGCTCAAGAGAGCAGAAGCAGTGACTGATAAAAACAAATGCTGAATACATTGTGCCATAACCTCTCCACTTCACCCACCAGACGCTGATAATAAAGAACAGCGCTGACTTTTTCATTTTACTACTGGAGAAGAAGACATCTGTGTGAACCATTTAGGTTAAGGATGTAGAAATACTTAATTAATGTATTAGAACAAAAATGGAAGAGGAAAATCATTAGTGTATATTGTATAAAGGGTTTATGGTTTAGTGAGAGTTTATTTGCTATGAGTTACCAAAAAAAACGAGTAAACCCTTCTATATTTTAAAATATAATATCCCTCACTATAGTCCTAGAATATTTTTTATTCAGTCTATTGATGAGTAGAGAAGAGTTCCTCCAAAAATTTCCAATGGCTTTAGATTTGCATAGAAATCTATACTGCATAGACCATCGTGCTGAAGCAAACAAGTGGATTCAGTGAAGACACACAATTTAAATGTAAGACTACAATGAATGCAGGACATATGAATCATATGTGTTCGTATCCAGCAAACATCCATCCACATTGCTCTATGCTTAGGAAAAAACTATCAGACAAACCTATTGCATTTCCAGTCTGTGTCCCTTAGGATGCTCCTGAATGGAGTATTCATTTTCTGAACCCATCAAGGGGAGAAAGTGAAATGGATTAGCTACAAATCTCCACATATAGAGGGACTGATCACCTACTAAGTAACTAGCAATCAAAGTGGGCAGTCAAGGTGGGAACTTCCCACCAGGGCATGGGGTTGTACTTCAGAAAGACTAATTTGCTGTGCTCATCTAACAGCAAACTTAGACGTTACCCAATATCTGAGCATGCTGGGAAAACATTAACTCACATTTGGTAGGGCACCCATTACTTCATTACACTTAGTAAATCCTCACCTCTTGATAGGGTTTGGCTGTGTCCCCACCCAAATCTCATCTTGAATTGTAGCTCCCATTATTCCCGTGTGTTGTGGGAGGGACATGGTGGGAGATAATTGAATCATGGGGGCGGTTTCCCACATACTGTTCTCATGGTAGTGAATAAGTCTCATGAGATCTGGTGGTTTTATAACAGGTTCCCCCTTAGTCTTGCTCTCATTCTTTCTTGCCTGCTGCCATGTAAGATGTGCCTTTTGCCTTCCACCATGACTGTGAGGCCTCACCAGCCATGTGGAACTGCAAGTCCATTAAACCTTTTTTTCTTTACAAATTACTCAGTCTCAGGTATGTCTTTATCATCAGCATGAAAACGAACTAATACACTATTTTTTCTTGATTTTTTTCTCCTCGAAACCATTTGCTGCATTTGCCATCTATATAGTGTCAGCCAGAGAGTTTAGCTATGATAAACCTACTAATGTTTGTATAAAGTTAAGGAAACTGTACTCACATTAGTGGTTTCTTTAAGGTCTTTCAATCAAGTGAGCAAACTCTCCTTAAAAAGGAATTATTTTGTGCCTAGTCATGGAATTCAATATGTAGGCCTACAAAAATCAAAGCACCAAAACTAATCTGCAAAAGAGTTCGTGGTTTTCTAGGAACATTTCTGTCACCTGTGGGGCAAACAGCAAGATGAGAGCTAATGTTAATAATGCCCCAGGGATAACTGAGTTGGTTTCCTTCTGTTGTAAGACTTGTGTACAGCAAACAATGGTTTCTCTTCTTTCTTCTTAAAGCAGAGGGCATAGTTTTCACTGAGAAAAGACAAAATTCTTCATGGAAGTTAGGGAAAAAAAGTTGTTTTGTTTATTTGTCTATTATTGCTCAGTGGGTTGAGTTTTCCAAAGATAGTTTGGAAGAATTCAGACTTCTGCAGCCTTGAGTGTGGAAAGAATTCAGTCCACAGGCTCAATTGTGCTCATGTCACCCCTATTGACCTGCTGGTCAGATGTACCAGCCACATATCCTGGCAGCTCAATATCAGACACCACTAGACCCAATGAGAAAAGCAGTGCAGCCACCACTTCCTCAGTTCCTCTCCTTCCACCTCATGGACAGTCAGTACGCTTTCCACTTTTATGTGTCAACTTGATGGGTCATAGGAATCCCAGATATGCAATAAACATTATTTTGCATGTGACCATGTGGGTGTTCATGGATGGTATTTTTAAATTTTGTTTTGTGTTGCATTGGATTCCATTGTATTGTGTTGTATTGTATTGTATTTTTTTGAGACAGAATCTCACTTTGTCACCCATGCTGCTGTGCAGTGGTGCAATCTTGGCTCACTGCAACCTCCGCCTCCTGGGTTCAAGTGATTCTCCTGCCTCAGCCTCCCGAGGAGCTGGGATTACAGGCATGTGCTCATGGATGATATTTACATTTAAACGAGTAGATGGAGTAAAGCAGGCTATCCTCTCCAATGTCGGTGGGCCACATCCAATCAGTTAAAAGTCCAGATAGAACAAAAGTCTGTCCCTCTGCCAAATAAAAGGGAATTTCTCTTACCTGACTGACAAAAAGCTGGTACATCAGTTATTTTCTACTTTATGACTGGAACTGAAACACATTGGCTCACCTGGATCTCCAGCTTGCCAAATGCAGAGTATGGGAGTTTTCAGCTTCTGTGATCATGTAAGACAATTCCTTATATTAAACTTCTACTTTCTTTCTTTCTCTGTCTATGTCTTCCTGGTTCTGTTTCTCTGGAGAACTGTACCTAAGAGAGTGAACAAGTGACTCAAGGGGCTGCTGTTCTTTTATCTTCTGTAAGTTAGCTGCATTCTTTTAATTTTATATAAATTCCCTGCTCCAATTTAAATTTGTTGACTAGTGAATGAGCAATATAGACACCCTCCTCTTCTCATAAACTGACAAAAAGACTTAATTTTTGCTTTGTCTCCAGGAGAATAAATTGTCATTATTAGTAGCAAGGATATGCATAGTTAGCAACAGCTAAATTATTTTGTGTATTTTTTCTCTTTCTTTCTCTCTTCTTTTTTTTTTGAGACGGATTCTCACTCTGTTGCGCAGGCTGGAGTGCAGTGGTATGATCTTGGCTCACTGCAATCTCCACCTCCCGGGTTCAAGCAATTCTCGTGCCTCAGCCTTCCGAGTAGCTAGAATCTGGGACTACAGGCACTAGCCACCATGCCCGGTTAATTTTTTGTATTTTTAGTAGAGACGGGGTTTCACCGTGTTAGCCAGGATGGTCTCAATCTCCTGACATCGTGATCCACCCACCTCGGCCTCCCAAAGTGCTTTGATTACAGGCATGAGCCACCGCGCCCGGCCTATTTTGTATATTTCTTAAACACAATGATTCTATTTCAAATTGTTCTGTAAACACTGTGTTGGGAATAAATATCCCCCAACAGCTTAAAAGGCAGCAGGAGGTGATTCTAGCTCTAGTTAAGGATGGCTTTTCATTTTGCTCAAATTATCTCCATGCACATGGACAGGATTTTAGAAAGGAATGTGGGAAAGAGATTTGAGTTAGTGTGGTTACTGAACAGTCAAACAGTTGGAGAGAGGGAGAAAGAAGAATTTGGTATCTTCTGATGGAAGAGAAATCCTAAGGGGTGAAAAATATAGGGGATATTTAGGAGAATTTACCCATCAGTGGATGCTGTAAGGACCTTATTCTATATCTCTAAGTCAAAATTTGTAAAATTGAGGGTTACTGTGTATTGCTTTTGGATTCACACTTAATTTTCTCCTGAACATTATTTGAGAGGTCTGAAACCCACAGGTAATCTTTATATGAAGACATAACCATTTGAACTAAAGCCTGAAGATCATTGAAATATAACTGTAAAACAAGATTAGCTCCATTAATAAGAGAGGTAGAGCTGATCATTAGTGCACCTGTATTCCCAGTTACTCTGGAGGTTGAGGTAAGAGGATTCCCTTGTACCCAGGAGTTTGAGGTCACCTTGAGCAATAGGACATCCATCTGCCAAAAAAAAAAAGGAAAGAAATAAGAGAGAACCCTTCACTTCCTGTTTAAAGTGAAAATAATTCTACTCATGTCAAGGCCAAGACCTTTGTCCTCTCCATTAAAAAATCAATTATTGTTTACCATACACTAAAAAATAATATTCAGTCCTTTTATGTATCATCCATCTTATTGTCACATTGGTACTAGTCTCCTTGAAATGTTGCTATCAAAACCAGGTGAGTAGTTACTTATTCTTTAATTTTGGGTTTTCAAGTAGAGAATGAACTTTGTCTTTCCAATAATTTCTTATTTTATTTTTGAAATATATTTTGTGAACTGGCTTCTGGCAATGTAGAGATAAAAGTAGAAATACATGCCATTTAGATGCTCAAATTGTGTTAGCATTTTTTGTCCTATGAATTTCTTATCAGTTCGCAGAAGAAAGTGTATATGCAAATAATCTTCAGAAATTACTTTCTGTATTTTATTAAAGTGCATGATTTCAAAGTTATTTTTAAAAGTTTAGAAAAATTTTATAGAAGGAATACAATACCTATAAATAATCATCAGCCACAAAATCTATTGAAGGTCTCCTAGATTTAGTGAAAAGCAGGTATTCAATGTTAATTCAGCCTGACGGCATGTGGTAGTATGTTGCAGAGATACAGCAAGGCAAAGACCATTGAAGATAATCATTTCGTTCAACAGTAATTGGATGAGGGCTTGAAATCAGGTTTCAGTGCAGATACAGATTCATGAGAATGTTCAGAGAAGCACTGATAGGTAGATAGGTATCAATTTCAAAATATACACATTATATTTTAATGATTTTTTGTCTTTATTTTTAAAAGATGAAATTAGCTTCCTTGGCAGTTCCTATTTTTACAACATTGCAAAACATTTTTCACTTTATTATTATTATTATTATTATTATTATTATTATTATTTTTAGTTCTTTCTTTTTTAGTCTTCTTTCTCTGTGTTTTTATTTTTTTATTTTTTATTATATATATTTATTATACTTTAAGTTTTAGGGTACCTGTGCACAGGGTGCAGGTTTGTTACATATGTATACATGTGCCATATTGGTGTGCTGCACCCATTAACTCATCACTTACATTAGGTATATCTCCTAACGTTATCCCTCCGCCTCTCCCACCCTGTTATTATTATTATTTGAGAATTCATAGCCTGTCTCAAGTTACTCAGCCATTTTATGACTTAGGTTCAGGTGAGTGAAAGTTTTAACTTTTCTGTCATGGCTTCTCTCCCCTCTCAGATTTCTTCCTTTCCCCTTTTCTATCCTGAGGTGAAATCTATGGGCAAGGCTGATCAAGCCTCTGGACATCAGGAGAAGGGCATCCGATATGGTTAGGCTTTGTGTCCCCACCCAAATCTCATCTTGAATTGTAATCCTCATAATCCCCATGTGTTAAGGGAGAGACCAGGTGGAAGTAATTCAATCATAGGGGCAGTTTCCCCCATGCTGTTCTTGTGATAGTGAGGGAGTTCTCACAAGATCTGATGGTTTTATAAGGGGTTCTTACCCCTTCGCTCGGCACTTCTCCTTCCTGCTGCCTTGTGAGGAAGGTGCCTTGCTTCCCCTTTCCTTCTACCATAATTGTAAGTTTTCTGAGGTTTCCCCAACCGTGCTGAACTGTGAGTCAATTATACATTTTTCCTTTATAAATTACTCAGTCTTGAGCAGTTCTTTATAGCAAGATGAAAATGGACTAATATAGCATCTTATTTGAATCTCTCCAGGTACTTCAATTTGTGATCTCTTGGGACTGTTAAGCAGGAGTAGCTCACATTCAGACATGGAATTCATGATCAGCATCCACTGAGACTCAGTTACCTCCTCCTCTATCCATCCTTGAGTGCTTTGGGCGCTGCTCCACAGCCTCAGCTATGGAAATCCTAATGTTTCACCTGGGTGAACCCCATGAGAGGCACACGGTGACATTAATTCCTTCTCATCCTGATGCCCAATTGGAGTCATGATCATTAACAGATTATACAGGGTCCTAGAGACAGTGAAGCATTTGGTGGAGGAAGCTAGGAGTCTTATCTTAACTTCAATGCACAGATGCTAAGCTATGGTTTTAGGATTGTAAGCCACCCTTTGTCACTTAATGTGGAACAGAGTATAGAGTAAGGCTCCAGGTGGATGATACTTATTCCTTCCAGTGTCTACACCTAATGCCCACCAAAGGCAATGAGAGTGAAATAAGGACACACTTCTGTCAATGGCCTGGCTCTTTTCATCTCACAGTCCTTGGGTTCTTCTCCTTAATTCTAGAAGGGCTTTTTTGGTTTCTTCCTGTGAGGTGGTATCTTAGTCCACTTTCTACTACTATAATAGAATAACACAGACTTGGTAACTAATCAAGAAAGGAAGTTTATTTGGCTTACAGTTCTGGAAGCTGAGAAGTCAAATATTGAGGATGCAGAAATGCATCCTTAACACGGCAGAAAACATCACATGGTGAGGAAGCTGCACATGAGACTGAGAAAGAAAGCTGAACACACACACACATACACACACACACACACACACACACACACACACACACACATATATATATATATATATATATATATATATATATATGGAGTCTCACTCTGTCACCAGGCTGGAGTGCAGTGGTGCCATCTGGGCTCACTGCAACCTCTGCCTCCTGGGTTCAAGCAATTCTTGTGCCTCAGCCTCCTAAGTAGCTGGGACTACAGGCACCTGCCACCATGCCTGGCTAATTTTTGTATTTTTAGTAGAGACAGGGTTTCACCATGTTGGCCAGGATGGTCTCAAATTCTTTTTTTTTTTTTTTTTTTTTTTTGAGATGGAGTCTTGCTCTGTTGCCCAGGCTGGAGTGCAGTGGCAATCTCAGCTCACTGCAAGCTCCGCCTCCCGGGTTCACGCCATTCTCCTGCCTCAGCCTCCCGAGTAGCTGGGACTACAGGCGCCTGCCACCACGCCCTGCTAATTTTTTGTATTTTTAGTAGAGATGGGGTTTCACCATGCTAGCCAGGATGGTCTTGATGGGTCTCGAACTCTTGACCTCCTGATCTGCCCACCTCAGCCTCCCAAAGTGCTGGGATTACAGGTGCCAGCCACCACAACTGGCCCGCTGAACTCATTTAAATCATGACTCCACTCTGGAGAAAACTCACTCCCATGATAATGACATTATTTCATCCATGAGGAAAGAGCCGTCATGGCCTAATCACCTCTTGAAAACCCCACCTCTTAATACTGTTGCATTAGTAATTAAGCTTCGCAACACATGAAATTTTGGGGGACACATTCCACATTCAAACAATAGCAGGCAGGATGTTAGGGTTAGATTATACACTGGATTATCCTAAACAATAACTTATGTTATTAAAATTATAGCTTTAGATGCTCTCTGTCTGTCTCTCTCTCTCTGTGTACAGTTCTGTCTGTCTGTCTGTCTCTCTCTCTCTTCTGTATACAATTCTCTCTACCCATCCCAATAGAAGTACAGGCTTTGAATGGCTATCCCCACTATTATAAATTTTTAAACACATCTTTTGAAAGTCAAAGGTCAGCAGCAATATATTCTTTATGTAAGTAGCATCTACTTTTCCTTTAAAACAAGGCATAGCTCATCATCAATAGGTGGAGAGAATCAAAACAACAATATACAAGGCAATTTAGAAATTCTGAAAAATAATTCAAATATTTCTGCCACATAAAAGTCAAGGATTGAAAAGGAAATCTCTTGATAGTGACATGAAACCATAGGAAACAAAGAGAAGAAAAAATTAGTTGTGTTTTCATCTTTTTACTCTTTTGAGTTAGAAAAATGAGGCCAACATAATGAGAACAAGGAAAAATATAATGAAGTCAAATCGCTCTTGATATTTGTATTTGTCAAGATTTTCTAGATGGACACAACTAATAGGATAGATGTATATATGAAGGGGAGTTTATTGGAAAATTGACTCACATGATCACAAGGTAAAGCCCCACAATAGGCCACCTGCAAGCTGAAGAGCCAGGAAGCCAGTCCAAGCCCGAAAACCTTGAAAGTAGGGAAGCCAACAGTGCAGTCTTCAGTTTGTGGCTGAAGGCCCAAGAGCCCCTGGCAAACCGCTGGTGTAAGTCTAAAAGCTGAAGAATTTGGACTCCGATGTTGGAGGGCAGGAGGCATCCAGCACTGGAGAAAGATGGAGGCCAGAAGATGCAGGTACTCTAGCCTTCCACATTCATCTCCCTGTTTTTATCCTAGCTGCACTGGCAGCTGATTAGATGGTGCACACCCAGATTGAGGCTGGGTCTGAGTCTCCCAGTTCACTGACTCAAATGTCAATCTCCTTTGGCAACACCCTCACAGACATACCCAGGAACAATACTTTGCATCCCCCAATCCAATCAAGTTGACACTCAAAGTTAGCCATCACAATATTATGAAATAGTTTTTATTTGTTTATTTTTACTCTGGAACTAAAGTGTTTTTGAGAAAGGACGACTGAAGTTTCTCTCTCTAAAAGTAGGAGGCTGAGAGAAACAAATAAAATAAGCCCAGAATTATGGATGCTTCATGGTAGTTTTGAGTTGTTCTGCTTATTCTGTCTGTGCTATGGTTTTTAGACCCATGTTAACATAGTCCTTTGGAAGTGAGTATTAATCAGGGGAGATAAAAAAGGAGGGAGAAAGGGCTCTCTCCTCATTGAGAGGACTCTCATATAAATACTTGGCTTGACATTCCTTTGAATTTCCTCCTTATGCCATTTTAATTTTCTAAAATTTTGGTATTTGATTCACAGCATACTTGACAGTTTAGTAGTTCTTTTGCATTTCACACTATGTAATTCATACTCTTCCAGGTATTGGGGGGGTGCATATTCCAAAACAAAATGGAGATGCCATCCCGTGAGGATCTTACATTCTTAGTCATCATAGTAATAATTATAATTATTGAGTAAATCACAGAGTAATTCAAAGGCTGATCAATGCTTTGAAAAAAATCAAATGTAGAGTAAAGAGGATTTGGGGAGAGGGTTGCAATTTTCAAAATCGTGGGGAAAGTAGGCCTTATGAAGTTGTAGAAACTGGAAGGAATTGACCAACTGGACACCGGAGGAGTGAGCATTTCATTCAGAGAAACAGAGGATGCTGAAGCCCCAGGTTCATTCAGAGAAACAGAGGATGCTGAAGCCCTAGGGTTCATTCAGAGAAACAGAGGATGCTGAAGCCCTAGGTTCATTCAGAGAAACAGAGGATGCTGAAGCCCTAGGTTCATTCAGAGAAACAGAGGATGCTGAAGCCCTAGGGTTCATTCAGAGAAACAGAGGATGCTGAAGCCCTAGGTTCATTCAGAGAAACAGAGGATGCTGAAGCCCTAGGGTTCATTCAGAGAAACAGAGGATGCTGAAGCCCTAGGGTGGGAATTTTCCTGTAGTGCTCCACGGCTTGCAAGAGTACTGTAGAGTAGGAGAAATGGGTAAGGACTGGAGTAGCCAGCAAGGCCAGAGCCAGGTTATGGGCATTCTAATAGTGTATTAGTCCCTTTTCACACTGCTGGTAAAGACATACCTGAGACTGGATAATTTACAAGAGAGGTTTAATTGGACTTACAGTTCTACATGGCTGGGAAAGTCTCATGGTGGAAGACAAGGAGGAGCAAGTCATGTCTTACATGGATGGCAGCAGGAAAAGAGATAGAGATTGTGCAAGGGAGCTCCTGTTTTTAAAACCACCAGATCTCATGAGACTTATTCACTACCATGAGAAAAGCACCAGAAAGACTTTGCCACCATGATTCAATTACCTCTCACTGGGTCCCTCCCACAACATGTGGGAATTCAAGATGAGATTTGGGTGGGGACACAGCTCAACAAAATAGCTCCCTGTAAAGAGTTTGACTTTTGAATAGAGTCGGAGGCAGTGATGTGACATAATGCAATATTTGAAAGGATTGTTTTGACTATTATTTTAAGAATAGACAAAAGAAAGCAGAGGAACAGAGCTTCTAGAAGGCTTTTGCAGTAATCTAAGCAGGAGATAATACTGGCTTGAAACAGCATGATACTTGTGAGTGTAACAACAAATTATTGGACTCCGGATATATTTCAAAGACAGAGCCAAAAGGAATTTCTACTTTTTAATAGGTAGAGCAACAATGTTGTCAGGATTTTCTAACAGTTTCGTTGGATACAAAATATAAGAGAGTGAGGGTAGTAAAAGAAACCTCCAAGGACTTTGGCTTGAGCAAATGAAAGCAAGAATTTGACATTAACAAAGTTGAGAAAGCCGATGTAGAGCAGATTTATTGAAACATGCAGGGGCTGCGTGTGCATATATTGTACTTGGAATATCTATTAGACATCGAAGGTGATATATCATGTTTTCAGTGGATATATGAGCCTGGATTTTAGGAGAAGGGCTGAGGCTTAAGATGTATATAAAGAAAATCCAGACATATTGATGATATAAGTCCATGGGAAGATTGGCTCACCAAGGGAGTGGGTAAGGTAGAGGAAAGAACCCAAAACTGAATCCTTGACCCTCGGTTTTAAAAGATTGGGGCAAAGGAGTAGAATCCACAAAAGGGTACCTAAGAAGGAAAATCAGTGAAGGAGAAGGAAAACCAGAAGAAGAGAGTGTCCTAGAACCAAATCAAGAAAGTATAGCAAGGAGAAAGGAGAAAGCATCTTTGCTACATATTGCTGATAGGTCATGGATATGAGGTTGAAATCTTGCTCAGGAATTAGCAATGTGGGGAGTCACTGGGACTATAACAAAGGCCAGAGCCCTGTCCAGTTTTTCATGTATAATGCTATGAAATCAAAAACTTTCTTTGGTGCTCTCACTTTGGAAAGGACACGATGCCAATTTATTTCTTTCATATGGTGTTAGTAAGACTAGAAATCCCTGATCATCTTTCCAGCTGAGAGATGCATCTTTTTCATTCTTTAGGCTGTTTCCTTAACCAATTTTAGATTAGTTTATTTTGATTGTGGCATAAGAGCATCCTTGATTTCTTCAAATTCTTTGTTTTCCTCTAGTGAGGGAATCTGAGACTATATTCTTAAGGTAGATGGATCCTTCTTGAATATTGCCTACACAGACAGAGAAAGAGCCGAAGAAGGATTAGAAGTGAAATAACCCCACTTTAATTCATCAGAATATTTTAGTAATAATTATGCATCTACATTTTACAGTATGTTTGCTTTGACTATGTATTTCTAGAAACCTAGTTTAGTCTATCTGGACATGCCAGACAATGTGGCATATCACGGAGGAAGAATCAGAGCGGCTGAGAGCAGTGACTCATGCCTGTAATTCCAGCACTTTGGGAGGCCAAGGCGGGCAGATCACCTGAGGTCAGGAGTTCAAGACCAGACTGGCCAACATGGTGAAACCCTGTCTCTACCAAAAATACAAAAATTAGTTGACCATGGTGGTGTATGTTTGTAATCCCACCTACTCGGGAGGCCGAGGCAAGAGAATCACTTGAGCCCAAGAGACAGAGGTTGCCGTGAGCCAAGATTGCACCATTGCACTCCAGCCAGGGCAACAGGGTGAGACTCCGTCAAAGAAACAGAGTGCTATAGAACAAGCACTGGCATAAAGAGATACTCAGTGGATGACATTAAGTAGAACGTTGTGATGGAAATAATAATAAAATTTTCATTATTGTCCTTTTACTCTAAGCCTTAGGTAAATAGCTAACCAAAGTAACTGTATTCTACTAGGATCTAACCCAAATCTTAGAAGATTGAGATTAACTAATTCCATTGTATTCAGTCATTCAAATGTCATAATTTCATTTGCTAAAGAAATATTCCTGTGGATAGATACTTCCTATCTATGCGTATATTTGTAACACCAATCTCTGTTTAGATAATGCATGCACTAACTTATTTCTTACTGTGAATGTTTTCTGGCTTTAGATATAAGTTATCCATGAATTCTAGAAAGAAACAGCAACAAAGAATGGATTCTATAGTCAGATATGTTCAAAATCATAGGGTATGGATCTAACATCCCATAACTTCTGACTCCAGCTGGCCTTTGTGCTCAACAGTATCTGTCAAACTACTGCTGTTTGTGCATCCCTTAAAGTGGGACATATTCTTCTTTGCTTCCCAATTTGCTTTGCATGCCTTCAGCATGGTATGGGTGCTTATGGATTTGCAAACAGCAAGCCTATATTGCCTTAGGAAACATTGTATTAAATTGCAAAAAAAAAGCAAAAAAAAAAAAAAAAAAAAGGTGTGTGCAGCTATCAAAGCCAGTAGGCCTCTGACACTCACATGGTATCTTGTGATTTGGAGCCCCCTGCAGGAGCACTGTGGAGTGACAAAGACAAGATGCTTGTATGAGACAGATAGTCGTGTCTCTTTCAGCTTCGTCTCTTAAGTTCATTCCGAGGAATTTTGATATCCAATTATCCCAGGATCTGAGGGCCAGAAGAGAAAACTTTAATTGTTTCCTCAAAGTGAGAAGCCACTTAAATGGCAGAATCAATTCCAAAGTAATTGCTGTTCCTCGGGTTCCCCCTTAAAGTTTATCCAGTGTTGAAAAAATACACAATCCTTGAACTTTAGGTGGAGCATGTGAACTGGACTCCAGAATCAAAACAGTGCTGTGTTCTCTAAGCAACTGCAGCCTGTCTCCCTGGGAAAGCTGGGCTTCAGGTAGAAAAACAGAATTATTTTCATTTTTCACAGTTAATTGCAGTGTGTTTGTGTGGCACTTTGCATATTGTGTCATACTGTTAGGGTAGAAGGAAAAAGATGGTGAGATAGATAGGAGAGGGTTATTTGAAATGTCACCTTTATGTTTGATTCTGAGTGAAATTAAGCCTTCGTGTACTTGACTGAGGTTTCCCAAGAATTTAAAACTAAATCAGTGCTACGCATGATTACATGATTAAACTGCTATATGTTCACCAAAACTCATCGTCATTTTCCAGAAACTTGTAAAGAGCCAATGCTCAGCCATAATTTAATGCAGACTTGAGAAACTTATAGAGAAAAGAAAGCAGTCACTTTATTTTGGTAATTTTCTGTGTTCCTTCCCCACCCTTCTAAGATAACCCTATGCTGACCCCATTTCCCCACCTCCCACCTCACACAATTGCACAAGGCTGTGAGGAGAAAAATGGAGAGAGGGAGGAAAACAAATCCCTATTATTGCCAACAAATTTCATCTGACGAACTTGTTTAAAACCAAAACCATTTTCCTCACCCTATGGGCTGGGTTTCCTAATGCACAACAGGGATAGTAAAGGGCAGTCAATAGAAGGAAGAATAAGAGTGAAAATGGAAGAAAAGGGTAAAGGCGGTGCTTTCTGTTACCCACGCTACAGCATCTCTTTCTTCCCTGATACCTTGTTCTAATCGTCATTTCAGAGACCGTGCCCAGAGTCTTTTTGCTAAAACCTTTGGAACCTCTATCTTTACCCATCCTCCTGCAGCCTAGACCAGAGGAGCCTCTATGGGTGATCTATGCAGAAGTTCAGAGAAAATCTGGGAGGCCGAGGCGGGCGGTTCACGAGGTCAGGAGATCAAGACCATCCTGGCTAACACGGTGAAACCCCGTCTGTACTAAATATACAAAAAATTAGCCGGGCGTGGTGGCAGGCACCTGTAGTCCCAGCTACTTGGGAGGCTGAGGCAGGAGAATGGCATGAACCTGGGAGACGGAGTTTGCAGTGAGCCAAGATCGTGCCACCGCACTCCAGCCTGGGTGACAGAGCAAGACTCCCTCTCAAAAAAAAAAAAAAAGAAAAAAAAAGTTCAGAGGGAAAGTGCAATACAAATAAAAGTCATGATTGTATGTGACTTAGTTTTTAATTTCTTGGTGATGTGCGATTCTATATTAATACGTGGGTAAATTAAGTCGAATTTTAAGCCCTTGGTACATTGGGACCCACCAGCCTAGGCTTTCTCATCATCCCAATCACTAACAACTTTTGTAACTTTTTTGTTCTAATCTATCATATATTGAAAAGAACTGCCTCTGAGATTATTATATGAGAACTAAATTTCCAGATCTTTTCATGATCAGTAAAAGTCAGTTCTTATATTTCATTGTTTTCTATTTCTCAGCAGCACTTGACAGGGTTGCTATTTCTCTTTCCTGAGACTGTTACTTCTTTCTTTTCTTTTATTTATTTATTTTTTTGTGACATGACACTGGCCTGGCATTTTTCCTTGCTCAATGGCTGCACCTCCTCAGTGTCTCTCCCCAGTGTATTTCCTCTTCCGACCTGTGGGTGCGGCAGAACCCCAGGGCTTAGAGTCCATCTCTACTCCTCTCCCCAGGTTAACACAACTTGTCCCTGGCTATAGAGACCGGACCATCAGCAATGAAGTCCACAGCGCTTTCCAGGTCTAGCCTCTCTCCTAAACCCCAGCATTGTATATCTGACAGCACACTGGACATTGCCACGTGGGTGGCTAAAGGGCACCTCAAACTTAAGTTGCCCAAAACTGTACTGTAATTTGTTTTATGAACAAATTTTCACGGGTCCTGCTCCCTTATTTTCTGTAGCCAAATGCTAAAATATCTTCAGGGAACCCTTCTCTCTACACCCTAGCTAAAAATCACACCTTTGTCACTGTCAAATTTCTTATATTTACATTTATTCACAGAATTTATCAGTACCTGCTATATAATATGTGTATCCATCTTTCTATTCATGATGTCTTTTCCCATAAAATATAAGTCCCATGAGGACAGGGGTTATGAGACCGTATTCCCCTCTTGTTTTCTAGGTCTGGAGAAATGCCTGCAACATAATCAGTATTGGCAAAATATTTTTGACTGAATGAATAAGTAGAGATAAAAAGCAATGAGTGTCTGTAAAAATGAATACATGAATCAATCAATCCAAGTTCTGAGATTGTTTTTAATTTACTTATAATAATCATGGTCTTTCTAACTCATATCTATCTATGCACACTTAACTGTACAGTACTATGTTTGGGAGCACAGAGAATCATACCAAGAGGTGAGATATTTCTATGCTTAATACTCATTCTTGCCGGGGCTTGCTTCACCAGTGAGAATATCTCTCTACTTTGTTTTTTTTCTATGACATCTTATTTTTCATGAAGCATTTCTGATTGTCAGACACGATCATCACTGTGTCAGTATCCAGTACATAACTTGAATGTTGTACTTATCCCTAAATTATAATGATTTGTCGGTATCTTTTATCTCTACAAAGAGAATTTAAGTATTTAAAGATACTTACTTATTTTTCGAAATTATGTTATTTATTTTTATCGGAAACCCTAGCAGAGTTCCTGTTATAAATGTTGAATTAACCTCATTCCTCCAAGTCCCCGCGTCCATAGTCTCCTAGGTGGGGAGGTTCATGCCAAAGATTGTTTAGAATGATATATTGGAGTTGGGGAAAGTATTAGGACTTCCCTCACTATTTTTTTCCACCTCATCATTTTTACGATTTCCATTTTGTGTGTAATCTGTCATATATAAATATATCACTACAGTAGTAGATGTATTTCATTCATACTTTGTAAATGCATTTTGTGAGTGGTTGCTTGAGCCTTCTTTTCTGATAGGGGCGTGAACATGACCGAAGCGTTTGGATGCTGCTAGTACAGGCTCTCGCAATGACTACACACAGGCTTCATTTCACACCTGTGAATATGGGATGGGGTCTTAATAAGTGCAATACCCAAACTGCATGAAATTGAGCCCTGGCTGTCTTTAGGGGCATGACTTAGCCCCTCTTCTTCGCGTTTCAGAATGCCTCTCTTTTATTTTCCTGTGTGCCACTTGCTCAGGCCATCAGACACTCGCATCCGCATGTGAGATCTGATTCCTTTAAGTGCAGCAGAACTTCAGCATAACAGGTGCTGGCCATCTCCCCTATATTTTGCATACTGGGTGTAAAAAGGACAATATATACCTCTCTCGAGCAGCTCTTCATAAATCTAGCCCATTCAGCTTTTTAAAGTGTGTTTTATTTTTTTGCAAGCCACTCTGCCTGTTTCCCCGTATTCACCACATTCCTACCAGAGATACCCAGGTCCACAAAAATAGAAATAATTAGAGCTCAATTTATATATTGCTCAGGGACAAAGTCTCTGGGTGCCAGCTCTGATGAAAGAAAAAAAAAGGAGAAAAGAAAAAAAACAACATAGAACAACGTACTTTAACTGAATTAAATGATGTGTGTCTGTGTGTGTGTGTGTTAAAATTTCCATCTCTAGTTAAATTAAATGCTAGCAATCAAGAAATTTAAAAAGCAAAGCAAACAAACAAACAAAATACATAGTAGTGAGTTTTATTGGGTTCTTATTATTTGGCTTTTGGTGTTGGTTTTGGTTTTTCATTTGGTTGGTTTGGTGCAAGTTTGTGTTGTAGGAGTTCCTCCTCATCAAGTTTCCTAAAGCTTAGTGCAGAGTATTATTAGGTGGTCACTCTGCTATGATGTAACTCTGAGAACAGAGAAATTTCAGACTGTACTTGTTTTCCCCAAAAGGCAATGATAAAATTGAAGAGAGAAACAGATATTTTTAACTTCCACATCAGTGCTCTTTGTGTTAAATTTTACAATATGTGTATTTTTATTCCATTGCATTATGAAGACTGAATTGGAAAATGAATCTAGCCAGTGAATGGAGAAAAAACATGTTTTAGGGAAGAAATGGAAGTCCTTCCTTAGACAGTAAACACCAGAGGGGCTTGAATGGCTGCCCCACCAACAAGCTGGGAAAGCTGCCCTGTTGGAGAGTAGAGAAGAGAGATGTTCACACTTCCAAAGTGTTAAAGCAAGAGTGGGTTTTATACATTTTTAACAGTGCATCTCTTTAAAATGCTGCAAGATGTAGCCAAAAAGTGGAATCTTTCCAAATCCAACAACTGATGAATGAATAAAAAAAATGTGGTATATCCATACAATGGTATATTTTTTTCTGCAATAAATTAAATGAAAAATGGATTCATCCTACAATTTAGGTGAACTGTGAAAACATTATGCTGAGAACAGGATGCAAAACAAAAGAGAGACTGTATAGGGTATGAGTCCAGTGATCCGAAATGTCCAAGATAGGCAGTCTCTGGAGACTGGGTGGAGGAGCTACAAGGCTGTGTAGGGCTGGGGGTTAGGAAAAATGGGGAGAGACAGCCACTAGGTACAGGGTTTCATTTTGGAGTAATGAAAATGTTTCAGACTCCGACTGTGATGAAGGTTGAGCAATGCTGAGTACACTAAAGAACATGGAATTGTATGTTGTTAAATGGGTGTATTTTATGGTATATGAATTATTTCTCAATTAAGACATTAAAATGGGGAGAATGTAGACAGGAAATATTTTTAAACATTGCGAGGCTAACTTTTTGTAATAAACATCACTTTTTTCTTCCCATGTCAACAATGAATTGACTCTAATTTTTTATGTGAAACTTATGTAAGATGACTATAAAGCAGTGATATCGTTGACCACATTTAACCATAGATGTTATGCAAACTAGCTAAATGTGTGATTGCAAGATGACATGACAAATCTTTTCCTAAGGAATAACAAGTCTATTTTAAAATAACACATTTATGCTTAATTTGAGGGGGGTCTTTTTCAGGGTTAAGGGCCAAAACTCAAGTTAGCCTAAATGTGCATGAGGTAGCACAAATAGAAACATATTTATGTAAGCTATCTATGAATTATTCAGTGTTCAGACACCAATCTGATTTTGCATTAAATTACATTGATAGAGGCTACCCGATCCTGACACAAATTAAACATTTGCAGAGTTCGACCCTCTCTTCTTTCCCTGCCCTGAATGTGTACTGGGGGGTGACCTTCATTATGCACAGACATTCTTTCAATTTTTCCAAAAACTGACAGGTACTAAATTCTGCCTGATGCTACTACTTTAAAGAAAATCAACAGAATATTATTATGTATATTTGTAAGACAGTCTTCTGGTCATCGTGGGGAATACAAACAAGTCAAAATCCCCTACTCTCAAAGACTTTAACTGCTGGTTGGAGAGAGGCTATTGACCAATAAGAAGTTAATAAAACTATTATCAGGAGACAACCCCTTAGATGACACCATGTAAATCTATAAGGCAGCTTGATGTTTATTATATTATTTATTATATAATTTTACCTGAAAATATGTAAAAGGAGTTAAACTTGAGGATTCTGTAAGATAGAAAATCACATTATTCGCATATATAAAGGCGTTGACATTTGCAATTTAGCATGTCTGCTGTTCTTCCTATTACATCTGTACATTTAAAAAAAATAGTCTATATGGCTTCTACCTAGAACCCAAGCAATAGAAACAGTATTTTGGAGAATAATTTCCACTTTCCTTCAACTCTCCAGTTCTTCCTGTCATTAGGCTCCTTATCATAGCATTGATCTCACAAATAATAATTTATAGGACACTGGTCAGATAGTCTAGCCCCAACTCTTGGATTTTCGCTCAAACCTCTATTAGTGTACAAGTTCCCACACCAGGGCATCCTGTTCTCTCTCTCTCTTTTTTTCTTTCTGATCATAAACACTAACTTTCTAGCTGTTTGTCCTTGGGTCTCATACATTTGGTGACATTCCCTCTGCTCACTTGTCCTCTTTTCATAGATCTGTTTTGGAGAGGGGAGTGTCCTCACTTTCTCAAGCCTCCTTCTTTACATAATTACCATTCTTCCCATCAGACCGACCTAAGAGATGCTCCATATTTCCCTCTCTTCCTCCTTTCTCCCCATCATAACAATCTACACTCTGTTATATCCATTTTGGTTTCAAAACTTATACAAAATTATCCACACATAAAAATCCTCCCTGATATTTATTGCAATTTTGGACATACACATTGAGTCAATTCTCTCTCTTGGGCTACTTGCTGTATCAATGCAAGGCTGTGGAAACTTCAGAATCCTTTGTGTCCTACGTGGAACTGCATAGGGTTCAGTAGCGCTTTTTCTCTGCCCAGCCAGGCTGCCCTGTCATTTTTATACAGATGCTGCTTCATCTTCATCCGCATCGGACACCTGGGATGGTGTCTTCTGCAAGGTTTCCACATGGGCAGTGGTCCAAGGGTGTTTCTCTATTTTCACATTTTCATTCAAACTACATAACATGTCGTGGTGGTTTTAAGGGAGATCTGCAGATTCTCTGACACTCCTTCACAAACCATGCTGTTACACTTCCTCCCACTGAATATGACCTATCTCCAATGACTTGTTTCTAATGAGTTGGTGAAGCCATGCATTAATCTTCAGGCTAGCCAGGCCAAGAGGAAACTGTTTCCATATAGTCCCTGTCTCTCATTTGGTCTCTAAGTAGTGAGCCACCATGTGAGAAGTCCAGCTACCTTGATTTATCTGCTCGAGGGACAAAGGGAAGAGGTCACAGAGAGTTAGAGACATTCCTGAGGAGTCTCCCCTGCCCCATCCCCAGATGGCAGAGATGCCAGTGTCTTCCCAGCCTGGGTGCCAAGCCTGTGAATGAGTGAGTGAGGGAGCCTTCTGATGATTTCAACTCTCGTTTACAGTAGTCCTGGGTGACGGTGTGCAGCAGAGCCTGCCCAGGCTACAGAGTCAAGTTCCTCTAACGCACACATTATGTTAAAAAGCCATAGTAACTGCACCACACCTTTAGCTTTCCCTCTAAGATGTGAGCTGGAGAGGGGAGGGCAGGATCTTGGTGTCCCAATCCTGCTCCTTCTTGATCAGTTTGTCATTCCCAACCACCAAGGATCTCAAGGTGTAGGCTTTCCATCTCCTTCCCAACTCTGGTTGAAATTTTTCCTTCTTAAAGTCTGTGATTAAGTTAGCAAAACCTGCCTCTTGATATGTAAAAGGGGAGCTAAAGAACTTGAGACTTATGGGTAGTTTCATCTCATCAAAGCTGGGCTTTCAAGACTATTATTGGCTGCAGAATTCAAGGCAGTCCTCTTTGAGGTTGAAAGCTGATCTGGGTCTCATTCTTCTGGTCAAGGTCTGTGTTCTCTTTTCATATAATCTTCTGCCTCTTTGCTTAGCCAAGGAGAGAGAAGGCAGCCAGGAAAGGCAACCTAAGGATGAAATGATGATGTGTCATTTTGTCATACTTAAAATAGTTTCCTCATTATACAAGGAAGCATAAAACATGTTCCTTGTCCTTGAGAAGCTTTTGAGTTATTTGTAGAAGCAAGCAACAAATACAAAGAACACATCGAAAACTCCCTGCATTGTTAGGTTCCAAATAAGTGATGCCAGCAGTGCTTGCATATTTCATGACATCATTTGGGATTAGAGCTATTAAAGACAGCTTCAGGAGGGTGGTAGGACTTGACATAGCCCTAATGACAGAGAGAGTGAAGAAATAGGGAGGGTGTCTAGGTAGGAGAAGTGGCAAGAGCAGAGGCATAGCAACAGGAAAGCAAGGAGGATGTGCAGGAAGGTGCATGGCTCCAACTGCGACAAGCACTGTGTCCAAGGGGTGAAAAGAAGATCGGAGCAGTGAGGAGCAGTGGATCAAATTAGCACCTGGGCAATTCCAGAATTATCCTTTTGGGTGTAATTAGAATCCAGGAGAAGATTTTTGGGCAGGGAGATGACATAATCAGAACAGTGATTTATACTGTGATTCTGCCCATAGTGCATAAGAGGAGTTTGAGCTATCACAATGCAGAGAGGATCCAGGGGAAGGAGGCTATGTTGCAATATATATAAAGCTCTTCAGACATAGTGTGGCAGGTTGTAGTTGTTCAATTATTATTAGTTCTCATTATGGATATCATTTTTATCCTGTCTGAGGGTGATGAAAAGAGAAGTTGTGTTCTTGAAGATAATGGCAATCAATCTGGATTTAAAATAACAAGTAGAATTAGGTAAGTAGACATCTAGAGTTTAAATTCTAAAAATGGAATAACAAGAGAAAAATGGAAACAGGAAAGTGAAATGATTGCTGAGAACCTATGTGGGGGTCAGTTTGGTGAAAACATCAATTGAGAGCTTGGAGACAAATTACCCTCAATATTCTGCTAAAGAATATATATATAAAATAATGATAGCTTAATATGCTATGTGTACCCTAAAGTCTCATATTTGTTTTTCCAGTGTAATCATCACAACCACCAAGGGATAAGTAACACTATTACACCAGTTTTACAGAGGAGGAAATCCAGTCCAGTCACATGTTTAACAGGTGGCATTGTTAGGATAAAAACCCAGCTTAGTGTGATTGAGCCTGAGTTTTAATTATTCTCTTTATGTGGCTTAGGTTTTAGTAAGTCCAAGAGGAGCCAGTAAAGGCTTTAGTGTGGGAAGGTAATATAAATAGGACTGTATTTTAGGATGATTCTGATAGCTCTAGTGCATTGGATAGATTTATTAGAGATAATTAGAAACTGGAGCACAATGAAGAGGTTATTGCAAGTATTGGAGATTTGAACCATGATAAATGTCCTGGGATTAGAAATACTTCCAAGGTAGATACACCCAGGAGAATGGATATTGAGTTAGTGAGAAATCAAAGACAATGGTGATACTTCAGAGCATGTAGGATTTTTTTTTTTTTTTTTTTTTTTTGAGACGGAGTCTCGCTCTGACGCCCAGGCTGGAGTGCAGTGGCGCAATCTCGGCTCACTGCAAGTTCCACCTCCCGGGTTCACGCCATTCTCCTGCCTCAGCCTCCCGAGTAGCTGGGACTACAGGCGCCCACCACCACGCCTGGCTAATTTTTTGTATTTTTTAGTAGAGACGGGATTTCACTGTGTTAGCCAGAATGGTCTCGATTTCCTGACCTCGTGATCTGCCCGCCTCGGCCTCCCAAAGTGCTGGGATTACAGGCGTGAACCACCGCGCCCGGCCAGGATATTGATATCAATATCCAATAGGAAATAAAGTAGGCAAATCTATATTGCTAAGGGCCTGGGAAGGAAGGGGTGGAGAGGACAGGGAGTGGTGATGAACTTGACCATGAATGTGTCTTAGTTTAAGTTGTTACTTATGAAAATGTAACAGAAATGTTCTACACGTTTTTGTTTTTTTTTTATTAAATCTTGAACTAAAAAGTCAGGAAAAAAACTAGAGTATTCTACATAGAGCCTGTGAGAAATAAATATGCAGCAGCATTTGAGGTAAAGAGAAAATACGTAACTTCAGACTAATAAAAATCAACACAAGATGAATGATGTGAGCTACTTGCAGAATAGTTCCCAAAAATAACCCGTTGTAAAAGTGATCACTCAGTGTTCTGGTGATAGAACTAGGTCGTTTTCTGCATCTCAGTGGAAAGTCGGAGGTCTCTTATAACAGAAGGGCATCTCGAATCCAAATGTAACTAAAGTGACATAAGGCGGTGGTGTTGGTGATAGACCTAGCACAGGGAAGTGTTATAATGATGGACACCTACCAGGTGGCTGTAGGAAACTCTGCATTAGGAGACTGGAGAGTGAGGTTGTCAGTGTCATTCTTGCACTGTCTGGCAGAAAGAATTATCTGATGCTGATAACTAGTCCTGATTATCCAGATAAAAATCACCATCAAAGAGAGAAATGCGATTCATCCAACCACCATGGCTTGATCAAAATTTCACTGAAAAAATGTTTAACTCTTTTTTTTCTTTTCTCTGACAGCAACCTCCTGGTCATTATTTTGTTTCCAGCAGGAGGAAGGGGTCTTTGACAGCCACTTGGCTCTCAGACATCTCATGAGCTCACAAGGGAGGTTTCTTCCTTGGGTTGTCTTTATCACTGAGAAGTAGATAAAAACAAATTTAAGAAATACCAATATAGCAAAGAAGCTACTGGATTTAGAGTGGCTAATCAAAAAGCAGATGTCGGCCGGGCACGGTGTCTCACGCCTGTAATCCCAGCACTTTGGGAGGCCGAGGTGGGTGGATCACGAGGTCAGAAGATCGAGACCATGGTGAAACCCTGTCTCTACTAAAAAAAAATACAAAAAAAAATTAGCCGGGTATGGTGGCGGGCGCCTGTAGTCCCAGCTACTCTGGAGGCTGAGGCAGGAGAATGGTGTGAACCCAGGAGGCAGAGCTTGCAGTGAGCCGAGATTGTGCCACTGCACTCCAGCCTGGGCGACAGAGCAAGACTCAGTCTTAAAAAAAAAAAAAAGGCAGATGTCCCTTAAGGAAAATCCTAAAAAAAAAAAAAAAAAATCTGGCCCTCTCCTTGTGGCTCTTCTTTAAACATAACAAAGACAGGATAGAGTTAAATTCCTGGGGTAGATGAGATTGCCAGCAGGGTGGGGTGAAAAGTATGAAGATAAGAGACAGAGCCAGAGGCAGAGAGAAATACAGAGACAGAGAATGGAGTTTAAATGTGGAACCTTAGAAAATACTGGTAATGGAGTATTAAGAGGTGGAAATGGGAAAGGATGTGTTAAAGGGTAGAGAGAAGGAACAATCATGAAGGGCAAGAAAATTACCACATCCTAGTAGCCAAGGAGAGAAATGGTTTGCCCAGAGGCCAGGCACAGTGGCTCCTGACTGCAATCCCAGTACTTTGGGAGGCTGAGTTGGGAGGATTGCTTGAGACCAGGAGTTTGAGAACAGCCTGGACAACATAGCAAGACCCTGTCTCAATAAAACTAAAATAAAAATTATCCAGACATGGTGACTATCACCTGTAGTTCTAGCTACTCAGAAAGCTGAGGCAGGGGGATCACTCAAGTTAGGAGTTCAATATCTTATCTCAAAAAAAAAAAAAAGAGTTTGGTGGCCAAATGCAGAAGATAATGTTAGATATGTGAAAATAAGTTCACAGAATTCAGTGAATAGACACCTGAGAAACTCATACAGAATTGTCTGGGTCGGGGTCAGAGGCATAAGTCAGATTGGAAAGGCATGTAGCAGGGCAAGGACATGAAGAATGGTGATGGCAGCCAGTTGTTTTTCAGAAGCTTGATGTTTAGACATAGATAAAAAATGAGACAGTGGCTTGTGGCTTGAGACAGACTTTTGTATGCTTTCGTAAGACGGGTTTTGCATGGTGGAGGCGCACATGTACATGCATAACTCAGCGGACTGGCATGGAAAGCACAGATTGAGTCTCTTCCCCAGGGTGGAAAGCCACAGTGCTTTCCCAAACAGAAACTGTACTTTACAATGGAGGCTGTTAAAGGAGATGTCGTTATGCTGGGACAATGCTTCTTGAAACTGCATTTTTAAAAGTAGGTATCTATACCATGTGATGACAACTTTTTGAATCAATGTCACATTTTGAACTTTCATAGCCAGTGTTCATATTTCCACAAACTTCCCAATGCCAGGACATTGTATATTAGCAAATTCTTCATTGTGGTGAATGGAATGATAAATGTCAGTTTCTTAGCTCTATTTAATGGGATTTTCCCCATATCTCTGTTGTGTTGTAGGTGATACCTGGAGTCATTAACTAGGGCTTATCAAGGAAGTACTGGATAGTTTGAGTGGCAGATGAGGGTTTTACAAATAGCAGATAAATTCAAGTGCCTTTTTTTCAATCTTTGTTTTTCTTGACAGCTCTGCATTATCTAACGCTCCTAATGGCTTTCTTCTTGAATGCCCTCCTCCCAGGAATTTTACTTTCACTTTGTGCTGGACCTTATCTCTTTTTCCTGAATCAAATGCCCCTTTTTGTTTTTCTAAATTGTCTCTTTTCCCCTTTGCTTCCTCACTCATTTAGGTTTATGTCAATTTTCATCTTATTTCCTCTTTCCTCTCAAGATAGTTTTTCTCAATATCTCATCCAGTCTTATATCTATCTCATTAATATAATTTGTTCTTTTGTTGTATCAGCACTTTTTTTGGGTGCAGCTTTCCAGATTTGATTGCAAAGTCCATCATCCTTTTAACGTGCACATGCATAAAACTCAAATGTGTCATCTTTCCTGATTTAAAAAAGGAGAAGAAAAAAGCTGTTTGACCACATACAAATATTAAAACGTCTATGGTTCAATAATATCATAAGCAAATGAGAAATTAACATAAAATATTTTTATTAAAAATGACCAGTAAAAGAATTCATTCTTAAGAAGTTTTATAAACTTTTTTTTTCTTCATTTTTGAGATGGAGTCTTGCTCTGTTGCCCAGGCTGGAGTGCAGTGGCATGATCTTGGCTCACTGTAATCTCCACCTCCTGGGTTCAAGCAATTCTCTGCCTCAGCCTCCCGAATACCTGGGATTACAGGCACCTGCCACCATACCCAGCTATTTTTTAATTTTTTTTTTTAGTAGAGATGGGGTTTCACCATCTGGCCAGGCTGGTCTTGAACTCCTGACCTTGTGATCCACCCAACTCGGCCTCCCAAAGTGCTGGGATTACAGGTGTGAGCCACCGTGCCCGGCCTTGTAAACATATTTTTTAACCAACAACCCGGTAAAAAGAATGGACATGAGCTTACAATTTATACAAGAAAACTATAAATGGCATTAAATGAATAAAAGTTATCAATATTCATTTTCATTAGTAAAAAGTGCATAATTTAAATGTAATAAAAATATTTACTCCAAATAAGCAAGTATGAATAAGATAATACTTAATGTGATCAAAAATGCAAAAGAACACTATTATTTAACATATATTAAAATTAGTGTAATTTTTTTCCTAAAGAAAATAATTATCAAGAGACTTAAAAACACTGATAATTACTGACTCAGTTTTTCTATTTCTGGGTTTGTGTGGTTAAGTATAATCACATATATGCACCAAGACATAGACACAATCATTCCTACTTCAATAATAATACATCAGTGTGAACCATCCCTCAGAAAACATTTACTATGATCTTACCATAAATGCTAAGAGATCAAGTCTCACCTGCCTGAACTGAGGTTGACAATTACATCATCTGTATGATACTCATATCTTAGCATTGGTCCTATTAATTCCACAAGAGGCATAAACCTGGACATTCCAGGGAGATGTATGGTAACCCAACTAGTCCAAAGCCCTAAATTATGTGTGTGTTTGTACTGATTTGGGTGGATCCTCTACCTCTATCCTAATCCATGAGGTAGCTGACCTTGAACAAAGACACTGCAAGATCATGACAGACATAGCTAAAAGTGTCTAGATTGTCTAAAAATAAAGAAACAACAATGAAGGTATGTAAATGCCTGATTATTCTAGACTATTTTGTTTCTATGCCATGATTTTGAAATATCAAGTTTCGTGTAGAGTCAGTAAGAGTCTATTCAGTAGGTTTCCATCCTGTATGATTAGAATAAAGCCTGACTAGCAATGTCTTACTTGTTAATAGTCTTCAGCATACTTCATCCTGAATACGCCATGCTTGTCTCCTACCCATCTGAAGACATACGTTGTTATACACACACGTACACACACGAACGATATAAACTAAAGATTACAAAAGCACTCATTTGGGCCCAAGGTAGTATTTTTCTAATTAAAACCACTCCACCTTAAGAAAAAAAATTGCAAATTCATGATTTGCATATCAGGATTCATTCCTGAAAGCTTTAATTGCTCAAATGTAATTTGTTGAGTACCCATTTCTGCAAAAAAAAAAGAAAAAAAAAAAAAGGAGCTGTGCCTGAAACTGAACCTTCAAAATAAGATGAGGTCTCTGGAAATTCTTGCAGTCTGATCTGAGAGCTTGGCCTTTTTCTAAGTGGTCTGATAATGTGGTGTCAACGCACAGGAGACTCGATCTAGCCAGGAAGCATCCATCAGACAGTCACATGTTGGGAAAAGTTGTCCGTTCTCTCTCAAATTCTCAAAATACTACTGAATTTTGTTTCTGGCTCACAATACTGCTTGCTTTTGGGTAGTGTAATATCCCATTGCCAAATATTACACTGGCAACTCTACTGATAGCAGTGGATGTGACTTTGACAGAGAAACTGCCCAGGATGTTCTGTTGTAGCATGGGGAGCTATAAGGCATATGTCATTTGAAAAAAAGCACTGCTTGAACAACATATTTCATAACTGTTTTTCCCTTGGCAAGTCTAAAATAGATATGTGGGAAATAGCAGATGAATCACGGGCAGCTTGAAATTTAGTCATAAGCATAAATGTTCTAAGAGTGTACAACAGGACTTTGCGTCCGTCAGTGAGGATAACAAGTCTGTCATTGGATAGATCCTAAGTGAAATTAGATATAAAAGAGAAATGAATTGAATTTACTGGACAACATTCTTCAGATCTGCTGGGACATATTTTCATTTTCTGTGAGTACTGGAATGGATTGGGACAAGGTACGTGTTAAAACTTTAGGCTAGACAGAACGTGAGTATTTTATCCTAGCAAAGGTCAGCTCCCAAAGACTGTGGAATGAACAACAAGGAGATGTGATAAATAATTAAGGACTAAATGTAATGCAAAGTATTTACTTCTGCTTTCTTAGTAATAAGTATTCCTTTGGAACTTACTGGAAGCCACAGGCTGTTTTGCAAACCAATTATTTCAGTGGGCGTTTCATTTTCTTACATGTACGATACATTATGCAGGTAGAAATAGCAGGGCCCTCACTCTAAACCTGCGATTTCCACAACCCCTCCAAGCTTTCCTACCACAGTCTTGGGATGCTCACTTCCTTGGTGTTCACATTCTGCTCCGTCGTATCCTTCAAGTCTCGTCTCAGCGGCTGGCTCCTCATCAGAGCTCCGCTGTCTTCTTCAGCGCCTGCCAGTGACTCTGCCTCCTTGCCCCGTTGATTGTTTCCATTATTCATACCACATACTACTCTTGGAAATTATCTTATTTATGGCTTTGGTTTCTGCTTACTGCTTTTCTCCCCTATTTCTCTCAGGGAATGAAAGATCCAGGAGAGGTGGGATGGGGGGTTCCCCTGTCAATCTCTGGGTAATCGTGGTGCCTGTCGATGGTAGACACTTAATACATGTATTTTGATTTCACTGAATGAAGTCTTTACTTATCAGGTACCAATTCCCCTCCAGTGGAAAATAGCACATAACTCGGGGGCTCACAGAGCCACAGTGATTGTGTTGACAAGAAAAGTCTTCCTGTCACGGTAGCTGTTCATTCACATGTGACATGGAGCACGCTGCTGTCGCTTTCTATTCACGCCAGCCTCTGTGCCCAGAAAAACCACCAGCTGCTGGGGTGTCAGGGCTGTGGATCTGCTCAGAAAATGTAATCAGAGTCTTAGAGGCTTGCATTTGCTGTCACCAAGTTGACTGCTTAACAATCTGATTCTTTGCAATTCATTCTTCAGGGACTGGTAGCTGGTAACCAGTTCATACCATGTAAATACGTAGGAGGGCCATTTTTTTTTTTTGCTTGTTCTGTGGCACAATCGCCCAACTTTGAGCTGTCTGCAAGTATTTAAACTCATCAAAAATGATTTTTGTCTTTAATAAAATAGAAACATATGCGGAAAATACAATACAATTGTTTCTCAGAGTTGCTAAGTTTCAAAATTCATATAAGAGGAAAATAAAATTCCCCTTGCTTTCCATTCCCTACCTCATTGCTGCTTCAGCTGTTTTCTCATTGCAACTGGGTTTTTTTTTTTTTTGCAGTTTTGTTTTTAATAAACACTGATTATGATCATGATTACTTGCCTAAATGGGATAAACATTTAAGATTTTTTTTTTCATGTGTATTGAGCTTCTGCATGACTGAAGCTCATGAAACTGAAATTTAAATGTGAAAATCCAAGGCCAATTTTGTTGTCAATAGTAAGAATGACAAGAGCTATAAAATTTCAAGTCATGAATTTTTCATACCAGGGTGTTACAAATGTATCTTTACTCCTTACAACAACCATGCCAAGTGGAAACAATTTTCATTCTACATGTGAGAAACCCAGACTCATGGTAGGACTGTGCCATGGAATTTCTTCTAAATGTTTTATTGTATATAGTTTCTCAATCTAAATATAAAGCCAGAGTTGGGTGTTATCTATTGCTTTTGAAGGGAATGAGAATATAAGCCACCTAAAAATTTTACATGTACCACGGGGAACGGGAGACTTCTAGGGGAGGGTCATTGCCATGTGCATATCCACATATCGTGGATGTTTAGAAAATATTTGTGCCCAGCTGGTGAAATGACCCAAATTTGATAAAGATACAACCATCCCTCACCCTGGATGCTTTTCATGCAGGGAAAGGTGCCCAAACCACTCTGCCATAAAGAACAGAATCATCTGTTTGGCACTTAATCATTAATTTCATTTATCATTTTATTGGCTATGTTACGTTAACTTACCGTGTTGTGACTTGCTAAATAATCAGTTGTGCTTGTTGTATAAGGTGTACTGAGTGAAGAAAATAGATGCTTGCTTATGTAAAAATAAAATTAAACAAAAATGTGAGGTCATTTTCAATACCTACGTAACTAGTATTTGAATATTTTCAGTGAAGTGTTATTTAGATAATGTTCCATTTTATAAAGAAAATTAAATTTGAATTTGGATAATGTAAATGTCCAAAGATTAACACTATAAATATCACTGGGTATTTTTGACATAGATCATTTATTTGGAAATTTCTAAAATGAAGAAAAGGGTGATTTTTCTTTTTCACTGTGAACATCAAACTTTAAAAATAAATAACATATTTGATTCAGGGTAAATTGATGTATCTCCCTCTATATTTATACCTTAAAAGAATTTGCAGGTAGGCAGATGTTGCATTCCTTTATAGAAACATTTATACTGTCTTTTATTTTTGCTTCCCCATTGATGTGCATGAAGATAATTACATATGATCCCTGACACTTTATTTACCAATATGATGGAATTAAGTATGGTTTGATAATTTGTTTCTTTTAAATGATAACCTAATGAATTCATTTTTTCAATAAGGTATTTCCATCAAACCTAGTTGGACTTTTAAAGATAAATATCTGAGTCTCTCTTGAATTTTGAATAATTTTGTTGTTTTCAAACTCTCTAAATATTTTACTTGATTTTAAAATAATATTTATTTTCCTAAAAAATGATGTTTTTCTTAAAAGGTTAATGTTTTTTCTAAAAATGTCTGCTCCACAGTCTTTTATAAAACATTGTTATAAGTCAGTTGACCTAAGGAAATAAGATAAAATACAAATATGGAAAAGAAAGCCATAATGTGCTGAAGTCGTAGATTTACAACTTTACTTTGAAAGGCATTCTTCATAGCACTTAACACCCCCTAACATTCATTCTTGTGCTTGTTAACTCTAGCCTCCATCCTGTAGAATATAAGAAAATAAAAACAAATTTTTGTGTGTTTTGTTCCATTTTGCATTCATCACTTTGAACAATTAGAATATTTCAGATGCTCAGTACATTGTCGAAAAAAATATTTGTTGACCAAAGTTAGAGACCTTGCTTTTCAAATACTAACAGTGAATAAACTGCATTAGGGAGGTTGAAACTGATTTTATTTTGAGACTGAAATTAATGCTACTTGAGTCCGGTACTCAAGTAGCTTATTTAACTAATTTAATATTAATTGAGCTCAATTGAGTGTTTAACAATTTTCCGAGTGGGAACTCTGTGCAGAAAAATATGAGTAAAGGCATTGCTCAGACAACCCATGCCCTCAGGAAAGCACTAACACTAACAAATATAAGCCATGGAAGAAATGGGGGAAAAGGAAGGAAGCATGTCTTTGGTCAATTTGATCAAAGAAGAATGGGTTCATCTAGAAAACAAAAACTGCGTGGTTCATTTTGCCTGTTTGACTGCACTGGATTTTCCAAATCTCCAAAAGCAAACATGCTTGCAGAAGAGAAATGTTAAAGAAGAGTGTTTATCTGGACAACTTGTCACTCTTCTTACGCTTAGGGACTTGCAAAATCTGTATGAATAAGCTGTAAAATTTTATTTGAGCATAACTAAAGATTATTACTTTGTAGAAATATCTCCTGGCCACAGGAGGCCACTGTGGCTGCAATTATAAATCCCTGACACCAGCCTGCCATGCAGAATAGTGTAACTAATTTTTAATATTAATACCACTTGTCTAACACTTGGCATGTTATATTATAGAATACTTATCTGCACGTCCATCACATCCTTTGTATTGTAATTCCCTCAGGCCTTATGTGTTCCTACATTCCCAGGAAAGATACAATTTATATTATAATTTTAATAATTATTAGGGTCTTATCCAATTTATCTAGGCCAACTCAGTATCATATGTATCACATAGATTATTTTATAAGGAATAAACAATATTTAATTGAATTAAATTATATCATTGGCCATAATAGAAAGGTTAGTAAATAGATTGAAAAAGAAAGAAGAAATACTAAATCTCCTTTAACATATTTGGGTAGATTCATAGGCTCCTACAGTAATATCTTTCTACAAACTTACTGTTTACAGAACTTCTTAAAAACCCTTGTATATTCTGGAATGATGAACTTAAGGCATCTGTAAAATCAGTTCTAAAATCACAAAGGGATACATTTTGTTTATGTCTAAACCTTTATTGTGCATGCCATAGAAACATTTCCTTCTTTCAGATTATTAAATTATTGGTTATTGTTTTAAAAATGAATTTTTATTTTTTTATTTAACATAACTTAAAGAGAAGTTTGTATATTGCAATAAAAGAAAATTTCTCTAAAACAGGATTCATGAGTAATTTAGTTTGTCCCCTGTGTGATTGCTCTTTAAGAGTTTTATTTGTATTTTTGAGCAATCTGGATTATTTATTTTACTCTCATCAAGATTCATAAACAGTAGAATTGTTGACTGATTTGATTGCTTTTACAATATTTATTAATCTATGATTTTACGAGAAATGAATTTCGAAGTAAAGAAGAGGTCAGATGCATGTTTATAAAATTCAATTTGCAGTTTAAATCCCTTAATTAAAATGTTTAAGTACACAAGTTTAGATTATTTGGAAGTGTTCTGTGAAAGCTGAATCAACAAAACAGAGGATAAGGCATATTTAAGATTGTTATCTTTACACAATAACTGTTCTGATTACTTTTCATTAGTTTATTATAGCAGAATGTTTAGAAATTATTTCAGTTGTGTATTCAGGAGAATACCTTTCTACCTATGCATGCCCTTCTTTGCTCTATGAGTTCTCCTGCTGCTCCAGCTATTATAGATACAGTAATAAGCTGGTGATGTTTTAAGCTAGCTACTATCCTGTTACTACTGTGTTTTTGTATTCAACTAAAACGGAGCATTTCTTATAAGTAACAAATGTAGCCGTGTCTTGGGAAAGTGGTGAGTAACACAGGGCTCTGGTCCTAGGAATAGTCATAGCACAGTGGAGGAGAAATCCTATAAACGTAGACATGCAACACAATGTGTTAAAAACTACATTAAAGGTATGCCCACAGTGTTTTAACAACACAGATGCTGAATGAAGTAAGTCTGCTTTGCAAAATTTGAGCAACTCTTTGTAAAATAGGTTGATTTCAGTAGATGGAGAGAAAAATTCTAGGGAGAGAAAAGGTGATAATGAAATAAGTAACAATCGCCGTTGATTTTTTGAATACTTAGTACATACCCGACTTTTTATACTATTACTCAAAATTAGGTAATGAAACAATCGAAGCGACTTTTTCATTTAACAAACAAGGAAATTGAGCTATAGTTACACTAAGTGAATTGTTTAAAATCACATTGCATTCGTTTGTTCATTTATTCATTAATTTATTCAAAATTTATGTCAAGCACTGTACTAATTACCAGGGGTGTGGGACCTGCCTGCAAGGAGCTTCCTATCCTGTAGATCCAGCTACAAAACAGCAGAACCAGCTCTTTGGGGGTTCTCTGGATACCAGTCAGTGCTCTTGATCTGCATGGGCAAAGAGAGTTTGAAGTAACCTAGTGGTCACAAGTGTGACTGAATCTGAATACCAGTCTATAAATAATAGTGCCTAGAGGGTAACATTTGAAAGAGACATCTGAGCTAAGTTTATTTCTATCATGTTAAGGAGTTTGGACTTCACCTGGTAATCTGATACTGTAAAAAATCTAAAGCAGGTGTGTGACATTATCAGATAGAGTCCTAAGAAGACAGTCATGGCCACATTGTAAAAGAGTGATTAAATGGAGGAGAGCTGGGAGACAAAGTTCACAGCATGAAGGCAGAAAATGAAAACATAATCACAGATGATTAAGTTATTTATAAAGCATATACATACACCCATCAGTGGAGTCTGAGGTATTTAACTTGTTCTATGTTTGGAATGAAAGCTTGCTTGATTTATTTTTGACTTCAATTAAAAAATACTTTTAAATCACTAAATTTTTCCTGGGGCAGTCTTATATATTGAAAACAAACAAACAAGGTAAAACATTACCTTATCAAAAAACAGAGACCTCATTTAAAATTTTGAATCTCTCCTTTATAATTTGTATGAATGATGTTAAACCAGTTACCCTTCAGGGCTTCTCATATTGATTAATTACACACACCTTACGTATATAAATATTGAAAATGCTTAACAAAGAGTAAGTAAATTATGATTGTTTTTGATCATTACTATTTTTCAACTATGAAAAATACTAATATAACTCTTGATTGTTTTCATTTATAATATTAACTAAAAAATAGTTTCTAACTTAGAAATGGATTGAGGTAAGAGGATAAGAAAAAAGAAAATAGCCTAAAGTGGAGATAAGTCTAATTTTAATTCAAAAAGGCATATTTTAGTACATCAAAATCGTTGATCAGATGATGATATTAAATTTCCTGTAAATTACATATGTCAATATTTGTAAGCTACTGATTCAGACTTCATCCCTGCTACATTGTGTAGTGCCTAAATTTGAACTGTATTTCCTGAGTGTTTGAACTGTATTTCCTGAGTGTATTTCAGATGAATTTTTGCAGCTCTACTGCTAGTGAGGTGTTTTGAGAAAATTTGGTGTAAGGCAGGAGTGTCAAGCTTTATGAGGGTTGGGTTTTGGCAAACAAAGGTCCTGAGATTCTAATTCCGGGACTTCTATCCCCAGATTTGCCCAAGTCAGTTGAGATGTGACACTGTTATTTTCCATTCCCTGATTCCTTTAGAAATACTGATGTGTGGGAGATAAAGAGTCACCCCATGTTTTCCAAGCACCCAATTCCAGAAAGTGCTTTGTGGATTTGGAACAGATTTTGAAATGAATAATTTTATAAGTTGAGATTAAGCAAAATAGGGAAAGTTTTTTTTTTTTTAATACACACTAGCCTTTTCCATTTAATAACTATAGAGCACCTATAGAATCAGGCTTCAATGTTATAATTTGCAACCCCAAGAAAGTCAAATTGGGACCATATAATTTGAACCAACAGTAGGGATCAAAACAAAATGAAACAAGCTTTCCCTCTTGTCTTCTTTCCAGAGCTTAACTGCCATAAATAGCACCTGAGTTGATATATTCCCATAAGAAGGCCAGTATAGATTGCTTTAGAACGTTCCCGTTGCTAGGCAACAAAAATGCCCATTAAAAAAAGAATGGAGCAGTCTCTTTACTAAAAAAGTTTGCGAAGCATCTAATCTCCTTGTTAGTATGTTTGTGTCGCTGAGGTCCTCCACAGCAAAGTGTATTCCACCCATTTTCTTAGAGAGAGAGAGGCAAGCATCCTATTATTAGACAGGTAACAATTTTTCTTCGTTACCGTAAAGATTTTAGTTTTAAGCCAGAAACAATTTAATAACGGCTCTTACACTTCAGTGCTTTAGAATTCAATAAGGCCTATTTTCACACAGCAGGCATATATGGCTTGTATTAATTTCAGAATAAGAATGGATCCATTATTATGTGTTTGAGTAAAGTAGGGGAAAAATTTGTAATGCAAGAATGTTGGCGTCCTTCAGTTCCACAGGAAGGAAACCAGCAAAGAATTCAACAGATATTAAAATGATTGCAGAGGAAGAAAGAGTTAGTACCTATGAAAGGACACTGGACTACAAATCAAGAGGTTTCATGTTATAATCATATCTGTCAACAGGCTAAGTGTCCTTGTATAAGTCAGTTAAACAGCTTGGATCTCAATTTTCTTGTCTAAATACAGAAAGCCTCTCTCTCTCTCTCTCTCTCTCTGCATGTGTGTGTGTGTGGGGGGGAGGGTTGTGAGTTGTGCAGGGTGTGTGTGTGTGTGTGTGTGTGTGTTGGAGCAGTAGATATCACCAATGTAATCATCTCTTCTTTCCGTAATTATTCATTGACAGTTTACTTCATCAGTGTGCTAGAGAGATTAAACAAATCCCTAACTTTAGGAAGTCCGCTGTGTAATGAAAGAGATAGACAAGTGACATATCAAAAGACAATTATAATGCTAAAAGTAAGGACAGGACTAATCACAATATTTCACTTGGGTTTTCATGCATGAATCCTTTCTATGACCCACTTAAGCTTCCTGTCCACCTTTGTACCCCCAGTGCTGCTATCTAGACATCGAATGATAATTCATTTTGTGGTATAAAAAGTGATACCATGCTGGTATATAGTCTTCCAGGGGATTGACAGTTTTATAGGTACAAAATCTTAAGCGTATGAAGCCATGGTAATAGAATTCATACATTTTCAGCTAGTGTAGTCAGATACTTCTACTATATCTAAGATTATACAATGTAAGATTTTGTTTTCCCTTTTTAAGCAATAACAATTTAGCTGCTAATTTTATAACTTCCACTTTGGTATCTTTTGGTTAAGAGACAAGTTGGCTGGTTCAAATGGATTTCCAGTATCTCTGGAATATAAAAAATATAAATATAAAAATTGTGGTATCAGAAATATTTAGAGATCCTTGGAATTGTTTATTTGAAATATTAAGAATAATGAAAACATCTATACAATATTTTTTACATTGTCTTTTCTGTTCTTTAAATAAAGTTACCATCCAGCATTTATGTAATCCTAAGGAAAAAGAAGTCAAGTTACTAGAGAAATATTGCCATCTAGGCTTTCCGAGAGTCCAAACATTATATTTGCAAATAACAAGATGTTTTGAGGGGCCTTCAATTTAAAAGAATTAGCAATAAATTCAGTCAATATAAATCATGAATTCAAAATTAAAGTTAGATTTATTCTTTTTGCCCTACCCAACATCTCTGAAATGTTTTCATAAAACAATTGTAATCTGTCTTCTTCTTCTTTCTACCTAGAAGTCACTAGGCCATTGCTTTTTATTTTTATTTTTTTTAATTAATGAACTGCCTTTTTTTCATCTTCTTTGTTTTCTTTATCTTAATTCCTTTACTCTTATAAAGGATACTAATACTATATATAAGTTTGGGAGTTTTAGTTTCTAGGACATGCTTTTAAATTTTTGATTGTGTTTGTGTGCTTCTTCAATATTCTCTCTGGTTTTATAAAGCAAACCAAGCAGAACAATTGTCTTGCACTTCAAATTCTGCTATGTTGTTAGTATAGTTGAAACACTTAAGCACTTTTTTTAATTAATCAACAACAAAAATGGATTTCATTATTCTTAAAAGAAGACCAGTGGACTCTTTAAATTTCTACCTGTAAATATAGCAGATGGTTGGGAAGTCCTCGCTTCTTTGTCTGGGACTGGAACAGCTTAGTTTAGTAAGGTAAATGGGGTCATTTTGTTTGGTCTACAAGGCATATTTAATAGGGTCAAGGTCATAGATTCCATTCCACTTCAATCAGCTTTGCCCCTTTTCATTTCCATGGGCTGAATTTCTAAGTACAGATATCCATCCAACAAATAAATCTATGCACAGGCCAAAGGGGAAATAATGAGAATATGGAGATGGATCCGTAAAAACTTGTCACAACTTAAGAAAAACAGCAACGGCTTATAAGCCAGCAGCTAGGAAATGATTGAATAGTGACAAACTGGCTGATTCCTAATGCCAAGAGGATATTTGAAGATGATGCATAAGTGCCTTCAGAAATCAAACATTTGTCCATAAATGTAGAAGACTGTAGGGGACGACGAAATGTGTGAAACAGTTCCCCCTTCAATGAAGGACTGTTGTCTGAGATGACTCAAGTGCTGTTGACATGTCCCTTTGGCTCTCAGCCCTTTCAGAGACTGCCTCACCCCTTTCTCTTGCGGGAACAGCCCAAATCCATTACCTGATTACTGTGAGGTGGGAAGGAGTATAAAGGCCGGGCCATCTCCGTCCAATGCTGGACAATTCAGACAGGCCAGTCTAGCCCTTGAGCTCCCTGAGGGGTCAGCTGGGGCTGTGATTGGTCCTGAATGACAGCTCAGTTTCTCCCTCTGTCAATTTTTTTGTCCTTCCCATCCTTCCCACACATATGGATCCCAAGAGCCCTCCTTAATAAACATCCTATGTACTAAACTCCAGTGCAGAGCCTGCCTCCTGGAAAACCTGACTGTTGCAAATAGTTTTTCAGTTTCTATTTAATGTCAGAACTGGCTCCATAATTTGCAAGTTCCAATGCAAAATGAACACACAGGGGATCTCTTAAAAAATTGTAAGACTCTAGATGGTGACGCAGAACATTAAACCAAGTGTGGAGTCTTCTACAGGCAGGACCAATGTGATGAGACTGATTGCATGCCCACCAAGGCAGCCCTGTTGAGGTAGAAATCACTGTTGTCATCAAGAATTCAGAGACTACATAATCATATTTCTGATGATTTACCACAGGAGATAATACATAAGACATAAGAAAATGCAAAGAATGGGACAGTTTTAGAGCCATGCAAATAAATTCCTGGTAATAAAATTTGGCCATAGGCATTTTATTAAACACATTGACAAGAAACATAATTTTTTAAATTACTGCATAAAATAGAACAATGTCTGAAGCTATACATATAAGAAATAGAACAACTTTTATTTAAAATTTTGAACTTTTAACACTTGTAGCACAAAAGACAGTGAAATTACTTAAAATTTTAGAAAGGCTCTGATCTTATGTGAGCTAATGTCATGATTACTAATATGTGCAATCACCATTCAAAAGGTTTTAGGATCGTGCTTGCGCATATTTTGATCACTCCCTCTTATTCTCTTGTTATAAATACAGTGTCCTCAAAGTATCTGCCCCTCGGCCTCATGGCCCAGATGATTGTTACAAATAATTACTGGGATTTGGTGAAGCACAACCAACTATGGCGATCAAGATGCCAGTATTCAAAGCAATAAACAGTATTCAAAGCAAGCAGAGCTCCCCATTCGAAGAGTATTTGAGCAACGCATAGTCCTATTAGGGCCTGCCACGCAGCAACATCTTCTTACATAAATTATTATTATTATATTACTAACAAAAATAGCAATGCAATTATGAAGCCCTCATATAGATATAAAATGTTTTCTGACACATTTCCTTTTTAAAGAAACTCCTCGAATAACATATGTTCTGTACTGTGTGCTATGCTACATTTGCTGAAGAAAAGCAAACAGTCAAAATAGCATCCCGAATATATTTATTTATCCATTCTGCTATTGATTGCCATTTGGGTAAATTTTAGTTTGTGTCTATTAGTGATGCAGTGCATATTTCTCCACTTGAATATTCAATGGATATGCAATAGATACTCATTTTTTTAATATTCTGTGTTTTTACACGTGGAATATCACACAACAGTAAAAATAAATCAACTCCAACTGCCTGACACAATATGGATGTCTCACAAAAATAACGTTGAGTGGGAAAGCCAACATGAAAGAGTACACACTGCATGTGTCCATTTATATAAAGTTCAAACACGGGCAAGCAAACCTGCAGCATTAGAAGCCAAAATATTGAAATGAGGTGAAAAATCCTTGGGTTCAGTTTGGATCACTCAAAAAGAGAGGCTGAGCAGAAGGTTGGATGAAAGCCACAATTCAGTTTCAAGACTTTCTGCCTGAGCTAGTGGTCATCAAATCAGAGAGTCACCATTTGTTGTTTTGTCTTCCTTTTGGCTCCTTCTGGATCATGAACTGGACTTCTTTTTTGTTGTTGTTTTTCTTTTTTTGAGGCAGAGTCTCACTCTGTCGCCAAGGTTGGAGTACAGTGGTGCAATCTTGGCTCACTGCTACCTCTGTCTCCTGGGTTCAAGCAATTCTCCTACCTCAGCCTCCCGAGTAGCTGGGATTACAGGCGCCCGCCACCACGCCCAGCTAATTTTTGCATTTTTAGTAGAGACGGGGTTTTACCATGTTGGCCAGGCTGGTCTCGAACTCCTGACCTCAGGTGATCTACCCACCTCAACTTCCCAAAGTGGACTTCTTTTTTACACATCAAGGATTGGTGACTATTTTTCAGGTGAGTGTATGGCTAAGGGAATACTTTTCATTGATGTCACCAAAAGAACTCCAAACTAACCTGTCTCTTATTTGAAATTCTACTAATACCAATATTGTAAAGAGTTGGATTTTTTATGACATTGTCCCTACTGATTAAAAAAAATACTCCCAGGGAAAGTAATAAATTACAACTTCTTCTTTAAGACAGAGATCATTTCTTATTCTTCTTTGTAAACCCAGTGCCTTGTACCAATTTTTGACAAAAAAATAAAAATGAAAAATGTTTGCCGAACGGGAGATAACCCTTCAGTCATTTCATGCTGCCATGAATGAATCCCAGATTCTTTCCTCAGGGATATTTTCTGTTATGGAGACGTTGCTCTCACTGGACCACAAGGCTGGGGCGTGACGGGCAGCTGGGAAGCTGTGATAAATGACCGGAAATGGACACTGAAAATATGAAAACAAATTGTGCTTTCTGCACAACTTTGCCAAGGAGTAGCCTCAATCACAACACATCCAAAATAGTATAAGAACATCTTCAGCATTTGGTCTAACAGACAAGAGTATATGTGTGTGTGTACTATATATATATATATATATATATATAGAGAGAGAGAGAGAGAGAGAGAGAGAGAGAGTCATATATATATAGTCATATATATATACTCTTCAGCATTTGGTCTAACGGACAAGAGTGTGTATATATATATATATATATATATATATAGTAATACTATATATAATAATACTATAATAATATAATCCTATAATAATAATAATAGAGTAATACTGTATATTTATATATATAGTATTACCCTCAGACTCATTTACTTATACATTCATTCGTTCATGTAACAAATAGTTGCTATGGTGTATCATGCATTGTGTTGGTGCAACTGATACAAGAATGAACAGAAAAAACATCATGGTTGACCCACTCCTAGAACTTAAAATCTAGGGATAGAGATAAAATTTTAAAAATCACACCAACAACATAAAACTACAAGAGTGGTAAACATTAAGAAGGAACAAGGAGGGTCCCAATTTAGAGAGATGGGGAGGAGGAGGGACAGAAAGGCTTGATTGTTTGTCCTCCTGAGCGTCCACAGCCCGAGTTACTCTCAGAGTTAACTGGACAAAGACATGAAACTTAGCATGAAATACACAAAGTAGTTATGGCTCAGCCGGCGGTTGTTTTTCAGATTCTCAATGTGCCTCTCACCCCTCTGACATTCAGACTCCTGGCTGTTATTTTCCAGAAGATTTTGAGGTAAGCTCTCTATATGAGTTAGAAAATATGCTTCCCAAATCACCATATCCTTAACAAAGGGTGGTAAAAACCTATCTGATGATAAGACTTTATGGAGAGAGGCTCCCTAAAGCACCTTCACTTACTTGTAATAATTCTAAAGTTGGGAAAACAATTTTGTTTTTTTCTTTACTTTTCCTAAATTTTTTACTTTTTCTAAAGCTGCTTCCAATTATCATTTGCCCCATACATTGGTATAACAGGATTTAATACCAGCCTCTTTTAGTATTTGACAATTTTTAAAAACTTTTTATTAAAGTCTTCTTCTCCCCATATTTAAATAGTATGTAAAGTAAAAAGAAATTGCAAGGTGCATTGAGCACTAATTGTCAGACCAATTATTCAATACACACACACATAATTATGTAAGGAAAACATAAGCTATCTCAGCAAAATTAAGCATTTTTAATTATTATGTGATGTACCAAAGACAGGAATGAAAAAGATAATTAAGATGATAGGTTTTTGGTTTTCTTTTTGAGACAGTCTCACTCTGTCGCCCAGGATGGAGTGCAGTGGCACAATCTTGACTCACTGCAAACTCTGTCTCCTGGGTTCAAGTAATTATTGTGCCTCAGCCTCCTGAGTAGCTGGGATTATGGGCATGTGCCACCACCCCTAGATAATTTTTGTATTTTTAGTAGAGATGGGGTTTTACCATGTTGGCAAAGCTGGTCTTGAACTCCCTACCTCAAGTGATCCGCCCGCCTCGGCTTCCCAAAGTGCTGGCATTGCAGGAAGATAGTTTTAGTTAGGGTAATTGCAATAGTAAGTGAAACATCTCAACGAAGAGGGAAAAAACATGCGGTTTTACAAAGGAAAGGTGTTAAGAGGGAGGGTGGAGATGGGTCTGGAGTATGCAAGGGCAGGATGGTCCTTTGTGGTTAACCATTTTCCTAAATTAAAAAAAAAAAAAGAAGGGGTTGGATTTCTTAACCCTCATTGATCTCTGAAAGTGCTGAACTCAGACAAATTCAGCGTTAGTCCTCCTATGTGTCCACTGTGAGTCAGTGAGCAATACTGAGCATGTCATAGACTTTCTGAATGAGATGAAGAGAGTTTAAGAAATAATCACTGAAAGGCTCTTGTTGAGGATGTTTCTAAAAAATTCAACTGGTTTGCAGAAACCTCTCGTGAAGGTCCCAGGTGACTTTAGCTCCCAGAGAGCAAGTTATTTACATAAAGGAGGGATTCCTGAAATAAAAAGCAGAAGTATTTTTAAGGGCTATACTAAAGATCCAGTAGTTGAACTCCGAGAGCGATCAGTCCGGTGAATTCTAGAAGATTGGTGTAAGCAAATCCCTTGTCATGCCGCAGCACTTCTTGAGTTTCTTGAAGCTCTCAGGCTGGGATGCTGATGCCCTTGGTAATGTTGTTCACAATCCAAGTCCCCTCTCATATGAGGGCATGCATGTCCTGAGCATTTCTTCAAACTACATTAGTAGTTTATAGACAAGCAGCTTGTCCAGGGCAAACTCAGGCCAGTGGTTGTCTGCAGCGTGATGAGGTTTCTGAGGTTTGTACAAAGTCATCAGGCTTCAGCTCTTAGGGCTTCTTCAGATCCAGAGACAGCTTCCAGGCCACAAAGAGACCCAGTAAGGGATACGGACAGCTCGGTTTTAGTCTTCAGTGACTTCAAATCAAGTACAAATGAGAAAAACTGGAGAAGGTCATTTGGAGGATAGTGACCTGATATTAAAGAAAATACAGAAAAAGGGAGAATTTTATAAGGATTGTCAGTTTGGGAAAGGTAACATGTTCCGGCCCAATTTGCAGTTAAGTACCAACCCTCCTTTTTCCACAGGGAGGGTAGAAATCAATTAAGTGTTTACCAGGTCATATGGTTTGGATTTGTGTCCCCATCCAAGTCTCATGTCAAATTGTAATCTCCAGTGTTGAAGGAGGGGACTGGTGGGAGGTGGTTGGATGATGGGGGTGAATTCCCCCATGATGTTCTCATGATAGTGAGTGAGTTCTCACTAGATGTGGTTATTTAAAAGTGTGTAGCACCTCCCCCTTCGCTCTCTTCCTCCTGCTCCTGTCATGTAAGATGTGCCTCTGATCATGACTGTAAGTTTCCTGAGGCTTCCCCAGCCATGCCTGTACAGTCTGTGGAACTATGAGTCAATTCAACCTCTTTTCTTTATAAATTACCCAGTCCCAGGTAGTTCTTTATAGCAATGCAGGAACAGACTAATACACCAGGCAAAATAGAGTGTACATATCCATAAGTTATGTTTAATTTACAGAGAAGTAGAACATAGCTCAAAGACGATAAGCAGGGATAAAATCTGATAACACGGAGGGGGGTACTGCATGTGATACACGGTTTTCCATTGAGACCTGTCATTTTTCACTACAGCATTTTGATCAAAAGTGATCTCAAAGACAGTGCATTCTTAATCACAAAATAAGGCTGGTCTCTTTAGATTTGCCCTGATTATGTACACAGGTACAGCAAGAATGGTAATTTACCACACAGGCATTCTTATGTTTGCTGTGCTGGAAATTTTTATAAGGGATCTCAGATCAGATATTCGGGAAGCCTGGGAATCTAAGGCAACAATTCAGCACTAGAAATTTGAGCAAATTCCTCTCCTTTCTAGTTTTCAAAATATCCTGATTTCTGGACTTGCCAGTAAGTCACTTTTCTTACTCACCCATAAGGCTGAGAATCTTGTAAACTGAGTGCCAGGCCAGGTTTCCAAGAGGGCATTGTAAGCATTGGCCCCAGAAAGTCAACCTTAGCTTAAAGTATCTAGTTGCATCTGATTAAATGAGCATCATTCTCAAATATGACATTCCAAGCAAGATCTTGGTTGCATAAGCAATGTTTCTAATTGTGTTCTTTTGACAAGGACATGCAAATAACTATATTATATAATGTGAATGTATGCACAGAACTATATTGCTACGAAAATAAGAACATTCAAGAGGTTCACAATTCTGAGAGTGTTGGGCAAAGAGAAAAATATTTCGTTTAAAAATGTTTCATTTCAGTTTACAAAAGCAAAATCTACTGCATTGTTCTGAGTTACACATAAGGAGAAAAGTCTTCCTATATATCTATAAAAATAGAAAATTAAAATGCCAATAATACCACAAACAAAACCCACAGCAATCCCTTTTCAGTATCTTCAGTCCAATGTAATTAATGTGTGTTCCACTCGATCTTGGGTTGACAGTCTCATGAATATGAATCCATCGGTTTCTCAGCTGTTTTCTCAACTGAAAAACTGTTTTTTTCCATCAGTTTTGGAAACCTTGGCTCACTCCACTGGTAGGTTCTCATTTAAGCAATGATACCATTGGAAACCTATAACCAAACATACATGACATAGTCCTATTTTGCAGGGCTCTGATACAGTCTCCTTTGTTGAGGATGGAAAATTCTGAGCTGTAGTAGATTACCAGAGCTTTCACGAAAGCTTCAGGGTAAAACAAACAATATCTGGAAATGACCAAAGACTTAAAATGGCTGTGGTTAATTTCTTACTTAGAAGGCTAAAAAGTGCAAGGCCTGATGAGATTTGTTTTAAAAAATAATTGAATAGGCAAAGAAATTTGTTGTTTTTGTTGCTTACAACACAAGGTAATAAAGTCAATCCAAAAAGGTTTTAGACAGAATATTTATAAACATAACAATTAATTATTGTCAAAAAGAGGAGATATTCTATGTAATCTTTACAAAGAAAAAGCTCAGATATTACATATACTAATCTTGATACATAATATAACACAAATATATCAAGCTTATAGTTCTATCAAAAATATCACGTAAAATATTATGGAAGTCTAGACTAGATCCTCAACACCTGAGTATTAGTAAAATGTCATAAGTAAGTCATGTAAATTCTTAGTCCAAAACCACTGATCTAGAAGATATTAGATTCAAATTAAAGAGGTAAAATTGTGACCAAGTCAATACTTAAATACCTAGAATTATGAATCATAACGCTACAGTGCTGTTGTCTAACCCAGGCAAAGCAACACCAGACTCTAACAAATAGAAACATATGAAAGGAAAGGGCACTGGCAAGTTTCCATGTAATTCCAATCCAGCATACAGTTTCTGAGATATTTATATTAACAATATTTTACCCATACCAACTTCACCTAGGGAAAGCTCAGGATCTCTTCTAATTTTCTAGCACTTCCTATGCACTTATCAGTCATAAAGTATCAAATAGATTTGATTATTTATAGCACTTTTCTTTTTATAATGTGAAAAAACACGTTTATGACTGGGGCCATCTGGGTGGTTTTTAAGACAGATTTCCTAGAGAAAATAATAATCCAATTTTGGAAAGGCAAAATATCAAAAGTTGTTGGAAGATCTGAACACTTGAACAAGTTCAAGTTGATACAATGATAGAGGCAGGAGGCAAGAAATTCTAGGCAGACGAGGGTAGGTCCCTGGCAAAACCCTGCCTTCTAGCAGAAAATCCTGAAACCCATGGCCCAAAGTGAGAACTTCCATCCCTGTTTTTCTGCTCCAATGTTGCCTTTTCCTATACTACCAACAGCCCACTCTGCCCCTCATCCTGTGCCTATGAAGACCCCAGACTCAGTCAGAGAGAAAGGGAGAAGCAGCTGGACTTCTGAAAGAAGAAACTTGACTTCAGAGGGAAGACTTGATGGCTTGATTTCAAAGAAGAGTCCTGCCAGAGATGGCCAGACTTGAGGGGAAGATTACCTGCCCATCCCATTTCCTTTCCAGCTCCCCTTCCTGCTGAGAGCCACTTTTTCATCGTTCAATGAAATTGTCTACATTCACCATCCTTCAATTTGTTCCTGCTACCTCATTTTTCCTGGATGACAGACAAGAGCTCGGGAGCCACAAGTGCAGATACTCAAAAAAAAAGGCTGTCACACTGGCCCTTTGCCCTCAGTAGTGGAAGGCAGCCACCCTGTGCAAGAAGGCAAAGGGCTTACTGAGCTGTTAACATTTAAGCTGTCCATGGATGGATGACAGAGCTGAAAGAGCATTGTGGCACACCCTCTGGGGCTTCAGAGTTGAACAGCCCCACCTGAACACTGCCGTGGGGCCTGCATGGAGTTTGTTCCTGCTGGTGCCCAAAAGCAGACAGCTGGGTCGCTTACTTGCTCACCCATGTGTTCCCCCAACAAGGGGTGGTGAGCTGAGTAAATGAAGTTTGTTCCTGCCAATGCCTAAAAGTGCTCACTTCAGTTCCTGTACTCATTTGCTTGCACGCTGCCTCCCATGAGGGTTAGACATGGGTGGACTGAGAAAACAAGGCACCTCTGTCACAAATCCCATTAAGGGGTCAAGAAAATATCCTGATTCAATATGTTACTAAGAAATAATAATTGGTTATCTATTTAACCTAGGGACAACAAACATATTTTAAAAGTAAAACTAGGAGTTAAGATGATCATAATGACCCTTAGCTCTTCTATAAATGAGAAACCTTTGTTTTCATAAATAATCAAGGGCAAAAAACAATCGTACAAACCATAGAAGGTTACTCTGGTAAGATGGAATCTTAGCTATACAGGTGGATTACACTGAAGGTACAAAAGAAACTTTTCTTTTTTTAAGACGCGTTTATTCAGCATCGTGATCAGATTATTACATTTAGCAATCAACAGCATGGGTACAAAAAATCATCTATATTAAAACCCTTTGTTGGAATGCTTTGTACTTTCCACGGAACAGAAACTAAAACAACCTGTTCTACAATTAATCACAAATACAGTCCTTGAGATTTTGCCCATACACATGAGTATTTGTCAAAAACATGGCTTCTTTGTAGCAGCTAGGCCCTGCCACCACTGTGCTTGGCTGAGTTCACAATTCTGTTGTAACCTGTAGCTTCCCCGTCACTTCTCTGGCTCTCCTCTCCTGCTAAGCTTTGTTTCCTGACTGTAATTAAAATCTTCTGCCACTGCCATAGCTACTGCTGCTACTGGAACCACCCCAGCCACCTTGGTTTTGTGGTTTGGCAAAGTACTGGCTTCCACCACCATAGGGGCCAGAGCTTCTGCCTCCAAAATTTACTCTCTTCATGGGTCCAAAATTTGAAGACTGTTGCAATTGCCAAAATCACTGTAGCTTCCACCACCTCCAAAATTGCTTCCATCATTACCAAATCCATGATGACCATCCCCGCTGCCACCATATCCACCATCACCATGGCTGCCACCAAAGCCACCATGACCACTGAAGTTTCCTCCATGACCAAAGTTGTCATTCCCACCAAAGCCACCTCCATGACCACCGCTAAAGCTTCCAGAACCACTTCAATCTCTTTGGCTGGATGAAGCACTCGCCATCTCTTGCTTTGACAGGGCTTTCCTAACTTTACAGTTGTGGCCATTCACAGAATGGTATTTCTGAATGACAGTGTCATCCACGGAGTCATGGTCATCAAAGATTATGAAGGCAAAGCGCCTTTTCTTGCCACTGCCTCAGTCGGTCATGAGTTCAATCACTTCGATTTTTCCAGACTGTTCAAAATAATCTCTTAGGTGATGTTCTTCAGTGTCTTCTTTAATGCCACCAACACGTATACTTTTCACAGTTAAGTGGACACCTGGTCTTTGAGAAACTTTTCTTGAGACAGCTTTTTGGTTCCACAACTCTTGCATCCACCTTGTGTGACCTTGCATTCATGGCTGCATCCACCTCCTCCACAGTGGTGCATGTGACAAACCCAAAGCTCCTGGAGCTCTTGGTGTTTGGATCTCTCAAGACCGCCTAGTCTGTGAGTATTCCACATTGCTCACAGTGGCTCTTCAGGCTCTCATTGGTTGTTTCAGAGCTCAACCCTCCAATGAAGAGCTCCCGCAGCTAATCGGGCTCTTTAGGAGACTCTGACTTAGACATGACAGCAGGGGAAAGAGAGACTTTAACAATGCTTCCTTGGCAGCGTCCATGGGCAGAAAGGAGTAAGCTGGCAAAGAGATCTCATAGAAAGGAAACTTTTATAGCCTGTTTTGAAAAGACCAATAATATAAGAAAATTTCAGTAGAACAGAGAGAAAACCAAAATCTAGTTTTACAGCACTAGAATGTTTGATACTCAAACTCTACTTGAAAATCTTATAAATAAACCTATCAAACCTTAACCGGTTTAACCATAACAGCCAAAATTCCCTTTCTGATAACTTTCTAAAATTTTTTCTTCCATTTAATTTTTTTTCCTATAATTTTCTTTTTCTCGTTCTGGAATAAGCAGTCATTTTATTTTACAACATAATTACTCTCTTTTTTCTTAACAAAAACTCATCCAGTATATTTTGCATACCAGGTTGTGCCTCCTTTCCACTATTACTACTAACTGAGTCTCATTCATATATACAGATTATATGTTTTCACAACATTGACTTCTACTTCATAGAGGAAGACAGGAGGAAAATAATTGTGAGCTATCTGTACTCACGCCAGCATTTCACAGCATCCTATATGGTACAACTCCTCAAAGTGGCAAAACTGAACAGGTTCATGAGCATTTGCAAATAAATTTCACCTTTCTATATCATGTAAAACATGCGAGGCAAAATGTCTACATACTTAAAATTATGTTTAGTAATTAAAGGTTTAATGTTTTATCTTTCTTAGGATGATCTTGATATCTAATAAAATTCCATTAATTGACTCAATTCAGTATCATTCCAAGGCTTTAGAAATTATCTTGTAACTGATATACTATAAAACATACTTTATTAAATAAAGTTTGTCAGAATATTGATCTGATTTGCTTATATAGCATACACATTTACATTTTTTTCATAATTTTAACTATTTAGTAGAATTCATGGTAATTCATTCAATCAGTAAACATGTATAAGTTTACGGAGAGCATACCCAAGGAGAATAAGAATGTAAGCTGGTATTATACTTAACATTGGTAATTTAGAGATTACATAGATGTTTCTACTGAACCAACAATGTTATACTAATCTCTCTTGCCAAAGGTTTACTTACATATGTGAGCTTGAATTTATAACATGTATTAAGATGTGTGAGTTTGTTTCTGTAAGAACGTGTTTTTAAAGTATATTGAAAGTCAGCCAGGTGTGGTGGGAAAGTATTTGAAGTTCAATTTTCTTAATTTCTGAGAAATTAGGAATATACAATTTAAATAAGCATTTATTTATCTCTAAGCCAATCAGATTAGGACTGTGTTAAAAGGTTTAATGATTTAATTCGACAATACCATTTAGGAATATATTGCATACATACCATAAGAGATAAACGTCTTTCTGAATTTTAGAAATATAAACACACAGACACACACAGAAATTCAGCAGTGGGTTAAACATAAACACAGAAACACAAGACGAATTGCTCTATATTAAGGAGTTATTCTCTTCATAGAAGGTATGAATTTTTAATTGATTGGAGCTCAAGATAGATGAAATAGACAAACAGAAAAGACTAACAAATTAGATTGTCTGTCATTTTTTACACCACAGAGAAAAGATCTCTGTAAACCATTAATCCATTTATAGAGATTGCCACATGCTCACACAATAATGGAAAAATATTGCAGCATCCATACTCAAACAAATACTCAAAAGGAATCAAAATCATATCCTTTCCACACTACCAGTGGGCAAGAGTCCAGAACAAAGACCAAGAATCAGACTCACCCTTGTGTTCCCTCATTCTGTTCCAATGAGAAACAGAGCACAAAGCACACCAAAAGCCTCCAGACCTGGACAGAGCAAAGGGGGACCCAAAGGCGAGTTCCTATATGACCCAAGCCATGGCACCCAAATAGTGAAAGAAAAAATGCACCAATTAAGGAAATGTTTTTCTTCAGGCAACGGTAGTAGGAACATATTCATTAAGGAATATCATCTCTACATATAGGGAGGAAACATGGGGCCTTATGAAACAAGGGATTCCTGGAGGAAGACTAAAGCAGGTCTTATCTTGCTATGAAAGAGCAGGGTGGTCATATATTAGAAGCCACTTTCTGGAATGCAAAACATTGATTGATTTCAAAAGGATAGGCAGATTTCTTAACCTTGATTATTTTCCAGGAACATAAGACTCGGGTAAAATTCAACATTATCAGGAACACAGTAGTGTTTGAAACAAGAGGAAACTAAAAATGTAATTCTTAGGAAACTTCTGAAAGCTTTTTTTTACTGTTAAAAGTCGACAGGAGTCCTTAGAATTGAAGGTTAATTCATAGAGCAGGAAAAAAGTTAGAAACCCTTATGAGATTTATTCTCTCAGATATTTAAAAACTAATACAAGTGGACCTCACATTTCAGAAGACAACTTCATAGAATATTCAGTCCCTGAAAGTGAGCCAAATTCTTCTAATTTCATTCTAGAATTATCAGTTAGAGTGCATCATTTGTTATATTGTAGAAATTCTCTTGACGTCATGAAATAAGTATGTTTGTTGCTGGTCACGCTTCATAGACAATCATAAAAAACAAAACAAATGCTTAATATATATATTGTGCAAGAGAAACTTGTATTGCAGTATTATTAAAAGCAAATCAATAAGAAGCATTTTCTATACCTTCTAATTCACATCTTATAAGATTTTACTTGGGCCAGGCACGGTGGCTCACGCCTGCAATCCCAGCACTTTGGGAAGCCAAGGCAGGCGGATCACATGAGGTCAAGAGTTTTGAGACCAGCCTGACCAACATGGGGAAACCCCTTCTCTACTAAAAATACAAAGTTAGCTGGGCATGGTGGCGCATGGCTGTAATCCCAGCTACTCTGGAGGCTGAGGCAGGAGAATCGTTTGAACCCGGGAGGAGGAGGTTGCAGTGAGCCAAGGTTGTGCCATTGCACTCCAGCCTGGGCAACAAAGAGCAAAACTCTGTCTCAAAAAAAAAATATATATATATATAATATATACATATATAAATATATATTTATATATATAATATATATGTACATATATATACACATATATAAATATATATTTATATATAATATATAAATATATATTTATATATATTTTCTATATTTATATTTATTTATATAATATATTTATATATATTTTCTAAAATGTATAAATATATTTATATATATTTTCTATAATATATAAATATATATATTTATATATATATATATATATATGTACTTGATCTCCTTAAGTTGCTAAGTGACAAACAGCCCACCTATGTTATGTGTATAGTCAGCATTGTCAAGCTCAGGCCAATAGACATATATTATGCTGAAAAGCAGTGGAAATATTCTTGTAATACATAACTATGTTAATTTAAATGAAGTCTTTATTACTGAAAAGATTTTTAAAACCCAGAAAAGATAGATCTTCCTGAAACAATTTCATTAGCTTGGTGAGTGTATATTTTACTTATCAAAAACAAATTACCCAACTCTACCAAAAGGAATGAATTTAATAATACACTTAACTATGTAGTAATTTGTCAAAGTCCCAAATCTCTTTACATTTAATATCATGTTAAATCAGTGATTTGTTTTTACATTTGACAACCTAGAATTTAGCACAGGCTACATTGTAATACCAATGGTTAGATGAATGTTGGTATAGTATATGAACATTGTACTTAGAAATAAGTCTGGCACTTTTAAATCACACCTGCAATTCTCAAACCACCAAATCCAATGGAATAAATCTTTCCACATAATTTGTTCTGTAAAGAAGTCCTAATGTACACCAAAAAATTTGAAAAATTATTTTGCAATTCTGTTGAATTAAATAAAAGAAGAAATCACACCTCAGAATTAATAACATTATTACCTGATGAACTCTGAAGAATCTGTTGTGATATTTTCATTAAATTGTTTAATAATATACATAAATAGAGACTACAAAAGTTCGATGTGTTACCTATTTTAATTCTGAAATTTGGTTAATTTATTTAAATCAATGTGTTTTCATGTTGAAATGTATAAATAGCTTTTAAGAGAAATGCATATTTTCATTTGTTTATAAAGTTGTTGCTCCTCTCCCAAAGGTAAAGGTACCACTTTATCTGTAAAGCTCATTCATAGCTGACTCAGGTGAATGTTCCTTTGAGGATATCAGTTATGCAGCAAACTGAGAGTTGTACCAAGGGCTATTAAAAATTATGTAACAGAGAAAACATGATCTTGGAGGACATTTAGAAAATCTCTCTGACAGGGAGTAACAGAGGGAACTATCTTACAAAGGAACTTCAAAACACATCTCTGGGCTAGAGGGATATATTGTCTTAGAAGACGTTTTGAATACAAATTGCATATACCACAAGACACTGAAAAGGAAGTCGCTAATATGAATTTGAAAGGCAACGGTGTACAGGAATAAATCTGATGCTTCACTTCCTGAGTCAACAAGCATGGAATCTATGAGGTTTTCAAAGAAATGGATGAGCAATAGCTTCAGGAAAACGTGTAAATAAATGAGTCCCTGGGGCCTCATGTAGAGATACTGTTCAAATAGGTGATTTTCTGCATTCTGAGCAGGCTGAAGTCCTATTTTCTCCCCTTTGGCATTTTGTCTTCTTTGACATTCCCTCACTCACAGCCTGCCTCCTTCTGACCCCAGCATTGTTCAGTATCAGGTTATTGCAAATAGCAAAGCTTGTACCAAGGCTTGTATCACCAGGGCATGCCACATTAGGGTGGAAATGGAATTGCAGGTTAATCTTTCAACTAAAGTGTGTAAGAAAAAAAGATACCTATTACTAATAATAATTTAAAAATAAATTGTGAAATGCTAGCTATGTGCCAGATATTGGGAAAGGCACTCTTGAGACAGAGTAAGTGGCACACTTCAATCCAATAAAATATTTATGAAGTCACTGTAATGTGAAACCCACTGGTCTGGGCACTATAGAGAGACCTACAAAGACAGAGAAGAAAGACCCTTTTTAAGAAGGTTATTATTTGCCCCCCTTAAATTCATAAGTTAAAGTCCTAACCTCCTCTACCACATCAATGTGATCACGTATGGAAATAGATTGTTTTACATGTATTAGTTAAGATGGGATAATAGTGGAGTAAGATGGGCCCTCATTCAAAATGACTGTGTCCTTATAAAAAGAGGAAGTGTGAACACAGAGACACACAGACAAAGAGAAGAAGGCACAGATCAGGGTGATGCTTCCCCAAAACAAGGAGCTCCAATGAGTGCTGGAAAATTGCCAGAATCTGCGGGGCAAGGCCTGGAAAAGATTCTCCCTCCCAGCCCTTGGGAAGAACCAACCCTACTGACAGCTTGATCTTGGACTTCTGGCCTGCAGAACTGTGAAATGATAAACTTCTGTTTTTTGGGCACCCAGTTTATGACACTTTGTTACAGCAGCCCCAGCTGGGAGCTGGGTTCTGGGAGAAATAAAATACAAACACACATCCATAAAATATAAAACAAAAATACAAGTTAGAAGAGAAGAACAAACAAAATCATGTAGGATTTTAAACTTCTGGATAAAGGTAAGTGGGTGTTTCAGATCAGACAAATCTCCGCAGAATAGACATTTAAGCTAAACCTTAAAGCAATTGACAGAATTGGAGCAGGTGCAGTAAGATTGTGTGTATTGCAGAGAGGCAATGTTTTTTATTAGAGGAAGACATTAAGTACAGAAAAACACAGAAAATATGCATCCAACAGAGCAAGATAAGACCCCAGAGAAAAGGAGGGAGGGAGGTAAGGGGGCCATTCTGCAAAGGGCTTTGAAGGTAAGGTGGGGAGCCTGCAATCAGTTTGAGGGAAGTAAACTTTTATGTTTCTTAAACATAGAAAGCAGACACACAACAAATGTGAGTGTTCATGTGCACTTGCATGTGCACACACACAGGCACATACACACATAAAAACAAACAACTTGAATCTACAGATTCAACATTATTCCTACCAAACTATTAATGTCATTTTTCAAACTAGAAAAAAACTATTCTAAAATTCATGTGAAACCAAAAAAGAGCCTGACTAGCCAAAGTGATCCTAAGCAAAAAGAGCAAAGCTGGAGGCATCATGCTACCTGATTTAAATTATACTACAGGGCTACAGTAACCAAAACAGCATGGTACTAGTACAAAAACAGACACATATAACAATGCAACAGAATAGAGAACCCCCAAAATAAAGCCACACACTTAACAGCCATCTATTTTCACAAAATTGATAAAAAATAAACAATGAAGAAAGGATTCCCTATTCAATAAATAGTGCAGGAATAACTGGCCAGCCATATATAGAAGAATGAAACTGGATCTTTATCTCTCACCATATCCCAAAGTTAACTCAAGGTGGATTAGAGACTTAAATGTGAGACCTCAAATTATAAGAATTCTAGAAGAAAACCTAGGAGACATTCTAGACATTGGTGTTGGGAAATGATTTATGACTAAGTCCTCCAAAACAATTGCAACAAAAACAAAGATTGGAAAGTGGGACCTAATTAAACTAAAGAGCTTCTGCCCAGCAAAAGAAACCATCAACAGAGTAAACAGACAAGCTACAGAATGGGAGAAAATATTTGCAAACTATGCATCCAACAAAGGTCTAATATCCATAATCTATAAGGAACTTAAGCAATTGAACAAGCAAAAACAAATACCCCATTAAAAAGCAGGCAAAAGACATGAACAGACACTTCTCAAAAGAAGACATATGAGCAGCCAACAAACATGAAAAAATGCTCCACATCACTAATCATTGCAGAAATGTAAATAAAAACCACGGTTAAATACCATCTCATGCCAGTCAGATGGCTATTATTGAAAGTCAAAAAAAGAAAAGTACATGCTGGTGAGGCTGCAGAGAAAAGAGAATGCTTATACACTACTGGTGGGAATGTCAATTGGTTCAGACCACGTTGAAAGCATTTTGGAGATTTCTCAAATAATTTAAAAGAAAACTAACATTTGACTCAGCAATTGCATGACATTAGATTAATACCCAAAGGAATATAAAACCTTCTACCAGGAAGACACATGCACTCATATGTTCATCACAGCACTAGTCACAATAGTGAAGATGTGGAATCAACCTACATATCCATCAATGGTAGATTGGATAAAGAAAATATGGTACATATACACCATGAAATACTATGCAGCCATAAAAAATATGAAATAATGTTCTTTGCAGCAACATGGATGCAGCTGGAGGTCATTTTCCTAAGCAAATTAACACAGAAACAGAAAATCGGATACCACATGTTCTCACTTATAAGTGGAAGCTAAATAGGGGGTACTCACAGACATAAAGATAATAATAACAGAAACTGGGGATTACTAGAGGTGGAAGGGAGGTAAGGGTTGAAATACTAACTATTGGGTATTATGCTCAGTACCCAAGTGACCAATTGTATCCCAAACCTCATCATCATGCAATATACCCAGTTAACAAACCTGCACATGTACCCCCAATCTAAAATAAAAGTGTTAAATTCTATTTTTAAATGAGCCACTTGATGGTTTAAGCCAGGTTTACCACCACTGGGTTTGTGTCTTGGAAGTACTTGGAACTGCTATAAAGGAGGGATGCTCCTTATTGATTTCTACATTGCTTCAGAGGAGTAACATTCTGAAGCATTTATGAGTCAATATTATTCTAGGTGCTGGGATTACAGCAGTAGACAGGATATACAGAGTCCCTTCCCTCATGTAGTGTACATTCCAATGGAGGTAAATGCACAATGATAGATATATAGATATTTGGTGTAGTATCAGAGCAGTGAAAAATAGTATTACACAAAAATAAATCTAGATGAAAGAAAGAAAATGATAGTGATGTGTTTTAAGTTAAGATCATCAGGAAAGTTTATAAGAAGGGAAACATTTTGAGCAAAGACCCAAAGAAAGGAAGAGAAAGAGCCATTGTTTTCCCAGTGGTAGGTACCCTAGAGAACAGCACTGCACACATGCTCAGAATGGAGTGTGCTTGGTGTTGAAGGGACAGGGGTGGCCAGGGTGGAAGAGAGATGGGGGAGAGGAGTGCGCTGAGGCTCAGGCTAAAAACAACAACAACAACTCATCTCAGAAAAGCCATAAATACAGTCTACATCATTTATTTCTAAAAGAAAGAAACATTAGGATGGTCATGGTGGGAAGAGCTGAGTGTGTCCTATTTCAGCCTGCAAAAGTGTGGGTGGCCCTGGGTTGACAACCAGCTGAGGGAGGCTGTGGAACATTAGGGAACATTAATGGTCCTGCCTGTACACACAGGATGGCAGCGAGTTTCAGTGAGACAGGCGTAGAGGTGGCAGGACAACCCAGGGAATACCATCCCCAGATGACAGCTGTGAGCAAAGCAGAACTGCCCAATGTGCCCAATGGCATGAAGTAGGAAGTAGAAGCTTTGTACACCAGCTAGTGACAACGATTTCCATTCATGGGAAGACAATCAAGAAGTAGGCACTTCTGAAGTTTGCTCTCAAATGGAGTTAAGTAAATGCTTACTCGTCCCATCCAACTTACAAGAAGTGATTAGGAGTGACAGGGATGGCACCTGGGGATGGCAAATTGAAACCTCCTTTGAAACTGATGTGTGACATGTTGAAGAAACTTGCTGTTTTACAGCTTCTCATAGCTGTAGGTAGAGGTTATGCAGGATGGCTTTCAGACTGCTAGGGCTGCCATAACAAAGTACCACAGTCTGGGTGGTTTAAGCGAAATAAAGTTTTTTCTTGCAGTTCTGGAGGCTAGAGTCTGAGATGAAGGTGTCAGCATGCCTGGTTTCTTCTGAGACCTCTCTTGGCTGGTGAATGGCCATCTTCTTCTTGTGTCTTCAAATGGTCTCTCCTCTGTGTGTGTCTAATGCCCTCTTCTTTTAAGGATACAAGTCATGTTGCTTTAGTGACCACCCCTATAACCTCATTTTACCACAATTATATCTTTAAAGACCCTATTTATAATTATAGTCATATCTGAGGTACTGTGGATTTAGATACAACATATAAATTATGGGAGCCCATAAAAATTTCTATTAATTCATCCCATAACCCTTTTTATTTATGCAAATGCATTAGTAAGTTATAAAAGAGTCAGTCAAATTTACCTTATTGGCCTCTGCTGAGATACAGACACCTTCTCTCCATCCTTTCTGTTGAGGCCTGATATGGGTTGGCTGTGTTCCCACCCAAATCTCACCTTGAATTGTAATAATACCCATGTCAAAGCTGGGGCCAAGTGAAGATAATTGAATCGTGGAGATGGATTCTCCCATATTGTTCTCATGGTAGTGAATAAGTCTCATGACATCTGATGGTTTTATAAATGGGAGTTCCCCTGCACAAGCTCCCTTGCCTGCCATCATGTAAGATGTGACTTTGCTCCTCATTCACCTTCCACCATGACTATGAGGTCTCCCCAGCCATGTGGAACTGTGAGCCCATTAAACCTCTTTCCTTTATAGGTTACCCAGTTTCAGATATGTTTTTATTAGCAGCATAAGAACAGACTAATATACTGCCCCTCAGCCCCAACACCTGTGCTCCTAGGCACGTGGGAGCAAATCTTTCTCACAATCACTTCCCACTTTGAAAATGGTCCCTTATACATGAACATGAGAAGATGGGGTTTATATCATTTCAACAGAGGATGAAGGCTTGCTTGATTCACTTTCAGGCTCAACTTGCTGCTCCCTAATAAAATACTAATCAGGAATTTAGAAAAATGTGAAATCCATAAGATCAGATCAGGAAATGTGAGACTGAATTTATGAAGGTTTAAGTGCACCCAGGTGCCTGTTGAGTGTCAGCACCCCAGGAAAAGAAGGCAGCTGGCAGGCAAGGGCTTCAGAAAGAAGCCAACGATGTGAGACACTGTGCATGGGAGCCCCAAAGGAAGAACAGAGCGGGGAGGGAAAGTATGAAAAGACAGGAACTTCTGACTCTTTTATTCTCCCTGCACTTATCCCCCCAGGAGAAAAGAAGTCAGAGGCTAAAACAGAAATGTACAGTGTTTCAAAAGCTATGAAGGAAAGGAATGGATTCTTACGAAGGAGTTTTCTTTCTAGGATTTGTTTACAAGGAATAAAGCAGCTGTCGTATGAAAAGTAGTGTGGGAACTGTTATTATAAATTCACCACATATAATTCTAAGATATTTTTGCAGTCATATGAACCTTAGGGAGAAAAAAAACCTTACAGATATATGAATGGCTCATTTTGGTGGAAAATAGATAAGAAGTTGCAAGCCTGTTGAAAGAGTTCAGGTAATATGCCTTTAAATATGCCTGTACTAAATACAATTCTCTTTGGAAATAAAACAGCTGCCAGAAAGGTACTGATTAGACTACTGCTGGATGTGGCTAGAAAAAAAGTTTGTAATGTGTTTCATGCTCTCAATAAAAGTGACAGTGTGATGAGGGGAATGGATCGCTGATTAGGGGTGTAGACTACAAAAATGGAATTCAAAATCTGAATTGAAAAGGAAAGAAGGGACCCAATCCTCCACTCAGTCTTTTAAATTTAGAGGAAAAGAGAGAGAGAGAGAGAAAGAGAGAAAGAGAGAGAGAGAGAGGTATCTACATAGCTCCTATAAATGTTATTTTGGCTAGCGCTTCAGTTTGGTGATACACTTAAGGAAAATGTTACAGAATAAAGTGTAATTAGCATAGCATGTCAGAAAAGAAGCCATGAAATCTGTGTTTGGTGGGGTGCTCTAGAAGCAACAAGGAAGAAAGCTTTTAGACTTTGTGTTTAACAGCTTGAATACAAAGAAGGTAGCCACAACTGATCCTACAGGAGAAAGGGAACAGTTGCTATTCTTTCTCCTTAGAAAAGATGCTCATTAACTCCTGAGTGAGAAATGAACACATGTGCATTTCCAAGTGGGGCGGATATGCCTTCCCAGGTGCTAACCTAGGAGGTCCTCAAGGGATTTGTGTGCATCTGCTAAGGATGGCTTAACAAAGTACCACAAACTGGATGGCTTAGACAAAAGGCATTTATCTCACAGTTCTGGAGCCTGGAAATCCAAAATCAGGGTGTTGGCAGTGTTGGTTCCTTCTGAGGGCTGTGAGGGAGAATCTGTTTCAGAACTTCCTCCTGCTTCACAGATGATCATGTTCACAGGGTGTTCTCCTGTAACCATGCCTGTGCCCAAGCTTCCTTATTTATTGAGGACACCAATAATATTGGGATAAAGCCCACCCTAATGAACTCATTTTAACCTATGACCTCTGTAGTGACTATTTTCAAATAATTTCACATTCCAAGGTTCTGGGGATTAGGACTTCAACATTTGAATTTACAGGGATACAATTCTACCTCCAACAGGGAGACATACTGTGTGCATGAAAGAGCGCAATCCATGGCCTCATCTTTGGAATCTTCCAATTTCTTCCTCCCCACTCTTGACCCTCTGTGTGATGGCTTTTGCCAAGTAGTTTACTGGCCAGACCATGTGAGACCTGCAGCTTTCTGTCCCACTTATTCTCACTGAGGCCTTGAATGGAGGTCCCCACACTCCTGGCCGAGCTGGTATCTTCTCCCATCCAGATGTGTTCTGTTGTGCCCTGTTTCTTAAGCAGCTAAGCCTCTTCTATGCTCAATAAAGAAGTTATTAGTAACCACTAAAGAAGACTAAAAGATATTTTGCCCTTTGATTTTAGTTTCTCTGAGAGATTTTAGATTTTACACTAGGATATGATTCTAAGGGACCTGACATAAGGAAACATCTTGTTGTACTCAGAATATCATTTTCAAAACATTCTACAGATAACACAGACATGCCCAAATATGTCTATATCTTAGGGCTTATGTAGGGGAGTTGACAGGTTACTACTATAACCCCAAAGGAAAAAATCATACAGATTCTTATACAGGAAAACGATTTCCATATTGGTTAATATGCCAATCTGTCATTAACCTGTTCTACATTAGTGGAAAAGAAAATGTATAGTAGTAATAACAGTGGCTTTGGAGAGCTATTGTATTGAAATGGTACGATAATTATGAAAATTGTGGCCAGATAAAAGTGTTGCAGTTGTACTGGATTTGGGACTTGGAATAAAAGGCAAAAAAAGAAGGTAGAAAAAACAACATATCTATTCTCTCTGAAGGTATCCTAAAGAATAGGAAAAGCTTTCTACTTTGGGAAGAATCTCAAGGATGTGGTGACAGCAAATGCAGCAGTCAGCCTCGCTCCCAAAGGGACTGGCTGCTTAACTCCACATCATCAACCACATTGGCACTGGAGTGATTGAATGCTTTGAGACTTGACCAAAAGGAAATGAGGCTCTGGTATTCTTTAAATATATTTAGGGTACAGTCACACAGGTGCCATTGTAGTGTTTGGTTGTACAACAAATTATTCTGTGTGTGCACTGATGTGTAGACAAGATAGAAATAAAAGTAACATCTAAAAGCAGAGTAAGAAGGAAGGCTGGGCCGTGAGGCCCATCTTTAAGTTGACTTTGTTTTTTTATTTTCTTAGTAGTAACTCTCCTAAGGAGGGAAAATTATATATTAGAAAACTCTTATGTAGTGCATCAGTTTTTGTTCTACCCACAAGTAATGTGAATTTGAAGTAGCCCCAGACATAAATATCACCAGGGCCAGACCCTTGGAAAACATTCCCTAAATTCCTCCATTGTTTGACTTATCTTTCTTGTCACCAGCTATGTCAGTATGAAGTGACATCATTGATATAAAATTTTTAAAAGCACTTTACTAAAGTTAGAAAAATGCATTAATAAAAATTTGTTACTTTATGTTTCAAATTATTTATTGTATTATCCCCTTGCATCTATTATAAGAAGCGGAAAAAACTTTAGCAAAGGCCAGTTGGGTTTAGTTTCTAAACTTGCCTGGCACTGTTAACAGAACGTCAGTAATTAACTTCTGAATTTTGTTTAAAAAACCATTAAGTATCTCTACCAAGGGGAGAAGTAAAAGTGAAGAGCATGTAGAGTCATAAATTAAATACAACAATGCCTGTATTTCCACAGCGTGTTCAAATGTTACTTTAGAGCAATAAAATAAAATAAAATAAAGATGTGCATATGAGGAAGTTGGCCATCATATTTTGGTTGACTGTAAATTCAATTCAATTGGAAAATTTTAAGAGAGGAAGAAGGAAAAGGTGCTAATTCATTGTGAAAGGCAGGGTCAAGTGTTTAGATATGACAAGAACCAAATTAGATACAAAATGGAGGGACATTTCTCCTAGAAATTTTCTCTAATCCACCAGTTTTTCTTCTGTGACAGGCTGAGGTCTGAAGGAATAGTATTTTATACTTGGGTTATAATTACATGCTTGCCATTCCTCCTGGTCTAGCCAGATTGAAAATATTTCTAAGGAAAAATGTCTTAGTCCATTTTTGGTTGCTTACAACATAGGTAATTTACAAGGATTTATTTCTTATAGTTATGGAGGCTGTGAAGTCCAAGGTTGAGGGCCTGCATCTGGTGAGGGCCTTAGAACTCTGCAGAGGGCATCACGTGGCAAGGAGGCTGAGAATGCTAGCTCAGGTTCATCTTCTTCTTCTTATAAAGCCACCAGTCCTACTCCTTTGGTAACTCGTTAATCCATTAATCCACTAATCAACAAATGGATTAGTCCATTCATGAGGAAAGAGCTCTCATGATTCAATCATCTCTAAAAGGCCCCCCTCTCTATACTGCCACATTGGGTATTAAATTTCAACACGAGTTTTGGAGAGGACAAACACTCAAGTCATGGCAACAGAATATGACTGTTTCATAAATTGTGTGTTGCCTAAAACACAGAATATTCCATCTTAAAAAGCTAGCCGGTCAGGTAAATAGACACTTTGATAAAATAAAAACTGTGAATTATGCAAAATAAATATGACAAAAACAGTGATTTCTTAGAATACTGGAGAATCTAAACCCACTCCTTACTGTGCAGGAAATAACAAAAAAAATTATGAAAGGCCTTTGAGCAAAACAAGGAGAGGAATGAAGCATTGCTTTAATTAGAGCAATGCATCACTTATGACTCTTGTTATAAAGCAGACTGTTTCAACAGGTCTGAGGAGGAGCCCGTGTTTTTGCAAGTCTCTAGTGCTGGTGGGCCTTGAACCACTGAACCACACTTTGAGGAAGAAGAGATCAGTGTAAATCAGATTCTCAAATTCCATTGTACCTTTTGAGAAGTACTGTCTCCTAGACCCCACCCTCAGGGATGCCGATGTAATCGGTGCTGGACGCAAGTTGAGAGTCAAGATGTTTCCAACCTAGTGGGATTCCATGTGTAGCCACCTCAGAGAGCTCCTAGCGTAGACTGTGCTCCACATTTTAGGAAATAACAGGATTATTAGTTAGAACAAGTGAGTTCCAGAGGCCATTTTCTTCCCATTGAAAGATGAAGCATTATGCTACTTTACATGTGTATTCCATGTATTTTTTCTGTTTTTGATTTCCCATTGAAATTATTTAGGCAATCTATAATTAAGTTTAGGTTGTATGGTTTGATTTTCTTTGATGATACACTGGATAGAGCATTTGGGATTAGACGTTGAGCTCCTTAAACATTTCAGAGAGAACGTCTAGCAGTGAAGTGCTCAGACTGATGACGAATGAAAGGAAGTTGCAGGCGGGCTTGAGGAAGGAAAGGCACATTCTATGAAAAGGAAGATATATATTATTTTTACTACCAAGAATCCATTATTCTGAGCAAGGCAAGAGCAGAAAAACAATGAAATATGAATGCTTGAATTAGCATTTTAAGGGAATGTTGAAAAGCTTTGACTGTTTCAAGAATATATAGTGACTACTTTTCACCTATCGATCTCCACTATGCTGCCTATTTAGTAATCTACACTCTGAATCCTTTGTTAGGAGAAAAAAAAGGGACCCGCAGCTTTCACTTATTGAATTAAAACCTGAAAAATGAAGAGATCTGCTTACAAATTCTGATGATTTCAGTTATTTCAAGTGCTAATAGTCCCATACCATTGAAAAGATACTTTATTATTTTTGGATATTGGAGATTTAAATGAGAAAGGTTTTTATAAAATCAAATACACGTTGTAAAAGATGTTACTAGAAGAGGAAGAATGTAAATAAGAGGACAAAGAAACAGGACAGAGGAAAGAAATGGAACTAAAGGATTGTGATTTTGCCTTGCGGCATGGCATATACATGTAACATACCATTTAATCCTCTCAGTGAGCCTTGAAGACCAGCTTTCATATGCTGGTTTTTTACAGATGATGGAATCGCTTAGGCAACCTGTCCCGCTAGTAAATGGTGTTCTATTTGCCTCCAGCACACCATGGAAGGAGAAAACAAAAAGGTGGAATCAGGTAGGGTTCAACCAGAGAAACAAAGCCAGTAAGAGGTAAGTATTAAGAGATTTACTACAAGGAATGGGTTCCTTGATTAGGAAGCTGGCTAGGCAAGACCAAAATCCCTAGAGCAGGCTGTCAGTCAGGAAGAGAACTGTTGGACTGGAAACTCCAACAGGAGCTGAAGCTGCTGTCTCCAGGACTAATTTTTTCTTCGGTGGCAAATCTCAGTTCTTCCCTTACATTCTCTCAAGGGAATGAATCAGCCCCACCCAGATTATCTAGGAAAATCTCACTTACACATAAACTGAACGTGGGCTTCAACCACATCTGCACAACACCTTCACGGCGGCACCCCGACAACTGCTGTATTGATTGACTGGGGACGGCTGCCAAGATGAGCTGGCATGCAGCTGACTATCACAGCGTGTTTTCATGCAGGGGTGAGTTGGGGATGAGGGGTTAAAAAGAGGCCTCAGTAAAAATTAGAAATAAAGGTAGAAAAGAATGTTGACAGAAGAAAGAGAAACTGTTGAAACAAAGTGAAAATAATACTGGAATGGGATACCAGAAGCGTAGTGACAGCACGGGGATGCTGAGAAGAGTGGCCTTCTCCTCACCAGACCCAGAGCACAGCCGCCGGCAACAGGCTTTGCCGTCCACCATCCCCTCCCTTATTGCAGTGGCCTGTGTGATCCCAGGATGTCCTTGAAGGAAGATGTTATCTGACCTGTGAAATGAATAGTGTTTCCACAAGAATCGAACCAACATCTAAAAGTCCCACTAGCACCACTTCTGGGGGGACCGGAAGGGGATGTCTTTGTTCTGCTTCAAACAATGGAGCCAAACAAGCCTGGTGCAGTCAGTCTGCAGTCTGCCAGTGAGCCCAGATGTGGCTCAGCAGGGGCTAGAGCAGGGCCACAGGCCCTCCAGGCTTCGGTGCACTTCCAGGGAAGGCATCTTCACATACAGGAGCTTCTGAGGGGCTGTAAACTGGCTGCTCTAGCAGAGTGTGATGGAGGAAGGCACTGCAGGGCTGACTGGGTACTGTTAGAGCCAAAGGGAGAAGGAATGGAACAGAAGCAGCTCAACAGTAACATAGGTTTATTGTACAAAAGAGTCTGTGGAGGGGGAGCACCAGTGAGCGCTGGAGCCCCCCTCCCGCTTATAGGCTGGGGCAGTTATAGGCCCAGGCAGGAGAGGCCTGGGATTGTTGCAAAATGGGGTGGGGACGCTGTCTTGGGCTGCTGATAAGGAAGGAATTTACTTCAGTCAGGGGTTAGGCCTGGGACCTGTCCCCTGTCCAACAGGATGTTTCTCACGGCCCACGCCCTGGTGGAATTTTCCAGTCTGACCCAAGTTTGTAGAATGGTGAGGGTCTGCGAAATGGCGTGACTTGGGCTAACAGGCGCCTCCACTCCTTTATTTACGTGGGAAACCTTCTCCTCTGCATGGAGACGCCTGCTTGCTGTGTAAGGGGAATCTATTTCCTTCTTGGACACATCTATTTATGGAATTGTGGCACATGGCATACACCTCCCTCTACCCTCAACCTTTCTATCTACCTGAGAGAATCCTACATTCTTACACAAATAGTCCATTCCAACCTTTGAAATCACCTTTGCAAAATTGTGACAGTAAGAGTAATCTGACATAGTTGACTCCATCCTACTTCTGACCTCCAAGCTGTCCTTGGTCAATCCGGGGCGTAGGTCAAGCTAACTTTGGGAAGAAATTGAGTTTGTACTTCAACCTTAAAGCAAGGATGATAATAGCCCTCACAACGGTGATAATGAACCACCTTTGTAAAACCAATGAAAAGCCACAAGGTTCGGATTATGAGAAGGGCCAGAATTCTATTAAGATATAGGCATAGTTAAATGATAACCAGCCAGTTACAGAGGTCACGAGATACGTGACTTCCCCGTTTACTCCTGTGGGTAACATCACTATTGTAGAACCTAAGATTGGCCTTTTGAGATGCCTTTTCAGACTTGAATTTCTGATGACTGCAGACTCTGCTGGGACCCCTGACTTGTGACTCAACAGGTCATGTGACCCCACCTAGAGGGTGACTCAGCACACGAGAACTGTTTTCCACACCCCTATGATTTCATTCCCAACCAATCAATGTTCCCAGTTCTTTAGCCCCCACCCACCAAACCATCCTTGCAAAACCCTAACCTCCAAGCCTTTGGGGAGACTGATTTGAGTAATAACCCCTTCTCCTATGTGACTGCCCTCATGTCAATTTAACTCTTTCTTTACTGCAGTGTTGCAGTCTCAGTGAATTGATTTTGTCTGTGTAGTGGGTAGGAAGACCCCATCAGGCAATTACACCTTTTCCTTCCATATCCTTCCAGGCCCCTAACTCTCATCATTCTTATCTCCACGACTTCTCCAGCCATGCCAAGGACTCTGTCTGCAAAAGGAAATATTTTATTTGTGAAACACTAACAAACTACACTTAGTCTCACATTTAGCCTTGCCATTCTTTCACACCCAAATTCCCGTAGTGTTTATTCCTGTGCCTTGCAGAGCTCCATGTTTCTTGATTCCCCTGACTGTCTTCACTGCCCCATTCCTATATGAATCATATATTGAGCACAGAAACTACTTCCTCTTCCATCTCAAATTCCTTTCCCACTGTACTTTCCAAAAACCTACTCGACACACCCCAATTTCAGGATCAAGTTTATAATCATACGGATTCCTTCTTTTTGAGTAATTTTGGTAACTAAAATTTATAATTCCAAATGATTGATCTATTGTAGCAATAGGAAGATCAACTCACATTACTAAAATTTGTTTACCCAACATATTCCACCTGGAAACCTGGGTTTCTCTACAATGCTAGGGAAACAGGTGTGGCCACAAGTGCTTCTGCAGTGACAAATGAGCAGGCTGTAACCACAGGCGGTGCTTGGCTCTCATTCCAACCTGTGCAGGTCAAGTCCCTCTCAGGGACAGCCATGGCAGTCCCACTCTCCAAGCTTCCCATAGAATCCCAGCTCACTCAGTCTTGGCCCTCAGACCATCACCTCTCACTGGGAAAATTGAGACACTGAGGAGGTAACTCTCAGCTCTCAAACTGTTTCACGGGCTCTCTTATCACCTGCCTTCCTTGTAATCTCACAAGATGAAGGTCATCCCTACTTGGATTGAAAGCCAGATCCATCATTTGTGCTCTTGACCCTTTTCTCTCAGATTGTTCCAGACCTTGATTTATCAATTATTCCTTCTTTTTCCAGTATCTTATGCTGTTATTTTTCTCTACTGGATCTTTCTCACAGCTTTATAAAAATGGGCTCTGGTATGAATGTCCCATGTTAACCACAAGGAATTTATTTGCCCCATATAAATATCTAATTTGGTTAATCAGCAAGTAATATACTTTTTAAAAAACTCCACAAAATTAGTTCTATAAATGGAAGTGAAAAGTTCAAATCTAAATTAAAATAAGACACTGTCATAAGAAGATTATATCCTTTATATACACATTTATTTTCATGTTTTAAGTTATCCTAGAGTCCTTTGCATTAGTAAAATCATGGACAAATATGGGTACATCCATTTTTGTATTACCACCCACGAATTATTCTGTTGAAAAGTTTTAACTCCATTCTTATCTAATACTGTCTTTTAAATGATTTTTAATTATAAAGTAACAAACTTTACGGACTAAATTTGTAAAGAATGTACTTCATTAAAAATTAAAAAATTAATAATGACATGGAATTTCACAGTGTTACCACAGAAAATTTATTGATAGCTTTGAGTTTAAAAAAATTAAAAGTGAGGGGGAAGTGGAGCACCATGGCCAAATAGAAGCCTCCAGAAATTGTTCCCCCAACAGGAGCACCAAAATGAATCCTATTTACAGGGAAAAACACCTTCACAAGAACCCAAAATCCGGTGAGTGATCACAGTACCTGGTTTTAACATTACGTTAAGGAACCAGGCACTAAAGACGGTAGGAAAGGCAGCCTTGAATTGCCTACAACACCGTTCTCTCATTCCCCGAAAGTGACCATGTGGCATGGAAAAAATCTGTGCACTTAGAGGAGAGAGAGTGCAGCAATTTTGGGACTTTGCACTGGAACTCAGTGCTGCCCTATATCAGTGGAAAGCGACACAGGACAGAACTCAGCTGATGTCCATGCAAGAAGCATTTAGATCAGCTATAGCCAGAGGCAAATCGTCCATCTGAGTGGTCAGAACCTGAGTTAGAGCACCCTGCCACCATGAGCTAAAATGCTCTGGGTTCTGAAACGAACTAGAAAGACAGTCTAGGACACAAGGACTACAACTCCTAGATGAGTCCTAGTGCTGAACTGGGCTCAAAGCCAGTGGATTTGGGGGGCATGTGGCCTACTGAGACACCAGCCAGTGTGGCCAAGAAAAGGGAGTGCTTGCATAACCCCTGCCCCAGACCCAGGTAATGCAGTTCACTGCTCCAGGAGAGGCCTCTTTTGTAGGCTTAAGGAGAGGAAAGAGGATAGGAAAGTGGACTTTGTCTTGCAACGTGGATACCAGCTTAGCCACAGTAGAATAGGCCAACAGGCAGAGTCCCGAGGCCCTCATTCTAGACCCTAGCTTCCAGATGATATTTCTAGACACAACCTGGGCCAGAAGGGAACCCATTTCCTTGGTGAGAAGGATGCAGTCATGGCAGGATTCATCACCTGCTGACTAAAGAGCCCTTGGGTCCTGAATAATGATCAGTGAGAACCAGGGAGTACCTACTTTGGACTTTGGATGAAACTCAGAGCCATGCTGGTTTTATGTGTGACCTAGCACATTCCAAGATATGGTGGTTATGGGGAAAGACTATTTCTGCTTTAGGAAAGGAGAAGGAACAGTGAAGGGGACTCTGTCTTGAAGCTTGGGTACTAGATCAGCCACGGTGGTATAGAGCACAAAGTGGGCAGCTGGGATCTGCAATTCCCGGCCTTGGCTCCTGGATGGCATTTTTGGATTTGCCCTGGGCCAAAGGGGAACCCAAGTCTGTAAAGGAAGAGACTCAGGCCTGGCGGCATGCATTGCAAGATGACTAAAGAGCCCTTCTGCCTTGACTGAACATTGATGACAGCCAGGCAGTACTTGCTGTGGGCCTGGGCAGTTCTGGCCATAGGGAGAGACTCCTTTGCTTGTGTAAAGGAGAAGGAGGAGTGCAAAAACTTTGTCTTGTGACTTGGGTGCCAGCTCAGCCTCAGTAGAATAGAACACCAGGTAGATCCCAAAGGTTTCTGATTAGAAGCCCTTGTTCACAGACAGCATCTCTGGACCTTCTCAGGGACAGGGGGAACTTGTCTCCCTGAAGAGAAGGACATGAGCCTGGCTGGATTCACCACCTGCTGATTATAGACACCTTGGGCCTTGAGTGAACATAGGCAGTGGCTAGACTATGGTTACCATGGGGCTTGGACAAGGCCTTGTACTATGCTGGCTTTGGGTCTGACCCAGTGCAATCTCTGTGATAGTGGCCATAGGGTTACTTGTGCCATCCCGAGCTCAGCTCCAGGCAGCTAAGCACAGAATGAGAGACTCTGTTTGTTCAGGCAAAGTGAGGGAAGAGAACAAGAGTAACTGCCTGGTAATTTAAGAAATTCTTGAGAATCTTACCCAAGACCACCAAGGTAATATCTCTGCAAGGCTGCAAAAGCCACAGCTTTACTGTGTTTGGAGTTTCTTCTAATGTAGATATGGCTGCAGTGACCAAAGACTTAGATCACAACATGGAGTCACTTCAAATACATGGAAAGCCTTCCTAAGAAGGATGGGTGCCGACAAGCCCAGGTTGCAAAGACTACAATAAATACCTAACTCTTCAATGCCCAGACAACAATGAACATTGACCAGATTTAGAAAATAGTCTCAAAAGGGCAAACCTAATAATTATTGGTATTAAAGTAGAGATAGAGAGAAAGATAGGGGTAGAAAATTTATTCAAAGGGATAATAACAGAGAACTTCCCAAACCTAGAGAAAGATATCAACATTCAAGTACAAGAGGGTTATAGAACACCAAGCAGCTTTAAACCAAAGAAGACTACCAAGGCATTTGCTATTCATATTCCAAAAGTCAAGGAAAAGAAAGGATCTTAAAGACAGCAAGAGAAAAGAAACAAATAATATTCAATGGAGCTGCAATACATCTGGCAGCAGATTTCTCAGTGGAAACCATACAGGCCAGGAGAGAGTGTCATGACATACTTAAAATGTTGAAAGAAAACAACTTTTATTCTACAATAGTACATCCAGTAAAAATATCCTTCAAACACAAGAAGAAATAAAGACCTTCTCAGACAAACAAAAGCTAAGGGCTTTCATCAACAACAGACTCATCCTACAAGAAATGCTAAAAGAAATTCTTCAATCTGAAAGAAGAGGACATTCCTGGGCAAGAAATCATCTGAAGGTAAAAAATTCACTGGTAATAGTGAGTACACAGAAAACACAGAATATTATAACACTGAAATTGTGGTGGGTAAGCTACTCATATCTTAAGTAGAAAGATGAAAAGATGAACTGATCAAAAATAATTATAACTTTTTGAAACACAGGCAGTATAATAAGATACAAACAGAAACAACAAAAAGTTAAGAAGCAGGAGGATGATGTTTTTATTAATTTTTTATTAATAAAAAACAGAGTTTTTATTAATTTTTTGTTTATGCAGTGTTAATTGTCATCAGTTTCAAATCATGGGCAATAAAATATTATTTGCAAGCTTCATGTAACCGCAAATCAAAAAATATACAACATATCCACAAAAAATACAAAACACAACAGAAAATTACCTTCAGTAAAAGGAAGACTGGAAGGAAAGAAAGAAGGAAGAGAAGACCACAAAACAACCAGTAAAAAAGTAACAAAATGGCAGGGGTAAGCCCTTACTTATCAACAATCACATTGCATATAAATACATTGCATATAAACTCTCCAATCAAAAGACATGTAGTGGCTGAAAGGATACAAAAATAAGACCCAACAATCTGTCGCCTACAAGGAACACACTTCACCTATAAAGACACACATAGACTGAAAATAAGGGAATGGAAAAAGACATTCCATGCCAACTGAAACTTAAAAAAAGCAGAAGTAACCATACTTATATCAGACAAAATAAATTTCAAGACAAAATCTATGAAAAGGGAAAAAGAAGGTCATTATGTAACAATAAAGGAGCCAATTCAATAAGAGGATATTACAATTGTAAATATATATGCACTCAACATTGGAGCACTGACATATATAAAGCAAGTAATATTTGTGCTAAAGAGAGAGATAAACCCCAGTACGACAACAGCCCTAGATGCCAACATTCCACTTTCAGCATTGGACAGATCATCCAGACAGAAAATCAATAAAGAAACATCAGACTTAATTTACACTATAGATCTAATGGACCTAATAGATATTTACAGAGCCCTTCATCCAATGGCAGCAGAATACACATTTTTCTCTTCAGCACATGGATTATTCTCAAGGATAAACTATACATTAGACCACGAAACAAGCCTTGAAAAATGATGAAATTATATTAATTATCTTCTCTGATCACAGTGGAATAAAACTAGAAATCAATAACAAGAGGAGTTTTGAAAGCTATGCAAACACACAAAAATTAAAGAATATGCTCCTGAATGACCAGTTGTCAATAAAAAAATTAAGACAGAAATTTAAAAATTTCTTGGAATAAATGAAAATGGAAACACAATGCACCAAAACCTTGGGATACAGAGAAAGCACTCCTAAGAAAGTAGTTTATAGCAATAAGCACCTATGAGAAAAAAGGAGTAAACTTCAAATAAATAACCTAATTATGCATCTTAAAGAATTAGAAAAGCAAGAGCAAACCAAACCCAAAATTAGTAGAAGAAAAGAAATAATAAAGATCAGAGCAGAAATCAATGAAATTAAATTGAAAAAAAAAACACAATACAAAAAGTCAATAAAGTTAAAAATTGAGTTTTTCAAAAGATAAACAAAACCAGCAAACCTTTACCAAGACTAAGAAGTGAAGAAAGAAGTCCCAAATAAATAAAATCAGTATGGATAAAGGAGACATTACAACTGATACCACAGAAATTCAGAGGATCAATGGAGGTTAGTATGAGCAAATATATGCCAATGAATTGGAAAACCTAGAAGTGGATAAATTCCTAGACACATACAACCTACCAAGATTTAAACAAGAAGAAATCTAAAACCTAAGTAGGCAAACAACAAGTAATGTGATCAAAGCCATAGTAAAAAGAATCCCAACAAAGAAAACCACAGGACTCCGCAGCTTCACTGCTGAATTTTACCAAACATCTAAAGAACTAGTACCTATCCTACTCAAACTATTCCAAAAAACAGAATAAATAAATAATACCAATCCTACTCAAACTATACCGAGACACAGAATAGGAGAAAATATTTCGAGATTCATTTTGCAAGGACAGTATAACCTTGATACCAAAACCAGACAAAGATACATTAAAAAAAAAAAGAGAACTACAGGACAATATCCATGATGAACATTGATGCAAAACTACTTAACAAAATACTAGCAAACTGAATTCAACAAAACATTAAAAAGATCATTCATCTTGACAAAATAGGATTTATCCTAGGTATGCAGGTATGATTTGACACATGCAATTTTTTTTATTATTATACTTTAAGTTCTGGGATACATGTGCAGAATGTGCAGGTTTGTTACATAGGTATACACATGCTATGGTGGTTTGCTGCACCTCTCAACCCATCATCTACATTAGGTATTTCTCTTAATGTTATCCCTCCCCTAGCCCTTCAACCCCTGACAGGCCCCAGTGTGTGATGTTCCTCTATATGTGTCCATGTGTTCTCATTGTTCAGCTCCCACTTATAGTGAGAACATGTGGTATTTGGTTTTCTGTTCCTGTGTTAGTTTGCTGAGAATGGTGGTTTCCAGCTTCATCCATGTCCCTGCAAAGGACATGAATTCATCCTTTTTTATGGCTGCATAATATTCCATGGTGTATATGTGCCACATTTTCTTTATCCAGTCTATCACTGATGGACATTTGGGTTGGTTCCAAGTCTTTGCTGTTGTGAACAGTGCTGCAGTAAACTTATGCATGCATGACATATGCAAATTAATCCATGTGATACATCATCTCAACAGAATGAAGGACAAAAACCATATCATCATTTCAATTGATGCTAAAAAATTTGATAAAATTCAACATGCCTTCATAATAAAAATGCTCAAAGAACTGGGTATAGAAGGAACATATCTCAACATGATAAAACCCATATATGACAGACCAAGAGCTAGTATCATACTCAAAGGCAAAAAACTGAAAGCCAGTCCTCTAAGATCTGGAACAAGACAGGAATGCCTGTTTTATCACTGTTATTCAACACTGACTGGTAGTCCCACCTACAGCAATCACACAAGAGAAAGAAACAGAGTACATCTAAACTGGAAAGGAAGAAGTCAAATTATACTTTTTTGTAGATGTTATAATCTTATATTTGGAAAAACCTAAAGATTTCACCAAAAAACCCTGTTAGAACTGATAAACAAATTCAAAAATTTTCAAGATACAAAGTCAACATACAAAAATTGGTAGCATTTCTATATGCCGACAATGAAAAATCTGCAGAAGAAATCAAGAAAGTAATCCCATTTATAATAGCTACAAATAAATATAATAGCTACAAACAAAATAAAATACCAAGGAAGAAACTTAACCAAAGAAATGGAAGATCTCTACAATGAAAGCTATAAGACATTGATGCAAGAAATTAAAGAGGACAGCAAAAAAGAAAAAGATATTGCATATTCGTGAATTGCAATAATCAATATTGTTAAAATACCCCTACTACCCAAAGCAGTCTACAGATTCAATGCAATTCATGCCAAAATACCAATGACATTCTTCGTGAAAATAGGGGAAAAATCCTAAAAATTTATATGGAACCACAAAAGACCCATAATAGACAAAGTCATCCTGAGCAAAAAGTATAAAACTGGAGAAATTACATTACCTGACTTCAAATTATACTACAGAGCTATTGTAACCAAAACAACACGGTAGTGGTATAAAAAAGGTACAAAGACCAATAGAACAGAATAGAGAAGCCAGAAATACCACACACCTGCAGTGAACTCATTTTTGACAAAGATACCAAGAACATACACTGGTAAAAATACAGTCTCTGCATTAAATGGTGCTGGGGAAACTGGATAACCGTATGCAGAAGAGTGAAACTAGACCCCTATCTCTCACCATATACAAAAATCAAATCAAAATGTATTAAAGACTTAAATATAATACCTCAAACTATGAAACTACTATAAGAAAAAATTGGAGAAAATCTCCAGGACATTGGAGTGGGCAAAGATTTCTTGAGTAATACCCCACAAGCACAGGCAACCAAAACAAAAATGGACAAATGAGATCACATCAAATTAAAAAGCCCTTGCATAACATAGGAAACAATCAACAGACAACTCACAGAATGGGAGAAAATAATTGCAAACTATTCATCTGATAAGTGATCAATAACCAGAATATATAAGGAGCTCAAACAACTCAATAGGGAGAAATGCAATAATTCTATTTAAAAATGGGCCAAAGATCTGGATGGATATTTAAAAAAAAAAGACATACAGATGGCAAACAGTTATAGGAAAAGTTGCTCAACATCACTGATCATCAGAGAAATGCAAACAAAAACTACAATGAGATATCATCTCTCCCCAGTTAAAATGGCTTATGTCCAAAAGGCAGGCAATAACAAATGCTGATGAGAATGTAAAGAAAAATCAATCTTTGTACACTACTTGTCAGAATATAAATTAGTACATGTTGGTGGGAATGTAAATTAGAATGAAGAACAGTAAAGAGCCTCTTCAAAAAACTAAAAACATAGCTGCCAATTCCACTGGTATATACTCAAAGGAAAGAGAATTAGTATGTTGAAGAGATATCTATACGCCTATGTTTATTGCAGCACTATTCACAATAGACAGTATTTGGAAGGAAACTATGTGTCTATCAGCAGACAAATGGATAAAGAAAATATGGTACATATACACAATGGAGTACCATTCTGCCATAAACAAAGAATGAGATTCTGTCATTTCCAACAACATAGATGGAACTGGAGAAGATTACGTTAAGTGAAATAAACCAGGCACAGAAAGACAAACTTTGTATGGTCTCACTTATTTGTGGGAGCTAAAAATGAAAACAATTGAACTCATGGAGATAGAGAGTAGAATGATGGTTACCAAAGGCTGGGAAGGGTAGTGGGGACATGGGGAAATAAGGATGGTTAATAGGTACAAATATACAAAGAATGAGCAGGATCTAGTAGTTGATAGCACAATGGGGTGACTACAATCAGCAATAATTTCTTGTGCATTTCAAAATAATGGAAGAGTTTAATTGGCTTATTTGTAACACAAAGAATAGTTAAATGCTTTATGTAATGGATACCTTATTTACAGTGATGTGATTATTACACTTTGTATGCCTGTATCAAAATATCTCGTGTATACCATAAATATATACACTTACCACATACCTACATAAATTTTTTAAAAAGTTATGCAAAGCAATAATATATTGATAAAGATTCTGATAGATTTGTTAGGAATTTCCTTTTTACCCTTTATTCTTTTCACAATATAATATTTATCACTTTAAATTAATTGAGTTAGAGTAAAATAAGTTAATAAGTCAGCAACTGTATCTAGTGTTTTAAAACTTATGACTAGCTGGGTAGTCACTGTAACAATTACATGATGAAAACTGATTTTAATCCCTTTTTCCTCTACTCTGCTGAAGATAAACACCAGTCACACTGGCTCTTGGCATATTGATGATTAGATTCAGGAAAAACACCCTTACAGCTAGAGATGGGCTGAATATATGAAAGCTATCAAATATAGCAGCAGCCCTTTATCTTCGGCAATGCCCCAAAGACAGAGAAACAAATGGTCAAGCAATGTCATTGGAGAAATAGTTCAAATTATCCAAGATAAATGTGACAACACAGTAATCTATTAGAATATTGTTTGCATGCTTGTTTTTATTTCATTTAGTATTTATTTCATTTAGTATTCTATGACTTGGTCTTCTAGCTGCTCAGGTAATTAGTAATGAGAAGGATGGGACTTAGACATCACTATTCACCTGAAGGAATCAATGGTTTTATTATCACACTATAGGTTATTTGACCTGAAAATAAAATGTGCAGGAATATTTTTGGAATTTCAGTTACTCTATTGTCATAAATATCCAGTCCAAGATAAAAATCTGTACACTAGTGACATAATTCTAGTCATATTTTATATTTTTGTTTTATGTGTTGGTGTTTTGTTGTTGTTGTTTTTAAGAAAAACCCAGTCATTATCACAATAAATTCTAAAACAAATACAATTTCAATGATTGTATTAATTTCTATTACTTTTCATATCCATTTGCCAAAACCACTTTTTTTTTTGAGATGGAGTCTCATTTGCTCTGTGGTCCAGGCTGGAGTGCAATAGTGCAATCATGGCTAACTACAACCTCCACCTCCCGGTTCACATGATTCTCCTGCCTCAGCCTCCCAAGTAGCTGGGATTAAAAGTGCCTGCCACCATGCCTGGCTAATTTTTTTTTTTTGTTTTTGTTTTTTGTTTTTTTGAGACGGAGTCTCGCTCTGTCACCCAGGCTGGAGTGCAGTGGCGCCATCTCAGCTCACTGCAAGCTCCGCCTCCCGGGTTCACACCATTCTCCTGCCTCAGCCTCCTGAGTAGCTGGGACTACAGGTGCCCGCCACCATGCCCGGCTAATTTTTTGTATTTAATAGAGACAGGGTTTCACTGTGTTAGCCAGGGTGGTCTTGATCTCCTGACCTCGTGATCTGCCCGCCTCGGCCTCCCAAAGTGCTGGGATTACAGGCGAGAGCCACCGTGCCTGACTAATTTTTGTATTTTTAGTAGAGATAGGGTTTCACCATGTTGACCAGGCTGGTCTCGAACTCCTGACCTCAAGTGATCTGCTCACCTCGGCCTCCCAAAGTGCTGGGATTATAGGCGTGAGCCACTGCAGCTGACCTCCACAACCACCATTATTGAAACTTTTAAGTAACTATGATCTCAGATCACCTGTGGCCCTCACTGTGGCAGGTCCCACAATAGCCTTTTGTTTCTACTATTTCTAATTTTCTCAGACATGGTTTCCAAGATAATTGGATTATGTCTTGTCTCTACCTCATTATACAAAATTCATGTGTCAACTCGTATCTTAAATGTGAAATTGTTCTCATAGAGTCATCCAGTAGTATGCTAGTTGCTAAATGTTCATTTTTAATCTTTATTTAATATCCCTAGGCTGTGACCTTGTTTTGATTTTTACCCAGTTACTTAGTTTACATTATCTCCTGATAGTATCTCATCCATGCCTGAGATTGAGTTTAACCACAGCCCATATGTGGTATGCTAACTGTATCTGTGGCCCACCTCTATCCCAAACTCCAGGGTTACACCACTGGAGGGACCACAGGCATTGCAAATACAGTGTGTCTCAACAGAACTCATTACAAATGAAATCAACTCATTTTATACTTGAATTTACTTTTGAATTTGTTGGTATGAGCTTTTCTCCTGTCAGTCAACTTAGGAACCTGGGTACTACTTCTGGCCTCTCTTACTCTCAGCAAACATATGTAAAATTTCCATGTTTCACACATTTTACTCCCCAATTATTACTTAAATGCTCTTTCTCTGTTTCTGTGGCTGCCGTTGGCCATCCAGGATTTCAGTAACAGCCGCAATTGACGTTCTTGTGGCCATCCTTGCCTCCATTCTTGCCTCCCACCGATGAGTGAATGATACCGCAAAGAGGTGATCTATGCAAAATCAACATCTGACCAGAGCAGCTATAATGGTTCAGTATTTGGTTATTTCATGCCAAATAATGTTTTCTAGCTCCTAAGAAGAGTGCTTTTCACTGCGTTTCATGATCTGCTTCTGCCCACGCGTTAGTCCCATCTCCGCGCACTTTTCCTTCCTGCCTTCCAAATATTACGCTCCAGCTTGAGCGAAGTACTTAATGTTCCCTACATGGTGCTGTTCCAAGCTTCCATAGTTTCATCTCTGCATTCTCTCAGCCTGGAAAATGTTTTCCTTTCCTCTTTGGGAGGGATAATTCTTTTCTAGCCTTTAAAGATCTAATCAGATGTGATAAGCTTCACTTTTGCCAACACTTTCCCTACCCCAAGAGGAGCTTTCCTTTCCCATCCAAGAGGGTTCTGTTTTCTCCTCTGTCCTGGCACCAACACAGAGCACTGGAAATCGTCCTGTCGAAGTGTGTCTTCCCCGCTAGTCTGGGAGTTTCTTGAGCTCAGAAATGATGTCTCTTCAGCCTTCAGTCAGCATTAGCACAGTGAGTGGAACACAGTCAAAACTGAAAATGCAAAATGTGTTTGAACTAGATAGAGGTGGTGGTTTCGCAGCATTGTGAATGTACGAAATGCCACTGAGTTTTTCACTTTAAGATGGTCAATTTCATGTTATACAAATTTCACCTGAATAAAAAAGAAAAAGAGAAGATGTATATTTGTTTAGAGGTTCATTCAAAACATTTAGATTCAGTGGGTGAATAAACCTTATTTAGAAGACACTGAAATGTTTTGGAGGTCAGTATCAACTGATTTGGAGTGGGGATTGTTGCTGAATAAACATAACCTCCTCACACTTGTTTGAATTTCTAAAGACTGTTATCACAGACGCCCTGGAAAGCTTTAGCTCTGAATAAGTGATAGGATGGAAATTTTCCTATGTGAATTGGGATGAGGTCACATAGCAAATGACTAAGCCATACATTTGGTTATAGCTAAATGAGCCAACTTACATAATAGCGATTTATAAACCCTAAAGCCTTATTCAAATACAATGCAATCTCTATGATAATTATTATAAGAATATTAGGTAATGCCAAATATCGACTTGGCTAATGTTCAGGGACCCTATAAATTACATTAGCCAATGTATATACTTGCAAGGAAGGCATAATTTATTATTTAAAAAGATTATCTATTTCATTGTTATTTCAGAAGCAGTTTAGTATACTGGATATAATACAGAAGTAGAAGTTTGCACTTGGCTTTGTGTCTCAGTAATGTTTGCTTAACTTTAGACACTAGCTATATTGCACATGGTCATTGAGCATTAATTTCCTTGCAGAGTTATTATCAGTTCTACATAATTTAAATTGATTTTGTGAAATGTGAGACATTATTCAAATGTAATGATCATTGTCTTTGAAGTCAAACAGAAAGAGTCACCTGTATCTTCAACAAATATGCAAAAATTGTAGGATTTTCAAAATATAAACAACACATATTAGAAATAAAGGAGAGAGAAAAATCTTTCCTAACTTTGTAGTCTTTTTTTAAAACCTACTTTCTTTATAGTTAAATAACCTTAATTCACTTTTTGGGGAGATTATAGGAAAATATATTTGAACATATACATAAAAAGAATAAACAGTCCCTGCAATAAATTATTCTTTCTTTTAAAAAATTTATTTTATTGTGTAACAGCTTTAATTCACTTTTTAGATAAACAAAGTAAAGGAATAACTTATATTTCAAGTTGCATATTAAGTTAATGGCAAAGCAAATCAATACATGTATTCAAATTCCATAAGGACTTAGATTTAAAAGGTTTCATATTCTCTTGTATTTTCTATTTATCTTGAAAATATCACCACCTCATGCCAAACCGATTTCAGGAAACTCCTCTATAACCCTTAAAAACTGACAAAAAATAAATTAAAACTCTGAGTATTTTTAATCTGCATGATTTTATTAAACCTCCCTAATATATTTTTTATATATTATTAGAATGTTGATGATACGCTATTTTGATTTCCATATAAAAAAATCATAGCAGTGTTTCTAACTTTGTACCCTTTTATACACTGTAACTGGATAACAGGTTTATATATATATATATCATAGTTATAGTATGAACATTTGAAAATTTTAACCTTAGGATTTTCTCCCTCTGCTAATGCCAAAGAGGGAGAGAGAGTGTGTTAAAATAGCATTTCAACTTGAAATCTCAGAAATAACACCCCAAAAGGCCTATTTCACTTATTTTGTGTTGGAGAATTCTCTTAGATAGTTAATGCCTATTTATATGGTAATTGCTCCCCAATATATGGCTCCTTTTTCTCTTTTCAGCTAGATTTCCATTTTCACCTAATAACACCAGTCACTAACGTACTGTGTGAGTACAAATGATCTTCATGAATAGTACTGAACGAATCAATAAAATGTTCAAGTTTGGCTTAAGCTGAATGCTTAACCGTTCATGAATTAAAATGAGATGAGAGAATACTTGTGAAGCATGGGGCATGACTTTTCTTTCAGTGATTCTTTGAGAAAACTAGCCCACATGACAGTTATGTTCTTTCCACTGTCACTGTTTCACTCTCTTCTAGCCTCAGCAGACCTCTTGGTTCCATTTAAGAAGTTTTGGACATAACAGTGTTGGTAAAGAAATTTATGGCAAATTCCCCCACCTTTAGTGTATAGAACTTATATATTCCACCTGCAGCATACATATTAAATTAAAGAAAAGGAGTAGAAAAAGCCAGCCACAGTTATATAATGGAGGAATAATGTGAAAAGGAAAAGGGAGAGAGGAAACAATAATAATTTTGATAGCCACAACAGCCCATCTGGAGCACTGCTGCCATGTTGCTGGCTGCAGCAGGGGAGGCATGGCCAGGGCTGCATGCTCCAGGGAGCAAGCGGGGAGCCAGGAACAGGCAGAAGCCCCACCCCTTCTGAGTTGGAGGGTTGGGAGCCCCGCCCTCCCAGGCACAGCTGCAGCCACCCAGCTGCAGCTGCAGACCTGGGTATCCCTCCACTCTGGGAAACCTGGGAAGCCCTCCTGCCCCCACAGGCAACTCCTGCTGCCTGGCATCTTCACATTCTTGGTGCTCACTCTGATTTTGGAGTAAAGTTGGGGCTGAGCCCCAGCACTGTTGCAAGCTGGCCATGTGGGCACACACTTGGGGTGGTGCTGACATGCCAGCTCCCTGATGTCTTGGCCATCTCTGGACTTTGGGTGCCAATGGGCATGAGAGGGAGGCCAAGGGGGTACTGAGGGTGGCTTGGCATGTGTCTTCAGGTGTCCATTGGTACGAATAGCCTGGGCACCCTGGAGGTTGATGGCAGCAGGAGGCAGACAGGCTTCTGGGTGGAAAGGGGTGGGTCCTTGGTGAAGTCCCACTTTCAAGCCAGGGATGGCCTGAGGCCTGGTGGCTGGGCTCTCAGTTCCACAAACTGGAGTGAGAACTTATCACCACCCATGAACTAATCAGCATGCACTTCCTCCCCTCTGAAGCCCATAAAAACACCGGACTCAGCCACACTCAGATGATGGGATGACCTTCCTGTGGCTAGGAGCTACCCACTCTGGGTTTCCTCTACCCTGAGTGCTGCAGAGACAATGGTGTGACCTGCCTGTGGAAACGAGCTACCCACTTCAAATCTTCTGAGAGCTGTACTGTCCTCAGTAAAGGACCTTTTCACCTTGCTCAACCTCCAGTTGTTTGCATACCTCATTCTTCCTGGATGCAGGACAGGAACTCAGGACCTGCCAAATTGTGGGACTAAAAGAGCTTTAATACAAATGGGTCTGAAACATGTCCACCTCCACTCACCATGTTGTGGGTGACAAGAGGGAGAGAAGACAGAAAGAGAGGAGAGCTGCAGCCCTTTGGGGAGCCCAAATCTAGGAGCTCTGTGAGCCAGGGCTGTGACACCCTTTTTGGGGCTCTGTGGTTCCTGTTGTCTCCAAGCTTCTGGGCACCATTGCATTCCCTGGTACCTGCAGTGGAAGCTGCTTGTGGTATACCTGGTCCAGATGCAGCATCGCAGCGAGCTGGTGTGTCTGGCTGTGCACAGTGACCAGACCCTGTGCTCACTTGCTCACACACCCTTCACTGCTCTGTGCCTGGCTCACCTTTGGCAGGTGTGGGAGTAGTATCAGCTGAGCACAGCCTGCCAGGCCTAGTGGGTAGAATGAGCCCAGTGGGCCTTATCAAAACTCGGGCAAAGATGCCACTGCCCACAGAGGTTTCTGACTGGTGAAGTGACACCCCAAGGATCCTGTGACACTTTAAGGTTTATATATTCAATCTTTATTTAACAAATATTTATTGTGTACCTATTATGTCCCAAGCAGTCTTTTTTCTACTGGCAATGTAACAAATAAAATAAACAATTTTAGTTCTCTCCCTATAAAAGAATGTATAAGCAGTTTATATACATAAACAATAAGATTGTAGGCTGGGCATGGTGGCTTATGCATGTAATCCCAGCACTTTGGGAGGCTGAGGTGGGTGGATCATGAGGTCAAAAGATCGAGACCATCCTGACCAACACGGTGAAACCCTAGCTCTACTAAAAAAATTAAAAAATTAGCTGGGCATGGTGGCATGCACCTGGAGTTGGGAGGCTGAGGCTGGAGAATCGCTTGAACCTGGGAGGCAGAGGTTGCAGTGAGCTGAGATTGCACCACTGCACTCCAGCCTGGTGACAGAGCAAGACTTCGTCTCAGGGGAAAAAAAAAAAAAGGATTGGTAATTTTTTTTTCTGAAGAGAGCCAAGAGGGTGGTGTGGTATGATAAAGAGTGACAGGAGGAAGGCCACTGACTAAGAGTTCATGAAAGCCTATTTGAGGAGAAGGCTTTTGAACTGAGACCTGAATGAGAATCAAGCAGCAACTGTGACTATGTGCAGGACAAGTGACCTAGGCACAGGCAATGCGTGTGCCCTTCTGTCTGCAGCTGGTGCTTTGAACGCACAAACAGAAACTAGAGGTCCTGGAGAAAACTGAGCGAGGAAAGAGGCAGGAGCCAGGTCCTTCAGGCCCTCCAGGTCATGATAACAAAGTGACGATGCAGTTTTATCACAGAAAAAAAGAAAATGTATTCAAGGAGTTTAGCAGTGTCCTGCACAGAACAGGAGCTTAATGAACATGAGATCAATGGCTTTCAAGTGTGACTGTGCAATCACATTGCCAGGGCAACTTTTCAAAGAGCCTGAGTCTCAAAGATGAAAAATGCCAGGAGTGGGATGGCCAGGCCATGATTCTAACATGTAGCAAAGGTTTTGCACAAAGTATTTTGCAGAGTACTTTATTACATTTCATTATTACTATAAGTGGTAAGAATGCTCACTTGGTTGCTTTATAGACAAGAGTTTCTGAGAGATTAATAGAATTCTGGGCCATTTTCATTTTTTAAAGCTTCTGGTATATATATTTTTAAAAAGAATAAATGTCAAAATAAGGTTATAAATTTTATGATAATCTATGAAATTAATGTTTTTAAGTTGAAAAAATAGCTAAAATGCAATGGTTTCTACAATGTCCAGGATAAATGGAATTCATTCACACCTGCTTTGGCAGAGTTCCAGATTTGGTAACACTCTGGGAGCAGTATTGAGCCCCCAAAGTATAGCATGAGTGTATGCTTGTGTTTGCAAGGAGGGACTGGGCGTGGGTGAGAGGGAATAACAGGCTCTGCTCTAGAAAACCAAGAAAGAGCCGCTGCTTTTGTTCAACATGAGCTGCTCCAAAGTCCAGGTAGATGAGGTATCCCAGACAGCTGCGCTTCTTCCCTCCTCTCTTTTCAAGGATTTAGCTCTGCCTGGGGCTTACAAAAAGGATTGGAAATTTTCAGGTGAACATATGTGGTTTAAGGAGAAACTTGCCTGCCAGGCAACCTGGGAGTCTTAATCTGATCAGACCTCACTCTTGTCCTGGCAGGTCTAGTCCCTGCCCTCGAGGCCTGGGCCTGGGCCCGGGCCCAGCTTCCATCCTTCACTTCAGTTCTGCAAATTCTCACTCCCACTCATGTTGGAAGGGAGAAAGCTAGTCCATCTCACAGAGTGAACCTCAGCAGAGGGTGCAAGAAGACCCTGCCTGGGAAGGCAGGCTGAGATACCAGCGTTTTGATGGGAAACATTTAAATATTTAGACATAGCATGCAACATAAGATGTAGGTCTAAATTAAGCATTGTAATTCCAAGTAAGATCATGGTATTTCCTTAAGGACTGTTTGCTGTCTAACTCTAGGTCTCATGTTTCCACTGGGGTTTAATCTGAGCATGATCCACAAATCCCAGGGAAACTGCTTTTCCAATCTGTTTAAGTATATTGGCTTTAGACTTGGGTATGTGGGCCCCTGCTCTTAAACAGTCCTGGATATCTCATGCACATATTATATGCAATTATTAAAGGATGTGTGAGCACCTGTTTTACTCAAGGTTTGGTTCCCAGAGAGTGCAGGAGGCACAGCACAACTCATGCATTCTCTCCTATTAATCTTGTCCTCAGACCCCAGGAAAAAGCTCCTTCACATCTCTCGCCTCATATCAGAAACAGTATGTTTCTGCTTCCCAGAACCAGGAAGTTTTATGGCAAGTGTGCCTGTCTGCTGACATCTGAAAGAACAAGCCTTAGAGTATGGGGCAGCTTGAGTGATAGAAGCCAATTACCTTAAAAGATGTTATCTTCCTACAAACTCCATACTGTTCCCGGATGCTCCACCACACTCAGATCATGTCAGTTAGGAGACACTAAAAGGCTTCTGCCTGCAAATTAAATCATTCATTCACAATATTTTATATGAAACTTGGCAAGATATATCTAAAATTGACATGGAAATGCAAAGACCCAAAAATAGCCAAAGCACTCTTAGAGAAAAATGTGGGAGGACTTGCACTGCCATATATAAAGCCAAGTTTCAAAGCATATGGTTCTGATGCAAGGGTAGATGACAGAACAGGGAAAAAATAGAGTGCTTCAAATAGCCCTGTGGAGATTTGGACACTTGATTTACAACAGAAATGTCACATCGAAGCAGTGGAGGAAAGGCAGTCCTTTCATAAATGGTGTGAAGACGAGAAGCTCCTCACAAACAAAACCCCAAAACTTTGAATGTTATTGCATATTGGACAGAAGAAGTCTGAAACCCACAGAGATTGAACATAGACATGCAAAACACACTCACAAACATATACGAACTAATCGATTAAACAGGCAAATAAATGAATTTAATTTAACTAATAGAATATGACCTCAGTCTAGAAAAATATTTAAGCAGCATACAAAACACACTCATCATAGAGAAAAAATTTACAAACAAAATGGCATTAAATGTAACATCTCTAAATGTAAACCAAAATTCGACATTAAAGAGGGGAAAAGATGTTATTCGCAACACATGTAATCACAAAGACTTATTTTGAGAATATACAGATAACTTCGTGTAAACAAGAAAGAGAGAAAACTCATGAGAACATAAGCTAAAGCTCCAAACAGGTGTAAGTTAACATATACAAGACACAAAGTGGGATATTCTAATGATTTAAATGGTCAGTATACATAAAGAAATGTGCTTCACCTTATCAGTAACCAAGGAAATACAAATTAAACAGTAATAAAATTTATTATAACATCCATAAGAATGGCTAGAATTTAAAGAACCAGGGGATGGCACACAAGGAGAAATCATAAAATTCTCATATATTGATAGTAGATATATAAATTGTTATAATCATTGCAGAAGATAGGAACTCTTGATTAATTTTAAGATGCATATGTCATATGACTAAGCAATTTATTCCTCAAGGTATACAATTAAAAATATTCTGACACACGTTAAAAAAGTTAGGAAGACATTATTCAAGACTGCTGTGAAGGGAAAAGAGATTGGGCTCCTGATAGAGGAGAGATATCTGAGGATTTATATCAAAGAGCAGAGTGAGGCAGTCAGTGGATAGAAAATTACTAAGGGTAGGGGGATTCTTGATAAACTGACCTAAGAGGTTTCTTGCAAAAGGCAAGCCAAGGACTTAAACATAAAACGTGGTCAGATATCAAGGGTGGGAGGGTTCTCAAACTGGCTTAGCGGAATACTGGCTAATACTGTACTAAGGAGGCTGAGGGCAGGATGGGGCCAAGGTGGAAGCCTTATTGAGAAGAGGGCTCAAAGGAGCCTGACTGAAGTTTGGTTAAGAAGAGAGTCTGTCAATACTCAACAAAAATATAGGTGTATGTGTTCCAGGAGAGATATAATGTGAATGTTCATAGGGTCATTATTCATAATTGACATAATTTCAAAATAATCTAAATGTTGATCAGCAGAAGCATGAATAAATAGAATGTGGTATATTTACACAATAAAATACTTTGAAATGCATGACATATAATTATACAACATAATACAAATGAATTCAAAAGCATCATGTTTAATGTGAACAAATGATGAAAGGCAAAATGTATATATATATATGTGTGTGATTCCAATTCTATGAAATTAACCACAGTTATACTATAATATGTAGGAATGTAAACTTGGGTGGTGAAAAGGCAAACAATGAATTGATGCCATAATATTCAGATAAGTAGTCATTTTTTAGAGGTTAAAGGGAGGGTTATGATAGAAACAAACCTCTGAGGGTATGCTGGCTTTCTGTCAATATTCTAGTCCTTGCTCTGGGTAGTAGTTATGTATGTGTTTGCAATGGAATAAGTCAATAGCTGAATAGTTTTCCTTAATATATTTTTGGCATGAGTTAGTATTTTATAATAAAAAGAGTTGACACCTCTGTTCAACTGAATTTTTAAGCATTTTTATAAAGTATAATATTTAGAGTTGAGTTTCCTGTTAGCTTTTAAGAACATTTCTAGTCATTTTTCATATAAAAATCAGAAATATCATTAATTATAATGTCACCCATGCCATTTTTTCCTACTATTTTTTCTTGTATATATATATATATTATGCTATAATTTGGAAAAAAGTAGTTGCACTGCTATAATCATATCTTCTTTTGAAAAAGGAGAATAAAACTCCAGTTTTCATATTTCTTTTCAGAAGTGTTAATTATTGATCTATTTAAATTTCAAAATACTTTATTTTTATTGTCCCCTAAATTCTCCATTTCCTTAATGCAAGACCAACTTTGCATTAAGACTCAGAGACTAAATGACTAAGCCTTGGAGACAAACATAATATGACCAAAAATCTTCATGTCAATCAATTTAGTGGTTCTGGGAAGGCCTTGAAAAAAATTGAGTAGACTTATTTTTTTATGACTAGTTTTTTGTTTTATTTTGTTTTTGTTTTTTGTTTTTTGTTTTTTGCGAGACGGAGTCTCGCTCTGTCACCCAGGCTGGAGTGTAGTGGCATGATCTTGGCTGACTGTAACCTCTGCCTCCCAGGTTCAAGCAATTCTCCTGCCTCAGCCTCCCAAGTAGCTGGGATTACAGGTGCCAACAGCCACACCCAACTAATTTTTGTATTTTTAGTAGAGATGGGGGTTTCACCATGTTGACCAGGCTGGTCTCCAACCCCTGACCTTGTGATCCACCCACCTCGGCCTCCCAAAGTGCTGGGATTACAGGCGTGGTATTACTAGTTCTTAGAATATGCCTAAATTCTTCCAGCTCAATAATACATTCTGTTTTTGAAATTGGAAATTGCTAGACCTCTTACTTTGATTTAGTAATATTAAAAGCTTATCTAAAAGCATTAAATCAAGCAAATAAATCATTTTAATTATGGCGAGTTATATATGTATATATTTATGATTGATACTTTCATTATGCTTTTGAGAATTTGAAAACATTAGTGGGAATTCTTATTCATGTCAGAGTGATTTATACTTCAAATTTTGGAGAAGATTTTACTATCTTATTTAATGATAAAGGCAGTAATAGTATTGTGTTACTCCAGCAGTTCAATTAGTGGTGTCATTCAATATCTTGCTTCTCTTACTCAAAAGCAACAAATAGATGTCTATCATAGACCACAGTGCATTAGATATTGAGCATCATTTGTAATTGACCAAGCTTAGACTAAGGCTTGGTGACAGTAGGACAGCTCCATCTCAGAGAGATAGTGACACAGATTGTGACACAGAGAGCGACATGGATAGCGACACAGTGTCACTGTTTAGAAGAATTGAAAGGTGAAGGGTGCTTTCAGGAGGAAAAAGGAAAGTTATTTCCATCATGAATATTGATTTTACTTTATGCCGTGCAACTGAAAATAGTTTAGAAAAGCATGTTTTTCTTAAACCTTCATCATTATTGCATTTTTCTAGGCAGGTAGCACACTAAGGAGTGTCTACAGGAGACGAGAATGAAAAATCAATGGATTGAGAGTTCTTTCCACATTACTGCGTAGTAAATAGCCTGGTAATAAGACTTCAATAGCTTGGTAATAAGGATTTACACAAATAAAAAACAAAATGGTTTAATTTAAATGTGAAACATTGTAAGCCTTTTAAAAAAACAAAACTTCATAAGCATACTTAGTAGAAAAAGGAGGGGACAAAGAGTATACCAGACAATAGAAATGATGATCTTCACCAGCGGTTTTGACTTTGGCTTAGAAAGTTATTCTCATCCTTGTTTTTTTCCTTATGGAATGACTTCAAGCCATACAGTTCACAACTATTCTGCGGTGGTGGTGTCTCCATTACCTCAATATAAGTGGGATGTATTTTGTATGTATACATCATGCTATCTTTGAATACAAATTAAGTGTTCAAACAATTCTAGGAGTAATTTCCAGGTAGACAGTTTTAAACAGTAAATTGATCACTGGCTTGATAGGGTTATGGGAATTGTTAAAATGGTAACACTTGTATGAAAACTTTGCTAATTAAATTTTAAACACTTTAAGATTACACCTACCATTTATTGAATGTTTATAGTATACCAGGTGCTTGTCCCTATAACAATACTCTGGGTAGTAAAATCCCTGTTTTAGAAATGAGTGAATTGAAGCTTCAAAAGGTGAACTTAGTCGCCGATTCCCTCAGCAAAGAGTACGCAGAGCTGACCTAGCAACCCCAATCTGTCTGACTGCAGAATCTGTATGCCAACTACAGAAAAATGAAATAATATGGTCTTTGAAGCATAACATATCATTATTCATCGATGATCAGAATGAGACTTGAAAGTGGTCTTATTATGCTTTATTCACTTCACAATGCTCTAATGCTGATGGCAATGGTATAATTCTTAGTACAAACTATTATGCTACAAATGCTCATCATATTCAGTGAACAACATTTACGTCTACATATTGAAATGTGCAACTCACGAGATGAACATGAAATCAGTTGTGATGGATCCGTCTGTGTTATGGCACCAAAGCACGTTAGAAATAAAAGGACACCAATTAGCACCAGGCCAGAGCGTACCTGGGAAACTTTGCACGCACTGGCTCTTGCCCATGGAGACTAATTGTATCTGAGAAATAGTTAATACGCAAGTGTTAATTTCACAAGATAGGATGGAGTCATTTAGACAATGAAAATCCCTGCAATTGTTTTTCTCAATTGCTGAAGCTCACATTCAAATGGGATGCTTTGCTGTGGAGAACAGGGGTCAGCATGGACTTATTAAGGATTCTGACATCTTGTCCTCAGATGCTCCCCTTTATTTAGCTTAAGTCACCAATACAATAAAAATATGGAATAAACTAGAATAAAATGATACACTTGTGAGAAAGTTTCTCCTCATCTATTCGTTTTAAAATGTGCTTTTTAAAAAATAATTATAAAACTAATTTGTGGCAAATTAGTTTTTAAAAGAAAAATTATATATAAGAAAATAAAAATGCCCTACAGATAACCATTGTTAACATATTAGCACAATATTTTTTCTTTCATATTCATATATATTTATGTTTATATAGTATTGAAACTGCATTTTAAAGCCTATATTGCAAACATTTCTATGGCCATCAACATTCTTTGTACATATAATTTTTAAGGACCGAATCCTTTTTATAATTCTAAATATTCACATTTATATATATATAATTTATACATTATATATATCACATTATATATATAAATTATCACATTTATAATTCTAAATATTCACATTTATATATATTTATATATACATCACATTTATATATATATAAAATTCTAGAATGAAAATAAATGTATATATACACACTAATTTTATATATATATTTGTCATTAATATATAATATATATTTATCACTAATTTTCTAAAGTTAACAGCCAGGTAGTTTTTTACATATGGAGTTTTGTGTCAGGATAAATGGTGATTGTTAAAACTCTTAAAATGTGTTTTTAATTTTCCAAAATACTAAAATATCCTTTAAAAAACCCTTTAGTATTTATTTTTCTGCTCTCATATCCCAGCACAGACTCTTGCACAGAATAGATACTAAATAAAAGGATTTTAGAACTGAACTGACTGGTATTGTTTGGGCAAATGGAACCAATTTATACCCTTGACAGCAGTATATGAAAACAATGTTATAATAGCATTGAGAGTACGTATTATAAAACATTTATAAGTTTTAAAATCACTACCTTTTCATTTCATTTTGTATAACCTTTGATTAAAGAGTGCTCCTTTTATTTGTTATTTTATCTGTTTTCATTATGATATAACCGGCTGCACACTTTTTAAATATTGGCAAAATTTGAGGTGGACAAGCTCTGACCTCTATTTGGTGCAATGTTTTGGCCTTGGTGATAACACTCATTTGGACTGGATGTGAAGTTGCTTTAAGCATTCTAAGGCTAAAAATGTGTGCTTACTTCATAACTCTTCTACATAGTCTGTTATGTGTCAGAAGGCTCACATTCTAAACAGAATAGGAAGCAAAGTCACCATTAATAAACCACATGTTCTAAGGCCAGCAGAGAAAACAACAAAAAGCTGCATAGAAATACCTGCCGTTGTAAATGTGCAAACTGCGGAGTTTTAGTTTAATGTTAGTTTTAGCTAACAAATTTCTCTCCATTCCCTAACATCTACTCACTTCCTGACTTATAGTATATTCTCAGTAAATATTATTGAATGAATAACATAACTAATAGCTTACAAAATGGAAGGATTGGGTTCAGGTTTAGGGTGATAAGGGCTAAAGGGTGCTATACTCCAGGAAAAACCTGTTTTCCTCTGACTTGCCTCATTTATTTTTACTCCAGTGGTCAGAATCGAATGGTTTTACTCCAGCAATTGGCAAACAAAATTAACCTTCTAGGGATGATTACTCAGCCAATCAGGTCACCGCACATCTCCCGTTCTCTTTCCTTGTCTCATTCCTTCCAAACCCCAAGTCCTACCCCTGGCCCTTTTAGAATCCCAGTCCAGCATCAACAAAATCGCCTGCATCCTCAGCCTCTCCAGAGACTGGCCCTTCATCCTCTGGCTCCTATGGACTCCGCCCAGTCGCCTCCTGAGGGCCCGGCTTCTCCGGCAGCCCTCTGAAACAGGGGCTCTTCTTTCTCCCACAGGGCTTTTAGTACAGGACCTGGAGAAATGGACCTCCCTTCTCACTGCTGCACTCAGATCACACCACGCCCCCCTTCCTAAAAACCTTCCCATTTGAATCCCGCCTCAGCAGATTGTGTCAGCCACTGTTCCTTACAGTTGTTGTCATATGCATATCCCCTAGCGGTTCTCCCTCATTTTGATGGTTTTAGCTCCTGACTCATTGCCACTCTGTCCAAAATATCCCTGTCTTAACATGGATGATCCTTCCAACACCCTATCCTCAAGGTATTTAAAATCCTCTCTTCTGATGATCTTGACAGGCACACACCCGACCTCACTCACTCACAGCCATGGCCAATCTCTGACTTTGCCATCAGCAACAATGCCAGACCCTCCATTGTCTCAGCACCTGCATCACATTCTCCGACCACCACTTCCCATACTTTCAGCTCCATCCCTTTAGCAGCCCTGTTCCAACCGTACTTGCACCCTCCCAGGTTCTCTAATCTGTTGGTTCTACATCTGAAGCCTCCTTTCCTTAACTACTTCGTTTAACCCTCTGCTTACTCACTATAATCACTTCCACCCAAACACTCTCAACTCCCTTGCCCCGACCTGTTTCATCGTCCTCACCGGAGAATACCACAATCTGAGATAATCCACAAGCGTTGCTTGCATTTCCACAGTTCACATAGCTGGAGGAATATATGCAACCATGATGACTGAATTTGCCCTTCAAATTTATCACTAGGAACTTCAAAAGTGTCGTTAGCGATTCATGGTAATCATGACATACTTTCCTAGCTCATTTACTCCCTTATTTTCTGCTCCTCTCTTCCCAGACACCCAGCACCGCTTTCCCATTTTTGTTCTCTATTTTCTTTTCACTGAGAAAATTAAGCCTTTAGAATATAACTTTGCAGACTCTCACTATCACATCCATTCACTTTCTAGCATCTGCACCCATATACTTTGCATTCCTGCTGTTCACACAGATGAATGAGCCATGATCCCATCTGAGACAATCCCCTCCATCTGTACACTGGATTCCATCACCTCTCACATACACAAGGATATCCTTCAGCAACCCCCTGCTTTTGATATAATTATTTTAGTTAATGTTGTTCTCGGCCACAGCCCCCTTCTCCTGGTGCCACCCGATTTCTTTGTTCCTGTGGCAGCAAAAGTCTTCAGAACAGTTGCCTAAACCATAAAACTCCTGAAAGAAAACATGGGAGAAAATTGAAATGACCTTGTAAGTGGCGATGATTTCTTTAGATACGACACCAAATGCACAATCCGTAAAACTTGATTAAAATTTAAAAAATTCTGATCTGAGAAGACACTATCAAGAGAACATAAAGAAAGACCAGATTGAAAGAAAATATTTGCAAAAGGCATATCTAATAAATAGCCATTATCAAAAATATAAAGAATTCTTAAAACACGACAATAAACAAAATGAACAACTCAAGTAAAAAATGAGCAAAAAACCTAAACAGACACCTCATCAAAGAAAATATACCAACGGTGAATAGGGATATGAAAAGAGGCTCAACTTCACATTCCTTTGGGGAATTACATATTAAAACAGCTTGAGATGCTACTACACACTTATAAGAATGGCGAAAATCGAAAATAAGGAAAACAGCAAATGCTGGCAAGGATGTGGTGCAACAAGAACTCTTATTTATTGCTGATTGGAATGAAAAATGGTCCAAACACTTCAGAAGATAGTGTTGCAGTTTCTTACAAAACTACTTACCGTAAGATGCGACAGTTGTACCCACCTGTATTTACCCAAATGATTTGAAAACCTAGATCTACATGAAAACCTTCACATAGATGCTTATAGCAGCTTTATCCATAATTTCCAAAACTTGAAGGTAACCAAGATATTTCCGTAGTTAAATGGATAAATAAACTATGGTACAACACACAATGGAATATTATTCAGTGCTAAAAAGAAATGATCTATGAAGCCAGGAATAGACATAGGAAATGTAAATTCCTGTTACTGAGTAAAAGAGGCCAATCTGAAAAGGTTACATACTGTTACATACATATGCTTCCAACTATATAACAATCTAATAAAAGGCAAAATGTAGAGATAGTAAAAAGATCAGTGGTTGCCATGGCTTAGGGGAGAAGGAGGGAGGAGAGGACAGATGAATAAGCAGAGCACGGAAGGTTTACAGGGAAATGGAACTATTCTGTGTGACACTCCTACTGTTTTATTTAATAATTCCCTTTTAATTGGATGTCAGATTTAAATGTTAAAATTTCACATTTCAGTTGTGATAGATACGTCTACCTTCCCCCCAAGATATTTATTTCAAATAACTAATATTTCTTGCCAGATCCCAGCAACAAAACTTGCGTCTGTCTCCAGCTGCTCTTGAAATTCTGTAGGGCCATCTGAGCAGATTTTAACAACAGGATCTGAGCAGAAGTGATGTGTGTTTGCCCTGAGTTTTACAATGTTGATATCTTTCCTATGCTTTTATCATCCCATGATTTATTGAAAACAAGTGTGGCAGCTTTATAGAAAATCACAAAGCCACAAAACAAATAGAAAATTCTGGGTCTTTGAACTACCTTTTAGAGAAAAGCTCCTTCACTAATCAAGATAATCTGTTTTGGAATTTATATGAGAGATTGTATAATTATCAATACAAATTGCTCTTTCTTATTCTTTAGCATACTTAAATTTTAAAAAATTATTTTATTTTTGTTTTTTATATATAATAAAAATAACAATCATTTTTTGTGTCTTATAATGAACACATAAAACTTGTTAAATTAAAAAACTATGATAATATTCTATTCACGAAGCTCTCTTAAAAATAGAATTTGTTATGATTTATGTCATCAAAAGCAAGCTGGACGTGATGACATGCACTTGTAATCCCAGCTACTTAGGAGGCTGAGGTGGATGGATTCCTTGAGGCTAGGAGTTGAAGACCAGCCTAGGCAATATAGTGAGACCCAATCTCAAAAAAAGGCAGTAAAACTGATGATAATTCAAGTTAAAATCAATTTGTTGATTACTGCCATGGACAAATTTGACAATCATTCAGAAACAGGAGAGATAAATGGACATTTGAAAACTTTTAACAATCACATTATGGTAAGAAATACTTTTCTTAAAAGAATTCTAAATTATTTTAAATTTTGTAGTTTTCTAATTATACTTTAAAAGATTCCACTAGTCATCTGTTGCTACAGAATGACTATGAAATGCCAAAGCCACAGTTCTGAAAATATATTCGTATTTTTGCATAAAACTCCTTTGATTCATGTTTTTGCATAAAACTCTTTTGTAAAAAAAAAAAATCAATGATTCTGCCAGATAATGGATCCTTAGTTCTTATAAATAAATGGAAAATCTCAGTTGAGCCACATGCATGATACAACAATGACCACGAGCTTCATATAATGCAGAAGATGGGGAGGAATGACCAGCTGAAATTTCTGTCTTCAGAGCCCAAACCCTAGATTATGGGCTCCACAGTAATAGTCGATGCAAAAGCCTCTATGGTAAGATTTAGAGAGCACAGTCTCAATGTTAAAATTAGCAGTGCATGTTCTAGCAAATTATGTATGATAAATTGTATTGTATATTCAAGGTATTATATAATCTAATAAAATATGAGAGATTCATTTTTAATAATATAGAAGGTTATTCCTGGTTTTGATATCTTGCGATGATGTTACTCTTACATTAATCAATAATATATCAAAAAAAATCGTCTCTCGAGATTAAGATGTCAGTGCTCTCATTTAAGTCTGACACAGCTTTCATATATATGTTTCTTTGTCTTTGCAGTTTACTGGAAGATTCCATATGGCCAACATTCAGCTCAAATGCACTTTGATCTGTCCTAACATTTCCCTGTATAACTGAATAGGTTTAGTTTGCTGTTATTCTCTACTGAATCGCCACGGACAGTGGTGGACACAAGTAGTTAAGGGGCCTGTTCACATCAGAATTAAATCTCATCATGTTCTTAGAATATGTACAGCTAATTGTCAAAGCACCAATGATTCCACTCATTTTCTTTCACTGCACTTAACAGGCTGATTTATTTACTTACTCCATAAATTTCCCCACGTCTTTCGCCACTTTTGCTCTTTTCAACTGCTTGCCACCTTCTAGGCAATGCTCTCGCTTTTTTTTCTTTTTCTTTTTTTCTGGCTTCTCCATCTGTCACCAATCAGTTTGTCCTCTGTGTCCATTTTTAGCCAATGAGCATGTGACAGGACTGATTGAAGAACTGTCCAATCACTTTGCACTCTCGTTTAGTAAAACTAATTTTTAATCATTTTATAGTCCTTAAGTGTTTAGGATTTCTGGTTAAAATTTGTGCTCAAAAAATTGATATTGCAGACTTTAAAGTAAGTATTAATTTAGATAAACAACATCCTTGAAATTATGCTTCACTTTCTCTTATTTTAAGAAATTAGAAGTGCCCTGATACTATCATCTATCAATATAAAATATTTATCTTCTATTTTCTTAAAACATAGTGAATAAATATACATACATAATATATAAACATACATATATAATATGATAAACATCCAAACAAATATAATATATAGAGAGAGATATAAGGTATACAGACACAGAGTCAATCCTCATTATTCATAAATTATATATTTGTGAATTTGCCTAATCACTAAAATTTGTTCATGACCCTCAAATCAATACTTGGTGGCTCCATTGCAGTCATTCATGGATGTGCTTGGAGCAGTAAGAAAGTTAGTAGCCAATCTCAGCTGAGGTTGAACAAGGGCACACTCTGCCTTCTTGTTGCAGCTCTCTTACTGGAAACCTATCTCCTTTTCTGCAGTTTACTTTGTGTCATGAGTTTCATGAAATTGTGGGGTTTGCGTTGATGGTTTTGATGCTTGGATGTCCTGCAAGGATAGTGTTGATGTGCTATCTAGTCTTCCCAAGCACAAGAAGGCTGTGAGGTGCTTTATGGAAAAAAAAATGCATGTGTTAGATAAGCCTCATTCAGGCATGAGTTACAATGCTGTTGGCTGGCTGGGCACAGTGGCTCACGCCTGTAATCCCAGCACTTCAGGAGTCTGAGATGAGTGGGCTGCTTGAGCCCAGGAGTTTGAGACTTGCCTGGGCAACGTGGTGAAACCTGTCTCCACAAAAAAAAAAAAAAAAATACAAAAATTAGCCAGGCGTGGTGGCATACGCCTGTAGTTCCAGCTACCTGGGAGGCTGAGGTGGGCATATTGCCTGAGCCCAGGAGGTAAAGACTGCAGTAAGCCGCGGGAAAAAAAAAAAAAAAAAAACCAGAAAGAAAGGAAGAAAACAGTGCTGTTGGTCACAAGTGCTAACTTAATGAATCAAAAATACATATTAAATAGGTGTCTCTAAACAGAAACACATATAAGGTTAAGTATCGATCAGTTTGTAAAAATGTGACCATACATTCACAAAATCTATAATTCCTCTAGGATTTGATGAGTCAATGTTCACAGTGACTTCATAAAACATAACCACCACAAATAATGAGAATCAATTGTATGTATACACTCGCTGGAAATTTAATGTCATCCTCTAAGCCTTTAAATGTGACAAATGTAATGTAAGGACTCTTCTCAGTCTCTAAGACATTTCTGTGGATCTGTGAATCTCCCATTTAAACTATACATCTCTATGACACTGTATTGATGATATATTTTGGGTGTTTGTTCCCTCCAAACCTCTTGTTGAAATGTCACCCCCAGTGTTGGATGTGTTGGAGGTGGGCCTGGTGGGAGGTATGTAGATCGTAGGGGAGAATCCCTCATGAACTGCTTATTGCCTTCCCCTTGGTGATGAGTGAGTGAGTTCCCACTCTGGTAGTTCACACGAGATCTGGCCATTTAAAGGAGTGTAGCACCTGCTCCCTCTCTCTCTTGCTCTCCCCTTCGCCATGTGTGGGGCCTGATCCCCCTTCATCTTCTGCCATGATTGGAAGTTTCCTGAGGCCTCCCCAGAATCAGATGCCGGCACCACATTGCCTGTACAGCCTGCCGAAACTTGAGCCAAATTAAACCTCTTTCCTTCATAAATTACTCATTCTCAGGTATTCCTTTATTGTAACACAGAATAAGATAATTGTTTTCATATATTAAATCAAAATAATTTATCATAACTGATTGTTTCCAGAGGCAGATGTAAAAATCTAGCTGTCTTTTATTAAACCAGATACTGAAAAGATTTGGAAAAAATGTAAAACAATATCATTATTTTCATTAAATTGTTTTTTGTTTTAGTAAATACAGCTATCTTAAAATGATGTCTATATTACAATTTTAGTGGTTATAAATTATTGTTATATTAACATCTAAAACATTTTACTATTATTATTTTTAAAAAGAATAAAATTTTGCCTAAAATGTCAATGGTATCACTAGTGGCATGCTGGTAAACTGGTTCTCTTAAAAAGATAAAAAGTCCTGATTTCCTGTGGTAACGACTCCGGTGGTATCAGAGTAAATATTTAACAACTAGTTTTCCAAAAGAAGTTTCAACATGAATGTCTGCATTAACAAGTGAAACAAATGGGAAACAGCAAATCCACAAATTGGAACTTCACTCATTCATAAGGATTGACTTTTAAGCTGAATATGATAATATGTTTTGAATATTAGATTATTTCCTCAGATTTTTTTTCACTCTTCCTGACATAACTGTTAGAGACTGGAAACACTTTAAATATAATCTGCCTAATATACATTTTCTTAAATCGACAAAACAACAAATCAAACCCTGCATTGTAGCACTTGCCAATTTTGTGGTATAAATATTACCATGGCTGATTTCAAGCCATGGACCTAACATCACAGAACAGGGAGTCTTACAGGGATGCACAATAACACAACATTAAATAGAATTTCCACTGTGCAAATATAGCAGAAACTAACCTCAAAAGAATAGGTAATAGTGCAATAATAAGAAATGTTTATTACATTTGTTTTTAATATTTTATTTTTTTAGTTTATTTTTATTTTTTATTTTAGTTTTTTTAGTTTATGTAATTTAATTTTTAATAATAATTACTTTAAAGACTGGCTTGCAAAATTCATGAAAATCTAATAAGTAATCATTTTTGCTGGCTGACTCCATCACACTATTGAAATATGCCTGCCGTGGTCATTTGGAAGCTACTGACATGAAGTCACAGCAAGCACAGTTGAGAGATGTTCAGAATCAGTTTTGGCTGATGATGCTTCTCGGCTCCAGCACATCGATGGATGTAACCTTAATAAACAGAAACTATTTGAGGGTCTCCATAGTTTTATGAAGGTTAAAGGATCCTGAGACCAAAGTTTGAGAATTACCCTGTTAGAGTATAGAGAGGTCATTCGTTTTAACCCTGGAGCCAGTGCATGGATGACAGTGATCCTAGAGAGTCCCAGTGGCTTAGAACGTGACTGGTTATACACAACAGGTCAAACTTACAGAATGAATAATGGATATAGCGGCATTTGACAGAGGAACTGAGTACTGAAACGAAATAAAAAGTGACAAGAAATGAAATCAAAGCTTCTGAGTGAGAAAAGAGGTGAAAATGAGTATGTAAACAACAACAACAAAAAAGAACTGTGATGTCATGTTAATCCTAACAATAGTTTTATTATAGGCTTTTATTTCTAATGGAAAATTATTGCTTCTTGTGTGATTTTAACTTGTGCAATAGATAAATATAAATGCAATGTATACTTGCAACTGCTTTCTAAGATCTTATTACAAGAAAGGCCTTTTGATCTGTTAAACTTCTTGAGGGGTCTGATGTGCAAAATAAGCCTAAGCTGAGCCTGAAGGCATGGGAGAGCATCTGTGTAACAGGAATTTTGGAGTTCGGAGAGTAATCCAGGAGAAAGAAGAAGAGAAAGAGAAAAGGAAAGAGGGAAGATGAGAACTCATCTTAGAGGCTGGAGACTTTGTGAAATAATGCATAAGAATATGAAATATTTAATCTGAAATTGACTTGTCTATGTAACCCTCGACTTCTCCATATTCTGTATCTTTACATTTCATGTGCGTTTGTGTGAGGGTATCAGCTAACGTGCTTGAGTATGTGTATGGACATGCCTGAGAGAGAAAACTCAGATAACAGCATCCGGATGACATATAACAGAAATAATAATTCTGGACAAGCAGTAATTTAGAACAAGAGGTGACTGACAGAATGCTAGCTTCCAAACCACTCACATACATTTTAGGAAGAGCTTTGGACTTTCATAGAATACATAATGGATTTTTTTTAAAAAGAATTCACATTTTAATCTCCAGAAACAGAAATATCCTAGTTTAGTTCTTCTTATTATTATTTTTGATTGACATGTGATAATCATACATATTTATGGAATACGGTATGATGTTTCAATGCATGCACACACTGTGCGATGATCAAATCAGCATAATCAGCATATCCATCACCTTAAACATTTAACATTTCTTGGCCAGGCGCGGTGCCTCCTGTCTGTAATTCTAGCATTTTGGGAGGCTGAGGCAGGTGGATTGCTTGAGCCTAGGAGTTCCAGACGAGCTTGGACAACATGGCGAAACTCCATCTCTACAAAAAGTACAGAATTAGCGGGGCAGGGTGGCAAGCATCTGAAATCCCAGTTACTCAGGTAGCTGAGGTAGGAGGATAATTTGAGCCAGAAGGTGGAAGCTGCAGTGTGCTGTGATTGCACTCCAGCCTGGGTGACAGAGCGAGACTCTGTCTCCATTAAAGTAATAATAATAATAATAATAACAACAACATTTCTTTTTGGTGCAAATGTTCAAATTCCTCTCTTTCAGTTATTTTGAATTATACATCATTGTTAACTACCCTTCTGTGGAATAGAATACCAGAACGTATTCTTCCTATCTAACTGTAACATTGTACTCATTAACAAATCTCTTCTCTTGTCCTTGCTCCTACCCTCCACAGCCTTGGTAACCACCACTCTATTGAATTCTATGAGATCGACCTTTTTAGATTCCATACATGAGTGACAACACGCAGTATTTGTTTTTCTGTGCCTGACATTTCACTTAACATAATGTCTTCTAGGCTTATCCATGTTGTCACAAATGACAGGATTTCATCCTGTTTATGGCTGAATTTGTGTATGTATACCACATTTTCCTTATCTATTTATCTGTTGATGGACACTTAAGTTGATTCTCTATTTTGACTACCGTAAATAATGCCACAATAAACATGAGAGTGCAAATGTCTCTGACATACTTATTTCATTTCATTTGATGATATACCTAGTAGTGGGATTGCTAGATCACATGGTAGTTCTATTTTTAATATTTTGAGGACGTTCCATACTGTTTTTCATAATGGCTGCACTAATTTACATTCCCACCAACAGTGTGCAAGTGTTCCCTTCCCTCCATATCCTGGCCAACACCTGTGATCTTTTGTCTTTTTAATTTTAGCTGTTCTAACAGACATGAGGTGATATCTCAGTGTATTTTTGATTTGTATTTCCCTGATGATTTGTGACTTTTAGCATTTTTTGTATACCTGCGGACCATTTGTATGTCTTCTTCGGAGAAATGTCTACTTAGCTCTTTTGCTCATTTAAAAAAATCTGGTTATGTGTTTTCCTACTATTGAATTATTTGAGTTGCTTGTGTATATTGGATATTAACTCCTTATAAGATGTATAGTTTGTAAATATATTCTCCCATTCTATAGGTTGTTTCTTTTTCTCTATTGATTGTTTCCTCTGCTGTGCAGGAGCTTTTGAGTTCAATGTAAATTTAATTGTCTATTTTTGCTTTTGTCACCTGTGCCTTTGAGGACTTAGCCAAAAAATCTTTGCTCAGACCAAGGTCATGCAACCATGAACCTCTCATCCTCTTTTGTTATTTACCTTTGTGTTCTGGTGATTTACTGTAGCAGTAAGCTTTGATTCCCTTCTCTTTCTTATTTGTGTAACTACTGTACCTTTTATGTGTTGTTATTATGGGGCTTACATAAAAATTCTCATATAGACTTTCTAAAGTTGATAACAACTTAACTTCGGTTGCATACAAATATTCTAGACATCAGCCCTTGCCCCACAATTTATAATTTTCATTTATTTACATCTTTTTATGTTATATGTTCCTCAACAAGTTTTTTAGCTACAGCTATTGTTGACCATTTTTATTTTTAACCTTCATACTAGAAATCTGATTTTTAACCTTCATACTAGAAATATTTATACTAGAAATACTATAATGGTGGTATTACATATTGTAATATATTATACAGTAATAATATTAAATACTGTAATGGTAGTACTACCATAATGTAATGGTAATATGTATTACTACCATGACAGTAATAGACTATTGTGAATTTGTCTATGAATTTATCTCTACCAGTGAATTTTATACTTTCATATGTTTTCAGGATAGTAACTACCATCCTTTCTCTTTCAGTTAAAGTACTTCCTTAAACACTTTTTGTAATGCTGATCTTTGCTGATGAATTCCTTCAGCTTTTGCTTGTCTGGTGAAGACTATTTCTACTTCATTTATGAAGGATAGCTTTGCTGAGTGCTATTCTTGGCCGACAGATTTTTTCTCACAACACTTTATGTCTTCTCGTTCTCTCCTAACTGCTCCTGCTGAGAAATCTGCTGATAGTCTATTGAAAATCTTATATGTGACTTAGTGTTTTTCTTTTGCTGCTTTTAGAGTTCTCTCTCTGACTTTGGGTTTTGACAGCTTGATTATAATGTGCTTTGGAGAGTATCTTTTTGGGTTGAATCTATTTGAAAACTTTTGAACTTCATGGATCTGGATGTTCACATCTCTCCCAAAACTTGGGAAGTTTTTAGCTATCATTTTATTAATTAAGGTTTCTATGCCTTTCTTCATTTATTCTCCCTCTGAAATTCTCACAATGCAAATATTTGTTCACATAATGGTATCTCATAAATATTGTAGATTTTCTTCTCTTTCTTCCATTCTTTTTTGTATCTCTGACTAATATGCAAATATTAATAAATCATTAAATCAGTTGTTTTGAGAAAATTTGACCATATAGTGTATGTTTTTTAATTTAATTGTATCTCTGACTATCTGACTAGGTTATTTCAAAAGACTTGTCTTCAGAATCAAAATCAGAAATTCTTTCTTCTGCTTGAACTTTTGTTGCTGAAGCTCTCGACTGTATTTTTATTTCATTCGTTGAATTCTACAGCTCCACATTTTCTGTTTGGTTCCTTTTTATGATATCCCTTTGTTGGATTTTTCATTGAAATAATAAGTTATTTCCATGATTTCATTGAACTGTCTATGTGCATTCTCTTGCATCTCACTGAGTTTTCTTAAGATTATTATTCTGAATTTCTTTTCAGATGATTTCTGAATTTCCATTTCTTTGGGATCAGTCACTGGAGAATTGTGTTTCTTTTGTGGTATCATGTCGCCTTGTTTTTAATTTTGTGTGTGTGTCCAGGCATTGATTTCCGCATATCTGGTGAAACAGTCAGCTTTTCTAGTTTTATAAGATGGATTTCATAATGCAAGTCTTCCACCTGCAGGTACGTTTTACAGTGTCAGTTGGGTAACGTGTGTTGGCTTTGGTTTCGAGTGGACATGGTTTCAATGCAATTTCTTTAGAACGTCATAGAATGACATTCATAGAATGTCAGAAATGCCTGTGAGTGCCTCAGTAGCCTACTCTGTAGGAGTTTGTATGACTGGTCTGCTGGCTCAGTCATAGCTCCATTGGGAGTGAGTTGCTGGGTTTGTATGGATGTTGAGAGAGTGCAAGCCTGGCCCACTGGCTTGGACACTGCTCCCTTTTCAGTGAATTGCTGGACTCTGTTCATGTGCAGAGGGGACCTGAGCTAGCCCACCAGATGGCCACAGCTACTCTTGGTTGGTGTACAAACAAATGGAGCATGTGAATGGCCTATTGAATTGTGGGTGGTGCACTTGGAACTCTCTTGTTTCCAAGCTGATCTTGACTGGGAAGATGAGGTGGCAGGAGCAGAGTCTTTTTTTCTTTTCTCTATGTGGCCATCCTGAATCTTTACCACTTCCTTGCTGTACGCCAGTGCTCTCGTACAGATACTCAAGTCAAGATGTTTATTTTATTTGTTCCTCCTTGTGTTATGGGGTGGGGGGAAATTAGGCATCTCTAATCAGCTATCTTGTTGATGTCCTAGAGACAGACTAGTTTAAATAAAGCTACATTTTTGACAAGTCTTCATTCAGAACCATTTCCACTCATCTTATAGATGAATAAAACTTATATAAATAATGCAAATATTAATAACTCATTAAATTGGTTGTTTTGAGAAAACTTTGACCATTTAGTATTTTTTAAATTTAATTGTAAAAACATAATCTGAGTTTATTGCATCTTTTAGGTTTCCCTTTTTATAATGTAAATCTGGCTTTACCCCATTGTGATTTAATCTCTGGATTCATAGCACATGCTCATTATTTTCTATAGGTGTGTCTTTGTGTGAGAGAGCATCGCGTATGTATGTCTATGTCTGTATCTAAATCTATGTAACTATCTATATGTGCTGATTTTAATGAGAGACTTCTCTAAATATTAAGACAAAGTTTTACAATGGTATTACTTCCACTATTTGAGCACCTCTCGCTAAAATGGAAAAGGAATTCTAGGTTCAATATCCTAGAAGCAACTTGCTTTCAATTTCCTGTAGTTTAAAACTAGCAACTGCCAGCAGGTGTATCCAAGCACATTTCAACTGTCAGACAGTATCAGAGAGATAAATAAAATCACTAAGGTAACCAACTTCTAAAAACCCCGTGAATCATGAAGACATTTTTACATAACATCAAACCTAAATTATACTTGGCAGACTAACATTTTAAACTGCCTCCTTAAAAGTAGGATTCATTTTCCACTATTGTCTGTTTCCAAAGACTCTAAATATGCATTCAGCATTTGTGTTATCCGGGTTTAAAATAAAAGTAAAACAAAATAGTGAGATAAAATAATCTTCCACAATTTTTATACCAAAGCTAGTCAAGGAGACTCGTCTAACCACATCAGTCAAATTAGGTCAAATGTGTTCCTATCACTTTAGTACGACAAATGATATACTGAGAAATCATACTTAAATGGGTCATTTGGACCATATCTTACCTCTGGAGGAGAGAAAACATTCTTCCCAAACAAAATGTTTTATTTTTCTTCTTATATGATTTCATTCCTGTGCTTGAGATATACTTTATCCTCTTTTCCGTTTTATCTAAATGTTTTACTTTTCTTCCTATATGATTTCATTCCTGTGCTTGATATATATTTTATCCTCTTTTCCACCATCTCTCAATTATAATTTTGTCCCTGTATGGCCTACATTGTCATCCCTAATGCTACTCATGCTCCTCACACCCCGTATCAGTCCTCACCTATCACACATATACGCTCAATTTATGTGATACATAGCTGGCTTCAAATAGCTGTCATCTGTTGTAAATGAAGTCCCAAACGTGTGCATGGCTTACTGCTCCCTAAAGGGTAGTAGCAGACACATAAAACAATAAATTTGGAGGTACTGTTCTGTGAGTTAGTTCTGTTTATAATCAATTATCACAGGGGAATTGTGTAACCTAGCAATGATTCTGTTAAATGATAAGGTGACTTATCACATAGACCACCTGCCAAAGTTTATAAAATCACACCTAGTGTCTTGAGATATCTTTTATTTACCCCTGACATATAATAATTCACATGAGCCTCCAGAGCACTCTGAGATTAATGTTTACGTAATTTTAAGCCCTCATGCTAATGCACATGTTATTGCCGCACGGACAGAGGGAAAATTGTGCATGAAATAAGCAATACGTTATAGTTTCCATATCCAACTCTCAGAAAAGAAGGCTGCCTTTTAAATGTTTTATCTGTCATAAAGTGCTGAGAAGTAATACGCACTATAGTGGTGGTGTGATAATTTCTGCTGCTTTCTGAAGCTTGCCAATTGCAAAATTACTCCTGGTGCAAGTTAATAAATAATGTATGCACTGTTAATAGATCTAAAATCTCAAGTTCCTGTTAGAGAGAGAAATTGTGCCAAATCTTCAGAGGAATGCTATATTCAATTGGAGGGGACAGAGGGAAGACAGAGAGGAAAGAGAGAGAAGGAGATAAAATAAAGATGTGTTAAAGTCATGGATGCTGTTTACTGTAAGGCCCTAAAACTAACAGGGTTTAAGTAATCAGAACATTTTGTTTCATACATTGAGTATTCTCATATAATATTGTATTTTACTTTTCTTCTGGTTTGAAAATTAACTTCTCATATTCTTTATAATTTTATGGAGATAAATGTCAAGCATCTTTTTTTTTTTTTTTTGGGTTGTTGTTTTTATTTTGGTTTCCTGGGAGTGATTTCAAGTTTACTGTTTTTTTAACTTAATGAAAATAAATGCTAATGTGTGTGTGTTTGTGTGTATGTGTATATATGTATATATATATAGCTTTTATCACAGCTATCTATATGTTTTATCTAAGTACCACTTACACCTATCACAACATTATTCACAGTCATTTGATTTATTTATTTTTATTTTTCTTTCTTTATTTTTTTTGAGACGGAGTCTCGCTCTGTCACCCAGGCGGGAGTACGGTGGCGAGATCTTGGCTCACTGCAATCTCTACCTCCTGGGTTCACACCATTCTCCTGCCTCAGCCTCCCAAGTAGCTGGGACCACAGGCGCCCACCACCACTCCCGGCTAATTTTTTGTATTTTTTAGTAGAGACAGGGTTTCATCATGTTAGCCAGGATGGTCTCGATCTCCTGACCTCGTGATCCGCCCACCTCGGCCTCCCAAAGTGCTGGGATTACAGGCGTGAGCCACCACACCCGGCCTATTTTTATTTTTTAAATTCATACCAATGTAAGCCTTTGGAATCTATGTATGTATCATAGAATAGAGATCAGCGAACTTTTTCTATAAAAGACCAGAGAGTAACTATTTTAGGCTTTGCAGGCCATGCGGTCTCTGTCACAGCCACTCAACTCTGCTGCTGTATTGAAATCAGAGAGCAATTTGCGAATGAGTCTGGCTTTGTTCTATTGGTCATAGTTTGCAAACCCCTGTCCCAAAGAAAAATTGATCCAAAAGCAAGTTAATTCAAACGTTTTTCTATAATTCTCTAGGTTGTCTTAACATGCTTTGAAGGCTTTGGAAATTCTCCATTGTAGGCTGATAAAGCTGTTCACTTTTCCACTTAAGAGGCATACAGAAGCCTGCCCCTTTTCCTGAAGCCATGTGATCACTCATGCACCTTATTAAACACAGAAGAATTATTTTCCTACGTGCACAGATGATCTCTGTCCATGACTGGCCTGCATCTGGGTGCAAGAAGGAACCCAGCCATCCTGCGCCCTCCCTCTTTAGACCCACAAGGGGCAGGAGCAGCTGGATCTGTGTAGACACAGCCCTTGTGCTTACAAAGAACAATGGCTTTCTTAAGGCCTGTCAGTGAGCAGCAAGTAAACAGTGAAAAATTGGGAGCTCAGGAAATACACAAACTCCTCTGCCTGTTCCCTGTTTGATGAGCTCCTTCCTGGGTTCAGTGAGAAGAGAGCTGATATTATTATTCCTATGGAAAGAAAGGATAAAAATAATAGATATTTGATCAATGGATATATAAAAAATTAACAAGTGTCACCGAGGTGATTGCCTTGCAGCTGACTACAAAATCAAGGTGCTCTGTGTCTTTCTTTGCTACTTTTCATTGCACTTCATTTGATTTCAGAAACCCCAAGAGACTGCATTTCAAAATGGCTTTTTATCTCCAATGCTATATGAAGCGCCCTTTAGAAGTCTAAACACAATAATGTCATCTGTGTCCATGTCACTCAGCATTGCCTTATCCTCGAAAAAATCAAACGGATATGTTAGCGGTGAATTCATTTTAAATGCCGGCCACCGGCTGGCAATGAAAAGTGCTTTCTTCAAATCTCTTTTCAAATACACAATCAACCCCATATTGATCAAGATGTTTTATCTAATTGCATTTCATTTCATACTCCGCTGTGATTATCAATAAAATATTTTATTTAATATAAATATTTGATAATAAGTTATCCTTTCTATGAAAATGAAAGCAAGCCATAAACTCACCAACAGAGTCAAATCCAAAATGGCGCGACTTGGATGTGTGCTCTGAGCCTGGCACAGGCCTTTCTTGAAGCCCCTAATAGGTTAGGGAACACGATACTTCTCAGTCAAATTCATCAAATGTTGACTTCACATGGACTCCACAGCTACAGAGAAATTGTTCTTTTCACCTCTGAAAAGGGAACTTGCAAATCCTGAAGGGAAGTCAGTGGCTGCCCCACTGCTGATTGGTTAATTGTATTGCAGGTCACAAAACATCAAGTGCATTGCTGCCTGAGACCCGGAGCAATCACATCAAAGATGCTTGACTTTGCCAGACCTGGGGAGTGCTGGTGGGCTGTGGGATGCCACATTGCTTCAGGGTGTACTTTATATCCTTTATTTCTAGTAATATATTTCCTTAATTATTAATTGAGACAGGGTCTCACTCCCATTGCCCAGGCTGGAGTGTAATGGTACTATCACAGCTTACTGCAGCCTTGACTTCCTGGCCTCAGGTGATTCTCCCCACCCCGACTCCAGAGTAGCTGGGATTGGAGATGTGTGCCACCATGCTTGGCTAATGTTTTGTATTTTTAGTAGAGACAGGGTTTTGCCATGTTGGCCAGGTTGGTCTTGAACTCCCGGGCTCAAGTGATCTTCTGCATCATCCTTCCAAAGTGCTGGGATTACAGGAGTGAGGCACCATGCCTGGCCTCTAGTGATATTTTAAAACCTCATATGCTTATACAATAGAAAATATTTATAAAGTTACCTACAAAGTGATTTCTGGTCCTGGAATGTTCTGTGATTTTGTGTCGACCCTTTCCTCAAACAGGAGCTTCTCCCTTCTTACTCCTACAAAAAGCAGTATTGTCACAATTTATGGGGAGTGAAGTAATGGGATTACTTCCAGAGAAAAGAACAGAAGCTTTGCACACCCTTTCTTTAGAACAACTGCACATTTTGAGATCTCCAAGATAACCCTCAGGTTCAAGGATCCACTAGAAGGGTTTGCAGTGCTCAGCTAACCTGTTAGACTCATAGTGAAAGGACACAGGTTAAGATCAGCAATGGGAAAAGGCGCATCAAACAGGGGCAGGACAGACCCAGTGTGGAGCTTCCGGGTGCCCAGAGTATTATGTCTCCTAGCTATGATGTGTGACAACACCATGGGGTATCCCCCATCAGTGACAAGCACCAAACCCAGAGTGTCCAGAGATGTTATGGGGTACAGGTCACATAGACATGACTGAGCCCCCATGTGCCTAACCTTAGTCTCTAGCCCCTCCAGAGTCAAGCTGATGCCACACGGCCCAAGGTGCCACACTAAGTCACATGGTCAGCATAGATCCTCTCTAGGAGGATTTTAAAAGTTGTTTACATCCTACATTCATTAGGGAAGACCTGGGTGTTCACCTCTGTATGACTCTGCTCCTTTAGGAAACCTTCCGTGACATATTTCATGAGAGCTATTCATTTCTGCCAGCACTCTGTGCTGGAAAAACCCATCCAGCCTGCCTGTTTTTCTTATGCTTGGACTCTTGTGCTTACTTTTTTAAAAAACATATTTTTATTTTAAGTTCCAGTGTACATGTGCAGGATGTGCAGGTTTGTTACGTAGGTAAACATGTGCCGTGGTGGCTTGTTGTACCTATCAACCCATCACCTCACTATTAAGTCGAGCATGCATTAGCTATTTTTTCCTAATGCTCTCTCCCCGCACCCCACCTCTGAAAAGGCAGTAGTATGTATTCTTCCCCCTCCCTGTGTCCATGTGTTCTCATTTTTCAGTTCCCACTTACTAGTGAGAACATGTGGTGTTTGGTTTTCTGTTCCTGCATTAGTTTGCTGAGGATAATGGCTTCTAGCTCCACCCATGTGCTTTCAAAGGACGTGATCTCATACTGTTTTATGGCTGCATAGTATTCCGTGGTGTATATGTACCACATTTGGCAAGGTTACAGATAAATAGGAACATTTTTACATTGTTGGTAGGAATGAAAATTACTTCAACCATTGTGGAAGATGGTGTGGCAATTCCTCAGAGATCTAGAACAAAAATACCATTTGACTCAGCAATCCCATTACTGGGCATATAGCCAAAGAATATAAATCATTATATTATAAAGATACATGCACATGTATGTTCATTGCCACACTGTTCATGATAGCAAAGACATGGAATCCACTCAAATGCCCATCAATGAGAGACTGGATAAAGAAAATGTGGTACATACGCATCTTATTTTGCTTTATCATTTTCATTCAGTTTGAGTTCATTTTATGAGAAAATCAAAGATTTAAAATTCAAATTAAAGCAAATTAAATAGCATATACTGTATTTGTCATATTTTTATTTGTTTGCATGGTACATTGGTAAACAATGGTAAGCACTGCATTCGAGATATTGTAGGGGAAAAACTGAGTAGATTTCAAAGCACTTGACATGATAGAAGATAGAAAATAATATATTTCTCTTCTTCAATTACTCCTTAGATGTCAGCATAAGAATGATGAAAACATTTTCAGTTTTTATGAGGTGGTTTAAAAGCCTATGTCTGCATATAATTTGGTTCTTTTTTCTCAGATCCTTAGCTATTACTCTGTTGGTTTTAAGAGTTTTTTTTTCCTGACCCCTGCTTCTTGTTTCAAGCCTTTCATTATGGTTCTCTACTTTCCACTCCTGGGCATCATAATACGCTGAGAATCTACCTATCAGTAATTTGCTCTAAGTTGGTTTAATTTCCACTTTTCTTATTTTTTTCAAGATAAGCTAAAGAAACACCCTCATTTACCTTGAGTCTTAGAACCAGTAGTCTCACTAGTAAAGTCTTTTCATTGCTCCATAACTCTCCCGCATGTTTACTGCTGTGCAGCAGAAATAGAGACAGGAAAGGACTGTTTTATGCTGAGCAATTACCACCTCTTCCTCCAACCACACCAAATGCAGGCAACAGGCCTTCTAAGTGTGCAGGAGGAATTTTCTTTTCTTTTCTTTTCTCTTTCTTTCTATCTGTGTTTTTCCTTCCTTCCTTCTGCTCTTTCTTTCAGATAATAGTAAACAGCTATTGCTAACTGAAATTTCACACTTATGTGGCAGAAAATTCACTGATAGACAGATAGAAAATGGATAATATTGATGCCAGGTTTAGAATTGCAGACCTGACATTCTTATTTATTTATTTGGAAGAGTTATCCTATCTCCCTAAGTGTTTTCTTTTTCTTTTTTGTGTCTGCATTATTACAATTAGTAAAAGAATTCCACATTTATTCGCTGGTTAAAAAGAGGAAGTGAAGTAACATGTGTGTTCCAGTCAGCATGGAGTGGGATGTGCTGCAATTTAACAACTCATTATGAAAACAACTTGTTTTTTCCTTATGCTACATGCACAGGACAGGTAATTAGGGATCCTATCCCCTACCTCTTCAGCCTGGGACCCAGACTAATGGAGCACCTGCCATCCCAAACATTGCCAGTGGGTGTGGTAGGAAGAATGGTTCAACTGGGGGGTGTTTGTCACCAGCCCAGAGCCACAGAAACAGGAAGCACTTCCCTCAAGCCTCACCTGAAGCCATCCTGCTCCACATAACCAACAGGATACCCCACAGTGCAAATACCTTGTGCTCAGAGGGAACTTGTTCAGGGACTAGAATTACTGACTTTCTCTGTAAGATGTTTATCTAAAGTGCTGAGCTCATAGTAGGTGTTCGTTGAATTTTAGATAACATGGTTATCACTTTGCTACAAGGTCATGAATGAGTCACATTATTTTGCTTAAGTTCCAGTTTCTGTAGAGAGAAGGAATTTTCAAGTTGTTACTGATTAATTTCAGATTTGAACATAAAGTACATTTTAAAAATGCTTATGATAAATTAAATGGAAAAAGTAGATTACTGTATATAAAATTCTATAATTCATAAATTAAGATTGTATTAGGTTGGTGCAAAAGTAATTGCTGTTTTGCCATTACTTTCAACGGCAACAACTCAACCTAATATTCATACGTTTTCTGCTTCCCTGACACACACACACACACACGCCCACACACACATAGTCAAACACATATTCACCGTGAATTTCTTTCATTTTCATCAATAGGAAATTCTCCCTCCCCCTCAAAAACTATCTAGTTTCTTTAAACTGAATACCTTAGCAACCACGACAGACTTTTGAACACATATTGAAAGTAGATGCATGCACTCTGAGATCTCTGACCACCAGCAGGCTTTCCAGCCGAGGGCACCTTTAGAGTGAAGCCCTGTCCCTATTTTAAACACGGCATTGTGCCTTCAGTTATTTGCTTTTTTTTCCCTCTCTCTCTCTCTCTCTGTGTTTTTCTTTTCTTTTTTTAAAGACAGAATCTCGTTCTGTCACCCAGGCTGGAGTGCAGTGGCATGATCTCGGCTCACTGCAACCTCCACCTCCTGGGTTCAAGTGATTCTCCTGCCTCAGCCTCCCAAGTAGCTGGGATTACAGGCACGTGCCACCATGCTGGCTAATTTTTGTATTTTTAATAGAGACGGGTTTTCACCATGTTGGCTAGGCTGGTCTGGAACTCCTGATCTCAAGTGTTCCGCCCATCTAGGCCTCCCAGAGTGTTGGGATTACAGGCATAAGCCACCGCACCAGGCCACTAATTTTTTTTCTTTTTAATCAATATCAGCAAGGGGGAAATGAACAGGGGTTGCAATGGTAAGAGATGAACTTTTATACATTTCAATTTTTTTTCTTTAACGTTTTTATTGAGGACTTTGCCTGAAATTTTGGCTAAGCGTATTTAGAGATCGTATGTAACTTTTTGTCACTGAGTTTTTAGTTTTTTTTTTCTTTGCAGGCATTCAATTTTTTTTTTTTACTTTGTGTTATTTAGAACAATTATTTAATATGAACCACTTTAAAGATGTTTAATTGACAAATATAGGATATAATATGGTGTTATGATACGTGTATATACTGTGGAATGATTACGTTAGGCTAATTAACGTAATGTATACCATTTTAAAATAGTAATTCTAAACTCCAGAACTTAATTCCAGTACTTGAAATTTGAAAGGAAAGGGAACAATTTCTCTAGTTAGAATAACTTCAAAAATAATCATCAAAAAACCCCTTTTTCATATGCTTTTTTTGTTTTGCAGAAATTTAAAAGGCCGGTTAAAGAAAATGTTTATTTTTCTCTTAAAAATTATTCTTGTCACTTTCTTGCAAACATCCTCTAGGTAAATCAGGCATAATAGATTACAACTTTTATAATACATTTCAATTTGACTGCTTTAATCAGAGTCAAACCAAAACAAAAAAAAAGGGTAATGAAAACAGCAAATAAGAATAATCTTATAATTTTTAATTCGTTAAACATTCTTCATCATATTACACTCTAAGGATTATGAAAAATAAATTATAGAAGAGATTATGTGATTCGTTATTAATTCTTTCCCTGCAGGATTGAGAACCAAAGGATGCTACACTAGTTCTTCATTATGGAAATATGCACTTCATGTAATATAATCAGATTGCACCCAGGCATGGCAATGAAGGCTAGGCATAAGCTGAAAAACGAATCTGACAGTTGTCTTCAAGTCTCGTTTTAGCCAAATGTTTCGAATTTCTCCAAGTTCAGATCTTTGATCAGAGTTTATAACATCAATCAGAGTTAATAGTCTGATGATTTTTGTCACTCTATAATGTTTTCAGCTTTCGAGGCATGAATTATGGACTTTAACCCTGTCCTCTTTTCATTGCTCCACGGTTTCCCCCATTCTATGACCAGGATTAGGAAATTTCCTACGGTTAGATTGCGTATCAACCAAATGATGAGTTAGCTCTTTTGCTGAAATTATCTAAACATAAGGATTTGTCTGAGCTTTCCAATCACTAAAATTATATTTTCTACTTATTTATTTAAAGTAAGGTTTTGTTGAGTAACCTAACCAAAAATATGCACACATTTGTAATATATATGTACACGTATAATCTGTTTTCATATCTATCTATCTATCTATCTATCTATCTATCTATCTATCTATCACAAATTGTTAGTCTATGTAGTAACCTTTGTCTGTTGGGATATTTACTATTTTTCCTGAGCTATATTTCTTATTTTCTGTTTATGCCCACAAAAAGAAGTTTATCGCTCCTTCCCTCATTGACATGTTGGACAAAGCCCCTGAAGGACCGGGGCAGATTCCCACTCCACACGTGCACTTGTCGTTGTATTTCCCAAAGTCCTCTTTGGAGTTGCTGAGCCCTGAGATCCAGCTCAGTGTTTTGTTTGTGAACACGTAAATCAGAGTAGTGAAGCCCAGGGAGAGACAAGACAGTTTCTCCCCTCTGGTCTCCTGTTGTGAGTCCTCCTCTTCTGCTCCTGTGTAATCCATTCTGTAAAATCCAATGTTTTCCTCTCAGCAGCATTTTGCACAAAGTTCACATATGCACATATATGAGAAAATAATTTTATGTCATTTAAACAAATATTTCCAAAGTAAGGCATCCATGTGGTGGAAAATTTAAAAATACAGAGACACATAGGATTGAATAATAGTAATAACAATCTCTTGCCTAACACTTTCCTAATTCCACTAGTAACCTCTTCTGAAACAATTTTCGCAATGTTTCCCTTTCTCCTACTATTTCCCAAAGTCAAAATCAAATGATTATATGCCTACTTACAAATATGTCAACTTTATTCAATGTCTATTTTCTGCTTAAAAGATGGGGATTTAGCTCACTATCGCTAGCCTTCTTTATTTCTTTTTTCTCCAGTAATTTAAAAGGAAATATATTATTTAAAATTATATTATCAATTCGCTATGTACCTGGAAATGATGTACTTCTTTTTCATAATTTTAGTGAGCATCTCAACATCTTTTGTGAAAAAGGAGAACGTGGATGTCACTGGCTTTCACTTCATGTTTTGTGAGTTCCACTTTTATTTTTCTGTTACCAAGATTGTTAGCTTTTGTATTACAGAAGGGTTGTTTTGAATGACATGTTTAAGGAAGGAGTTTGTTGATTTTTATGTATTTTGAAAAAATATAAATATTAGATATTTGTATGATAAGCTGATTTAAATCTATTTCTTCTATTAAAAAAAAAGTATTTTGGCCGGGCTCAGTGGCTTATGCCTGTAATCCTGGCATTTTGGGAGGTCAAGGCAGGTGGATCACCTGAGGTCAGGAGTTCGAGATCAGCCTGATCAACATGACTAAACCCTGTCTCTACTAAAAGATGCAAAATTAGCTGGGCTTGGTGGTGCATGCCTGTAACCCCAGCTACTCAGGAGGCTGAGGTAGAATTGCTTGAACCCAGGAGGCAGAGGTTGCAGTCAGCCGAGATCGTACCAGCCTGGGCAAAAAGAGCGAAAGTCTGTCTCAAAAAAAAAAAAAAAGTATCTTGCTCTGTTGGACATTTTAATAAACAGTGAAATTCAGAAAACGCTGACAAAACAGGTTAGATAAATGGGAAAGAAAAGGCTAAGAGAACATAGGAACTGGGTAACACAATCACATACACAAAGAAACAACCAGTAGTTAACTTTTTGATATGAAAGGTCAACACAAATGTACAATCTCAAAATCACAAAAGAAAAAGTTGGCCTTCTAAGTTTAAAGCTTCAGATGAGCATTCACATTCCCTAAGGTGAGTCAAGAAGGTAAGGACAATTTATTTCTTTAATGAAATATTAAGCCGTGCTAATTAATATTAACCTAAATGATAAATATGTGTTTATATGTATAATGGTGTTCATATAATTTCATGTAATGTATGCATCTGAATAATCTCAGCATGGTTACAGTATTAATGCTGGGTACTTTTTGACTTATTTCTCTGAAACAGATCCCTCACCTGTGTATACACACAGAGACCCACACATTAGTCCAGCTCCATGCAGACATATAGACTTCAGTGATGGGGTGTGTTCAAGGAGCGCAAGGATGGTAGATCTTCCATTTCTGAAGACTTAGTGACACTTTTAGTCCACCTAATTCTGTCGGTTTTTAGTCAATTCTATTTCAAGCAAGATTTAGATCTCTCAGAAATATAAAAGACAACAAAAGGAAGCACAGGATTAAAATGTGTCCAGTCTTCTGGCTATACCCCAGAATCTCCCAGACCAGTCTAGAGAATGTGAAACCTCTATAAACCAAAACATACACCAATAAAATAAAGGTATCTTCAATCTGGTAGGGTAACTAAACAACAATTTTCTCTTCATTTCATATATATGTATAGATGTGTATATATATAAACATTTTACCCATTAGACATGTCTGAAAGTGAGTATGAAGATACATGGTAGAAACACCTAAAATTTGTATTTAATAAGCATCGGAATAAATTTATCAATGTTTAAATAGAGGACTCTCAAAAAGTAAAGATGCTATACTAGATGTGTTGAAAAACAGCAAAACAAAATGTCACGGTACTTGTTTGCAATGAAATTACAGTTTATGGGTGTGAAAGACATGTATATGTGTTACTCTTACACTGTGCCCTGCATTACCCATCGGCATACAGGACACAATATAGGCACCATAGCAGAGCTGCAAACAACGTGAGGTACCTATTAAGAATATAGCCGTATATCATTTTAGGGGAATATTTAATGCACAAAAATAAATCATGGAATAGGTTAGTATTAGTCTATCATTTAAAAGCTATTCTGTGCAGAACATCTCAAATAACATTTTGAATTAAAGCAAAACTTAATTTAATACTTAATATTCACTGAAATCTCCCTAAAGGCACATAGAGGATTTACAAAATTAAAAAAAAAAAGAAAAAGAAAATTTCTCTTTCAAATAAGGCAATGTGTGTTATGTTATTTTCCATGATACAAACTTTTTATTTTAGTATTTTTGAAAGGTAGGTAAAATAGTTCTAGTTGCTTAGGCTTCAACGTCTAGGAAATTTAGTGTGAATATCATTTCACTAATGAAAGTGCTTTTCTTTCCGCCGCCTCCGTAGCCCATCTTCTCCATAAACTCTGTACAATAGTACCAGCCCTTAAACTGAGCTCTCTCACCACCCTCTGACTTATCAGCACTGATTGCTATCAGCTGTTTCTGAGCCTTCCTGCATTTTGATTCATTGAGGTTTTTCCTTACCTCCCTGTATGGTTCAAGTTTGCTCAAGAGAAATGATGGTGCAATGTAATCTATTCTTCAGATATATCAGAAATTTCACAAATGTTTAGGCTTATTGGAGAGGATGAGATCCTGAGGGGAAATCCATATACTTTCTTGTAGATTACAATGAGATAGCAGTTCCATGACTTATCAAACATGCATTCAGAAAACCTGCCAAGGGATGAACTTTGTTTCTCATTTTCCTTATTTTAAAGTCAAATTATAACTTCCTAACATTTCTGGCAGTGAGTAAGAAAAGCCCAAGTTTCATATAAAGAAGAATATGTTGATATTACAACCAGGAGAATATTTGCTTTTGTATATGTGTATAGGCTTTCTACGTCTACCAGTTTTTAGCAGATCCAAATATAAATCTCACCATTCCCTCTGCTATTGCTGTTAGGAACCGCAATACCTTTGACCCAGGAGCCAGAGGGTTTCATTTTTTTCACAAAAACACGTAAAATCTTCAACCCTAGGTAAGCATTTGCCCAGTAATGTGCAGATGAACTGAAACTCCATCCATGACAATTACAGAGTAACCCCTGATAGAATAATCTTATACAGGATGATAAAATCCCCTAGCTACCAATTAAAAATGCCTTTAGAAAGCCATTTCTCCTGTTTTCTCAGTAATGCTTCATTTGTCTTGCCCAAATTGGGTTTTAGACAGGTGAAAAAAAGTATAACATTTTAACACAATCATGATTTCTTTTCTTTTTGGAATAATTGTATAGAATATAGCACATTCAACTTGAGAAAGTAGCCACAAAACACCAGATGCTAATGAAAAAGAACAGCTGTATAATCATACTGTTGGATACTGGCTTCCATGTTTATTATATGATCACTAGACCATTTTCTGATGTGAGTTTAACATCATATATTTAATCACACTTTTCCTCCTATGTGTCTGCAGTAAACCTTCAGAATATTTTTCAGGTATTAATATTCCCACAAGAATAGAAAAAAATAGATCTTTGCTACTCAATGTGTGGCCTATAGACCAGCAGCATCAGCATCAGCTGCAAGCTTGTTAGAAATGTTGCTGGCCACGTTGGCTCACGCCTGTAATCCCAGCACTTTGGGAGGCCAAAGCGGGCAGATCACTTGAGGTCAGGACCTCCAGACCAGCCTGGCCAACATGGTGAAACCCCTTCCCTACTAAAAATACAAAAATTAGCCAAGCATGGTGGTGCACACCTGTAATCCCAGCTACTAGGAAGGCTGAGACAGGAGAATCTGTTGAATCCAGAAGGCAGAGGCTGCAGTGAGCTGAGATTGTGTCATTGCCCTCCGGTCTGGGTGACAGAGCAAGACTCCATTAAAAAAATAAAAAATAAATAAATAAATAAATAAGAAAGAAGGAAAGAAAGACAGAAATGCAGACATGTAAAATTTCAGGCTCCACCCAGCATTTGTAATAGGATTTCCCAATAATTCATGTGCTCATTACAGTTTGGATCCCCTTCCTCAATTTCACTACCTTTTTCTCGTATGTGAATCTGGTGTTAATACATATCTTCGCAGCCTGGGTGCATTTATGGTGCAGGAAGCTAGGACAGAGTATGCAGAGGATGCCCATGGAAAACAGATGCTGCGTGCACAAGGTCAGAAATAAAATTCAGCCATTGCTGACTTGTGGCTTTGCTCAAATGACCAGGCTGCACGGGCTTCATTTTCAGATCAATAATATTTCTTAAATATATTTGGTCCTGGACTCTGATCTCTGTGCAGGGGATAACCATACTTCTCTTAAAAACTTATGATCAGTATAAAATGGCTTTTATAGTGGATTACATCAGAAGAACGGATCCTGAGCGATAACCAGGTATTTTTAGTTTGGGCAATGAGCAACTCTATGAAACACTAGCCTTATAGTAGCTCAGTTTAAAAACAAAATAGTCCTATGAATCTTTCCTTAATATTCCCTTTGGATGTTCTATTTTCAAAGAGTAGTCTCAAGATCAAGAATTAATATCAAGTATAAAATAACTAGTTAGTGCTAGCAAATAGTTTTGGAAACAACAAAAAGGTCCTATTCGATCTAGATCTAGGCAATATTTGAGTTACATTTCTTCTGACTTGGATTAACAGTCACATCTGTAATCTGGTTTGTGGCTGCAGCACAGTCAGAATACATTCTGATGGCAGATCCCTAAGGCAATGGAAGGCAGCTTAGTGGCACGCACTGAGGAGATGGTGACAAGGAGTCCTCTCAACTCTGCTGCCTCCAAATCAACAACTCCAGACACCGATACCACACTCAGATCTCTAAGCTTCTTCAAAAACAGAGCCTCTCAGATGGTTCTTTCCTAAACCTTCAGCTTTTCACTCCTTTAATTCATCGTACCCTATGATCTGTTGCTTCTTGAGGATGTAGGTATGTCTTCTGGTAAGAGCGAGCAGAACAATCGCCGGATGTTAAAGGACAATTTGAAAAGAAAACATATTTTGGAAAGCTGAAATGGTTATGTATGTGCTTAAAGTTAGCTTCCAACTGTTGGACTTAAAACTTTACTAAACGATCAAAAATACAGCATACCTTTATATTTTATTTCTACGGGAGAACACTTGAGAAGGAAATACACATTGATATATCACCTCATATAAATTTTTTCAGATACAAAAGCACAAGTTTTTTCCTTAAATCATGCATTTTCTTTTTTCTGAAATTCCCTTCTAGATAAAAATATATTATTTATGTATATTATGTTTACTCAAAATAATCCAAATATAAAAAGCCTTAAAATCATACCTGTAGCTCATTCTAAAACTAAAGCTATACAATTACATTAAAAGAAAAAAATAAATAAAAATTAGAAATTGCTTTAGCTACATATTACTGATTTTCTACTACCTCCTGGATAATAGAATTTTTTAAATTTTTAATTTTAAAAATAGATTTAGGGGGTACATGTGCCGTTTTCTTACACAGGTACCCAAATAGTGTACATTGTACCCACTAAGTGATTTCTTATCCTCAACCATCCTCCTACCCTCCTGCCCTTCTGAGCTTCTAACATCTGTTATTCTGCTCTCTTTGTTCGTGTGTGCGCATTTTTTACCTCCCACTCATAACTGGAAACATGCAGTATTTGACTTTGAGTTATTTCGCTTAAGATAGAGGCCTCCAGTTCCATCTATGTCGCTGCAAAAGACATGATTTCATTCTTTTCATTCCTTTTATGGCTGAGTAGTATTCCAATTGTGTGTGTGTGTGTGTGTGTGTGTGTGTGTGTGTGTGACACTTTCTTTATCAAATCATCTGTTAATGGACACTTAGATTTATTCCATATTTTTGCTACTGTGAATAGTATTGCAGTAAACCTAGCAGTGTAGGTATCCTTTTCCATACAATGATTTTTTTCCTTTGAGTAGATACTCAGTAGTGGAATTGATGGATCCAACAGCAAATCTATAATGCACGCTGAAGATGCATTTCAGAGATAGGTTATACCCAAAGAACTCAAATTTAAGTTCCATGAGAGACAGATATTTAGAAAAAATGAGAGGAAGGGTACTTGAATTATCCCAGCGTCTTCCCTTCCCACATTTTTCCCTAATATTAGAATATGTTCCTCTTCAGCTCTGTGTGAACACCTGTCTTTACCACAGGGTTGCTGTGGGTGTTAAATCGTGTTATATCCCAGACAAAAGACATGGTGCAATATCTCACACACCACAGGTGTTCCATAAATGGCTGTCATTGTTATTGTCTGTGGGAATGTCCACTATTAATGTTCTAGTAGTAATAGCAACAATTATTAACATGGAAAAGGGAGAGAAAAAGGAATCCCTGAGATAACTAGAAAAACTTTTGCTTTTAAATCTTAGACATTTTCTTAAAAAATTTCTAAGCATATTTACAAGCTAAAATTCCAACACTTGACTTAAATATCTTTTTTTTTTTTTTGAGAGAGAGCGTCTCGCTCTGTCACCCAGGCCGGAGGACTGCAGTGGCCCGATCTTGGCTCACTGCAAGCTCCGCCTCCCAGGTTCACACCATTCTCCTGCCTCAGCCTCCCGAGTAGCTGGGACTACAGGCGTCCGCCACCACGCCCGGCTAATTTTTTGTATTTTTAGTAGAGACAAGGTTTCACCGTGTTAGCCAGGATGGTCTCAATCTCCTGACCTCGTGATCCGCCCGCCTCGGCCTCCCAAAGTGCTGGGATTACAGGCGTGAACCACCGCGCCCGGCCGACTTTAATATCTTCTTATGTGAAACAACTAATTAATCAATGAATAAATAATCTGCTTCTCTGTCAATTTGCTATCTTTTATGGTTTCTTCTAAAATAATCTCTAGTCTAAATTAAACCTAACCTGTTTATTATATAAGAATGCTTATAGCTTTTTTCAATAACTTAGTCCAATAAGTCACATAGATTAAAGGTGTCTCTACATATATATAATCTAAACATTTATGTTGCCACATAGAAAGTGGTTTTCTTTTTTCCCCCAGTGTTGATGACGATAGTTCATGTGTGCTTGCATTTATATTAGTCAAAAGGAATGCTTACAGTATTGAGGAAAGATGCTGAGTAGAGTTGCTATTTAAGGACTTACAGATGTGTGAGAGGTATTGCTATAAATTAGCATCCCCAGATTGGTCTAATTATGTCTGTGTCTCACATGTCTTTCAAATATCTAGTGTTCTTTGCTATCTATGCTTACACTTAAATCAGTTCTCTCTATGGTGGAATGATGGATGGGGGCTTATTTTGACAGTAAGACACTATCACATGGATGAAATAGTGGAATAAAATAACTATTTGAAAGTAAGAGTGCATTTCCACTCTGTTAAACTCACAAAAATGGTAACAAAACATGGCAAACTGTGGTGGATTTGAAAAAGCATCCTGGCAAATGCCAGTACCTATCTCCAGCATGGTACAAAAGTGTTGAAGTATGACATTTACTTTACAGTGAGTATAGCTTAGGAGGATGAGAGATTTTGGAAGTATTGTATATTTTCTACTATTTTGCATGCTAGGTTAACCAGGAAGCATTTGGCTCAGAGGTACTTTTAATCACATCCTTACACCCATACTAAATATTTTGTCTCACGCAGCAGTGTGCAATGACTTTCTGCATATCCATTCCAGTTGAACTGATCGTGAATTTCATCTCCAGTGCTTAGAGATGATGCCTTGGCAGTTCTGTTCTAAATGGGGAGAATAGCGGTGAGAGGGCCTATGGGAAAATAAGGCCTTCAAAACCCCCTACCTGAAAAGACCTCCGTTTGTTAAGGTGGAATCAGACACTGCTGAAATCTTCAAAGGGGAGAGGGTTCGGTGTGAAGTCTGGAGGAATAAGAAATACAGATGCTCTAATGAACAGCACTGGCTAACTTTATTATTATTATTATTATTATTATTATTAGCCTATCAGAAAAGACGTATAATGCATGTCAAAGGACAAAGTATTTTTTAACCATGTTTTAAAAAAAAATCAGGCTATAGAGTGTAGATTTAAATATTGATTGTTTTTTAGACCAGCATAAACTATACGGCCCAGTTGTCTGTGCAAACGTTGTGCCGACGATAATAACCGATGATAACCTCACCGCAGCATTTATCATCTTGGCAGAGTTGTTTGTTAGATCAGTGAAGATCCGGAAAATCAGGCGGCGTGCTGCTTGGTTTTGCCAGGAGTAAAAGTACTGAAGGATACCGGGAAGACTGGTCATTATTGTTCTTCTTGTGGTTGCTATCATTATTATTATTATTATATTATTATTATTGCAGAGGTCAGCGCTGCTTTTGGGGTGAAAGAAGACCATCAGCAAACCTCAGCCTTGCGGCCAGGACTCCCCCGTCTTCTGTCGGAGTCCGCCGGTCCGCAGCCTGCGGCAGGGAGGCCCGGGCACCCGCAGGTGGCGCCCCACGTCCGTGTTTGCGCCCTCAGCCGAGCTCCAGGCGCAGCTGGGAAACCCAGCGCGTCTCCCCGGGTCCTTTGAGCGAGCGCGGACACCGCAATTTAATAAATAAGCGCAAGCGCCAGCCGCTCCACCAGTCCGAGGTCCAGAGGAGCAGACACACAGACCCGGGCCGGAGGCCCCTCTTCTAGCCCTGCGGGAACCGGACAGTTCCCCAACTGGGACTCTGGAACCACAGCTCCTAAATCATCAAATTCTCAAGCTTTTTTTTTCCCTCTCTTCGTCCCAGCCATCCCAGTCTTCTTCTTCTTTTTTTTTTTTTTAACTTATTGTTTTTTTCGCTCCTGTCATTATGAAAGTGGTCACGCCATTCAATATTAAGACTTGGAGGGAATTGGGGAAAGAAAAGAAAGAATCTAAAAGAAGAGAAGCGACCGGTGCTTTTAAGGGTGTCTAATTTTCAAAAGAGACGTCTGGGAGTATTTTGCTCTGGGCGTTTGGGTGAGCAGGACCGGGGCGTTGGAGGGTGCGGCGGGCTTGGGAGCAGGGAAGGTTCCGAGTCCTAGGGAGGCGGCAGCGCTCGGCTATGCCCTCTGGAGACTGGCGGGGCTGCGGGGCCGAGGGGACCCGCGAGGGAGCCGCGCTGCGGACGCGCTGAGCGCGGGAGCTCGAGGGGCCCCAGGCAGCGGTGCGGGCGCGAAGCCCAGGGGTTGGAGGCACCTGGGCGCACAGCGCGGGGCGCTGAGCCGGGCGAGACGCGGGGTTCCCGGTCCCGGGCGCGGCGCCTAAGCGGGCGCGCGGGGCGTGGTGCACCCCTGAAGCGGCGCAGGCTGGCGCGGGAAAGCGGCAGGGCGGGGCGGCGCGGTTATTGGCCACGCGCTGGGAGCAGGGTCGCGCTCCGTGTCCTCCTCCCGACAGCTCCCACTCGCCTCATTTTCTCTAAGCAGAGCAACTTCGCGGACAGCGGAGCTCGCCCAGCATGGATGTTCCAGGTAACCACCCCCGACCTGCCCTCCCCTCCGCATGCAAGCGCCTTCTGCGTGGATTTTAACGAAGACTCTCCCTGGTCCAGATCGAGGGGTGGAGGAGGTGGAGAGAGAGAAGGGAAATCATGTAGGATCGGGGCTGCGGACAGCGGATATTTATCAAGAGCCAACTTCTCTGTTCTTAGAAAGAATACTGGAAGAGTTAATGGGAGGCTGTGGGCGGCGAGGGGGCGGCTTCTCTGCGTGTCTCTGGGCTGGTATTGAAATGGCCTGTCTGCTTTCCTGGGAGGAGCGGGGACGGGGCAAAAGTGCAGACGGGCGCGTAAGTTCGCAGAAACCTGCAGGGGCTGCCGCCCCGCTGAGAAAGAGAGAATCCCCGTGGTCTGGAAACCAGAGCTGGAGAATAACCCAAGCCTGGGATTCCGTCGTTGGAATCGGTCCTTCGCCTAAGAGAGGAATCCCAGGGGTTTCACCCAAGGGGGCTCGCTAGTGGCTGCAGGGACCTTGGAAGTAGGTGTTTGGCTTTACTGCCCGTGTGTGTGTGTGTGTGTGTGTGTGTGTGTGTGTGTGTGTGTGTGTGTGGTGTCATTTCCCCCCTAGTAATCTTATTCGCCCCAAGGAGATTCCTGGGATTTGTTCTGTGGGTGGAAAACAGATAAAATCTGTACCAAAGGGACTTAAATGGACTTTAAAAACATCTCGAGGATTGAAAAATAGAGGATAGCAGGGAAACAAGGGATAGGAAAAGGGTTCCTTGGTGCTGCTCCAAGGAAATGCTGTGAGATGAAGGCGAGAAGGCAAGCATTCGTAGGTTTTTCTTTGCCTGCGTCTTAGCCCCCTCCGCGCTGGTGAATGGGCGGGGTGGCGGTGACGCCTTCTGAGGGTCTCGGGGCCCGTCTTAGCGACGAGGACCTGCAGAAGCGCGGCCCCCTCCCTCGTCGCAGCCCCGCGCGCTGCTCGGGAGCCTTCAGGGATGCGCTGCCAGCTGCGCCCGGGCGTTTCTCCGGACCTGTTGTGCCAGATCGGAAAGCGGGTTGGCTGTGCGCGGGACCAAGGGGGTGGCCTTCGGGGAGAACCCCCGAGCCGCAGGCACCTGCTCCCAGTCCCCCTTCTTCCCGGTGGCTCCACCTCCCGGTGTAAGGCTTTGGGTTCTGTGCCCTGACAGGTTCACAGGCGCCTTTCTTCTGAGAACGACCCTGGCCTTGAACGTCAGAGCCGGGGACGAAGGCCCCCGGAGGCTGCTGCGAGCTCCGCGCGTTCCTTCGCGCCCTTCCGCGCCGCTCGCGCCGGCGCCGGCCTCCACCCCCGCGCGCCGCCTCCCACCAGTCCCGATGCAGGCGCCCGGCCGGGGGCCACTCGGGCTGCGGCTGATGATGCCCGGGCGCCGGGGGGCGCTGCGCGAGCCGGGCGGCTGCGGATCCTGCCTGGGGGTGGCGCTGGCCCTGCTGTTGCTGCTACTGCCCGCCTGCTGCCCCGTGCGGGCGCAGAACGACACGGAGCCCATCGTGCTGGAGGGCAAGTGCCTGGTGGTGTGCGACTCCAGCCCGTCGGCGGACGGCGCCGTCACCTCCTCCCTAGGCATCTCCGTGCGCTCCGGCAGCGCCAAGGTGGCCTTCTCCGCCACGCGGAGCACCAACCACGAGCCGTCCGAGATGAGCAACCGCACCATGACCATCTATTTCGACCAGGTCAGCCGTCGGCCTGCCCACCCCGCCCCCAGCCCGGGGAGAGGGGCGGGGACCTGCGCGCGCGGGCTGGGGTTCAGGCTTCTTGGACGTGGAGTTCCCAGGCTCTGTCCTCCCCCTCTGCCCTGCTAGTCTCTTTCCTCCCGTTTCATAGAACGCACTCCTACTCTTTCCCTTTTCCACATTTTGGCTTTTTAAAAACTTTTAAATGATCAGCTAACTTGGCACTTGGATGACTGAGAGTCCCTTAAGGCTGTCTAAGCTTTCTAAGAGTTCCGTAAACCTAAAGATTTGAAATATGTTTCCCAAAAGGAAGCATTGCACGTTTTACTTTTCACGGCGGTGTGGTTGATGGTCTTCAGTCACCCAGGTGGCCACCTGAAGGATTGAGTGCATTTAAAACTCTCCACGCTCACGAAAGGAGTCTTCCCAAGTCTCTGACAGCATTTGGAAAATACATTCCTATTGCTTATTTTGAGGAATGGATTGGGGAAGGGATGTTTATCTTAAAAAAAAAAAAAGTGAGGAAGAACAGGGATGGATATATAAATACAAAACAAAATATTGTGATTGTGTAAGTAAAATATATAGTAAATGAAATATATACCATAAGCAAATGCAATATATATAATGTATACATGAACAGTGTGTTGGTACAAATTTTTTAAAAGAGCAGTGACTTACGTCACCTTAAGCCACTTAACTTATGCCATTTGGTTCAATGCAGAAGGTTCAGAGATATGATCAGGCCTTTCTAAACCTTTCTCTGGGTTATTGGTGCTCAGGGTTAAAGGCTATGACCTTCTTTTTGTGTCCTGCTCGCCTGGTTTCTGTTGTTTTTCAGAAAAATAATTAAAAACATTATAGAGGTTTCCAAGCTTTAGCTAATTAGCTAATTACCTAATCATTTTACCAAAGTGTTTCCCACGGAATGGGGCGCCTGGCAGTCACTGACAACCTACCAGGGCTTACTGTACGTGTTTAATTGACTTTCCTTTGGTCTGTTAGGCAACTCTTAAACTTAATAACCATAAACCTACAGACACACACACTCTTGACTCTATTTAAGTCAGCGTATTTATTTCTCAATTATTGTTAGGCATTAAGTATTTGAGGTTTTTTTTTCTTGGCAGGGGAAGGCATGTGTCTCTTTAATTCATTTTTATTTACAAAATGTAAAATTATTTATTTTGATTATGTCCAAATGAGACAGCAATGGAATAGGCATTTGGGAACTAATACTCTATTAGTAAGGTTTCCTTTACGTGCAGTTATTGTTATATTATTATTATTCACTTACCAATGTCTTGCAAAGTTTTCATAGCATTTTTATATCCACCTTTGCATTTGTGTAACAAGAAAGCTCTGTGATGTAGGGCAGGATAAGTAGTAGCAGGATTCTAATTTTATACATGAGCAAACTATGGCAGGGTGCGTTCAACCTTTCTCTGGCTCCCCAGTTAATGAGGAGCTGAGGTCTGCTTTTCAGGATCTGGTTGGGTGTTCTTTCATCTACAGCAGGGCTAAATTCTACCTGAATTTATCAGTTTCCAGAATGTAAAATTGAGGTGAAGGAGTTGAGGTGAAAGGAAGAAGCAGCTCCAGAGGCTTAAATGGAGAATGCTTTATTCTTTTCTAAAAGCTTTGTAAGGAAGACAGCGAGCATAGCCTTGTGAGACTGAGAATAGGCATCCCGAGGTGTTTGTCTTAACAATGGAACCCAGAGTGTCTGTCTCAGTCCTGCCCTTGAGTGGAGCTGAAGTGGTGCTCACAGCTGGGTTGAAGAAGCTGAAACAGGCATATTTCACAAGTCATTTCGGCGATTGTCATTGGCAGCATTTCACATTGCGCTGGGAACTGCATGTTATTCATCTATAATGAGTGTGTAAGAAATAACAGCAAAGGTATTCCAGTTGAAGTTTGTATTCCCATTAGGTAACAAAATCTTAAACCCAGGATTTTGATGTTGTTGTTGGCTGTTTGTTTTAAAAGGCAGGCCATCTTATTATAAAGCAGTTGTGCATTTATGGATGAGGAGGATGGAGACAGCATCCAGACAAAGTGGCCAGAGTCTGTGTTGAGCATCTGAAAGAAATTGGGTCATCACGGGGGTCCCGCCACTCTTGAAATTCTGCTTATGAAACACTCACCCCTGCCCTTTTATCTGAGGAAAGCCATCTGCAGGGTCATGCGCACATTCCAGGTGGCTAATTTTGTCATTGTTTTGCATGTTGTAGAGTTCCCATTAGCTTAAGCTAAGGATGTCCAAGCTGCCGGTTCTCTATTTATTCAAGCTCATTTACAGGGCACCATGGCTCAGGCAAGGGAGCAGCACATTGCTCAGGGAAAATTAAGGAAAAACAGGAGTAGCAAATGTTTTTCTACAAAGGTCTTTCATTCACCACCCATCATCAACCACCTACTGTGTGAGTCCAGAGTGTGCCAGGAACTGAGAAACACTGGAGATCCAAACCTCACAGAGACCATTGTCTCTGGGAGCACGTGAAGTTAGGTCCCAAGCTTGAACTTACAGAAGTGATCTCCTTTAATTGGCCTCTTGCCCCATAGCCGCTTCTCTACCCATTCAGAATGGAACTTTTTTGTTTGTTTGTTTGTTTGTTTGTTCGTTTTTTTGTCAAACAAGGCATCATGCTGATGCCCCCATATTCCCACAGACCTCCCTGGACTCAATTTAGGATTTGTTTAACAAGCTTACCATCTTCGATTCCTTTCTCTCTGCCCTGCCCCTCAACTTACAAAATTCACAGCCAGTTTTTGAATGCATAATTAAAATATGCTTTAGAAATCTTGATTAGTTACAATTTATTAAAATACCTTTGAGATTACTTCCTGCTATAGGATCTTTTAACTTCAGCACTGCCTCCTTCCTGGGGAAGCCAGAATGCTGAGGATGCTGAATTTGTGTTCCCAGCCGCTGATGAAGGAGGCAGTGTTGCTGGTTATCCAAGGATGATGAAAACATACACCGAGGAGGGGCTTGCCATTGTGTGCTGTGTTCCCTCTTCTTTTTCAGGTATTAGTAAATATTGGCAACCACTTTGATCTTGCTTCCAGTATATTTGTAGCACCGAGAAAAGGGATTTATAGCTTCAGCTTCCACGTGGTCAAAGTGTATAACAGACAAACCATCCAGGTGGGTAGATTTGAAACTGGATCCTTTCAGGTTTGAGTTAATAGTTCCCCATTGCTAAAGGCCCCTTCACCTGGTCTCTGAGGCTGAGGGAGACAGGGTACTGGTCTGTCCAGGGGGTGATGTGGCTCTGAACTAGCTGGGAGTGCTCACTGTCAGGCTCCCCTGATGTGTACTCTAAGGGAAGGATGGGGGTGGGAGTGGGGATATTGGCAAAGGAGAGAACAGTGTGTGGGAGTTGGGTGCTTTATGGTCTGCTGAGCTCTACTCTCTGCATTTTAGGTCAGTTTAATGCAGAATGGCTACCCAGTGATCTCGGCCTTTGCAGGAGACCAGGATGTCACCAGAGAAGCTGCTAGCAATGGCGTGCTGCTGCTCATGGAAAGGGAAGACAAAGTGCATCTCAAACTTGAGAGAGGCAACCTCATGGGGGGCTGGAAATACTCCACATTCTCGGGCTTCTTGGTGTTTCCTCTATAAACACAGAGCCCCCTAGATGGTGGGGGAATGGCAAACTGGACCCAGGACTCCGCCCTTTAAAACACCCTGAACTTACTGGAATTGGACACCTTGTTTCCAACCTCCGTCAGACTGTTGCAGTAGAAGAATGATTTCCTTTGAAACCTCCAGTACTTTTGTTTTTGTTTTTTGGAATACTGACAATTCCTCGGGAACCTGGCCTCTAATTAGTTTTAGATGACAAGGTCTTAAGGAGAAATGAAATTATCGATTTGAGCAATTTGTACCTGTGATTGTAAAGTCAATATCGGATTTTATTGTTGGGACCATGGACCTCTTTTGTTTGTATGTTGTATTGTCGTCCCAACGGAAGGAGAGCTCCTGACTCCAGGATGGGCTGCAGGTTGCAGTCAGGGCTTGAAGTAGGAGCCCAGCAAAGAACCACCTGCTGGACAGTCCTTGACATGTGTTCTGTGTGTGTCTGTATAGCCTTAAGAAAAAGAATGGCTTCACTTTCATTCTGTATTCTTCCCCCCACCATGTGGCTGGGAGGACTTGGGAGGGGGATGGGGACATTGGGAACCTGTCAAGAAGTGCTTTATCCAGAGAAGCAAATTTTGCACGATTGGACTGCAATTTTTGTTTTGTATTGTTTGTGTTTTTTCTTGAAAAGCTTTACTTTTCTTTCCACACTCAGCTCTCCCTCCTCAACCCCACTTTTATTTTTCTTGCTGGGGTTGAGGAGAGAAAATATAGAATTCCTGGATAAGACCAAACAAAACAAAACATTAAAATACCTGTATGTTTTGTTTTAGACGAGACCAAACTAAACAAAAAGTATCTGTTTATCAAAGTAAAAGTAACACAATGGACAATTCTGCTTATTCTCTCAAAGAGATTCTAAGATGCACCTTTAGAACTATTAATAGCAACCTGCATTTTTTTTTAATTTATACTTCAGAATCCTTTAAGAACCTGGTGTTCCTGAGTGGTCCTGAATCATATAAGTTGGTAATGGAAGCTGTAATGACCAAGTCCCCTAAACATACTATGTCTTTGCCACGTGTGCTGTGACTTCTCTGTGGGTGATTTAATTTATTTGGATCCACCTCTGAGTGAGCGCACAGTGATCAGGTGCTTCAAAGCCAACAGACCAGCTCCTCTTCCTCCGGATCCTCTTTTGATCTGCCCAGGAAAGGGATGCATTGACACTCTCCTGCATGCACCTGGCGAGAAGCCACCTGAAAGTCACTGTGGTTAAAGATATTGGTGGAGGTACCCCAGGAGCACTGTTACAAATCCTTCTTGTTTTGGCATCTCGTACAACATTATTAAGACACAGCTGAGAGTTGATGGGTGTGTAATGCATATGCCAAGGAAATGTCACTAATCCCAAAGCAATCAAAAAGGAGACCTCAAACCAGATGTTAATTTGTTCTTTGTGTAACAATGTAACCAAAATATTGATGATAAAAGTCATAATTTAAGATTCAGAATAAATGGGTTTGATGTCTGGCTTGCTGTCATCCTCCACTTTGTCTCCCAACTCCCAAAATGTGTGGATGTAAAGGCCAACTGTCAAGGACCTGGGGAAGATAAATCTATACAGTGCCTCTGTAAAAAATGTACTCTCAAACATACACACACTGGTATGTGCAGACCTGGCTGTGGGTATGGATGGATATTGTACACTTAGATATATTTCAGTTTATACATATAGATTTTTTGAAAAGGAAGATCTTGGGGGAGATATGTGAAAAAGACAGCTTAAGAAGCTTTTAGGGCTAGGCAGTCTGCTTTTATCACATGTCATCTTTGATGTGGTGCAAGTTCCAATCCAGTATTTTCATCAGTGAACACTGATATAAAAGAAACTAACATTTTAAGCGCATAAGTTGTTTCCAAAAATGTGTGTGTGAGGATGGAGAGGAATTAGATTCCATTTTTGAAGAAGAAATTCAGTGGGGATTACATAAATGACAAAATGTATAGTTTGACTAAGGGTCTAAGTTTTACTGTCCTCAGATGAAGAGCATAATGGGATGCAGAATTTTATTTGAATTAAAATGCTGGTGCATTTTATGAGGGAAAAACATCAATAAAAGAGCATTAGGGGTACCTTGGCTCTGTGATTAGGAGACATACTTCTAAATAAGAACATTATTTATCAAGGCTGGTAACATAACAAGAAGAATGCTGGAATATGGTTTATTGCTCTTGGTTATTTTGGTCCTTTTTCCCTCATTTCCTTAAACTTATCTTCAATTTCAAACAAACAGGAAACCTTGTTAGAGGGCAATGTAATATGCCACAGATTGAAGCGTATACGAGTACTTGTTACTTTCGTCACTTAATCATATATAACGTATGTATGTTTGTATTTACACCTTTATTACATATAGGTTGTTATTGGGCTATCCTGTCTAATAATAAGCTATTAAGTAGACCAATTTAAACAAGAGTATATTTCAGGAGTTTATTTTGTGTTAGAAAAAAACATGATATCCTGATGATTCTACTTTAGTTATTCATCTTCCTCTTCTTTTTTTTTTTTTCTTGAGATGGATTCCAAAACCTGCCTCAGGAAGGAGCCATGCTGCTAGTGTCTCTAAAGTGGTTTCTTATCCCCTGCAGCATCTGCCAAGGTTCTGTTTGGCTGAGGATCTATGAGGCATCTGAAGCTCCTGTGTTTTGTCTACAAAAATATATAGGTCAGATCAAAATGTAAAATATGTATTTTTTTAATTGGAAAAAAAAAGAGAGGCTTCTGTAACATCCGAAAGGCCATCTGAGCCCTATCTCTGAGCTTCGGTTTTCTCATCTGGGTGAGGGCAGTGGCCCTGCAAGGTCCCCCACCTCACAGGACAGCTGTGAGGACCGCACAGAAGTTCTTTGAAAGCTGGAAGGCACCAGGATAACATGGTGTGTGTTCTTGGCAGGGAGGGTGTTTCTGCAAAAGCATATTTTTAACATGCAATTTATGAAAAAATTTAATATGACTGACAGAAGGACAATTTTATGAAAGTAAATATCCATACTTCTCAATAGACTATTAAAACTGTAGCACTGGGTTAGAATTTTGTCTCATTTGATTGTAGGGATGATGATACCAAAATCTATATGTTGTAATATTAACTCAATTCTCAATTATATTCTTTGGCTGTCTTGTGTGGTTCAAGTTCAGCTCTCTGCTTCCGTGTGGAATGCCAACATTTTATAAAAATATACAACTGTAACATTTTTAACACAAATAAAAAATGAGGTAGTAATGTTATGGCATTATAACAGTAAATTGCCTTGGCTGATTAAATATTAGCCCTACTAAATTGTAAGTGCTTATAAAACACAATTTTTTAAGTTAAAATATATTCTAATTTAAATCGCAACCTTGGTGAGTCAACTCTAGGTCCTGAGAAACTATGTTTACTATCTGTAATTTCTGAACCTTCATTGCATCCTAATAATTTTGATTTATATGTTCATGTATATGTGAAATTACAGTGTTAAAGTGTGTGCTTATGATAGCTGCTCAGAGTAAAAGTGATAAAAACTTATTGAATATTAGTATAAAAACTCACAGAATCCTGTAGAGACTACATAGATTCATAGATTTACCTGTTTAAATTTTAAAGCTAAATCTAATTATATTAAGCATCAGAAGAATTAGAAAATATATATAAAGCAAAAAATATTTGTTGAATCTTTAACTTTATTTGTAGTATTTTCTTACCATCAAGAAATTACAATGGTCACATACTTAGTAACTGCCACATAAATACTGTTTGCTTGTAAATACGTGAACTTCCCCCTCTGAATTTTTAGCATAGAAATACAACATAAACTACATGGGTTGGCCACATACTCCTGGAATCTGGAAATATGTGAGAGGAAAATTTGATAAATTATTTTATGCAAGCAAAACAAAAGCGCTGGTTGCTCCAGAATACTTTAGATGTCGCGAAAGGAGCAAAGAATGTTCTGTCAATTTGTAGGACCATAATTTTGCAATCTTTTATAAGGAAAAATGTTGCAATGAGATATAATGTTTGTGTGAATAAAGTAGTGAATGTTTGTTTATATTTCGACAGCATAAGAAGTATATAATAACCTAACGCACAGATACACATGAATGAAAGGCTCTTTTACGTTATATTTAAGATGGGGAACTCATAGAAGTAGCTTACAGTGAATCCTTCTGAAGGCTTTATTGAGTACTGTGTAAAAACTCTTGTAAAAATATAGAAAGATTAACTGTAGAACTACAATGAGTTTTGCCCTTTCGCCTTGCTTATATGGAGATTTATTTGTCATTGGGATTCTATTTCTAAAGCTGGCACTTTGCTACTAAAATGGGATATTACAAACATATTTTTAAATTTAATATCAAAGCCTGTTAATTCTCATGAGACTCTTAAAATTATTTTCTCTTGACATTTAAAGAGCAAGCACACCAAATATACTGAAGTATGTTAAAATACAAATTTTGCTTTGGTTTTATCATTTTATGCTCTTTGTGCTCTCTATCTTTTTTCCTATGATACACTATGAAGAAGTTAGCTGATGATGTCCACAATTATTAGTCAAATGTGTCTGTGTATTTGCCCCGCATTTTGAAACTTATTTTTGCAGAGAGATCTCACCAAAAGGCATATTTACTGCCTTTGCAGATGGATGGCTACAATTTTTGAAGATATTTTAAACATCTGCTTTGTTACATAGCTATCCATGATGTGATTGGACAGATCTAGTCCCCAAATCTCCAGTCCCCAAAAGAAGACATCATATTAAAAATCCTTTATAAGATCCAATAGATGTAAACTTTAAAAAATGGGCATGTATGCAAGTCTGTATAATAGCATTATGCCAAAACATGAATCATAAGTAAATGAGCTTTCCTTGCATTCCCATACCCAGTGGGGTAACTTGAAATTTGTAAGGGCAAAAGCCACGTGATTTTGCCTCCTACAGATAATAGGAGTTCTGTTTTATCATCCTAAGTGGGTTTTGCTGTGGATTTCCATCACCAGAATTACTCAAGTGTCTATAGCATCATAAATCATCATCTTCATCAGCTCGCCCACATACACTCACTGTGTAGTGTAAATGAGCTCCTTGACAACTTAATTTGGAAAAGAAATCTTCATTCTCCCTTCTTAATGCCTACAGCAGGACTCCCCAGGGTTAGAATGCTGCTTTGCACTGAGGCTATCCTAGCAAAATGGAAGCTACTAATTAATGAGCCACTACTAGTCTTGCAACCTGACTAGTAATGAATGTAACTTTTATTGTTGTTCACCCGCTTTCTTCAGGAATGCTGACTTCTTTTGAATTCATATCAGGTTGCAATAAACACTGAGTTGGAGAAGAATATTGGTAATAATCTGGAATGTGAAACTCCTGAATATTTTGCTGAAGTCTGTTTGATCTAAGTTTATTCATTTAAAAATACTTATATTAATCTCTTATGTCTTCAAAAGTCCTCTAGGATAAAGGGGCATTTTCTTCACTTTATACCAAAAAGAAACATTTCTTGTGATTCTGGGTGCAGCATTATTGTGGAACTGACACAATGACAATATTATCATAGGAAAAAGAATATATAAAAATAGCCAAACTAATCGAGTAAAAATTGGCAAATTTTTCTTACTACTAAAATCCCTCATTTGCAATATTTTTACATGGATCTTAAAGATTCCCTCCAGTCTTAAAAGTATATTATTCTATGTAGTATTTATCTTCAAATTGCTAATTTTCTTTTATAATTCTTTCAGAGAGGAGATTATCACTGAAAAACAAATTTAGGACATGAAAATGTGATACCATCTTCTTTTCTAATTCCCAAGCACCATGTCAGGATGTCATAGCACAGTTTTTGCTCTGAAATTGTAAACTCTTAAGTGGAAGGAGCAGTTATAGGACTTATAAAAAATGATCTATTCTTTTGGGAACAGAGTGTAGATATTTTCTTTTCATTTCACAACATTTATGTATAGCAGCCTAAGGAACAGACAGTGTGCTTAAGGATGGTGACAGAAAATTGAAGATGCCCTCGATGTGCAGAAAGAGCTTGTAGTCCTTCTTAAAAAATAACATTCAGAATAATCCTGGAGGATACTCAGCTAAACTGATGGTGAGGGGGTGGGCTGGGGTGGGTGGGGTGGAAATGTAAATGCGTGTTTACTGAAGTGAATAATATAATTTCGTTTTTTTACATATGAGGAGGAGAATGTTATTTTGACGTTGACATTGAATACTGAACATCAGTTGATATCCTGACTGAAAGGGCCCCCCATTTTGAATATGGCCACAGGTCTAGCAAACCAATCGCAAACTAGGGCTTGTGAACCTTGGAAGAATTGAAGTGGACAGGGAAAGACGCAGAGAATTCCCATCATTTTAAAACATGAGGGGTAAACTATAGTAGCCATTTTTGCAGTTTATTATTTTTTCTTGTCTTCTATCTAGTGAATTACTTCGAAAGACAGAAGGCATGCTAGAATTAGTCGAATCCTTAGAAGACAGTCATGTACCAAGATGCAAATAAGGCATGATTTGAAGGCTATCTTAAACAGAACTGAATTGGGGACCATTTTAACACATTGATTTTTTTTTTCTTTTTTTGCAAGATATTAACTTACTGAATAAAGAATAACTTAAGAAGAAACAAAAGATAAATGTGAGACCAAATGGCACCGGAAGAAAGTTTGAATTCTGTATGTTTTATACAGCATTTAAGTGTAGCAGCCTAGGGTCCAGACACTTGGGGACAGACACACACGTGTGAGTGTGAGTGTGTGTGTTTGAATATAAACAAATACCTACAGTCAAAATGTACCCACTACGAAAATGCCTCTCATGTCCCTGAAGCTGCACCATTCCTGAAACTTGCGTTCGGCAGATGAGGAGATGATGGGCCCAAGGGCCTTTACCCATTACATACTTCTAACTTTTAATCTCAAGTATTTGGTCCATGTTTCACATTTTATTTCTTGTGTTCAATCTTAGGAGTTTATTTCACCAGAAGGTAGAAATTACATCTGGTCTCCCTGACAGACAGAGATTGAGAACTTTTGAGAATAATTAGGCCATCTGGTGCTATAAATCCAATGGAAAGTTATGATCAGTGGATCATGGCCTAATCTGCTCTTCATCCATTGCATCTGAATTATCTTGGCACAAAAGAATGACAAGGGGCTGGATTTTTAAAGGAAATTGCCACATCTCCCCAGTCATTAGCAGGCAAAAGGCATGCATGCATCAGACTGTGACAATTAGGGAAGACTTATTCTCCCCTAAGGCCTATTACTTTTTGATACTTTTTATCTTAATGGAGAATTGAAATGAACCTAAATTTTTTCCAAAATTGCAGAAACATTTGTTTCAGGAAAAAAAACTCCCCAATAGATGGTGCTGGTGCTGTGATTTAAACCACTGCATCATTAGTATGCAAAAAAGCTCCAGAGAGAGGCCTCCGGGAATTCCCTTACATCAAGTTATAGAAAGACAAGAATGTGGCTTTATTTTTGCTAAATGCAAATTGACATAATTGTATAATTTGAAAACTTCAGAAATATTTCTTGATGTTTTGAGGTCAAGAAATTACTCCTCGTTTCATTGTTCATATCTCAAATATCTTTGAAACATAAATGCAAACACAATTGAATGCTGCAAAAGATGAGCTGAGAGGCCTTCCAAGTTTCTTCCTGCATACCGCTTCAAGGGTCTATTAGTGAAGCTATAATGTGAAGGTTATAGTACAAAGTATAACAGATTCTTGCTTCATATTGATGAGAAAAAAAATTGCAGATGCAAGAAGCATTTTGGCAGAATGATGCTGCCACTGATGTTGACAATGAGCACTTAATATAGCTAGACATGATACTGAGTGCTGAACAATTATCTTTCCATTTAATCATTATGACAACCATACAAGGTATACTGTTACCATTTTATAGATGATGAATATAATGTTCAAAAAGATAAATGATATGGTCAAAGTCTCAAAGTAAATAAATTACAAAGGTGGGATTCAAATCCTGAACTTTCTAACTTCAGAACCTATTCTTTGAACTATTATATTATATTATTGGAATATGTATTATATTACATGTCCAGTATAAAAGATACAGTGTGAAAAAACAATTTCATCCAGAAATCTATATATTCTCATTATTCATAAATGTTTCTATCACAGTTATTTAAATATAACACATTGTTTAAAAAGGACAATTTAGATTTGCATGCTGCACACATAAAATCTGTTCCATTGTAATTATAAGAGAAGTCTTGCAACAGCTGATATAAATTTACTAAACTGCTTACATTGGAAACACCAAAGTTTGGGCTCTCATGTTTAGTCATCATCCCCATGCAGAAAATGATAATGGAAATATTTTTTCCTCTGTTTCTGTTGCCAGCACTCTTTGCAAAGATAAACTCAAAATACTCGAACCTATAAACACAAATAGTTCATTTTTCCATGTAATGTATATTTTATAAAGGCCAGAGATCCCTCTCTGTTTAGAATTCTGAAGTTTAGCCTAAGAAATCAAGTGCAAGACGCAAATTAGCTATCCTTAAATTGAACAATTTGCTGTTTTAAAGCTGGTCCTGAAACTTTAAGCTTAAACTCTGGTTTGAGAAATATCTTTCAGAATCAGGAGTCAGGATGTTCCTTCAGAGATTAGATGCCTTTCCCTGAAAGCATAATTATTTATTTAAGCAAAATTAAAACCAATTACATGAAGTAATTATAGATTTTAACGATGATTAGCAGCATTTGGTTGTATTAAATCCTTTTATTGCATTCTTATACCAGAGGAAAACACATTTTGTAGTTTAGGTAGTAAATGGCAAAACAAAATATGTCTAAAAAAGCTTTTTTGAGAATATTTTTCTTTTTTTTTTTTCTTTTTCTTTGAAGACAGAGTCCTCCTCTGTCACCCAGGCTGGAGTGCAATGGCACCGTCTCGGCTCACTGCAACCTCCACCTCCCAGGTTGAAGCAATTCTCCTGCCTCAGCCTCCCAAGTAGCTGGGATTACAGGTGTGTGCCATCACGCCCAGCTAATGTTCTGTATTTTTAGTAGAGTCAGGTTTTTGCCATGTTGGCCAGGCTGATCTCGAACTCCTAACCTCAGATGATCTGCCTGCCTTGGCCTCCCAAAGTGCTGGGATTACAGGTGTGAGCCACCATGCATGGCCAAGAATGAATATATATATATATATATATATATACACATATATATATAATATATATACGTATATATATACGTATATATACGTATATATATACGTATATATACATATGTATATATGTATATATTTTGTTGCCTTTAATTACATTTTTTTCAGCCCACATATTAGCTTAGAGATGGGAAATTGATTACATTTAAAATTTTTAACTCTGAATTTATTACCAAGCGTTTTAATCTAATACATATTTTCTTAATATTTTAAACAAAGAATAAAAGTCCTCATTTTTTTTAACTTGCACATGAATGTACACATGAATAGGAAGGCAGATAGATAGATAGTTAGACAGATACTTTCAATATATGGTAGCTTGAACATGACAAAGACTCTGTCCTTGACCTAATGTTAGACAGGCTCCTCTGATCCCTCTTCTTATGAGGGCTTGTCCTTTGGCCTTTTCCTGGAGCCTGCCCAACCCAGTTGTAGCAAAACTCCTGTTAAGTCACTTTAATATTTAAGGAGAGGTGAGTCCAATTCCTGATCCAATCCAGTGCTCCAAATTACAGTCCATGGAAGCACAGTAAGAAGGATTTTGATTTTAAGATTCTGAACATACTCTCAAGAATGGGTTGTAATTCCAGGCTCTGGGCAAAAATCTTCATGGATGGAAATTGTCTTGTGTTTTTTTGTTTTTTTTTTTGGTGGGGTGGGGGAGGGTAGTAAGGACTTGACATTTGAGGTGGAAACTTCTGGCTCTTTTGTGAGGTTTTGATATGGTTTGGCTGTGTCCCCACCTAAATCTCACCTTGAATTGTAGTTCCCATTATCCCAGCGTGCAATGGGAGGGATCTGGTGGGAAGTAATTGAATCATTGGATGGGTCTTTCCCTGTAATCCCAGCTATGTGGGAGGCTGAGGCAGGAGAATTGCTTCAACCTGGGAGGTGGAGGTTGCAGTGAGCCGAGATGGTGCCATTGCACTCCACCCTGGGTGACAGAGGAGGACTCTGTCTCAAAAAAAAAAAAAAGAAAAAAAGAAAAGAAAAAAGAAGTGATAGTGAGAACACTGTCACTGTTCTCATGATAGTGAGTAAGTCCCAGGGATCTGATGGTTTTACAAAGGGCAGTTCCCCTGCACATGCTTTCTTGTCTGCTGCCATATAAGATGTGCCTTTGCTCCTCATTTGCCTTCCACTATGATTGCGAGGTCTCCCCAACCATATGGAACTGTGAGTCCGTTAAAACTCTTTTTCTTTATAAATTACTCAGTCTTGGGTATTTCTTCATAACAGTATAAAAATAGACTGATACATGCCACTCTTTTAGAAGCTGGGTGACAGTCTCAAGTTTTTCTGTTTATAAGACATAAAGGCTGGGTTAGAGTCCTAGGCTTCTTTGTTTGCAAGGCACCACTAGTTAAGAACATGGGAGCTTCTCAGTGGACTAGACCCTTCCACTCCCCATTCCTGCCCCAACATCCTTCTCAAATCCCCACTGACATGCTCTACACTAAGATGCTAACTCTGTCCTATTCTTTTCTTATTGGCATGCCTTTACTAGATATTTTGGAACTTCACTGGCTTCTTCAGGAAAATTGAGATGCCCTCTAACAGGCTCCTCTCAGACCTCTCCCTTCCCAGTGCCCACGCTCCTCCCTCCTCTTACCAGCTTAGGTCACTTTGAATCCTTTAATTTGTCCCCATCCCAACCCCTACCTTCTCCATTCCTCCACCCACTCTTGTGAGGCTTTTCCATTCCCATTCCAGCCCCTCAACTCCTGACTATCCCTTGAACTTCAGGCCCCTGCTCCACATTTAGGATCCTCAAGGATCTCATGGACCACCAAAGCCACTACATACCAGTGCAAAAGGCAATCTTAAAGTGTTGTATTAGTCCGTTCTCACACTGCTAATAAGGACACACCTGAGACTGGGTAATTTATAAAGAAAAGAGGTTTAATGGACTTAAAGTTCCACATGGCTGCAGAGGTCTCACTATCAAGGAGGAAGGTGAAGGAGGAGCAAAGTCACATCTTACATGGCCACTGGCAAGAGAGCTTATGCAGGGGAACTCCCCTTTATAAAATCATCAGATCTTATGAGACTTATTCACTCTCATGAGAACAGCATGGGAAAGACCCACCCCCATGATTCAGTTACCTCCCACTGGGTCCCTCTCATGACACATGGGATTTATGGGAGCTACAATTCAAGGTTTGGGTGGGGACACAGCCAAACCATATCAAGTTTTTTTCATAAATATTGGTGAAAATATTAGCTCTCATAGGTGCACAAAGGCATAGAGAGTAGCATAACGAACATTGGAGACTCAGATGCAGGGAGGGTGGGAGGGAAGTGAAGGATGAAAAATTTCCCATTGGTTACAGTGTACACTATTGGGGTAATGGGTACACTAAAATCCCAGGCTTCACCACTGTACAGTTCATCCATGTAACCAAAAACCACTTGCACCCTGAAGCTATTGAAATAAAAAAAATATTAAAAAATCATAAGCTATCATCTTTAACAAGTAACCTTAACACATTTCTTCCACCAGAAACACAATTTAGATAAAAATACAAAGTGAAGCAAAGAGAGAACCAATTAACTTATATCAGCTAGTGAATTTTGTATTATTATATTTACCTGACTCCTAGCTAGAATTTTAAAATGAAAGGCACAGAGTATCTACATGCATCTGTCTGTATGTTTGTGTGTGTATACATATATTATGTATACATATATGTGACATCTTTCTGCATCTGGATAGTATTAGCAAATAAATTCATTAAGTCCTGTAGGAAGCTCTATTTAAATTTGTTTAGAGATAAATAAACACACACACATATGTATTAAATCCTGAAACTCTCAGAAATATAGTAACTAAACCAAATGTTTTTCTAGTTCACAAGATTTGAGTAAATCTTTGATAAATAAGACTTTGGTATTACTGGTTTAATAAAAATTAGTATGTCTTCTGAATTATCAATAATTAAGTAAAATATAAACATACATTTCTATTCTGCTTTGATTTACTTGTCAAATGAGGTAATATTTATGACATGTTTAAGAGTATGAAAATTATGAATTCAACCTAAGGACAAATGTACAAAGAAGCAGTAAGAATGAATCACTTCATTCATACCAACCATAGCAGTGAAACAAAAAACCCATATACATAACTTTTTTAGATTTTTTTTTCTGATACTTGCCTAATATCCATGTGTTATTAAAGACAATTGACAGGAAAACAACTTGAGATAATAGCTGGCTTAGTTTAAGTTATAATATGTCTGCCAAAAAATAGTTTCCAAAATCTTTTTTGTTAACTTTGAGCCTTAGATTTATGCAAAGTTAAGTAATGAATATTCACTAATAAGTAGGATAAATTCCTGAAGCATTCATTATTAAGCCTACATTTAAGTGTTTATAATTTTAGCTCTTATTTTTATGTGGTAATGAGAGATTAAATATATTTGGGTCTGTAAATAAGCATGTTCTTTATGCTGCATTGAAAAATTGTACTATGAAGAGGCATACACCTATAAAAATTATGAGATAGTATAGTCATAAAGTTTACTCTTAGGCTACAGAATTTTATATGTAAAAGACAATTCACAATTGTCTATTTCCTCATTTTCATTGTGAGAGAAAGAAAAAAACTACGAATGGTAAACATGCTAATCAAGATATGAAAACAAAAGTAGTAAAAATATGTAGATGGGAAACAACATGATATGCAACATATTCAGGAATGTAAGGTGTATTTTTGTTAAGGGAAAAAGTGTATAATTTTGTTCTAGGTAAAAAGCAATGAAAAATATAGGGGAAAAACTTAATGGATATATAAAGTTACAGAAAATGAATCTTGGAAAAGCAATCTTACCTCATGGATAAGGCTGCATGAATTTATTTATAAGATTTGTTTACTTTCTTTTGTTAAGGTTTCCTATTAACAGTACATGAATACAAACTAGAATTTAGTTTTCTTTGTTAAAATAACAAAGTTTTCTCAGATTATTTGTCTGTTCTTAGTAAGAGATTTTAAAAGATTTTTTCTTTTTTTTTAAAGCAATCTGCCTGAGCAACAAAGATTCTGTTTCTTATCAGAATAATTTCCTGTGCTTTATATTGACTTTATCATGTTCTTGATTATTTAAGAGAACTGAGTCTTCTCACTTGTTAAAAGAATGAAAATTAAAATTTTATTATGATTATATTCCTCCTATGTTTAGTTTTGAATTTTTAAATGGACATTTTGGTTAAATAGGTAGCTAATATTGTTTCACAATGACCTAAGATCCCATTTAATCAAATGTGTCAACGTTTTAATATTATTAAAATTTTGCCTTCCCAAAATCAAATCCCAAATGAAATATTACTGATATTGAACTGACTTTGAGATTCCTCTGAAGCAGCCTAGAAAATCTCAAAAGATTTGTCTTTTTTAACATCCTTTAAAAAATAGGTTTGTTTGATATGTTTAATTGCATGAAAAGGATTGTCGAAGAAGAGATGCTTAATCTTTCCTATGTTACATTTGTAAATATTATTACCATAAAAATTTCAAAAGTTGTATGAAGTTCATAGAAATATTTCAGTAACATCATTGTCCATGCTATTTCTGGTTATAATGTTATTGTCATAATTCCAGATAATATTTTAAAATATTGCATGTCACAGAAATAACCACATTTCCTTGTCAAATGAATTCTCATCAGATCTTTCACCATGGCCATTTACATTTTTTTTTAATTCACAGATAGTTTTTGTTTTAATCTGATTATTCTCTAAAAGCATTCGCAGTCAGCTACAGGCCAGAGGGCTTATCTTAAACAAAAAGGGATGGTCTGAAAGAAACTTCGAAAGCTATAATAGGTACTTGTGGGTACAGGCTGTTGATGGTAGTCTTTAAATTATTTTGAGACCATCCCACTAGACTGAATAAAGATTTTCAGAACTCTAGTGAAGAAGCTGATGGATTTGTAAAACTGCTAACCCCGGATTAAGTAGAATAATCATGAATTACATGGGACTGAATGAACTGATAAAAAATGATAATAATTTTTATGGCTTCTGTTTGGAACGTTGCTGGTTATTCAATGTTCTATTTTCTGGATGTGATAACTCCTTTCCCTTCTGTATTAAACTATCTATAACTCATAAAAATGTAGTATAAATAGAAGAAAAACATTTATCTTTTTCTTTCTCACTAATCCCCCTAGGAAACAAGGAATATTAACATTATTAACATTTTGCCTTCCCAAAGGAAAAATTTGGTGTGTCTTATTGAGTGTTCTCTGTTTCATGGCAATATAAATATTTATATACTTCAATAGGAGTCTGTCTTCCTCATAGCAGGGTATAATTGGACAAATTGGTTATATAACAAAGGCTTTTACTGGAAAGTCATATTTCAGAATGATGTTGCATAAAATAAGGTCTGATCAGACAGTTTTAAGAAACTAAGATTGACTTTGTGGAGTCAATGCTTGCAAAGCTGCCTTGGAAAAACAAGCCTGGCCCTGGCTCACAGGGTCTCCAGCTTTAGAGGTGAGTGAGGAAAATCACTTTCCGGGAGATTCCAGAAAAAGGAAATTTTGGGAACCTTGAGAAGAGAGGAATTCACCCACATCTATAGGTAATGTAGGTGAAGCATGCTAGGAGGTTCTTGGCTTTTTTCTTTGCTCAATAGGCTTCTGAAAGTCAAATCTGAAATTCCGTATGTAAAGTTTTAGCAAGGGAAACTTAAAAAGGCCAGTGTGGTCAGTTACCATTTTTGTTGCACTTGTGTAAATTATTTGGCCAAATGTAATGAGACCACACTTATTTTGTAAGCAAGAATAACCTAACTTTGGTTATCTTTGATCAAAAATGATGGTGACTGTAGTGAGAAATTTTGTTTCCGTAGAAAACTGTCGCACATCATGTGGGTTATCGGGTTCTGGTCCCATTCACTGTCTTTGAGATTTTGTTACCCATCTCTAAATCAGAATGGATTCTACATCTTGCACATTTTTTCAGTCCTTACAAAATTCTCAGTTCTCCCATTTCCTCAATATTTGGCTACAATTGTTCAAATTAATTTTTCCAATATTTATTCCACTCTCCTGACGTGGTGTCCCTAATAACTAAAACCTGACTTTCCACAACCTTATTGGAAGGTTAGGTTATCTGATAGCTCACTTTCCCTCTCCCCGACCCTCCCCCACCCAACCCCAGGATATAAAGCAGCCGTCCCAGCTGCCACTGGAAGATCTTTGTGTGTGGAGCCGCTGCCGTGTGGTAATTGCCAATCAGGAAGCTTCCAGTCCAACATCTACAAATATTCTCTGCTGACTGCTCTACCACTAAGCCTGGACAAATGGTTCACTGGTTTGTTGTTTGTTTGTTTGTTTTTGAGACAGAGTTTCTCTCTGTTGCCCAGGCTGGAGTGCAATGGCATGATCTCTGCTCACTACAACCTCCGCCCCCTGAGTTCAAGTGATTCTTGTGTGTCGGCCTCCCAAGTAACTGGGATTACAGGTACCTGCCACCACGCCTGGCTAATTTTTGTATTTTTAGTAGAGATAGAGTTTCACCATGTTGGCCAGGCTGGTCTCAAACTCCTGATCTCAAGTGATCCACCTACCTCGGGTTCCCAAAGTGCTGGGATTACAGGTGTGAGCCACTGTGTCTGGCAGCCACTGTGAAGGGCTTGTTTTTAATGAATAAAGGTGATCAAACAGGACATGGACTTATATTGTTCAGAGGAAAAGAGAATGCCTCTTCTTTGAATAAGAAGAGAGACTTACAAAGACTCTCTCTTGACCAAACTTTAGACAGGCTCTACTGAACCCTCTTTTTGATGAGGCCTGGTCTTTGGGCTTTGTTCTCAGTACTGCCTAGCTGGTTGTAGCAAGAATCCTGCTGAATTGGCTTAAGGAGAAGCTCCCTTCCCTTGATACCTGATCACTTGACTTGTCTTATCACGAGTCCATTTAACAATGAGAACACATGAACACAAAGAGGAGAACAACAGGGTGGAGGGTTGAGGGGAAGGAGAGGATCTGAAAGAAAAAATACTTATTGAGTACTATGCCTATTATACCTTTTTTACTAAATAATCTGTACACCAAACCCCCGTGACACTGTTTGCCTATATAACAATCCTGCACATGCACCCTTAAACCTGAAATTAAAGTTTAGGAAAAAGAATCAGTTTAAATCGGTTTAGCAAGATTCCCTGCACTTGAAGTCTTCTCTTAGTAATTTTCTGTCCACTAACTCTGCTGTAAGGCTTCACATCTCCAGCTGTCTTTGTTGTATTTGGAGTCTCACCATTGTCCGATGGTCTTGACGCCTAATATGATAGCCCTAAATAAAATCTCCCTTACCATTTTAACTATTGTCAGAATAATATGTTATTTGACAAATGTATGCATAATATAATTTATATTTAGATAAATATATAAATATAATTTATAAACATTTTAACCGTGTGTGTGTATATATATATATATATATAGCATACCATCACACAGATATAAAACCATAGGGATAAAAAGAGTAATGAGGAAAACTACCATTCAAAGAAGAAATGCATCTTTTCAAAAATACTTATGAAACATATTCATCTTCTCAGAATACTTAATCTTCTGCATGAGAACCTGCTATACATGATGTAAACTCGGGTAAGTCACACAGCTTATCAGGTGAGTGTAACAATTATGCAGCACTTACTGTGTACCAGCCAGTGTTCTGAGTGGTTAAAGTATATTTAGTCATATTAACCCTATAACATAGGTATTATTCGTATCTCCAGCTTGAATGTTAACAATTTAAGGTCACAAACACTAATAATTTAACTAACTTTCCCAAGGTCAAACAGATAGTAAGTAGAGGGGCTCTGCTTCAAACCTAGCCAGTCTGATCCCAGTCTCTGCTTCTAACTATGTTATACTATCCCTCTGGATGACTGTGACATAAACTCCAATGATGTGGCAAGCAGACTGTGCCACTGTGATGGCTGAATCAACTTTAGTGATTAGCAAAAATAAATCAATGCCACAATCGGGATGATGAATCTTTCAGTGAACACCTGAGTCATAGAGGGTTCCAGCAAGCTATTTTAGTCCTTCCCAAGAACAGCCCAACTGAGCTACCAAGTTCCACTCATTTCCCAGACATGCACTCCTGACGTTTCCAAAGCAGAAGTCATTACGCTATCTGCTAAATTCCTACCAGCCATATCTTGCAGTCGCCGTAGCACAGAAGCCTAAATTTGAGCCTTGAATCCTGATTATTTCTGGTCTGGCTTGTGCTTCTATATCAGCCAGGAATAAAGTGTTCTTAAGACCTGGTTTCCAACGTCCACCTAATTTCAATAACTCCATCCTTGACCTTTTGCTTATGTGTGTGCCTTATTAGTATTTGTTTTTATTCGAATTTCGCTATGTCTAGCTACCCCCAATTTTCTTCCTGCCAGTTGCTTTTCCTGAGAAAAATGTCATTCTCCTGAGGTCCTGGTCTCCTGCTGTATATTTACAGACCTCTCCAATCGTCAAAGAGTGCTGGTCACCCAGTTTATCTGCTTGCTTGCTCCTCAGATTTCCAAATATCTCTTGTTCCTGGACATCTTATCCCTCGGTACCTTTTTTCTTAAATCTTCATAATTGCTACTGTTTTACTAAGATCTCTTTTGGAAGCTCTTCCATTTTTAAGAAAGAGTGGGCTGGGCGCGGTGACTCACACCTGTAATGCCAGCACTTTGGGAGGCCGAGGCGGTGGATCACGAGGTCAGGAGATCGAGACCATCCTGGCTAATTCGGTGAAACTCCATCTCTACTAAAAATTCAAAAAAATTAGCCAGACGTGGTGGCAGGCTCCTGTAGTCCCAGCTACTCGGGAGGCTGAGGCAGGAGAATGGCGTGAACTCGGGAGGCGGAGGTTTCAGTGAGCTGAGATTGCGCCACTGCACTCCAGCCTGGGTGACAGAGCGAGACTCCGTTTAAAAAAAAAAAAAGTGAAACAATCTTCCTTAAAACGGAAAACTATCAAACTATCAACTATCACAGAAAACTGAGAGCATATTTCAGTAGTCCAGTAAGAAACAATGAGAATTGAAGCTCAGATAGTATTAGTTTAACGATGTGGATGAATGGGTTAGGGAGATGCAAAGGGGGCAATCTTGACATTATGTGTTCACTGCTTGTAGATGGGAATGGAGGAGAGACGAGCATTACAGAGGGTTCGCATAACTGGCTATACAGTCACAGAGAGACAGTGGTCATATTCACCAAGATGGGATAAGAACAACCATAGTTAATGTAGCACAGTCATATATGTGAGTGCCAAATTTTACTGAAATTGTATATAGTTTACTACCTTGTCTCTTTTTGATGTTTCATAGCCCCAGAGTAAATAAATTTTAATGGTTGAGTTACTTTGATATTTTATGTATTTTATTTCATTAAGTAATAGCAATTTATCTGTATGTTATATATGTGTGTAACCACTCAGTTAATCAATTATTAAATATGTAATGAATGATTCTTTTAATAATCTATTGAATTCAAATATCACGTTGCAGCTTACAAAGTGCCTTGTTTACTTTTTTAATTTAATTGTTACTTTATATCATCAGCTCAATCAACTTTCTGTTTTAGTAAGAATTCTTAAGGAACAGATTACAGTAAATTTTACCCCTTTTAGTGCACAGTTCTCTTAGTTTTGACAAGCTCAAACAGACCTGTAGCCCACCATGATCAAGATGTAGTACATTCGACTATCCCATCAGTACAGGATCCTTTGCAGTCAACTGCTCCACAAGTCCTGGCAATTCCTGATCTACTTTGCTTTCCAGAACATCAAACACAGTAAAACAAAACTCAATCTCTTGAGGCTGGCTTTTTCCCTTAGCCTAATGTATTTGAGATTCGTCCATGTTACTGCTTGTTTTGATTATTTCTTCCTTTTTAATTCTGATTCGTATTTCGTTATAAGCATAAGTTTACTATTAATTCACTGGCTTAAGGACCTTCAGATTTCTTCTGGTTTTCAGTGATTATTAATTAAGCCACTATAAGCATGTTTATCTATTTTTTGATCCATATTACTAAAAGTAATAATCAATAAATTTATAAGTTGAGCATTGTTTTTCCCATTTTTCAGAAGAGATTAAATGACTTTCTCCAATTAAGTAGCCAGTAAGTGGTAAGAACTCTAGAAGGATTAGAATTTGGTTAGGTGAAAAGATGAATAAACTTATTTCAAGAAAATGCATGTGTTCGCATGCTCACACTTGTACATGCACACACACGCACAATGGATACCCTAAATTTAACTGAGTTCAGCCAGACTTCTCTACAGATTGACAGCTCCAGTTGGCTCCCTCTAGCAGTGTTCAAACGTTTTACGGCCCCATACCCCTGCAGACACCTATCACTTTTCAGTTTTCTGTTTTTTCTCATTTTTTTTCTTTTTTTTTTTTTTGCCAGTCTTAGCAAGAGGCAACCAATATAAATAATGATAATTTTCCATGAAAAACACAACAATAAAGATGGGGTTTTAGATTGGTCAGTTCATCAGTGGTGTGCAGCCCATGTGAAAAGGCAAAACATGAAGGAACAGAGGTTGATGGGCAGATTGTTGCTGGTGTCCAGGTGGCCGAGGAACTTGAAAATCATGCAAAATCTAGGAATAGGAAGAAAATGATCAAAGCAAGAGACTTGGTGGTAAAATAAACACTTGGTTACTGATTGCCATAGTTTTTGGATCTAGATGAATAGCAAAATAATGGTACCTATGGCAAATCACGGGAATCAGAAATGTGATGTGATTTACAACGTAGTGAAATTTATTGCTTTTAATGAAATCTTCTGCACCTCAGAAATATGTAAGCTATTATTTGTAAAAGAGGGACCTCTAACATGTGGGAAAATTATTTATGGTGTAACTCAGGGGTAGCCAGGGATGGGATGTTTTATCTCTGTTTTCCTCCATGAAGCATTCCAAACGAACAAATTTCATCTGTCAAGACTGGTTTATTTTAAGTTAATATGTATGATTAGTGGGTTTTGTTATTTTACATAAAATAAACACCATTTTTGTTTCAAAACATAGCACTAAATTTGCTACAATGTCGATTTAATATTATTTATGAAATCTAATTTGATGATTAATTCAGTAGTTCCTGGGGCTGATTGAGCACCAATCTTGGAACTAGAAAGTGATAAAATACCATAAAATATATCCAGAAAACCTCTAATGTATTATGCAGAAGACACATGGAGAATAAAGTTTATTTACAGCATTAACGTGCTTTTTACATCTTAATTGTTATAGTCATATCTGTCATTTTCCTTTATTTTTAGGATTCTAAAACTGCTTCAGGCTATACCTAAAAGATTTCTGAAGAAAAGCAAATGTTAACTAGGAGATTTGCTTTTTTGACCTCTATATGAGAATTCTGTTACTTAGAGGCTACATAATATCACTAATGGAAATGACTAACATTTACTGAAAGCCTACCTGCTGCCAGGTGTCACTCTGTGTTTGACTCCTGTTACATCTCCTTATACTGCCATTTTCTCTAGTCTACAGCTGAGGAAACTGAAGAACGGAAGTTAGTGAAGTTGTTCAGGGTCTCACTGAGGGCTGTCCTAGCCAAGGTCTGGGCCCAGCCTAACTGGCTCAAAATCTGTACAGTTGTGGATTATGGCATCATGCACTGTTGGGAGCATCAGAAAATGTCGATAAAGGCTGAAACTTTCTTTCTTTAATTGATTATTGTGGTCAGATGCCTATCTTACAAAAGTTTTCCTTTTCACTCCATCAGTTGTTCATCACATTTGTAAGTTCAAGTATCTCTGAAGTTAATTTAATTTATATATTTAATAATATCTTTTGGCCAAGTGTACAATGCCAATTTAAATCCAAACCCTGGAGTACTTATCTTGATGGCTTAATATATCTGCAACCAGACTCAATTTATTCATTTATTTATTAGGGTTAGGTGCTGCAGATATGATGACATGAACAGTCACAGTTCATGAAGCGTGAGGTTTGGGGGAATTTTGATAAGCATATGTGAATCTAACACACCTTACAGGAAGTGTTAGGACTTTGGCAAGCTTAGAACTCCCAGAGTGGAAACACAAGGGGTGCATCTGATCCCATCTCTCAGGAAGCTGTCATAGGGAGGTGATGTTCAAGCTCCTCTGAAGGTTCAGAGAGATGGGTCTAAGTGAGGAGAGGAGCGGGGAGGAGGAAAAGGAGAGGTGAAGGTGCTGGAAAAGAGGTAGAAAGTCATAGAAAAAGCTTTTAGGACATAAAGAAGAACTTGGAATTTAGCTCAAAGGTAAATTCTTTACAGTTTTAACAAGTGTTATGACTCAACTTAAATCACTCTGATGAGGCTCTTATTATATGAATAGAAAAACCTATAGAGAAACTGTATTATGTAATGTTGATATTTAACATTTTCTGCCTTTGCACATCTTTCCATAGTTCCTTATGAAAATTCATTAACTAGTGATATAATTGAACATTGGTTTGTTACAGAGGCATAAAAGAAATGCCCAGGGATCACTCATTTGTTTCTAGCCTATCATTATTTCCCACCTGCACGATATAGAGATTTTTAAGGAAAGAATAGCTATATTAAAAACATAAATTCATTCTGATTTCTGAAATAATTTGCAGGGCAACATATATGCTATAATAATTTTCCTGAACAAATGTGTCTGTTATATTTATAGTGGTTAATTTTAGTTTACATGGTTGATTTATTGACTTTTAATAAAGTTCGTAGAACATTTAAATATCTTCCAATTTTTCAGAAATAATTTATATACAGTAAAACCCACTCTTTTAGGGTACAATTCTACAACTTTTGAAAGTGTTATAGAGTCAAGCAACAACAATCAAGATAGAGAATAGGTCCATCCTTCCCCCAAAATTCCTCCTCTGTGTAGCCAAACTTTTCCTCTGGAAACCATGGATTTCTTTACAGTCTCATAGTTTTGCCTTTTCTAGAATATCATAATCCTACAGCAGGCAGTCTTGTATGGCTTCTTTCACTTTTCGTAATGCATTTTAATATTTATCTGTTTTATTGTGTGTATCAGTGTTCATTACTTTTAATTGCTGAGTATTAATAGTATATTATTGTGTTCTATTTCTTGACTGTTACAAATATAGCCACTATAAATGTTATATGCAGGTTTTGTTTGAACACAGGTCATCATTACATTTGAGTAAGTACCTAGGAGTAAGATTGCTGACTGTCTTCTTCAGGGTTTGGTTAACTTTATAAGAAATTGTCAAACTGGCCACCGAAGTAGCTGCACAATTTTGCATTCTTACCAGTAACGATTAAGAGTTCCAGTTGTGTAGATCTTCATCAGCACTTCGCAGTGACTGTTTTGCCCCCATTCTAATAGAGTGAAGCAATTAATATCAATTGCTTTTAAGACATTATAAGTGAGAGTGGAAATACTACTCTGTAGGGAAATTCTACTCAAAACACACTTAAAATTGGCAAAAAAAAAAAAAAAAGAGCTGTAAATAGCCAATGAATTTTGAGGAAGTGTTTGCTTATTATTGATTTTTTTTTTTTTTGAGACCGAGTTTCTCTCTGTCACCCAGGCTGGAGTGCAGTGGTGCCATCTTAGCTCACTGTAGCCTCCAACTCCTGGGCTCAAGCAATCCTTTCACCTCAGCCTCCCAACTAGTTAAGGCTACAGGTGCAAGTAACCATGACCAGCTAATTAAAAAAAAAAAATTTATAGAGACAGTATCTTGCTATGTTGACCAAAATGATTGATATGGCCTGGCTGTGTCCCCACCCAAATCTTATCTTGAATTGTAGCTCCCATAATTCCCATGTGTTGTGGGAAGGACCTGGTGGGAGGTAATTGAATCATGAGGGCGTGTCTTCCCCTTACTGTTCTTGTGATAGCATGTAAGTCTCAAGAGATGTGATGGCTTTATAAATGGCAGTTCCCCTGCACACACTCACTTTCCTGTTGCCATGTAAGACACGACTTTGCTCCTCCTTCACCTTCTGCCATGATTGTGAGGCCTCCTCAGCCATGTGGAACTGTGAGTCCATTAAACCTGTTTTTCTTTATAAATTACCCAGTCTCAAGTATGTCTTTATTAGCAGCATGAAAATGGACTAATGCAGTGATTATTGTTGAATTCTGAAAGTCTTTTATGGGTGCTGGATACAGATTTTTAATAACATACGTGACTTAGAAATAATTTTATTCCAGTCAGTATTTTCTTTTTACATTGTCTTCTTGTTTTATGGGGGGAGCAGACATCTTAAATTTTGATGCATTCCAGTGTAAGATTATTTCTTATATGGATCACATTTTGTGGTAAAATTTTAATTTTTTTATTTATGTAAGGCCATAAAGATTTTTCCTTCAGATTATCTGGATTGCTTATAATATAGATTTTACAATTTCAAATCAGTTGTGTTCTCTAGCCAGCTAGTTGGCTATTGGCTCTTAAGAGTCAATTGTAAAAACCTAAAATTTTTGTGCAATTGCTGATGTCACATTATTAGGTAAAGATCAGTCGTGTCCATGTTATTTACACAGTAAAAATCAGCAAATGCAAAAATTCAAGTCTTTTTTCCCCCACAAAGCTGGTTGATATGCATTTTCATACATAGCACTTTCTATGTTCTACATTGTTAGTTTTTGTACAGGGTATGGATATAGATAGATGTTTATTTTGTTGCATATGAATATCCATTAGTTCCTGCAATATTTCTTCAAATGAGTATGCTTTCTTCAGTGACTACCTTTGATGTCTTTATTGAAAATAAACTCACTATATATCTGTGAATCAATTTCTGGACTCTGTATTCTATTTCATTAATTTATATATCAAAATTTATCTAATACCTCACTGTTTGGACTAGTGTGCGTGGTTTTATATTAGGTAAAGACCAAGAAGTATGTATGATTATAGTGTTTTCTTTCTTCCTTTTCAACATTTGTTGGCTATTATAGTTCTTATTTTTTCTTTTGGTCTATTTTTTATGTATTTTGAAGTTCTGTGCATATATACTCAAGAATGATATGTCTCCTTAGAGAATTGGCTCTTTTATCATAATATAATATCTCTCTTGATCCCATTGGTGTTTGCTCCAAAGACTATTTTGATATTAATATAGCTAATTCAGCTTATTTTAATTTGTGTTAGAATAGTACATATTTTTCTATCTTTTTATTCTAAGCCATTTATACTTTCATATTTAAAGTTTACTTTTTTGTAGAGAGTATATAGTTGGGATTTGGGTGTTCACAAACAAACAAACAAATAAACCTTACAATCTTTGTTTTTTAATCTGTCGTTCTAGAACAATAATATTAATTGTATAATTGATTTAATTGGATTAAAATATACCATCTTGCTAAGAGTTTTACATTTATTATCTCTCCTTTTCTCATTTGTTTCTACTTTTTTTGATTGAGTAACTTTTATGATTTAATCTTATTTCTACTTTTGGGTTATTATCTATCACAAAAATTTTCTTAGTGATTTCTCTATGGTTTAAAATATGTGCCTTTTTATTAAGGTATAGTTGACAAATAAAAATTGTATCTATGTATGAAGTACAAGGTGATGTTTTGATATATGTATACATAGTAAACTGATTAAATCAAGCTAATTAACTTATCTATCACTTCATATATTTTTTTTTTGTTGTGAGAATATTGAAAATCTACTCCTTAGCAATAAAATATGCACTTTTTAAAAAAGAAATTATTTTAAGTTCCAGGATACATGCGCAGATCATGCATGTTTGTTACATAGGTAAACATGTGTCATGGTAGTTTGCTGGACCTATCAACTCATCACTTAGGTAGTAAGTCCCACATGCATTAGCTATTTGTCCTGATGCTCACTTTCCCTCCCCTCAACCCCCTGACAGCTCCCAGTGTGTGTTGTTTCCCTCCCTGTGTCCATGTGTTCTCATTGTGCAGCTGGAAACCATTATCCTCAGCAAAATATGCCTTTTAATTAATCAAATACTACCTTCAGATACTTTTGTGCTATTTTGCATGTAGTTTAATAATCTTGTAACAGTTACTTTCAATTCCTCTCTGCCATTTTTTTGCCACTCCTGTCATATATTTTTCTTTTACATATAATGTAAACTTAAAATATGTTGCAACTGTATTTGTTTTGGATATTATCTTCTAGAGTACTATAAAAATGTTAAAATTTCCTTCATTTATCCCATTTCCTGCACACTTCATTTGTTTGTGTCAATCCAAATTTCCATCTGGTTTTGTATTCCTTCTGAAGGGTTCTTTTAACATTTTTTGTAGTGCGGGCCTCTGGCAATGAAGTCTCCTGACAAAACATATCTTTGTCATGGAGATCTTATTTCTTCTTTATTATAAAACATTCTTTCGCTGGGAATAGAACTTAGGTTGGTAGCTTTTTTTGGTTTTCTGGCACTTTACAGATATCACTTTTTTATCTCCTGGCTTGTATGACTTATTATGAAAAGAGTTCCACAATTTTTATATTTGTTCCTGTTTTCACAATCTTATTTTTAAATTTAACTTCAAGATTTTCTTTTTGCCCTTGCTTTTCAGAAATTTGAATCTGACATGCTTAGGTGTGCATTTTGTTTTTCTTGTTGGTATTCTCTAAGACACTTGGATCTGTGGTTTTGTATCTATCATTAATTTTGGAAAATTCTCAGCCCTTGTTTCCTCAGATATTTCCCCTCATTCTCATTCTTTCTCTCTCTTACCTTTTGAAATTCTTATTTCATGTATATCAGTCATATTTGGTGTTTTCCCATGTCTGCATGCATGAGTTTGTGTGTTTGTTCCTACTATTTTTTTCCCTCCTTGTGTTTTACTTCTGGACAATATTTATTAAAATATTTTTAAATCCCTGGTTCTTATTTTGACTATGTTGAATTAACTGATGAGTCTATGAAAGGCATTTTTCATCTGTTTCTATTTTTCATTTTAATATTTTTATTTGAGGCTTTATTATAAGTTTTCTGTGATGAAATTACCCCTATGATCTATTACAGATATATCCATAGACTCCAACCAGACACTGAATCTGCCGGCACCTTGATCTTGAACTTTTTAACCTCTATAACTTTGAGCAATAAATTGCTGTTTTCTTATAAATTATTCAGTCTAAGGCATTTTTCTTGTTATTGTAGCTGAAACAAATATGTTATTGTAACGTTATTATAGCGACTTGCAAAATAAAGTACCAGAACAAGGTAACAAAAATTAGGAGATCAGTTTGAATGGAGTTTATCTTTCAGATTTAGAAGACATTATTTTACCCTTAATCTCTCAGCAAGATTATTGTGAAAATCCACAACCTTTGATAACACATGAATACAAACTCTCCCCCCTTCTATATTTATTTTCCTGGTCTTAGTAAAGTCCATAGACACTGCATTCCTGGAACTTCATTTGAATAAGAAATTGATACAAGGTGAAAAAAAAAGTAAATTAAAGCCCACTAAAACCTTCATCTTCAACTTGTTAAAACAGGCATAGTCTACTCTGAACTAGACTGGGAAAAGGCAAACTTTATTGGCCATTATTGTGCCTCCCTGTGTAATGATGTATTCATCACCTTTAGGTCTGATGGAGTTTTGGGATTAGTAACTGAGTTTGGCAGAGGGGAGGCGAATGACCATTTCTACTCAGGAGATTTCTGCTTGCTAAAGGAGATAAACATTTACTTTGCTTCTGTTTCTGTTTCAAGTAGTTGGTGAAGGCAGCCTGGGTTTAATGGGGGGGGAATAAATATTTTTTTTGACATTAGGGCACGGTTCCTACAGATATTACTAGAAACCTACTTTCCTAGCTAAATGAGGTCATGGGTTTTACCTGGTGGAGTAACCCGAACTTTCATTCCTGAAGGGTCTGGACCATTTGTAGTCCTGCCTGGATTGGGTTGTTGTAATTTCCCATTAACCTTAATCACAGGGCATGGTAATACTAGGAGATGTCCTAAGGGATCTCCTTTATTCCATACATACACTTCTTTACTTCCACTGTGGAGTAGTAGACTGATTTCATCTTGATAGTCTGGGTCAGTTACCCCAGCCAACATTGTAACTCCCTTCTTTGCCTGTTGACTTAGAGGTAGGAGGAGCCCAAAGTGCCAGGTGGGAATATTAACATCCAATTTAATGAAATCACCATTGTGTCTCCTGGTGGCAGCATTCTTCCCTCTGGAATTAAGACGTCTAGGCCAGTATAACATCATGTGAACAGAAAGAAAAAAATTTGCTAGTGGGTCACTAGGGTTGATGGTGAGTTGGGTCCTGGACTAATACAGTAAATTGGTACCTCAGAGAGTGGGGTGCTGCTGTAAAGATATCTGAAAATGTGGAAATGATTTTGGAGCTAGGAAACAGTCAGAGGTTGGAACAGTTTGGAGGGCTCAGAGAATGATAAGAAAATGTGGGAAAGTTTGGGACTTCCTAGAGACTCGTTGAATGACTGACCAAAATGTTGATGGTGATATGGACAATGAAATCCAGGCTGAAGTGGTCTCTGATGGAGATGAGGAACTTGCTGGGAACTGGAGAAAATGTGATTCTTACTATGCTTTGGCAAAGAGACTGGCGGCATTCTTCCCCTGCCCTAGAGATCTGTGAATCTTGAACCTGAGAGAGATGATTTAGGGTATCTGGTGGAAGAAATTTCTAAGCAGCAGAGCATTCAAGATGTGACTTGGGTGCTGTTAAAGGTATTCAGCTTTATAAGGGAAGCATAGTGTAAAAGTTTGGAAAATTTGCAGCCTGAAAATGTGATAGAAAAGAAACCCATTTTCTGGGGAGAAACTCAAGCCCACTGCAGAAATTTGCATAAGTAAAGAGGAACAAATCACTAAGACAATGGGGAAAATATCTCCAGAGCATGTCAGAGACCTTCACAGCAGCCCCTCTTATCACAGGCCTGGAGACCTAGGAGGGAAAAATTGTTTCCTGGGCCAGGCTGCGGCCTCCCTGCCTTGGAACATGGTAACCTGCATCCCCGCTACCTCAGCTCCAGCTGTGGCTAAAAGGGGCCAATATATAGCTCAGGCTGTGGCTTCAGAGTGTGCAAGCCATAAGCCTTGGTGGCTTACACGTGATTTTGGGCCTGCAGGTGCACAGTCTTCAAGAACTGAAGTTTGGGAACTTCTGCCTAGATTTCAGAGGACGTATGAAAACTCCTGGATATCCAGGGAGAAATTTGCTGCATGGGTGGGGCCCACAGGAGAACCTCTGCTGGGGCAGTGCAGCAGGGAAATGTGGGGTCAGACCCCCCACACAGAGTCCCTACTGGGGCACTGGCTAGTGGAGCTGTGAGAAGAGGGCCACTGTCCTCCAGAACTCAGAATAATAGATCCACCAACAGCTTGCCTCATGCACCTGGATAAGCTGCAGACACTCTACACCAGCCTGTGAAAGCAGCTGGGATGGGGTCTGTACCCAGCAAAGCCACAGGGGCAGAGCTGCTCAAGACAGTGGAAGCCTACCTCTTGCATCAGCATGACCTGGATGTCAGACAGGGAGTCAAAGGAGATTATTTCAAAACTTTAAGATTTAATTACTGTCCTACTGGATTTTGGTCTTGCATGGGCCTGTAGCCCCTTTGTTTTGGCCAATTTTCCCATTTGGAATGGATGTACAAATCCTGTACCTCCACTGTATCTAGGAAGTAGCTAACTTGCTTCTGATTTTACAGACTCATAGGCAGAAGGGACTTGCCTTGTCTCAGATGAGATTTTGGAATTGGACATTTGGGTTAATGCTGGAGTGAGCAAAGATTTTGGTGGACTGTTGGAAAGGCATGATTGTGTTTAGAGGGCTTCCCTCTGCTCTTGTCTCTCATTCTTCTCCTTCCAGCTGCCAGGTGAAGAAGGACGTGTGTTTGCTTTCCCTTCTGCCGTAATTGTAAGTCTCCTGAGGCCTCCCCAGCCCTACAGGACTGTAAATCAATTAAACCTCCTTCTTTTATAAATGACCCAGTCTCAGTTATTTCTTCATAGCAGCATGACAAGGAACAAATACGTTGTGTCATTTTGGGAGCAGAAGGGAAACCCTAATGTCTTCCACTGAGCATCTTTTGACTGATTATGAGCAGAGAAAGTAAGACTGTTCTGGAGATTCCACACAAAGGATAATATAAGAGAAGATACACAAAGCAGTTTTAGAGGAACAGAAGAGTGAAATTGTTCTGCAGAGACAATAGCAGAAAGGAGAAAGGTAAAATATATTGGAAAGCAAATAAACTAGTAAGGATGAGGTAGCAGGTGGGCATCAGCAACCAAATAAGAATAACCATATGTGGGAGTCATCTCTTTTACATGCTTAGTCAAAGAAAAGGTCATTAGTTTCTGAAATAATAAACATTGGTTATTGTCTAGCCTGTACTTGTATTATTATGACTTCTGGACCTTCATTTCTATCAGTATTTTATCTTTCTGGAAAAGTCCTCAAATTCAAGATGTGATACTGAGGACTGTCCTTCTGATGGTTTTAAGAAATTGGGTTGTTATACAAATGAGCCAAAGAGGTCGTAGTATTGGCCCCTAGGTACTGTTTTATCTTCACAGCATGCTCCAAAGCTCCAAAGCTTGCAGCACCAAACTCAAATTTTTAAATATCCAATTGTTTTAAAACTAGCACAAATGATTTTTTGCTAGTTGGTGCCTTGCAGCTCTGCCCATGCTGTGAAACTGTGCCCAACATCTGCTGGTCACTGGAAGATGGTGTTGTGGTCAGAAGATCCAAGCGGCTTCTGTCCTTCAGAGCTCCCTGACCCAGACACTCCTCATTATGCTGCTGAGCAACATCACCTAGATGCAGAAGCCTGTCCAGTGTTTAGAAGTTCCTTCACTTCCTCCTCAGGATGGTGACGCCCGTGTTGTGTGGCCCATCATGATCTCATGCTGTGGGAGCTTCCCTTTCATGCAACTCTCCCTGTTCAAGCCCCACCTGATAAAGTTTGTGTGTTACTGCCTTTTATTTTTTTTTCCGTGATCAAGTCCCCAAAGCCCTCAAACCTTCTACAGGGTATCAATGCCAAGCTGAAGGGATTAATTTGGGCAGGAATAGCTCTCCCTACTTCTTGGGTTTTGCTGAGCTGCTAACAAAGGATCCCAGTGAGAGCCAATGGTCATGATTTTCCTTTTCTTAAAATTAATGAGAAAATTTTCATGAAGTAATTGGTAAACTAGAAACAACAAATGTTTCATCTCCAGACCTCTACAAGTACATTTAGTTAAAATAATCCCCGCTAACCTTTAAAAAGTTGATGTGGATAAAATGAAAGCTATCACGGTTAACATGTGAGATATTGTATAGAAAACTTCAGAATCTAATGACAGATAAACTGGTGTCATGCCCGGGTCTGCAATGGATCTTGTCTTATCATGTTGTCCTCTGTCACAATTCATAATCTCTTCCTGAAGCATTTAAGCCAATTGTCTAATGGATAAAAAGAGAGTGTACTAAGCATTTCAATGAGCTCCAAAGACATTCAAAATATTTCCATATCTGGTTGGGCACTATGGCTCATGCCTGTGATCCCAGCACTTTGGGAGGCCGAGGCGGGCGGATCACCTGAGGTCAGGAGTTTGAGACCAGCCTGACCAACATCAGTCTCTGCTGAAAATACAAAATTAGCTGGGTGTGGTGGCACATGCCTGTAATCCCAGCTACTCGGGAGGCTGAGGCGGGAGAATGGCTTGAACAAGGGAGGCAGAAGTTGTGGTGAGCTGAGATCATATCAATGCACTCCAGCCTGGGCAACAAGAGCAAAACTCCATCTCAAATATATATATATATGTGTGTGTGTGTACTTCCATATCTATCTATCTATCTGTCTGTCTGCCTATCTATCTATCATCTATCTATCTATCTATCTATCTATCTATCTATCTATCTATCTATCATCTATCTGTCTGTCTGTCTGTCTGTCTGCCTTCCTGCCTATCTATCTAATATATATATATATATATTTTTTTTTTTCCATATCTAATTCCATTCCATATTTGGGAGTTGTAATCTATGTTTTGGAGTTTATGGTTAGACTTAAAACATTTCTTGCAAATATTTACTCTGCTGATAATGTCAATTAATAGGAAAGCCTCATATGCCTTCTACTTTAAACATCAATTTCTAGGTTAGTTAAATGATATTAGGAGTCAGGAGGACAGTCCACAGCATAATGAAGACAAAGATCTATGTTCAATGGTAAAGGTGCAGTTTTGGAGGCAATTATGAGGTTAAGAGAATAGACTGATGGCATCTGTATTTACTAGATGACTTTTCATTAAGCTTGTTAGGTATATAGTACTTGAATGCATGGGTTATTTTCTACATCCTACTCAGCAACTAAGAATAATTTTAGCATGTGAGGATTCTAAAATATTTTTCCCTTATCTTACTTATCTGTGTAAGAAAACTGTCCTGATTTTTTAAATGCATTTGACACTTAGGTAAGTAAGCCTTAGTGTCATGGAGTTTAATGACTCACCTAATTAGATGATACATCATTAGCGTCTTGAGCTATGTTTTTCACAAATAATCCTTCCTTTTTCTGCACATGGCTGTACTTTCTTCCCCTGATTTGCAAAGGTCATGAGCAAACAATACCCTAACAACAAATGCTGCAATTTATTATGTGTTAGTGATATACCAGACATGGTACAGTTGCTCCACATATATTATCTCTAATGACAGGACGTCATGAAATGGACTAATATATACTTTTAGGTATTAAGATTTGAAAATAATGAGAGACATATTGGATGAAACATATGACATCTAAGTATGAATGTTCCAATATTGATCTCTGTGACGTATCATTGGCAACTTACATAGTTATGGGTAAATGTTTAAAAATATGGGAACCCTGAACAGAGACATACCCTCAATGTATCTGCAAATTAGTAAAATAGTAAATTATCATTGCATGACCCCCTATTTTTTCTCATTAATATAGAAAGCCAAGCAAACACACTCTACTTAATTTGTACTGCCTACATAATTGTTTTTGTTCTTTCTTTAAAAATTACAGACTTGTAATGAATGAACAAATGAGGAAAAAGGGAACAGTTATTTCACTCGGGAAAAGTTAGAGCAAGATTTAGAATCTAGCTCTTGATTTGACATTAATATGATTTTAAAAATATGTTTGCTAAGTGTTAAAAAATGTGTGAACTGATCACAGTTTTCTGCATAAAGATTGAATGCTTCTCATATTTAACAATTTGCATTGTTGTTTATATATGAAATATTTAAATAAAGAGTTATTACTCTTATTTTTAATAATATAATTAGATCCATTAAGTGGAATTAATTAATATTGAGAAATACTATGGGGAAATAACACTTCCCTGTGTTTTCCAGTGTTCCTGTACAATCTTTAGCCTGCTGAGGCTCCTCAGATACTAAAAGGTCTACATCGGTGGCCATTTGTGTAGTTAATATCTCTGACCCTGAGAGGAAAAGACAATAAAACTATTTTTTTCGAGGTAGGGCTGAATGTTTATAGCCTGAACTAGATACCAGGAGGCCAGAGACCAGAGCATTTCCTTCCCAGGCATTTAAAGGTTTCAGGAGATGATACCCTAGAATTTGGATACACTTGGCACTATCTGGATCCTGGAGAGATTTTATTTACTTACCAAAGGTCTGGAGTTGGAACTCAACACCTATTACATCTGCTAGGATATCCTTTCAGAAGAGAGGGGGTACTGCTGCTTTCACCCCCTTTATAAGCAGGCAAAGTCATTTTTCCTTGTCTTTCACCTGTGGAGTGCCTGGCTATTCACACGAGATAGTTGACCTGGCTCTCATGGCACAGCCTCAGGGCCAAGGTTGTCAGGTAAGTGAGGGAGAGTGTACACTCTGTCATCCAGGCTGGAATGCAGTGGGGCAATCGCGGCTCACTGCAGCTTCCACCTCCCCAGGGTCTGGTGATCCTCACACCTCAGCCTCCTGAGTAGCTGGGACTACAGTTATGTGCCAGTGTACCTGGATAATTTTTGTATTTTATGTAGAGACATGGTTTTGCCATGTTGCCCAGGTTGGACTTGAACCTCTGGGCTCAAGCGGTCTGTCTACGTTGGCCTCCCAAAGTTCTAGGATAACAGGTGTGAGCCAGCATGTCTGACTTGCATTTATTAATAAATATTTGTCTCTGGTCCAGAAAACCTGATGTGTGAATTCAGGGTAAAATTAATAAAATTAATATTAAAAAACTAACGCTTATCAATTTTGTAAATAAATATATTGAATATAATTTAATAAAGTCAGAATGACAAAACTTTCATGGATAAAATAATATTTGGTCCTCTCCCCAGATGTTGGATATCTCCCGATATTTTAGTTTTTCAGATTAGCCTCTCTAAAAATAATATTGTTCATGTCTTTAGTCTATTCTGACAAATTTATTCATTGTGTTTCTTTAATTCTTTACTTTATGCCTGAATGTACAAATCATCCATTTTAATAACTTACTCAATGCAATTACAAATCAAGGTATTGATATTTTTTACTTAAAACAATACATTGGAAATGAAGTCATGGGGTTGATCCTGCAAAAAACATGAAGGGCCTTCACCAAAATATTATCTGTTTCAGAGTTATTCTTATAGTATGTACATAGAATTTTCTACCACATATTTCATGAATGCTAAGTTTGTTGATCAGAATAATTTGTTACCAAAAGACTTGCTCATGCTGTTTTATTGTATGTATTTATTATATTTAAATATTTATTGTATTTAAATATTAAAGTGTAAACTACTAATTCACTGTGTTTTTCACTTTAAACTAGTAATTTTGCTATTTAACAAACTCCTTTTGCCACAAGAGATGGAATCAGGTTGTAGGCAGCTTAATTCCCTTTTTTACGTATAAATCTTCAGTAAAGTTGCATTTGAGAAGATGCTATCAAGCGTAATATAAAATAAATGACATTAACACATATTTAATTTCAGCCAACAACTAGCCAATTACTATGCATAATATTTTTCACAGATTATCTCATAGCAAGTTGATGAATTAGATGAGGAAAGTGAGCAAATAGCAGAAAACTGACTACTAAACTTTTAGAATATGTTAGAAAAAAATGCGGGTATGCTTTATTTAGTGAATTTGAAAAAGGAGTTGGAAGGAATAGGAAAGATACGGATGACAAAGTTATCCTGAACAGTAGGATCATGAAAGAAGTCTATGCACCATTACACGAAAACTTTCTTTGTTTATCTCAACTTTTTTATTTTTATTTTTATTTTTGGCTAATACCTTGTCTAGAATTCTGATGGGTAAAGAGTGAACAGGGCACTTTTTCAGACATGGTTTTCCTGTCACTGTGCAATTGCATCCTACGTGTGAGAGAAAGATCAGCGAGAATCACATGGAGAATGTTTCTCATTTGCAATGCTCTATGAAAACTAGGCATATGATGTAATGGAATTTATTTAATCAAAGTACATATAGCTCTGCTAGTTGCTGAAGGGACTAGAATGGATGGATACGACATAGTCTTTACCATTTTAAGATGAAACAAATGCAGAGGAGAGAGTTTAATACTCATGCTGGTGGGTAATTAAGCAAACAAGAGTAAGTACCACTGGTGCTAGCCGCAGTGGGCGGTCTGGGGTCTCGCTGCCATCCTGCTGGCAGCTGCATGGAGGGGCATGGGTGCAGCCCTCCCCACCCCAGTCCGCCACCCTGGGGGACCGCTGCAGGAGCTCTGGGCCACCCCTGAGCGCCAGAGGCCACAGAGGGAGTTCCTGGCAATGTCACCTCTGCCCAGATGCTGGCCCAGGTCCAGCGAGGACCTGGATCCCCCGCCCCAGTATGCAAGGGGGCAAGGCAAGCAGGTGCAGTGCTCCAGGAGCAGGTGGGAGCCGAGGACAAGCAGGAGACATGCCTCTTCCAAGTTGGTGAGGTGGAAGCTCCCCAGGTGCAACTGACCCCGCCCAAGCTGCTGATGCAACCCGGGCATCCCTGTGCCAGGAGTAGGCAGGAGCCCTCCAACCCACCACACCCAAACTAGGGCTGCACACCCAGGCATCCCTGCACTCTTGGGGTCCTGGGAAGGCCACCCTTGCCCTTGCAGGATCAGAGTTGCCTGCTTCCGCTGCCTAGCCTCTCCCATCTCCCAGCCCCACTTCCGATCTGGGAGCAGGTCTGGGGCCAAGCTCGGACACTGTGACAGCCTGGCCGGCTATGCGCACCCCTGAAGCAGTGCTGACATGCCAGCCCCATGCAGCCTTGACCCCCTCGGGACTTTGGACACTGAGGATCCCGAGAGGGGAAGCTGACGGGGAGCTGAAGGTGGCTGGGTACTGGCCTGAAGGTGCCGCTTGGTGCCAGCAGCCTGGGTGCCATAGATGGCCCCAGGAGGCAGACAGGCTCCTGGGCAGAAGGGGGTGGGTCTCCAGTGAAACCCCACCTTCAGGCCAGGGCAGGCTTGAAGCTTGGGGACTGGGCTGCCAGTCCTGGCCACTGGAGGGGTAACTCATGGTGCTTTTTCCTGGGCCTGCCCATGGCCACGCATGGACAAGTGGGCACACATTTCCTCCTCTCTGAGGTCCATAAAAGCTCAGGACTCAAGAGGATGGGAAGACCGGTTGTAGAGAGGAGCTGCCCTCTCTGTTGAGAGCAGCAGAGACGACGGGACCACCTTCCTACAGAGAGGAACTCAACACTGCGGTCTCCTCTTCGTTGTAACATTCAGTAAAGCTCCTCTTTATCTTGTTCCCTTCCACTTGTCTGTGTAACTCATTCTTCCTGGACGCAGGACAATAACTCCGGCAAAGGCGCAACCAGCCATAGAAGTTTCCAGTCAGCAAAGCAACACCCCAAAGATCCGGTAACACTGGGACTTGAAGAGAACTCATTATTGAAACTTTCTAAAAGAGGGCTCTTCTCCCTCCTCCTCTCCGCCCCGAAGTGACATCATCATGATTTTAGGGGAGAAAAATAAAAGGCAATGCTTAACCTGGAATCAGTAGCAGTAAAATATTGTAATGGTCTTAAGATATTATTTGATTTTCTTCTGCTGATTTGAAAGGTTAATGAGTTTTTCCAGCAAAGCCTGAGCTTGATGTTGAAAAGACCTTCAAAGAAGGAAGACTTAACAAGTAAAGCAAAAGAAAACAAAACAAAATGAAACGAAACGAAACAAGGAAATGCAAATCAAAACAGTGTCAAGTAGGTGAAGAATGTGCAGGAGTAAAAACACTGTCCGTTCATTTGCTACTTATCCGTCGCTCTCTGAAATATTTTCTTCAGCTTTTTATAGTTGAGGACCTGGTAGGAAAGTGCATAAAGTCCTGAGGAGGTGAGCAGAGGTAGGGCAGAGGGAATTGAGCTTGAAGGGTCCTTTCCTAGTTGCTGATGTGTGTTTAACTTTTATAATCCACTAATACTTATTAGTAAGGGAATTATTTAAACTAATTGCGGCTTTTTAAAAAAATTTGAGGAGAAAGAAAATAATGTCTAAAACTCCACCCTGCAAACATAAATGAATAAATAAAAGCAAGAAAAAATAGCACAAGTAACTCTATTCCTTTTCCTTATATTTTTTTCTCCATGATTTCTTTTTGCTTGTATCGTAGACATCTTTTCTGCCACAATCATTTCTAAACACACACCTACATACATACACTTAGGAAATTAGGTGGTAGGTGAACTCACATATCATTTAAACAGTGCATGTGTCAAAAACAAGATATGCTGCCTTAGTCAGTAACTATCTATGAATATCTTGAGCTGAATATCTGAGGACATTGTGAGAAACTCCATTTATAGGCTTCCTCATAGGAGGAAGGGTATGCAATCAGCTTTTTAGAGATTTTAGAAAAGAGAAATTATGTAGATCAAAAAAGTTAAGGTGTGAGATAATTTGGATAATTCTAAATGAATTGGAAAATCCTGGTTGATGTCTTTGTTACAGTGACATACTATACAGGAAAATGAAAGTAGGTGGTGATAAGGTGGTCTAATTTAGATCATGAAGAAAGATTGCAAAATGAACTAGGAAAACATCACATATTTGCTTTTAAATATATTATGTTCAAATATGGGGAGGTAATTTTTTTTCTTTTCTTAATTTTCTCTTCAGGTAATTGCAGTTTTGAGAAATGTTATTCCATGGCTTTACTTCAGGAAGGACTTCACTCCTAAGGAATTTTTTTGCTTTGTCTTTATGAATTCATTTTAATGATTGAATTAGCAACTCAATATGGCTTTATATAATAGAATTCATGGCCATAGTTATTAAAAACTTAGAATATTTTTCATTTAATAATTTTATCTTTTAACATGAAAAGAGATTTGAAAACTTGTATAAGACCTAATTTAGGACATGGTATAATCATAGACAAGAAAAACAAACCTGACATAAGCTTATTTAATAAAGAAAATTGTATCATATGTTAAAGGTGTTGTCTTCTCATTCAAGAGCTGAGAGAGAAAGGAGCACGGATGAGAGAGAGAGAGAGAGATTCAGATATTTGATAGGGACAACCAGGGAACTTCATGGTCACCTCACCTTAAATTATGTCTTTAATAAAAATTTACAAAAATTTACTTGTTTTCAGCTAATAATAAATATATATCATTTATCCCCAAAACTGTAAAAATATTTTGTATACTTTTTGTGAAGAATCCCCACCCTAAAACTAACAATGGTTAATTTTAAAATGAAAGAAGAATTTGGTCCTAGAACTGTACCATTTACTTAGTATTGCAAATTGCTCATTGCTCACATTCTTAGCAAATTGCTGCTCCGGCATGGACACTTGAATTCCTGAGGAATTGTAATGATCTGCTTATCTCTTGAAGAAGGCTGTAAGTAGTGAACTAGAATATTAACTATGTCTTTAGTCTCAGGCTATGCAAATTCACTGGTGATATGTAAGCATTTAATCATTTTTCTCACTTCATACCTTTCCTCATGCTTTTCCCTAATTTTTTTTTTCTGCTTTGGAGGAAAATATGTTCTTATGTAGAATTTAATGTTATGTTTAATAAGTTGTAGTAAAGTAATGCATGAAAATAGTATAGTATTTGAAGGTCAAATTTCTAAGTTCAAGCACTTGACTCTTTATATGCTGGTATTCTGAATTTGGGTAGTTATTTTAATCTCTCTAAGCTTCATTTTCTTTTCCAAAGAAACATTGAAACACTGTCCACCATGCAAGGTGTAGTGACCACATAAAGTCATATTAAAATCAACAATTTTTTAAAATGAGTTCATAAACCAAAGCCTCATACAAATACTAGCTGTTATTGCTTGCACAGAGGAAGAAAAAATATCTTTCATTGAATCCACCAACCCAGAGGGGAGATTCATTACTTTCTCCTTTTCAAAGGCTCCATCTCCAAACACTTCCACCTCAATCACTTACTTCATCAATTAACACTGTTCTACTGGAAAGCATTTTTGAAATTTTGAAATCTGCCATTTTAACACCAATTTCCAGTTCATTTCTACGTCTCCAATTTCCTCTGCCTTTTGTACCCCCCAAGATGTGAAGTTCCTCAGCCAATATTTATCTTCTGAGTTCATCCCCATTTTCTGGCTGCTTCTGCCTTCCATACAATCATGTCCTTCCTCCTGCACAGGCTCATTCACACTTCCCTTCTTTGATTCCTGTCTTGCTAATTATCAGCCCTGGGTAATCGACTCTCTATTTTTTTTTCAATTTTTGCTCTATGCTACTCTTCCTTGAATATAACAGCTAACATTGGAATGAAGCATTACAGTTTGCATATCTGTATATCTATGTATTTATATATACAGATATGCTTATATATGGCCTGATTTCATCTTCAAAATATCTAACAAGAATCACAAAACACATCTATTTTCCTCAATTAACAGATAAATCTCTGAGTATTTTAAGTACTTTGAATAAATTCACATAGTCAAGAAGTGATGAAGCCAGAATGTAAGCTGCTGTCCTCTAATAGAGTTCCAGTGTCCCTGACACTATTTTGCTGTCATGGTTGAATCATGGAAAGCTCATATGAATGATTCTATCATGAACCTCAGCCAGGCTATTGTCCAATATATATGTAAACTCTACAAACTGCTCACAGTTGTTTTCAACCTCCAAACTCTTAAAGTGCAACCTCACTCTGCTCCCACACTGTAGTTTATCAAATTTCTGTATTTTTCTTAAATCAAGAGAATTCAAGTGAATTAATTACCTATGTCTTGATTAAAAAATACTCTGCATCTTTATTCTCTCTGAGTTTTGATTCCCATATTTGTCTCAAGCTATCTATAACCCTCTTCTCCACCCTGTTTCTAACATCAGTTTCTCTGAGGTCTTTTCTAAATTATTCTGATGAAAATTTAGTCCCAAGCTTACTAATTAGTTGTTCTTTTCCTTAGTTGTACAGTTACCCTCTTGCTTTTGTAGATTCTCCCACCAATGTGTCCCTTATCCTCAAAAATAATTTTTCAAGCTACTATCTCATTATAACCTGCTCCTTTTTTCTTACCTTGACATCTCATAGGAAAAAAAAACTCATTATCTTCCCTGCAAAACATACACCATTCTACTTATTTGTATCAGGAAGTGGCACTATTTTCCATCTATGCAACTCCTTTATATAGGGAGAACATTTATTTACCTTTGTATTGCTTAGAGGATAGAGCACTGCGCCAAAAATAAAGCAAATAATGATCAACATGTCTTGTCTTTAAGTAAATATCTTCAAGTAACTGTTGACTTAATTATTTTGATACTGTTTCAAAACATATTTTGGAATACATGCACAAAATATTTTAAAGATATGAAAATATTAACATATTTCCTATCTAAACATATGCAACGTTTATAGTAACATTTTACACAGTTAGAGTACCCTCGTGTCACCCAATGCCTTGTCTCTGTGTTAGCAATAATTGCCTTCTCACCATTATTTTGCTTAAAACACACACGCGCACATACACACACACACACTGTACTGAATGGCAAAGCTCTTCATATAAATGTATTACTCATTTAACTGAGATATATCTTTTCATACAAATAGGTATGTAACATTATTTCACAAATTGGGATAAACTGGATTGTCTATGGACATTTTTACAGGATACTTCACTTTCCTGGTATATAAACTCTTTTTGAGACTGAAGGGATAGGATAAAGCATGCTGACTGTTCTGACACAGTCATAATCTTCAATGATTAATGGCATCCACTACTTGAAAAGCCCATGCACCATAGGGGTTAAAATCACAGACTCTGGAGTTATATTTCTTGAGTTTAAGTCCCTTGCTGCTTCATAGCTTTTAGGTATATTTCACAATCTTTATGTGCGGTAGATGACAACAATACTTACCTTGTGTGGTTGTTCGGAGAACGATGGAAAGCACTTAGTGCCAGCCATACAGTAAGTACTAAGTAAGCATCTGCCCTTTTTATTTAGTAAGTTGCATTTAGTAAGTATCAATGCTGGGCATTCATTTGCTAGGTGAGGGCTTTAATTAGTAAAGGTATGCTTACACGATGATATTCTCAGACCAAAATGAAAAATTATTCCTTACTGGAAGTTATTTATAATATAAAATTCATGAGTAAGTATTTTATAGAGGAGAGAATATAAAGGACAACATATTGATCCTGTATTTTAAAAATATTTTTTTCTCACTTTAAGTTGTACATTTTCTACAGAAAATTTGTAAATACCAGAGAAGCTCTTCAAAGAAATATAGCCATCTATAATTCCTATATTTAGCTTTGTTAAAATTTGGTGAGTGTCTTTTTCAGTTTTTTTCCAGGACAATAAAAATAATCCCGTCATAATAATAATAATAAAATATTAGTAACACTAAATTACCACCAATTATTCATGTCCTATGTTTCACTTATGATGTTTTTCTCTTTATGTATTATCAGCTCATATTTTCTTCTTAGCAGTTCAATTAATCTGTTATTATCTTCATTTTATATAAAAAGAACCTGCATCTCCAATAATTTAATTTGCCTAAAGTATCCCATTGAATATGCTATAGAACTGAAGTTCATCTGAGAACTGACTTACTCCAAAGGTCCATATATATTAAGAGACATATTTTATAAAAGTGTAATTATACAAATTTTCTCCAAATGTATAAAACATGGCAAATCTAAGCTTTGTAAAGGATTATTGGAGGCAGTTTCCAGCATTAAGATATTTGTCACATTCTTTCACTGTTGTTCGTTTTAATAAATAGTCCACTCCAGAAATTATATATCTCATAATATAGTTGCTAAGAATATTGAGAAAAAAATGTGGGTTTATTTTTTGTTCCATTAGTACAGTTTTAATGCTCACAAGATATGCAATGTCTAATTTTATTTTTTCTTATGGAAGAGTGCATAGTATGATTACATAAGGACTAGCAATACATTAGGAGTAAATAGCCTGCTTATTTTCATACTTATTACTGACTTGATGTACACACATATGTAAATTCCATGTTTCAGTGTGGTTTATTTCAGCTGTTTTGCTATTTTTTTCTACCTGAAAGCAGAATTTCCCATCCTTGAAATCTGTTATTTTGCTACTGGTGTTTCTAAATGCTCTGCATGTTACAAAGTGTCATTGGAGAGATCCTTTGTAATGGTTTTAATATCTTTATAATAATACTACATGGAGCATTTGGTCACTCTCAGTATAAGCTGAGTGTTAGCAGACTGGCTCATATGATTGTTTTGGAAATTAGTCGTGGATAAAGGAGAGATTATAAAGAGGAGAACAATGTAGGTGGTGCTGATTGACAGATCATTTCTTAAGTTATTATAACACAGTTATCATATTTTGGAAAGAGAATTTCATAAACCCAGAGCAGAGTATTGATGTTTATAAATTCCTTTCTTGATTTCTTATGAAATCTTATGAATCTATGATACTGCTTCCATGACTACCATTTGTATACATATTTGATTACCTTATATTGTAATTTACAACTCAAATGTGCACAACTCAACAGCAGTAGCTCACTTAGAATTGAGCAGGTTTATAGCTTTGTTTGGTCCTCAGCACAAGTAATAAAATCCTAGCTTTAAGTACCACTGGGATTTATAGAATGAAGACATCTGCATTATTATATTAAAACATTCCTTCATGTAATAAATATAACTGACAGTAGTGCATGACTTTGTTTATGAAAAATATGTTGATAGCAATACAGTCTTAAATACTGAAGAAACTTCCGATTAAAATTTTATGTGCCTAGTTACCATCTAAATGCTCAACAGATGTCCATATTAATAGTTAATTACTGGGTATTCCTAATAAAAGTTGTAGTTAAGATTTTGTTTTAAACACCGATGGAAACACTGTATTAACCCCCCATTTATTCTAATGGTGCTTCTTCTTTATTATTCTTAGATATTCTTTAAGGGTAATGTGTGTTTCAATGTTACAACTTTGAGGAAGTTTTCTGTAATAATGTTCCAGTGCATCTGGATTTTAGTGCCATCTAAGTAGTGTTGAGTATTTCCCCATGAATCTGGCAGCTTTTTGAGGAGGCACAGCCACAAGCTGACTTGAGATGCTCAGCTTCACTCCTAGTATCAGGGTGACCAACAGTCCCTGTTTGCTAGGATCTGGGTATTTCCCTGGGACAGAAAACCCTCTGCTAAAACTTGACAAGTCCCAGGCAAACCAGGATACTCGAAACCCCTATAGGTGAAAATAGTGTGGTAGTGGAAGGCAGTGGTAAAAGGGAGAATTGCTTTCTGCTTGTATTCTACTCATCTAGATCTTCTAAAATCAACTTATACACAATCAATCACCTAAAACTGCCTGAGATAATGTAGAATTTTTGTCCATTTAGTTTCCATGTTGCAACACATGAAAATTATGAGGAGCTACAATTTGGCACCAACATATAACTTTATATATATTTTTGTCAGCTATGAAAACATTAAACGCTCTCTACTAAATAAAATGTCCTGTATATAGTACATTAATATTTTGCATTCAAATATAATTTTTCAAATGATCAGAGAAATATGTAAATAATTTATGGTTAACACATTATTTTATCATGGACTGCATTTCGCTTTTGGGAGAAAGAAGATATTTGCCATCCTTAACCATTCTCTCAATTATTATTATATAGTTATTATTGTGATATATAATTATTATATACATTAGTAGGCACAATACATATAGGATATGTATTATATAGTGGCCATTATTGGGTTTCCAATAAGATTGCACTTTTTAAAATTAAAAGCATCATAGATATTGCTGCCCACAAATCTGTGTGCTTTTTTATGTCTGAGAATTATAGCATCTACCCTGAGGGTTATTACAATAAATATTTATATTTTTGATGAAGATGATTTGATGATTGTGGTAAATGATAATCATATCTCAGACATTGCCTGAGAAGAGAGAGAGAAAAATTTAAGTAATTGTAATTAATATGTGTTTTCTAATCTTAATTTACTTTTATTCAACATATAGGACTTTTACTTTTTGCAAAGGTATTACTATTCTTTTGGATATTAAAGATAATAAATCTCTTACTTTCTCTCCAAGACATATTACAGAGATTATCTCTGCTTTTAGGATTTGCAAAATAGAGTTTTCCTTTCTGTTTTTATTGCTTCTTTTGCTTTAACTTTGCTTTATTTACTTTAAGATAAGATATGAGTATATTTTATGTTAAGTTACAATTATTGATTCATCACTAGCTCTTTAGCTTCTTGAGCAGAGGGATTTTTGGCCAATTCATTTTTGTAATAGAATAAGTACTCAATAACTATGTATTCTACGATTGATCAATAATGTTCACACAAGAATCTAGAAGAAATATGAAAAATAGAATAGATTTTTATGACCCATTTGGGATTTACATAATTAGGTACGGAATTCCTCTTCAGAGACTTCTTGAGAAGTTTCCTTAACATATAAGACATTGAATCAGATAAATAGTTACCCTTGTACCTAAGTAGGGAAAAATTAGTTCTGTATTTTTCAGAATGGTCTTTATTTTGCATGTTCAATTTCATCATCAGTCCTTCAGAACATTATTTAACTATGTGCCATATTTTGAGTGACAAAATATTTTGTCATTCTAACTATGGGGAATTTTCAGGACAAATGATCATTAACACATGTTATTAGGAGTTAAGTCAGTTAAAGAAATGTGTTCAGTTCCTGAGCCTATTCCAAAATTGATGGAGGATACCACGATGTAACCGTGGAAATCAAAATTTATATCTTAGAATTTTCAGATATTTTGTGTTAAAGTAATATTTTTTATTAAATATAAACATTTTGAAAAAGAATGAAACAAAAGAAGTGGACTCCCAAACACACAGCAAGGTTTAACTCATGATGAGAATAAATAAATCCTTATAAATTCTACTTCTATATTTAATTTTCAAAGAAGATATATGTAATTAGTGTCTGAAGAGTGCTTTTGTATGATTAAAAAATACAAGTTAAATCTATTTTCTTCTTACCTAAAAAACAGGAAACACAACTTATCAAAGTATATCACTATTAATTATTTATCAGATAATGAAAATCAATGAAGTAAAAAGCAGAACTCAAGAGTAAATAATATCAAGTAATAAAAGTCTATAAATACGTAATTAAAGCAGACAGTACAAAGTATTTCATCAGATTTTATTAAATCCCTCATTAAAAAAAAAATTAACCTTCCAAACCATTCCTTCTCTGTGCTTTTAATGGTGATTTCAAACAGGACCCAAGGTAATGGCCAGGAATCCACCAAACTGTGACCAACATGGCTCTGATTCTGTATCACATTAAATAGCCTACACAATTACCTGGACGAGCCAGGTGACTTCCTCAGCCCTGTAGGTATTCTTGTTGGGTTAGTGAGGCCTTTACTAATCACTTCTCAAAGAATTTTTTCTGGTTACTGGAACAATGGCTCTGCCTCTGATCTTACGTGATTTCATTTAGTACCACACTTTGTTGTCTTCTGGAAACTTGGCACTAAACAAATCATATTTCTTGGCATAGTGAATTGTTGTAAGTGGCAAAAACTACCTAGGAAAGTACCTGCACAAGACAAGGAATATTTAAACCCACAATGTCATTGTTCATTAAATAATCTCATAATTTAGGCAACACATAAATCACAACATTTACTTCAGGATGAGAATATTGAAGTGGAAAGTCTAGATGATTTGTTATCATTTAGACTGTCAGCTTACACCTATCAGCTTAAAAATAGCTCCAATTTTAAAATCAAGTTAAATGCTTTTTTTTTGCTATAATTCAAAAACCTTGGATTTATGAAGTCAGATGTTTCGCAATAGTATCATGGCACTTTTTCCACTGATCCTCTAAGTATTATGTAAATGAGACAAATGTTCATAATTAACATGTTTTTTAATTTCTCTGTGTGATGGATAATTTCACATGTCTACTAGTCTAGGCTACGGAGAAGATTGATCAAACACTAGTTTAGGTGTTATCGTAATGGTATTTATGGATGTGATTAATATTTATACTCAATTCATTTAAAGTAAAACAGATTACCTTTATAACGTGAATGGGACTCTATCAATCAGTCAAAGGCCTAAGAACAAAGATAGCTTATTTCCTGACACCTGTCAGGTTGAATTAGGGCCCTTCCACATGACCTCATTTAAACCTAATTATTTTTTGAAGTCTCTATCTCCAAATACAGTCACAATCTGAGGTACAGGAGGTTAGGGCCTCAACATACAAATCAGCTTATAATACCCATTTTGCAGATCAGGATACTGATATACAGAGCTGTTTAATAACTTGCCCCAAGCCACTAAGTAATTGTTAGAAGTAGAGTCAAAATTCAGGGAAGCCATCGCCAGTATATATGCTCTTAATACCTGTAGGTTAAATTATTGAAAATACTTTAACTGTGATAATGAAATTTGAAGTTCTACTGGATGTTTGGAGATTCATAGAAACTAACTTCCAGTAAGAAATTAAAAAAAAAAAAATCTGAGATGTACTATGTCCTCTACGTAGGTTGATTCTTAAGATTTAATTTGATATATAGTATTTTTAAAGACTAGACCCTGTCCGGAATTATAGTACATCTCCTAATATTGAACAAGTTAAGATCCCATGCCCCTGCTATAAATTATCTTCTATACCCTATTCCAATAATTAGAGCACCCCTATTTGTTAATATTTCCCACCTTGCCAGTTTGGTTCCTAAGAACAAAACTATATCCAGTGTATCCTGTTATCCATCTCCTTTCAATTTTAAAAAGTATACAAACAAAATATTCAAGAAGAAAGAGATGTACATGTATGTGTATGACTCTGTGTTGCAGGTGAACTGAACTTACATATCTGATTTCTGATCCCCCAGTTATTTTTTGCATTTTGGAGTATGACAAAAATATCTGGAAAGTGTTATTGATACTCAGTTTATTCTGAAGAAATTAAAAGAAAATAATCATTTTTCATTTAATAGCATTTGTGCCAGGACCATTATCACTATTATTTTCCTTTGTGGAATAATAATGGATGGGAATGGCAAGAATAGCAGGGCTCATTTTAGGGCAGGAGACTCAAATTTAATCCTGAATATTATAGAATGCAAAGCCAAAATTTAGAGAATAACAAATGATTTTCTTAGTTATACCCACAATTCAGTTAAACTAGTTATTCACTTTATTGTAAATAAAATGAGATATCACACTAAACTAATAAACTAATTAAATTTTGTTGCATACAAATATATGTACTATTTAGTTCCCTTGATCAAATAACTATATAATAAAAAAAGTACATTAGTAGGCACAATATATAAAGGATATGTACAATAAAAGGACAACAAGTTGTTTTTGCTGTCAAGAAACATAATCACTCAAGCTCTAATATTATTTAAATATATTATTTCTAATATTATTTTTCTGTTTCAATATTGTTTTCAGACTCAAATGAATAATTTCTGAATAATTGCATAGATTCTCAGTTGATTACTAACAATGTAAATGGGAAAAGGGGGTAATTTTTGTTCCAAATTTCTGATCTTGAAAATATAAATGGCTATTCTCAGATTATAATGAGTTACATTTCTGTCCACTGATATTTTCATGTGTGTGTAGGTGCATTGTGCGGCTGCTTGTGTTGGATACAGGCATGCAGAAGTGAGAAGAGTTTCAGATGTTCCAGTAGATAAAACAAAGAGGAAGATAAACAGTGTTATCCAAAAGTTTATTATGAGTGTCTTTGCTTTTTAAATATTTCTCCTGGAAACCACTGACTACAAATTTCTGTTATTGCTGACAATAATTAGTACTTTCTGACATATTGGTCACTGTGTGCTCAGTTTATTAAAAATTAAACTGCACACCATTTATATAGGATTTTAGTGTGCTTTGTTCTCTATAAGTTATTTCTGAAGACCTATTATCTACTCTATGAGAGGGAGTAAGCAGTGAACTCAAGCGGGTTCTCTAGGGCTGCCTCAAGCATCATCTTCTGGTGGGGAAGTCAGAGAGAAACTTACAGTGGATCGACACACACAACCAATCAACCCATTACCCAGCTGAGAACCTGGACAGAATGGATATTAACCTGTGCATCAGTAACTTGGCTTAGGAACAATAACTCTTTTGCCTGGCATTTGATGTCAGGATGTTCATGAACCCTCTACCTATAAGACAGGTGTTCAGTTCAAGTATTATTTATTTTTATTTTTTAATCTTTAAAAGGCATACTTTCTATTCAAGGAAGTATGAACAAGTGAAAAGCAGAGAGTTTCTCCCCATGCATCTTTCTATTCTTCTTCTTTTATTTTTTATTTTTATGTATTTATTTTTTTGTGAGGCAGGATCTTGCTCTGTTGCCCAGTGTGGGTACAGCAGCAAGATCACAGCTGACTGCAGCATTGACCTCCCAGGAGCTCAATCAGCCCACCTGCCTCAGCCTCCCAAGTAGTTGGGACTGCAAGTGTGCACTACCACGCCTGGCTACTTTTTGTATTTTTTTGTAGAGATGGGGTTTTGCCATGTTGCCCATCCTGGTCCTGAACTGCAGAGCTCAAGCAATCCCCCCACCTCAGCCTCCTAAAGTGCTGGGATTACAGGCATAAGCCACTGCGCCCAGCCTCTTTCTATCCTTGATGTCCAAGGAGGAATGTCTAGTTCCCCTAGAAGTTATGAGGCCTGTCTTCTTATCAGGAAATCTTAGTTATAAGAATATATCCTCCATAGATTTAAAAATTAAATAAGATGATACCTGAAAATTACTCACAACTGGGTCCTAGGTGTGAAAAATGTTATCTATTATACAACTCCATATGGTATCTTTGGCACAGTATTAAAAATATTGAATTTTTTGTCTTTATGATTAGCAAACATATAGAGCAAGTACCATCCATTCATCCAGGAGACACTTAGTGAACACGTGTTATAGAGAAAGCACTACGCTAGCTACAGGAAAGGGCTAAAGCCTTGTAACATACAGACTTTTAATGTGCTTCTTTAAACCCAACGGTGGTCTGACAATCATAATGATCAACGAGTGAAAATCACTTCAGCCATGCTAACTCAGTGGATATCGTTGAGGTAGACACGATGCTGTGTGTTTATTCACCCCAGAACATTGTTTTCTTCCAGCGCACACAGGTAGGCCACATTTCCACTAACTGTTTTAACTAGGTGGGGTCATGACTGGACACTGGTCAGTGAGATGTGGGTTGGAACTGTATGAGCCCCTCAGGCCTGTCCTTAAGATCCCCTCATGCACAGGGCCCCCCACACTCTGGCCTCTCTGACCTCAGCAGCCCTGTTCCTGATGGAGAAGCTCCAACATGGGGAAAATCCTCCTGATGAACAGTGGACTTACTTGAGTGGGAAATAAAGCTGAGTTGTGTGTAGCCACTGAGATTTGTGTGTTAATCTGTAACCACAGTGCACTGTGGTTCCCCAAGGTGTGATTCCCTCAGCAGCAGTATCAGCTTCACCAGGGCTTTTGTTAAAATGCAAATTATTATTCTCCTCCCTGGACCTAATGAATATAAAATGAATACCTATATAATCTCCTTTCTGTCTCTATTTCATGTGCTCGCTTCCTAGAGCACTTCTTGGTCAAAAATAAGGCTTTCCTTTTTCAATGTGAGGACAATGATTTCAGAAATGACAAAACACCAGGGTATTAATTATATGTTACAAAGAAAATTGATGCCATACTTCTACTAAATATATCATAATTACCTGTCAAATGGAAAAAAACATTCTATGCAGATGACTAACTTCACATTCTAAAAGACATTCTAGCTTCACTTTTCTCTTACTAATTCTAGATTTGGTACATGTTTTCATCAGCTTTTAGAAATGGGCTATCAACATGGTTCAATAAAAATCAAAACCATAATCTTCTTCATCTCATTTTGTACCCAAACAGAAGAGTGTATACCAGTCTAGCCATTAAAAGCTGCATTTCACTGCAATAGTTCTATCAAGGAAATCTAATGATTCTGGCTTGCTAAAGAGAGAGTGGGACAGACAGTAGGATACTGTGGTAAGCACTCACTCGAAGCTGGGTTACCTGGGGTCAAGCCCAGGCTTTGATACTTTTATATGCAGTGTATTTAACCTCTCCCTGTTTCATTTTCCTCATTTAAAACTAAGGATATTAATGGCTCTCATCTAATACATTTGCTGTATGATTAAGTGTTAATATATCTAAAGCACCAAAACCAGCATGTGGCACTCCCTTAGTGCTATGTAACTATTGAAAGCATAGAGTGTGATCAGCTTTTCAAAAATAAACGTTAAAGATTGCTAACAGTCCATTGGAAACTTATTTCAAAAGTTCATTTCAGAAATTAAAACTCACTCTTCTCAACAGCTTTTATGTGTTACAGATGTATGTACCATGCCATGCACCATGACTTTATTGAGGTGCTTTATATAAATATACCATCCATTCATCCAAAAGATATCCATTCATCTGAAAGTTATCCATTCATCCAAAAAATATAAATATAAAGCACTTCAGACCCTCATGTTATAAATATTTATTAAAAATGCATTGTTCCTCAAATTATCTTCACAATTATAGAATAAATATTTTAGGTTTTAAAACTATTAAAGTCCTTTTACATGAGTCCAATCAGATTGCTGATATACAATCAGCACTCAAAGTATTTGTGTATAAATACACTGTCTATGAATCCCATTTAAAGATAACTTAGTCTTTTGGGAGTTTACATTTTTTTTTCTTTTTTTTTTTTTTTTTTTTTTGAGACGGAGTGTTGCTCTGTCGCCCAGGCTGGAGTGCAGTGGTGAAATCTTGGCTCACTGCAACCTCCACTTTTTGGGTTCAAGTGATTCTCCTGCCTCAGCCTCCCGAGTAGCTGGGACTACAGGTGCCCGCCACCACGCCCGGTGGCTAATTTTTGTATTTTTAGTAGAGACAGGGTTTCACTATATTGGCCAGGCTGGTCTCAAACTCCTGACCTGTGATCCACCTGCCTCAGCCTCCCAAAGCACTGGGATTACAGGCCTGAGCCACTGTGCCTGACTGGGGGTTTACATACTTTAAACTAGCAAAGCAATGTGAACCAATTAGAACAACAATGAGATACTATACACCTATCGGAATGGCCAAAATTCAGAACACTGGTAACACTGGTGAGGTGTTATGCTGGTGAGGATGCGAAGCAGCAAGAACTCTTGTTCGCAGGTCGTGGGAATGCATGTTCTACAGCCGCTTTGAAAGATGGTTTGGCAGTTTCTTAATAAAATAAATATCCTCTTACCATGTGATCCAAAAATCACGCTCCTTGGTATTTGCCCAAAGGAGGGGAAAGCCTACGTCCACACAAAACCTGCTCATGAAAGTTTATAATATATAGTTTATTCATATTATAGTGTATATAGTTTATTCACAGTAACCAAAATTTGGAAGCAACCAAGGTTCTGTTCAGTAAGTGAAGGAATAAATGAATAAACTGTGGTATTATACATTGGGCCACAAAATATTATTCAGTGCTAAAAAGAAATGAGCTATCAAGTCATGAGAAGTCATGGAGGAAACTTAAATGCATATTTCTACATAGACTATATGTGCATACTGTGTACTCTATGATTCCAATTATATGTATATATGTATTCTGTATATGTATATATGTATACTTTATAATGTTTTCCAATTATATGACGTTCCGCAAAAGGCAAAACTCTGCAGACAGTGAAAAGATTAGTCATTGCCAGGGTTTAGAAGGAAGAGGTGTAGGGTGAATAAGTAAAACACAGAGGATATTTAGGGCAGTGACAATATTCTATATGATACTATCATGATGAATATATCTCATTATAAATTTATCCAACCCAATAGAATTCACAATGCCAAGAGAAAACTCTAATGTAAACCATGAACTTTGGGAGGTAGTGATGTGTAATGTAGGGTCCTCAATTTAACAGGGTGTTTAATTGTGATAGGTGAGGTTGATAATGGGGGAGACTATGAATGTGCAGGGGTTGGGAGTATATGGGACATTTCCGTACCTTTCTATTATTCTGTGAATCAAAAAGTGCTCTAAAATAGTAAAGTCTTTAAACTATAATGGGAACATCTTTGTAAATACAAATGTAGGGACTTTTATTTATTCTATTGGTAGAGTTAGGGTTGGAGAGTTGTAGCGATATTAGGAGCTTAATTTAGTGACCACACAGTTTATCTTTTGAGATATGCGTTTTATTATTAAACACTCACTTGAACATGCTGGCTGAGTTCAGTTATTAGCCAAGTCTTTCCAGGGGTTTGCTGATATAACACAGTACGACACATTTATTAGGAAATTTATTTTTGCAAAATTCCTCCACAGGATTGACTAATGCTGGGCAGGTACCAGATAAATAAGGATAAAGCTAGCTCATTCACCTTAAACCTTTACTACTTTGTCCTTTTATGTTGTGCAAACAACTTCATGAAATTATTAATCATGAAAAAATTTTCATAAATTATAATTTTATGCACAGTTTAACATAAGACCTTAAAAGCAAATAAAATGCCATATGCTCATAAATTAAATGCCTTAAAAATATGAATTATGAGACACTTAGAGTCAGGTTTTCAGTTAGTCTCCTTGACTCTTTCAGTCTCATATGACGTTGAACAAGACATGTCACGCTCTTAAGTTGTTTTGCCCGCCATTTTGTCTTTAACCCTCAGACAGCATTTTCTTGGCACTTGCAGGAATAAAAATGATGATTTATTGAGCACAACTTTGTAACCTGTACTGCATTAGCAGGTAAAAGAACTATTTCATCTTGGGGATATGAAGAAACTCTTTTTCATACCCCAAATGTCTTTGCCCCTCCTCCTGGAGATAGAGCCCTGCTTTTTCCTGGTGATCGCTAGTCCCCCCTACACAACTCAGAGACAGGTGGGTTTATGGCTGCTTTTAGAGTTAATTTGTTGTTGTTCTAATCCAAATATTATGGTGCCTTTTTCCTTTTCAGATATAGGTTTAGTGGTGAAGATGGTCCTAGTCTCTCCAATGAGAGGCCTTTTGGCTCGTGAGTCAGAGACATTGATAGAAGTTCATTTCTGCCTCTAGATGTTGGAATGTTGGGATGTCATGCACGGAGCTACCTCCATGGTGGGGGAGCTAAGCCTGTGGCACAGAAGCAGGCTGAGTGGACAAGCAGGGAGAATTTAGATCTTTGATGAAGTCACCATCTCTGAAGCATCCTACCCTGAAACAGGCCTCATCTCTGGACAGTAGCTATGAGATGACACATTTTCTCATTGTACAAGCAATTTGATGTGGAAATCTTTGTTACTTGAAACAGGCATTTTAACATATAAAATGTGATTCCCACTGACCACTGGCATCCCCAGATTCTTTGGTTTACCTAAAAGTATATATAAGAAAAGTGTATGCCTGATATCTCGTTGACTCCATTACAAAGAAACATTAAAAAAAAAAAGACCTTGATATGTTGACTCAATTATTGGTCAAGATGCTGGTAATAACAAATGCACTTTTATTAAGAGAACAATAGACCGGGCGCGGTGGCTCACACCTGTAATCCCAGCACTTTGGGAGGCCGAGGCGGGCGGATCACGAGGTCAGGAGATGGAGGCCATTCTGGCTAACACGGTGAAACCCCGTCTCTACTAAAAATACAAAAAAATTAGCCGGGCGTGGTGGCGGGCGCCTGTAGTCCCAGCTGCTCGGGAGGCTGAGGCAGGAGAATGGCGTGAACCCGGGAGGCGGAGCTTGCAGTGAGCTGAGATCGCGCCACTGCACTCCAGCCTGGGCGACAGAGCGAGACTGTCTCAAAAAAAAAAAATTAAAAATTTTTAAAACAGAGAAAAATATATGCAGGCAGTTTCCCCTATGTTTTACATGAAGCACCTCATTGAATCCTCATGATGTGACAAACTACGGGCTCTTATTAATCCAGTCTTACAGTTGGCACATTCACAGTTAGAAAACTAAGTTCTGTGGCACCATCAGAATTCTAGCTCAGGCAGTCTAAATAAAATGGCGCAAGCAGAGCCTCTAGGATATGCTGATTTTCCTTTGAAGTTTTAATCTTTTAATCTATTTCAGGTTTGTTCATCCTTATTTTGAAAGCAAATAAACCAAGTACATTTGCAAAATTACTTGGTGGCCTTTTATCCAAAGTAAATTTATATAATTAGGTACATTTACTATTTACAGTGTCCCTTACCCCAAAAAGATTATATGACAATAATCATTAGATAACATCGTTTGCGTGTTTTTAAAAATAATCGTTAGGTGCTATTCTAAGCACTTCACACATTCTATCCCATTTAATGCCTAAAAAGCATTTACGAGGCAGATATTATTATTCCTATAATAAGCATAAGTAAAACAAAGTCCTGAGACACTGAATAATTTGTGTAATTTTCCACAGCTATTTAGTGGTTGATTCTGGATTTTTTATTGGTGTCTACCACCAGAGACTATGTGCTTAGCTCCAACATTTTGTTGCCTTTAAATACAGCCTTTTGCTTTGATTTACAAATTAATAATTTTATTATTTATAAACTTGATTTACTTGCTATAAATTTTAAAATGGAATAACTATATCACAATTTACTTGGAATTACAAAGATAAGTGACATGTAAATTATTAAACTGGCCTAGTATAAGCTGAGCCATATTATTTTTACTTTTTATAGAGTTTCAAATGCTTCAACAGATTTATTATTTTATTGAGAAATTTGTGGTGGTTAGCTCTGGTGCTATAGAAACACAACGTTCTTGAAGCTCACCAACTTAGTATTCTCTCTACAGAACTCTGCCTGACTTTGCAGTGTATATTTTAATGTGCACAAATTGTAGGAACAGTGAATGTTTAAATCTCCCACACTACATCATATAAATCACTTATTCCACAGGAGACAAGACAGTAAAAATACCTTTTTTAAAACTACTTTTAAAAATGTTGACCATGTCAATCTTTTTGGTAGATGATTTTCAGAGCAAGGAGCCTGTCTGACTGCTATCTTGTGCAGTCTCATAACAAATTGATCAAAATTCTTTTGTGATTTACACACACATTTTCTAAAGTATCAATATAGTGTCCTGGTGCCAAGGAAGAGTATAGATTGTATTTCAGGCATAAGAAATTTAGCCAATTTGACTCCTTTTTGGTTCCATATGAATTTCAGAATTTTTTTTTCTAATTCTATGAAAAATGATGTTGGTATTTTGACAGAGATTACATTGAATCTGTAGATTGCTTTGGGCAGTATGGCAATTTTAAATGCTGTTAATTCTTCTGATCCAAGAGCATGGTATGTAGTATTGGTTTTGGCTGCACACTGGCTGTGGGGAACTTTAACAAATTCACTGTCTGGATCCCACCCCAAAAGTGCTGATATCATTGTCTCAGACCAGGCTGGGGCTTTGGAACTTTTAAAAGCTCTGTGAATTGTGATATAAAGTGAAGACTAAAATTCATTCATATAGAGCATCTAGATAGGCTTTAAATACTCACTATGAAATGAAGCCACCCCCAAATGACTCAGCTACTAACTTTCAATAATAGTCAAACTAAGACATCTAAAAAAAAAAAACCCTTGCTAATACTACGTAAAATATTTAAATAAATAGTGATATGGTTTGGATCCGGGTTTCCACCCAAATTTCATGTCAAATTATAATTCCCAAAGTTGAATGTAGGGCGTGGTGGAAAGTAATTGGATCACGGGGGTGGATTTCCCATTCGGTGGTGTTCTCGTGATAGTGAGCTCTGGTGAGATCTGGTTGTTTTAAAGTGTGTGACACCTCCCCACTCTCTCTCTTGCTCCTAATCCCACCATGTAAGAGGAACCTTCTTCCCCTTCATCTTCCACTATGATTGTAAGTTTCCTGAGGCCTCCTCAGAAGTTGAGCAGAATTCATAGTTGAGCAGATACTAGCATTATGTACAGCCTGTGGACCCATTGAGTAATTAAACCTCTTTTTTTTCTCAATTACCCAGTCTCAGGTATTTCTTCACAGCAATGAGAGAGTGGACTAATACAAAGAAATCCTAGGGGATTTACCTTGCAGGAGAACAAAACCACACAATTTTCAGGTTTCCTTCTAGATTCATTAAACAAATGTTAAAATAGTTTAACTTTGGTAAAAGGAACAAAATATAAAGACAGAATAATTTCAGTGACCCCTTTTAATAGTGGGTCTGACTTTAGATTTTCAAGGTTAGCTTTTTGGAGAGAGAAGATTTTCCCTTTATTTTAGCTTTTGCTAAAGCACATCATGAGACACTTCAAATCCAAAGTCCTTTTTCAGTATGAGAAAACTCTTTCATATGCACTTTGCTTCCTAACTTTTTCTATTCCTTTTTCTTTTGAAGAATTATTAAGCAGGAAGAAGGATGTCATAGAAATCAAAAGTAAAATGGACCTGGGCCTGTTAGGGTAGGCCATGGTGTCCAGTGAAGGAGTCCATGCCACTGGTATTTGTTTCTGCACAAAGAATATGGTGATGTGCTCCAGTAGTTTGGGGGATTGTATTCTATTTTCATGTTGCTGATAAGGTCATACCCAAGACTGGGCAATTTACAAAAGAAAGAAGTTTAATAAGATTTCCAGCTTCACATGGCTGAGGAGGCCGCACAATCATGGCGGAAGGCAAGGAGGAGCAAGTCACATCTTAGGTGGATGGCAGAAGGCAAAAAAGAGAGTTTGTGCAGAGAAAATCCCATTTTTAAAACCATCAGATCTCATAAGACCCATTTACTATCACGAGAACAGCATGGGAAAGACCTGCCCCCATGATTCAATCATCTCCCACTGGGTCCCTTCCACAACACATGGGAATGATGGGAGCTAAAAGATGAGATTTGAATGGGGACATGGAGCTAAGCCATATTATTCTGCCCCCGACCCCTCCCAAATCTCATATCTTTACATTTCAAAACCAATCATGCCTTCCCAATAGTACCCCAAAATCTCAGCTCATTTTAGCATTAACTCAAAAGTCCACAGTCCAAAGTCTCATCTGAGACAAGGCAAGTCCCTTCAGCCTATGAGCCTGTAAAATCAAAAGCAAGTTAGTTACTTCCTAGATACAATGAGGGTACAGGCATTGGGTAAATGCAGCCATTCTAAATCGGAGAAATTGGCCAAAACAAAGGGCTACAGGCCCCATGCAAGCCTAAAATCCAACAGGGCAGTCAAATCTTAAAGCTCCAAAGTGATCTTCTTTGACTCCATGTCTCACATCCAGGTCACACTGATGCAAGAAGTGGGTTCCCATGGTCTTGCCAGCTCCACCCCTGTGGCTTTGCAGGGTACAACTTCCCTCCTAGCTGCTTTCATGGGCTGGATTTGAGTGTCTGCGGCTTTTCCAGGTGCACGGTGAAAGGTGTCAGTGGATCTAACATTTTGGAGTCTTGAAAATGGTGGCCCTCTTCTCACACCTCCACTAGGCAGTGCTCCAGTAGGTACTCTGTGTGGGGGCTCCGACCCCACATTTCCCTTCTGCACTGCCCTGGCAGACATTCTCCATGAGAGCCCCACCCCTGCAGCAAATTTCTGCTTAGACATCCGGGTGTTTCCATACACGCTATGAATTCTAAGTGGAAGTTCCCAAATCCCAGTTCTTGACTTCTGTGCACTGGCAGGCTCACCACGTGGAAGCTGCCAAGGCTTGAGGCTTGGACTCTCTGAAGCATGGGCCCAAGCTCTATTTTGGCCCCTTTCAGCCATGGTTGGAGCAGCTGGGACACAGGACACCAAGTTCCTAGGCTGCACATATAACTGGGACCCTGGGCTGGGCCCAAGAAGCCACTTTTTTCCTTTTAGCCCTCTGGGCTTGTGACAGGAGGGGCTGCCATGAAGACCTCTGACATGCCCTGGAGACATTTTCCCCATTGTCTTGGGGATTAACGTTCTCCTCCTTATTACTTTTATAAATTTCTGCAGCTGGCTAGAATTTATCCTCAGAAAATGGGATTTTCTTTTCTATCATATTGTCAGGCTACAAATTTTCCAAACATTTATCCTCTGTTTTCCTTTTAAAACTCAATGCCTTTAACAGCGCACAAGTCACCTCTTAAATGCTTTGCTGCTTAGGAATGTCTTCCGCCAGATACCCTAAATCATTTTCCTCAAGTTCAAAGTTCCACAAATCTCTATGACAGGGGCAAAATGCCACGTTTCTTTGCTAAAACATAACAAGAGTCACCTTTACTCCAGTTCTCAACAAGTTCCTCATCTCCATGTGAGATCACCTCAACCTGGAACTCATTGTCCATATTCCTATTAGCATTTTCAGCAAAGCCATTCAACAAGTCTCTAGGAAGTTCCAAACTTTCCCACATTTCCCTGTCTTCTTCTGAGCCCTCCAAACTGTTGTAACCCCTGCCTGTTACTCAGTTCCAAAGTAGTTTCCACATTTTCATGTATCTTTTCAGCAACACCCCACTCAACTGGTACCAATTTACTGTATTAGTTTGTCTTCAGACTGCTGATAAAGACATACCCGACACTGGGCAATTTACAAAAGAAAGAGGTTTAACTGGACTTACAGTTCCACATGCCTGGGGAGGCCTCACAATCATGGTGGAAGGCAAGGAGGAGCAAGTCACATCTTAGGTGGATGGCAGCAGGCAAAAAAGAAAGCTTGTGCAGAGAAACTCCAGTTTTTAAAACCATCAGATCTGGTGAGACTCATGTACTATCACGAGAACAGCATGGGAAAGACCCACCCCCATGATTCAGTTATCTCTCAGTGGGTCCCTCCCACAACTCGTGGGAATTATGAGAGCTACAAGATGAGATTTTGGTGGGGACACAGAGACAAACCATATCAGGGATCAAATAGAGAGTCTCTGGGCATGCTATGTAATATGGGCAGAGTCCTCATCTTACATCTTACTGATGAGGCCCCTCCTCATCAGTGTTGTCTTTCTCTAAGACTTCAAGGGATGGATTTCAACAGAGAACCAATGGGTTGGTTGAAGTAAATGTGGTTTCGCCCTGATGTTCTTCTTAATCCTGATCTCCCACTGTATTTTGTTGTGAGCCATGCACTCCAAACAAAAATTTTGAATCACTATTTTTTGAATATATTCTTCTTCTTTATCATTTCCATGCCTCTTTTAACACTATTTTCTCTATCTACAATCCCCTAGCCAGACCAAATTTATTTTTGTTGAAGCCATTCTTGACTCTTTTAGGCCAATGATTTCTTTTCATCATTCCTTATGCATGCATTTTTCTGTAGCTTTCAAATTATGATTATATTATTCTCTCTGACATTGCTTATAGATTTACTATTTTTAATGTTAATATTTATGTTTTTCTTCCCAAAATAGACTATAGGTATTTTGGATACAGAAAGTACACAGAATTTGGTTTTACCACTAACATCTCCCAAGTCCCAACATCACTCTTGGTAAGGTTCCTTGTACTTGTTGGGCATTAAGTCAAGTCAGTGCAAAGTTCAAGCATAAATGTACATACAGGACAGACAGCACATACCAGACCTTCTGGGGCAGTATAGAAGCTAATAGAGTAAGATCTGTAGCAACAACATACACACTGACCCCCAGAGACCCATTCATTCTAGGATGACACAGAAAGCTGTCAGGACATTGGATTCTAATAAATGCATCTCAAATCCTGGACTGTGGAGAGTTTAAACTGCATAAGTAGAGAAGTGTTGGTCCCTCCTCTCCTAGTGACATCAGGCACTAGGATACAATAGCAATATAACATGGCAAGAATTTAACTCCAGCCCTAGTGTGCTAGATTAGGGTTTGAGTGCAATGGATGCAGCAGGCTCTTCCCTGACACGATCAGAGACTGAGTTATGATAGTGCCCTTTTGTCAGCTCAGTGTTCATCTGTGCAGGTTAAGATATGGTTGTGAGCTGGGATCCAGCATGGTTATTGAGCATGACTCTATAGGTACTAGACTTTAGTCAATTTCTTGGGGTATTTAAAGGAGGACAACTCCTTTTCTCAGAGGCTGGTCTGCGAAAGATCAGTCTTGTATAAGACACAACTTCTCTTATGTTTGTTATATTAATCATATAAAATTGCTGATAACAGACAATTTTTGACCTACAAAATTCAGTGTTATAAGATTCCATTTAATAGACTGATAGCTAGATAGATACTACACATTTATATGCATAGAGACAAATATCCACAAAGTTAGCTAATATCATAGGAAAATAACAGAAAAATGAGTTATTAACCTATTTCAAACTTAGAGAAATAATCTCTAGGATTCTTGAGACATATCAAATATGTTTTCAGAATATTTATCTACTTCTAGTCACTTTAACTTTAATATAATATCTTTTAAGACTTTTCTTTTCAATATCTAAGCTTCCCGAAATGTCCTCACTTTCATCCTCAAGGACAGGGTCATAATATTCTGGGAAATGTGGAGATTATATATGAACTCCTGTTTTGTTTGTATGCCTCAAAACCCAATAATAATCCTTTAATAAAATTCTGGTATTTGCTCTTTGTGCCTGATCATTTCCCAACAAAGGTACATTAAAAACCACAGCTCATAGCTGTGAGCTAAAATACCTTTGAGAATGCCACACTGGGCTGGGTCTCGCTGCAAAGCCTTCCCTTTGCCCATCCACATTTTGTGAATTTTGTTTTTGTTTTTGGATAAAAAGGCATCAAATATGAAACTTAAAATGGCAATACTGAGTGACATCTACTATAATTTTGAGTAGCTTTTCCTAATTAGGTTTGATTTCTAATAGTGTTGACTAGGAATTCCAAGTCTTTAACATTTGGAGATTGAATGTTGCCATCCAAGGCTGGAGTTGAGGAAACCCTGCTAATGACACCTTTATTGATTGAATTAGTAAACTTGGTGTTTGGATTTTGTGGCTTGGTGCATGAGGACAACTCTATAGAGTTCATTAGATATTTATTGGCCCAAAGTGTTTTCTTATAACCAAATCAGTAAGGTGAGACACAAAACATACAAAACCCTATGCAAAACAATTATAGTTAGCCTTGAGATGTATTTGAATCAGTCATTTTTGTGTGTATGTAAATAATTTTATTTATCTACAGAATATGTTGCTTCATATACTTTTCAATGACTATTTCTCAGATAGATCCTTGGGAATTCTTAGATGCTTGACTTTTATTTAAAAGCATGTCTCTTCATAGCTGTCCAAAAATCGTGGATAGTATGACAATTTGGTTGCTACCAATTTTTCTTGTATAATTAATGTATAATAAATTTACTTGTATACAAATCTATTATTTTCTCATAAAAAAATTACATTCCTGTAAGTTGAATTACCAGGTCAAATGATATGTGCATAAATTTAATTTATGTACAAAATGTACTTAGCCACAATGAAACTTGCAAAAAATAGAGATCTTTAAAGCCGCATGCTGTAACCACAATGAAATAAAATTAGATATTAACAATAACAGCCACAACTAAAATTGTTAGGCATTTTAAAATTTAAAATAAAAAGAATCTTATAAAAATTTAGAAATGACAGAAACGAGAACACTGTCTATAATGCTTATGAAGAATGTTTTTAACCATTTTATTATTTAGAAAATGATTTTGTTACCTGGCAGTATTTAAAGTACATAAGCAGTTTAATTTAAGAGCTAGAAAAATAAAAATTTAAGTAAGCTAAAAGAGGAAGGCGTTGATAAAAATTGCAGTTAAAATTAATAAATTAGAGTTAAAAATAGAACTGATATTTAAAGCTAAATGCTGGTGCTTTGAAAATAAAGTAGAAATGCTCATGACAACAAGAACTACAAATAGGAAGAAAGAGATTTAACCATACTGATGGAAGAGATCAGTACCCTTCTGAGAGTATTTTTATGACCAGCTGGTCATGAACCTGTAAGTCCAGAACAAATACATGTTTTCTCCACAAATTATTAAAATGGAGTCAATAAAGTCAGACATTTTAAATGCATCAATGACCATAGAAAAAATTCAGACTTTTTGGGGATATACATTACAGAAGTGTGGGGTCCATATGGCTTCATTGGCAAGTATAAACCAACCTTCAAGTAACAGATTATTACTATGTTATACTACTATGCTTTGGGAAGCATCTCACTTCATTTTAGGCCATAAGCCTAGCTTCCAAATATGATAAATACATAAACATAGCATATTTGTTTTTAAATGTAAATATAAAAGTTTTAGGCCAGGCATGGTGGCTCATGCCTGTAATCCCAGCACCTTGGGAGACTGAGACAGGCAGATCACCTGAGGTCAGGAGTTTGAGACCAGCCTAGTCAACACGGTGAAACCCCATCTCTACTATAAATACAAAAATTAGCTGGGTTAGTATATATATATATATACACTAACTTTTAAACAACATTTGTAAATAAAATCTAGAACATTAAAGAATAACATCAAAAGAAAAAGTAGAGTTCGTTTCAGGAAGACAAGATTGGTTCAATTTTAGGTAATTAATCAAAATTTACTATATTAACAATGTGAAAAGAAAACTGGTTAATCCATCATTATATGTTACAAATTTTGATTAGCAATATTAGCCATTATATTTTTTAATTTAAGGAAATTATAAATAAAAGAGCACTTCCTAAGCATGTATTTATAAGAAACCAGCTAATTCTAAAAATTATATTCAACAGAAAAATATTCAAGTACATCCACAAGGTAAGGATCAACACTGTGATTCTTTAATGTTTTAAAAATCTAGTCCTCAGCTGGGCACAGTGGTTCACACCCACTGTGAACCACTGTGAACCCACTGTAGTCTGAGCACTTTGGGAGGCTAAGGTGGGAGAATTTCTTTAGTCCAGGAGTTTGAGACTAGCCTGCGACAACATAATGACATCCTGTCTCTACAAAAAAAAAGTTCTAATTAGCTGGACATGGTGGCTGTAGTCCCAGTTACTCAGAAGGCTGAGGTGGGAGAACTGCTTGAGCCCAGAAGTTCCAGGGTGCAGCGAGCTTTGATTGCCCCACTGTGTTCCACCCTGGGCAACAGAGAGAGACCCTGTTTCAGGGGAAGAATAAATATAGTCCACTTAGTAAAAAAAAGTCAGACTTGAATAATACAAAATATAATTATTTACAGTCAATATGGCTGGATACAAAAAAAGACTCAGTTTAAAACTTAGAACTAATGGGTAAACAACAAATTTCTGTGAAATGAGATGATGTAAGAATAATTATATTGCATATAAACAGCAATTATTTTTATTATTTTATAATAATAAATTTTATATATTATTTTATAGTAATAATTTATAATTATTATTATTGCATATAAACATTATTATTAAAGTTTATGAAACTCCAGTCATACTCATAATTCAAAATATTGTAACATTTCTAGTAGTAAATATAACAAATAAGATACAGCATGCCTCTGGAAGAGATAGCTCAATATTGTTAAATCTATCCAAATTTTCCTGCTATATATGTATGTGGTATATATATGTGTGTTTACATATGTAAATGATAAGCAGTATATTAATGTGCTGTAAGGAAGAAGAATGGATAATATGTATTTAAAATCATCTGGAAAAGTAAGTGGTAATTAAAAAGTATTTCCTATTGAAAAAAAGAAAAAAATCAAGAAGAAAAAAAGAGTGAATAGAAGTTTATCATCCCATCAGAAAGTGAAATTATTGTAAATTACTTTTTGTTCAACAGCAGTGTACCAGTGATAACACAAAGAAAAATAATCAGTGAAATAGAATGAAAAGTGCGGAAATAGAAATAAGAATATATCTGAATCAAATACTTACTAAATTTAAATTTTATGTTAAATGAAAATTGATGTATCATTGCTACATGATATAAGAACAATTGCTTATTTGGGGGAGGAAATTAAGTTAGATATTGACTACTAAGTAGATGCATACCAAAAGTATAAAAGAAAATTACAAATACATTAAATTAAAAATAAGATCATACAAAAACAATGGAGAATAGTCTTGAGGTATTACTTCCTACTCATGCAATTTAAGGGCATGAAACCTTATGTAGAAAGAATAAACAGGATTTTATGAGTGGGAATTGTCCCATCTCTACTGAGGAGATGGGACAATTCTAGAAGAAATCCTCCTGCAAGGAGTGGGTGTTTCATCCTGATCTGAAAGATGAGAAGATGCAAGTTCACCCAAAGAGAACCAGGAAGCACTGGGGCACAAGGAACTACGGAGAAGACCATGAGTCAAGAACTAGCAGAGGATATTCAAGGAGCAGAAAGGAAGCCGGAGTGTGGCTGGATGCTAGTTCATTCCTGGAAAGTTATAGGAGACAAGCTGGAGGATGCAGGCAAGGGGCTGCTCCTCAGCAAAGGGCTTTGAGTGTCCTAAGGGATAACTTTTAGGTTTTTATTCTAGGTGCTGTGATCTCTTATGAAACGTTTTAAGTAGAAGAGTAATTTGGTATTACTTCAGATGAAACGAGTCACTCTAACTCTTATGAGGAATGTGAGGCACCCAAAGTGGAAAAAGCCAAGTCAGCAGGCTATTGAGAGTTCAGTGAGAATTGAGGAGGGTTCTACCGAGGTGGCGGCATGGGAAGTGGAGAGAGGAGGAGGGTTTCGAGCACATTTCAAATGTAGGGCAGATAGTACTTGGTTATGAATCTGCTGTGGCAAGGAATGTAAACAAATAACTAAGAATCTTCTCTTAAATTTTAATAAAATGTGATCTAGAGAGACCATTAATTTTAATCTCACCTCTTTTGATAGGCCAGTTTTATGTTTGTTTTGTTTAAGACACCTCTCCTTCAGATTTGTAGCAGGTGCACCAAGACAATTTTTTTTTTCAAAAATAGCACATTGTTATACTTTTATTTTTTTGCAGGAAAACATTAGATGCATGAAGATATCATAATTAAACCTTTCATTAAAGAAGGTTAGGCATCCTGCTCATTTCTCACTGTTTTTGAGAGGAGCTCATCATATTAATGGTTGCCATAGCCTTAAAGTGCCTAACTCTTGTCTTGCCATTTCCGGTGTAAAGGCTTTTTCTTGATTCTGTAAATCCAGATATTCTTACAATACTGCCATTTCTCAGCCCTATGACTTTTTATACCAAGCATTAAATAAATGCCAATGTTTCAGATTTGTGGGACCAAATGAGAGGGCCTAAAGTTACCTATACGGGTTACAGAATGAATATTTCCAGTATCCCATTACATGATTTCTGCCTGGAACTAGTAGTTGTGCAGTGAATCAAAGATAATGGTTGAATCAAGAAAGTACAGTTTTCTAACCTCTTTTAGTTATATAAAATTGAATTTTACTCTGGTTTCATCTTGAAGCCTGTAATACCAACAGAGGTAGACTCAGGTTATTTGTGGTTTCCAGAGCTCTGAAGTGCCTAACCTTTGGTCCTGCCATTTCTGGTATTCAGTGTTTAGCAAACCTCACTCTGAAGGGAGGCTGAACTATCTCGGATTTTCAGAGTTCACATTAGACTCATTCTATTTACACAGGCTTGTCCATGTCCTCAGAGGGCTCCTTAAGCTAACTTGTAACACTGAAGATCTAACAAAGTGAGCCTATGTGAGCTTCTTTCCTTGATTTGACTCAAGATCAAGAATTAGAATGACTATCACAGAAGCAGTAGTGGCTGTTATTGTTCAGGGAGCTTTGCTCCATTTTTTATGATAATTCCTAATGATTAAATATGCTTTGTCACATAGCAAGCCTTAAGTTAATATAAAGTTTAGGCTATACAAAGACTTCTATAAATTAATTAGAAGCATAGAAAACTGTTTTTGTTGTTGTTATTGTTTTGTTTTTTGTTTCTTGGTAGAGACGGGCTCTTGCCATGTTGGCCAGGCTGGACTCAAACTCCTGGCCTCAAGGGATCCTCTCACCTCAGCCTGCCAAAGTGCTGGGATTACGGGTGTGAGTCACCATGCCCAGCCAGAAAATTGTTAACATGTTGTAAATGTAGCAAATAAATAAATAAATAAATATCTGGTTGACCAACATTTATCTTCTGTCTTAAGTTTTATGAGTACTATGCCTCTAAGCATTTTTAAGAGATCTCAGGTGATTTAAGATATACCACAAGGTGTATTTCTTATAATACATATTAAATCCATTTCATTTAAAGCCACATTCAATTGCTGAAGTAATGAAGTAGTAACACATAAAGACAAATCTATACAAAGTTTTGTTCATTTGATTTCATAGAAGGTAAAGAACAAGTAAACAAGGGGAAAATTCACTCAAAGAACAATTTGTTTCATTTTATTTTCTTTTAATTGACTGAGCTGATTGATTTAACTCTGGACTTTATAGCCCTGTCAAGTATCAGAATCACAAAATACATGCCACAAACTTTCCCTTAAGTTTATTAGCCAGGATAATTGTAAAGCTCTTTTGTTCACACATGTTGATGTAACAATGAAATTAGCCCTTCGATTGCTACTTTCTTTGTGGCAATTTGCATAGCATTACCAATAAAGTGACTTTACTTGTGGAGCCATCTCTTTGGCAGTCAACTCAGTCTAATTAGATTTTTCTCCTAGGAAAACTGTCAGTCTTTATTACTAAGTAATTAGCCCACAATGGAATATTAAATATTTTTAAAAATCATCCACATGATTTCTTATTTAGGATGTAAGTTAAAAATCATAATATTTAGAAAGAAAATTTATAAAGAGCACACAGTCGTAATTTAAATTCTGTTACCAGGTTTTAGTTTTTAGCCAAGAGTATATTTTGCATTTATTACGGAAGAAAATATGTTTTGTTCCTTCAGAGCAATATATACTTCCTTTCAGAGCCATTTATAAAATCTAATAAGCTCCTGTGTAGTGCTTGTAAATTAGCATAAAGTTGACATTACTCCAAAAGATTGATATGATTTTGCATAACTTAAGGAATATTGAGATCAATTCTTGAGCATTATTTTGTGTATACCTTGTTGAATATTTTCTGTAGATATGTGGAATTCAAATTACTAGTCAATTTAAAATAATTCACCTTTCTAGAATGTAGAAATATACGTTGTCTATTTACCACAAAACATTTATTTACCACACTACTGCTGAAGGAAAATCATCTTAATACTTTGTCTTTTAATGATTATTGAAATACTATTTGTGGTTTTATCAATCATTGTATAAGAGGCTGATTTTTATTATCAGCCTAAGAGATTTATTAGCTTAAAATATACGGTAATATTTTTAATGCTGCCAGATTATCACATATGAAAATTATATGGTATTTTTATAAAGCATGATTAAGTTAATTCAAACATAACAGGCCTCTAGGGAATACACATCACTGTGCCAAGTCACAGGAAATCTCATGTTGATGTCCTTCGATTAGTTTTGACTTGTAGCTGGGGTTTTTCCAGAAATGTGGAAGTTTTCCTTAACTACATTTATAAACAGACAGACAGGCCCTTCTTATCCACAGTCAAAGAAAAAAATGAATTTTACCAGAAGCAAGGAAATTATTTGGTCCAATTAAATCATGTTAGTAACTTTATTGCTGGTGCCCACCACTTTTGGTCATACAGTGGCCCATTTCCTCTTTTCTCTTGCCTTTCATCTCTATCAGAATCTTCAACTAAAAGCAAAAGTGTAAAACCTCTATGCAGCCCTCTAAGGATGAAGATAGAGAAGCTGAATCCACCCCCAAAGAAAGAAGGCACAGTTAGAACAGGGAGAGGCACAAGTCCAGAAGCCAATTCTATGTAGGCATGAGGAGGACAGGAGGATAAGGCTGGAATGAAAGGCAATAGTCCCACCAAGTGTGACTCAGACAAGCTTTGTTTGATTGCCAGCCCATGGTGTGTCAGTGGACAGACCTGAGTTCAAGGAACTTCTTGGAACCCAACACAACCAATATTGTAAGTCTTGGATTGAAATGGCCTAATGAATTCTGGTCTTGATACCATCCATTAGGCACTTGCAATGGCTAGTATGTGGTCAGCAGCCAGCCCATTGCAACATCCCTCACAAATGCTTCAGTGGTTTGTACAGGGCTGAGTTTTCATATTTGGTTAATGATATGCAAAGAGGGAGTGGACATTGGTATGACTTGGGAGACAGAAACTTATCCCAGAATGTGTCTGTCAGTGCCAGTAACATTCAGACTTTCATTCATGATGGAGAAACATTAAGAAGTTTGCCCAAGACAGGAGTGGGGCATCATTACTGCCCACCTGTAACACCACTGGCAATTGGGTGCCTGCCCACTGTGATCTCCTTCATCATAAATCCATGAGTAAAATGATGTCACAAAGCCACCAAAAGCACTTCAGTGGATCAGAAACTATACATAGCCCTGGTCTCCAGCTTCTATAAATCTACCACATATTAGCTGATCCCAGAAATATAAACGTAGGAATCAAGAGTCCTGAAAAACCCAACTATGAAATACAAGTGATTTATAAGAAATGAAATTAGGGCTCTTAGAGTCTCAGAAATGTTTTTTTTCATCACTGCATTTCATGATCTCTGTGGCCTCTGATGTACTTAGAGAAGAATTTTTTCTTTGGTAGAGCTAAAAGTACATGGACTCATCCTCACCATGTCTGGGAGGCAGGACACATTTTATTTACAAAGGAGACATCTGGAATTAGGTTACAGTGTTGAAGTCCCTGCTCTCCTGGAAGCTAGCTGTTTGTCTTTAGTAACTTTATTAATCAGCATCTCAATTAACTCAACATTTAAATGGATATCATATTGTTATGATGAAATGATCTAATATTCTCTAATCTTAGAAAAGCACCTGACATTTAGTAGGAACTAAACAAACAATAAGCAAACAGGTTTTAGACTGCCAGTCCTACCTTCCTTCTGAGTTAAGAAAGAATGACAGTGGCTTACGTAGCTCTTGTCTGGGTGAGCAGAAGATGTCCTGTAGGATAAATGAGCATCTGACATCCTTACTTTCAATTACATGATGCTGGACAGATGTCTGCTACAGAACCTTAGGAACACTCTGGAAGTATTAATTGTGTAAAATTCTTGTGTTACCCATGGTAGTCTAGTACTAAGGTGATCACAAGGCTTTTTCTTTAACTATTTCAGTCATCTGTGTGCATGCGTTTAGGATGCAGGGAGACACCATCCCCCACCAAAGGAACGAACAAAACACACACACACACACACACACACACACACACACACACACCAATTCCTGGAAACTAAGTGATTAATTTAGAATTTTACATGACAATTTTATGCTAGTTAATATGTTCATCAATTAAACTAAGTTTGAAGAGGCAGAGAAGTAATAAATAAGATATTTGAACCAAAGATGGAAGATAGATGATGTAATCTGATAACAGGAGATTCACTCTTGGTGTTATTTACGGACGATGGAGGAAGAAGAGCCTAGAACAGACAATGAAGAACACAAAGAATGTCTTTGCTACTTCCAGACCCAGTGGTAGAAAAGCTATTTCAGAAAAGTGAAATTAAACAGCTTCTACAAAATATTAGATGGAGAAACTGTATCTTCAAGGAAAGCACACATTTTAATGAAAGCAAGAAAACAAAGGAAATATTCAAATAAACAGGATTATACAATGTCTGGCCTTTTATGACTGGCTTATTTCACTTAGCACAGTGTTTCTATGGTTCACGTACATTATAGTGTGTCTCAGTCCTTTCGTTTATCTGTTCATCAGTTGATGGACTTTGGGTTGTTTCCCACTTGTTGGCTATTAGGAAAAATGGCACCACGAACATTTGTATAAAAGCTTTTGTGGAGCATATGTTTCCTTTTTCTTTTCTTTTTTTTTTCCTTGGGTATGTACCTAGAAATGAAATTTCTGGGTCATATGGTGACTGTATGTTCATTGTTTTCAACAACTTTTCAACTGTCTTCCAAAGTGACTGTACCATTTTATATTGCAACCAACAATGTGTGGAGGATTCAACTTCTTAAAATCTTCTCCAACATTTGTTATTATCTATCTTGTAGGGTCTTGTAGGGTTTTCAAATCTGCCATGGTTTCAGTTAGAGTTTGTTGCCACCTAATGGTATATGTAGGCTGTAGCTTAGATATGGATAGGAAAGATTATGGGTGCTGACTTGCAGGAGAGGAGCAGTCATCTCAAGAATCTTGTGTTCAGATGACCACCATTTGCTTGATTGGAGAGTCGGGCTGGGAGAACAAAGAGGGCCTGGGAATTCTGCCCGTTCCCTTTCTGAGAAGGAGCTGCTTATGATTTCCTAGGACACCTTTGTACTCTCTCCCTTCACCCTTCAACTCAAGGTAGAAACATTAGCCAAGTCCAGCTTGAGAATTGTGGTGAGGCAGAGGACAGGAGCCAAGAGCTAATCATGTATGACCTAAATTGATGTTCTTTTTACTCATCTGTTTTTGTTTTCCTTCCTTAGAATGTGACCTCTAAGTGAAACGATTTTGTGTATTTGGTTTATTGTTTTCCTCTTGTTCCTAGAACAAGGAACTTGAGATCCTATAGTAGGCAATCAGTAAAATACTTATTGAATGAACGAATGGTTGATACATTCTAAAACAACACACAGTTTCAGAAGAAAGACATAATAACGGGGAAATTTCTAAGGATTAGGAAGTGATATCTCAGGATTTTAATTCTAAGCTGAAAAATTCATTTTTACACATGCAATAACTCAGTGAATCAAAAACAATTAGCAAGTCTCAGGGGAAACGAATAAAAATAAACAAAAATATTAGCTAGACAATTTCAATAGAATTAATAAAGTGGTAAATATTAAAAATAATTTAGAAATACAGAATCCATGAAAAAACTGGGAATAAATATTGAATTTATTTTTAGATATAAATAAGACTAAGTAATTGTAGAAATCATGGCCACACAGCACAATGTAAAGGCTGTAAACTATGAAAAGGCAAAATCATAAACATTATATTCAAGGAATAGAGAAGGAAAATTAGTGGGACAATTTTGTTATCTTTCATAGCTGTCTCTCTCTCTCTCTCTCTCTTTATTTATCTCTACATATTTTACATAATTCTAACTACATTTTTAATGTTAAAAGGGTCAAATAAATATAAAAAATTAATATATAATAATTATATCAATTATAAAACTATATAAATGTATAGTATACTTATATATTTACCAGTATTATTAATGTGTTAAATATTACATATTAAAACTTAACAAATTAATAGTATTAATATTTATATATCAATTATATAAATATAAAATTAAATATAAATATAAAATTATAAATATAAAAATATATATTTATACATAATTACTTTTTTATTTTTTACAGAATTCTCACATTTTTAACATAAAATTTGTTAACATACATAAACATATATGATATTAATATATACTTGTAAAGAATACTTGTATATTATATATTATGTATAATAATTTTAATATTCTATATATTCATGTTTAGAATATAAATATATTATATATTAATATATAATAGAATAGATAATTAGTATAATATTACTTATATTAATTGTTAATATTATATGTAATATTAATACACAAAAATATTTTATAGAAAATTAATTATATTAATTATGAATATTGGATATAATATTAATAATCAAAAATATTTTAAAATCAAAGCTTTATGACCAATATTTCATAAGGATATTTTTGTGATTTTCTTCTTAAACTTAGAGAAATCTCTTAAAATTTAATAACTCTTAGGATGATGAAACAAATGGATGAAATCCAGCAACTCTTTCAATTATATGCAAATTGTTTTGCAATTAGCTTTATAAAATATTTAATTTGAATAAAAATGCTTTAATTAAGATGACATACGTTGCTTCTATTGTTGACTGTGTCTATCTAACCAGTTTGTTCATCAGTTACTTCAACATTCCATTTCTTGATCTTTCAATGCATCCCTCTTTTTCTCTTTACATAAGTATAAAATCGTATCTGGGAAGATGTACAGTCAACTTTCCTTTTTCAGCTTTTTACTTTCTTGTGTTTTTGGAAATTTTTGTAATGACCATGAATCATTTGGCTAGCAAGTGTTAAAGACATTTTATCTTTAAAAATTAAAAAGGAAAAGGTAGGCAAATAAAAAATACAATATTGGAATAGGAATATCAGCCAAATATGTAAATGCTTTTACCATATAGATTATTTAACACAAGCAACTTAAAGTCAATTTTATTGCTAAACATATGTTTTCATAAATATTGCATTGATTATTCACCCCAGTTAACCTGGGCATTAGCCTATTCTACACACACTGACTAATGCCATGACAATATTTTATTATCAGTCTTTCAGAATCTAACAGTTTCGTGTCTGGCTGGTCTAGCTATGAATCATGTACTTATTTTTTATAACTATTTTGAATGTTCTAATAGTTTTTCTTAAGTCTTGAAATATGTTTACTTACATTTTTACTGGTAAAGAAAGAATGAAAGAGAAAATTTAAGTTGGTCGCATTGAGACCTGAGTGGATACTATTTTTTTTGCTTCAAGTCTATGCACTGACACACCATTGATAAGCACCCTTATTAAAGCTAGCTCTAGGTGACATTTGGCTGGACCTTTTCCTTTAATTCAAGCTTCATTACCCATCCCCCACTCCATACCTAGGTCATGAACTGACCTGTGGACATATGCTCTGACTTACATCCAGCTGTGCTTCATTCTTTGTGTAAATTCAGTTCTCTTTGACTTTCAAATGGAAAGGTAAATATTTTCCACTCTCGTCTGGTTCCAAGCCATTTTCTATGTGGTGTTAAGCTCTACTTAAAACCACCATACAGGCCCCTATACTATATAGTAGGTAACTACAATAGCCTCTGTGATTCTCAGTTCACAGGACTTCCCTGGGTGGCATGGTTGTTTTTCATTCTTTATTTTATCAGTGCCTTATAGATTCTGACCATCTTCACTTAGCCCCAGCCTTTCACTATTTTGATTTGGTAACCTAGATAGAGTTAATTTGCATAGTTTTTATCCTGGCATAAATTCCTGAACAAACACACATGCACCCTTTTCAAGAAAAAACTCCTAATTACTAGAAACACTCAGATCATCTGCAAACAAGAGAAGAGATTTCAATGGACATTTTAATAAAGGTCCCAATTTTAATCAGGACATTTTAATCAAGGTCATTTTCTCTTTTTTTTTTTTTTTTTGAAGAATTGTAATGGAAGGTGAAACATAGCTTTACCAATACAATCCTGAACATAAAACACAATCAAAGCAATGGCTACCAAGAGGTAGAGTTGGTCCAGTCACAACAAAGGAGGCCAGTCAAGAGCAAAGTTTACAGCAACAGTTTTTTGGGATACTCAAGGCATTTTTCTTGATGACTTTCTGGAGGGTCAAATAATGATAACATCTGATTATTATAAGAGTGTTTTGAGAAAATTGGCCAACACTTTAGCAGGAAAATGCCTGGGAAGGCTTCACGAGAGATTATTTTTCCACCATGACAATGCTCCTGCTTATTGTGCTCATCAAACAAGGAAAATTTTGTAAGAGTTTTGATTGGAAATCATAAGGCACACACCTTACAGTCCTGAATTGGCTTTTCCTGACTTCTTTTTGTTTTCTAATCTTAAAAAAAATTATGGCATTTATTTTTCTTCAGCAAATAATATAAACTAGACTGCATTGACATGTTTAAAATTCTAGGACCCTCAGTTCTTTAAAGGTGGACTAAATGAGTGATATCATTGTTTTAAAAAGTACCTTGAGCTTGATAGAGAATATGTTGAGATACTAAGTTTATAATTTTCGTTTTTATCTTTCAATTTTATTTTTTCACAAACTTTTGGAAGTCACCTTGTATTTTGTAGAATGTCCCTAGATTTGGATTTGTCTAACTTTTTAAATGATTATACTGAGGTGAGATCATGGATTTGGGGAAGAGTGTCAAACATGCTCTGTGTGCTCATCTCATCATATCAGGTGCATGTAATATATCAACATGAGTAATTACTAGAGGTGTTAACCTTGATCACTTCATTAAGCTGATGACTGCCATGTTTCTCCACTATAAAATTACTGCTTTTCTCTTTCCGTACTTAGAAGCTTATCCGTAAATCCAACTTACACTCAGGGAACTGGCGAGTGCAGTAAGCTTCACCTCCTACAGAGAAGAATATTAAAGTCTGCATGAACATGCATAAAAATTATTAAGTTATTAATATAATTGTGGAAGAAGATGATTGAGGCTATTTAAATGCTCAATTTCTCTTTGAGGTTTTAGCCACTAATGCTGGTATACATCAATGGACCTTGACAGCCTCAATCTTCATTTTAGAGGAAATTCGTATTTTAACTAGGAATTGCTGTCATCTTAATGTTGAGGGTAATAACACAACCACCACATCAGAAAGATCTTCACAGAGATAGTTTTTAGAAAAGAGGTCATACTAATTAGAATGTTGCATTGCTATTTCAAGTAAATGCTAATTATGATTTCTATACAAGGAACTATGACCATGCCAGTAAATGTCTTGAGTTCACAGGATAATCAAAGAAATTGGTCATTAAGAATGAGCAAACAAAAATAACTATCCTGCATTTCTGTTTATTTTTTGTTTGAGTGGGATAGAGTGATGGTGCAAATGTTTTTATGTCTGTGACTACTACTGTTACTGCAACACATAAACACTCATATGCATCTATAGATAATGAAGTCCTATAAAAGGAGCCATTGCTGAATTAATAGACAATATCGCACATTTCATATTTATACACATTAAATATTCATTATTATGAAAGTACTTTAAAAGAATAGTTTGGCATTATTAAAAAGAACAACCACAATTTTAAAAAATTCCAGAAAAAATAAAGCTGACTTTTTTCATTGTCAAGAAGTCTAAAATGACTCAATTTCATAGGAAAGTGACATTGTGCTGTTTTTATCAACATTAGTTATTTCTAATTATTGTTATCAAATGATGCTGATTACAGAGACATACATTCTCCTCATTCAAAGACATTTTTCAGGTCCCTGATGAAATGTTCACTAGGTATCAAAACTGAAATGAACATCTAGTAATTGAACATTCTGAACAAAATCTGTTACACTTCTAAGTGTAATTGGGAGATGAGTCACATGGTGGATTCATTAGCACTGAATGAAACTTAAGAACTTGAGACATTTATAAATATATAATTAGGATTATTTACTTCGTTGTAAAAATTTTGTTCATAAGATAATATCAAAATACTAGAAAAATAAATAATTTGGGGACAGATGAATTTTGACGTTTCTCTAAAATCACTTTTCTTTTATTCATTGTGAATAACTCAAGGTGAACTTTACGCCAAGAATATAGTACTGATCAGAAAGTTCGTTCATAAAGTGCTATGGGAGGGATGGGTAGTTGACTTTCATTCTGCTTTTCCTGCCCTAGCAGAATCAGTTATGCAGCTGTCATTTTAGCATATAATCACTCTCCTTGAAATCAATATTAGCTGACAGTATTAATGAGGTGAACTATTGATAGATATGCACCAGGCTACAATGGCTGTCACTTTTCATTGCAACTTCCAATTCCAGTACTATATTAGTGATATTTTTCAGCTATTGATGTAGCTGTAGATCACTCTGTTTTGTCAGAATCACTATATATTTTTTTGATTTTGAATACTAGTAGATATTCAGTATTATTGAGAACAAATAACATATATAAGAGCCATACTGGATTGGGACCATAGTGGAAGATTCCAAAATGTTGCCATTACTTAAAAGAGTGGATAGTTGTTGGGAGTTTTTTTGTGTAATATCTACAGTTAACTGTGGCATGAAGTACATAGAGAATTATAATCCTGCAGAAAACATTTCATGAGTGCCTACTACATCCTAGGCACCCTACTATGTCAACTCTACTAGACCTCCATCAACCTTAAAAGCTTAGCATTTCTAGAAGGTTTAACATACAAAGAAACTTTTTCCATATCATACAACTAGAGTGTATTGGAATTGAATTTGAAGTCTAGTTGGCTTCCAAAACACTTTAATACAGATACTTTTCACCATGTATCCTAGCTCTCTGATTAAATTCCTATATCATCCACTAATGTTCTATTAGTAATTATCATCATCATAGCTATTATTTGAGTATATCCTCTATTTCAGTGTTCTGGAGAAGATGCTTTGCATTTGCTATCTATTTTAACAATCATACAAGACTGTACATATGCTAGCTATTTTAATCTTCTGCACAATTCCAGAGGGAAACTTTCACTTAAAAAGTAAAGTTGGGTTTCAGGCAGTGCCTTTTTTTTTACTTTGTGACAACCCAGCTTTAATAATCATATAAAGTAAATACACCTTTCTTCACTCTACAGAAAGGCTAACCAAGACTCCGAAAGATTAAGTAATTGCTTCAGGTTCACACACCTGGTAAATGATAAACCTGAACTTTGAGTTTCATGTTTTTAACTTGAACACATTTGGAGATAATTAATTTTTTTGTCTTATTTCATTTTCTGCTGTAGAAAAAATCTCACAAATTAAAAAAAAATATCTCACTTGAAATGAGAAAAACATGTTATCCTATAATTATGGACGTTAGAAGTCTAAAATAGGACTGCAGGGCTGTATTACTTCTGGAGTCTTTAGGGAATAATCCTTTTCCTTGCCTTTTTCAGCTTCTAGAAGCTTCCTGCTTACATTGTCTCGTGGTCCCACCTTATTGTGACCTCTGCTTCTGTTGTCATATCTCCCTCTTTGACTCTGACCCTCCCTGTGCTCTCTTTCATTTATAAAACTCCTTGTGATTACACTGGACCAATCCAGTTAATCCAGTTTAATTCCCCTGTTTCAAAGACAACTGAGAAAACATTAGTTAGCACCTAATGATATGGTTTGGCTGTGTCTCAACGTAAATCTCATGTTGAATTGTAATTTCCATAATCCCCATTTGTCCTAGGAGGAACCTGGTGGAAAATAATTGAGGGCAGTTACCCCCATGCTGCTGTTCTCATGATAGTGAGTGAGTTCTCAAAAGATCTGATGGTTTCATAAGGGGCTTTTCCCCATTTTGGTCAGCACTTCTCCTTGCTGCCACCATGTGAAAAAGGATGTGTTTGCTTCTCCTTTCACCATGATTGTAAATTTCCTGAGGCCTCCACAGCCATGCTGAACCATGAGTCAATCAAACCTCTTTCCTTTATAAACTACTCAGTCTTAGGTGTGAGAACACACTAATATACCTAAGTAACTAAGTACCATGAGTTCTACCTGCAATTTTAATTCCTCTTTGCCATGGAACCTAGCAATTTGTGTGTCTAAGAATAATTAGGCTGTAGACATCTTTGGAGGGGGTATCATTCTGCCTATCACAGTTTCCTACTTCCATTGGGATGTGCTCAATTTCATGATTAGTGTAAAACCTAATGAAGCCCAACTGCCTGGGTTTGAAGCCCAGCCCTACCATTGACTCACTGTGTGAGCCTGGGCATAATAGTGAGATTAACTGTGCCTCAGTTCCCCCTGGAGATAAGAACAGGATCTTCCTGCCTGATTGGTGGGAAATACAATGAGTTAATATTTGTAAAATATTTGAAACATTAACTGGTACCTGGTAAGTGCCATAAAATTCTTGAGTAAAAAATAAGAACAATTCCCTTTCTGATGAAATATAAATTAAAAGCATTAGTGTTACATAAGCCACATAAATATTTGATAATGATTAAACTATGTATAATTTCTATTCCCAGTTTAAATCTAATGGTAAAAAACTAATACCTGCAAGAAGAAATTACTGTTTCTTCTACTTGGCTAAAGTAAGGACAGAGGCACAGAAAAGTGAAATAAAAATTTTATATATATAGTCATATTCAATTTAGGAAGATACACAAGTTGTCAGGAAGGCCAGTAGAAATGGGAGAACTTACAAGGTTTCCTGCCTAAAGCAAGACTTCTGTCCTAGAAACCCGGAACTATCCTTCTGAGAGCAGAAAGCAGCTCCAGGAGATGATTCATTTGGCTTCCTATCCCTTAATGATAAGCAAGTAATTTTTTCATCCTCCCTCTCAGAAACCACATACATATTCCCCTGCACTTAGAAGTGCCACTTAGGTTGGCTGAGAGGGAGGGACAGTTCATATTGGAGGCCAAGTCACTTTTTTCATGGCCCCAACTACACACACACACACACACACACACACACACACACCCCTCACAGATTTTTATGGGTGACAGAAGGAGAAAAACAGGAGGCTTGGTGGATGAGTCAGAACTGCTGAGGAGATGCTATACTTTCCCAAGATGCCAGAAGCTGCATTAGCAAGACAGCTTCTTCTCCAGTAGAACAGCCTCTCAACTGCCCTGCTAGATACCTCCTGGTACTGGGCATCCTGCCATCCTATTTCCCTTCTCCAGAGACTCAGTCCGTAGCTCTGCAGTATGACAGAATAACCAGGTAGGTAGAAAATCCTATAGATACCTGCTCCCTATCCCAAACCTACTTCATAGGATCTGCGGAGAACTGAAGCAATAGAAAAGTTCATTCCATTAGTTTTCTCTAACTAAAAATACTAGTGTGATGGAGAAGAAAAGACACTGGGTCACAGTGAGTCTATGCTATGAACTCAACTGTCATATTCTAACCAGGTGACCTTGGACAGGAAACATCACTGAAAATCTTTGTTCCTGAGTTTTCTATATGTTTACAGGGGAAAACAATACGCAACATGCAGATGTATTATAGGTTTACTCTTCATCTATGTAGAATGTCAAAAACAGTGCCAGGATATGAACACATAAAGTAAGCTATCTACTGTTTGTTACGCACTAATAGAATAGTGAAAAGGAAATTCTTTTTTTTTTTTTTTTTTTTTTTGAGACGGAGTCTCGCTCTGTCGCCCAGGCTGGACTCGCTCTGTCGCCCAGGCCGGACTGCGGACTGCAGTGGCGCAATCTCGGCTCACTGCAAGCTCCGCTTCCCGGGTTCACGCCATTCTCCTGCCTCAGCCTCCCGAGTAGCTGGGACTACAGGCGCCCGCCACCGCGCCTGGCTAATTTTTTTTGTATTTTTAGTAGAGACGGGGTTTCACCTTGTTAGCCAGGATGGTCTCGATCTCCTGACCTCATGATCCACCCGCCTCGGCCTCCCAAAGTGCTGGGATTACAGGCGTGAGCCACCGCGCCCGGCCGAAAAGGAAATTCTTGAGCTGATGGTAGTCACTGACTAATCTTTAGCAATGATAACTGATCGAAGAGTGCATATGTGTGTATGCAATTTTGCACATATCACATATATATTTTTGAATGCATATACTATGTATATGTACACATAGAATGTGTGTTTGTGCATGTGTGTGTGTGTGTGTGTGTGTGTGTAGGTTCTGGAGGTTCTTTTAAATAATGCCTCACACAAGGAGACCAAAGGTATCTTATCATGGTTTTTATGATTCCGTAAGTCTCTACATATGGAGTTTAGGGACTTTGTAAACCTTTAAGTTAGGATGCAAGATTTTGCATGTACATGAGTTTTCTAGGAAAAAAAATATATTTTTTAAATAAAATCTCAATTATGTCTTGACATGCTTGCCCAACTGCAAAAGGCACTGACCACAGCCTTTTATATAGCAAATAGACATTTTAGACACGGGGTAGAAAAATGTTTGAAGACAAGGCTGGTCTTGAGTCAAAATCAACCTTAGAATAAAATTTCATAATCACAGAATACTATACCTGAAAGGAACCACTGAAGCTTCCCCTGGTCATTAATGTCCTATGGTGAGCTGGAGTCCAGAGTATTGAAGGGACAGACCCAAGTGATACAAGTTGGTAGCATAACCACCATGAAAATTCAAAGTGTCAGAGTCTTCATTCCAAAGTTTTCCCCCCGTAACTTCATGTTTGTGTATATCTCTAAAGAGGTACTCAGATACCTATGAAAGACTAACGTGATCTCAGAGAAAAACATGTTAATACATTCTTAAAACTCTTAAAACAGTACCTATAAAATCAGCTACTATAATGCAGCAAGCATAAGGAAGATTGTGAATGTCTAGCAAATTAACACTTGACAATTCAAAGTGCCAACTAGTGCTAATTTCATTTACTGTAGTACTGTAAATGATGTAGATATTTGGCAGGCTATGACTTAATACCATCTGGCCTGAGAAATTTATGATTCATTCACACAACTAGACTTTTTTAAAGTTTTATACTGCTTTTGGTTAGACAATGCACTTGACTGCTGGTTTGAAGGACAGTAACTTGAGGTTTTTCAAGTTGAATCATTACATTTTCATATAAAGCAGCTACTTTTTTTTTCTCAGGGAGTATATCTGAATATCATAATTGTTAATAAGCATTAATATTTGCAAGAGCAATGAATTATGCAAATACTAACCTGTTTGTTTATGGTTATGTTTTTCCATATTACGTTTTCATTCAGCTTTCTGTAAAGGCTAAGCCATCAGATTTACTGTTCCAGGGATGAGAGGATCATTCCATTCTGATCAGAGATACTAGGGGAAATGAGTCTCAGTGCTAAGTAGACTTTTGAATGAAAGAATAGGTTTTGAAAGACAGACACTTTGGCAAAGAGGAATTTCTCAACAATGAAACTTTTCTTTAAGAAAAGCTTTAATAGGTCTAGAGGTTTAGATTACATAGAATCAGTATGTGTGTATCATCCCATTAGGCTGAGAAATTTTAGATGAAAAGTGTATTTTTCAGGATGGCTAGGGGTGGAATTAAGAAGCCCTTCTATGAAATCACAGAAGCTCTTACCTGCCTTCCTTAGACGCAGACACCGTATTGGAAGGGAGAACAAGACTTGAGAGGTGACTAAAAGTCTGGATATTTATGCACAATAAATTAAATACCTAAAGAAAATTAGATGTACATTTAAATACTTAAAATTATTGGTTTGGGACAAGGTTACTGGATTAGACAAAACATAAATGGTCGTAGGTAGGTGTGGAAAGATAGTAGAGAGATTTGTCCCTCACTCTTGGGAGACAGAAAGACAATGAAGAAGATTCAGTTGTAGAAAGAAAAACAAAGTTCATTGTTTTTAATGTGTAGTGCAAGTGATACTCAAAAGCACAACATAACTGACTTTTATTGAGAATTGATTGCAAAGGATGCTTTGTACAAGGTGTCTTATTTGATTCCCACAATAATTCAATGATATTAATATTATTAGGTATATTAATATTATTATGTGTTAAAACACAGTTGACTTCAAATACGTGTTTTAAGTGCCCAGGAGTAATTATGTGGAATTTGTCCTTAGGATATGGGTGTCATTTGTCTTTAGCAGTCTTCTTACCTGTGACATCAGTCATCACTGATTTTGACCTCATCATGCCAGGCAAGCTACAGTATCCCCACCTGAGCCACAAATGCTAGATGACATTCCTTTCTCTCTTTTTTCTTCACTTACATTAAATCCTTCTCTCCTCAACAACTTCCCCTGAGAATGCTGCACTTAGCTATGAAAGATAAATTTTTAACAACTTACTGCTTATACTAGATGATATATTTCTTTTATCAGGGTTTTTCTGAATGAATCATTCAGAAAGAATTTGACATAATGGTAGGAGTTCCAGGCATTATGTCAGCAAAGTAAGAAATGTTTGTACATGTGGAATTTTCTGGCACACTTCAAATCACTCCAACTTAATCATGCTTGCCTGAGTAGTTGAATTTTAACCTTGGACTATTTCATATTACAAATCAGTTCATAATCTGATGGATAAGACAACTTTATTGCAAGGAAATATCTTAGACAAAAGCATTATGTAGCGCTCATTGCAAATTATCTACTTATTGGTCATTACTTATGTGCCCTACAATTTTTAGAACAGGACATTTCTCCTCTGTCTCTTATCATTGGATCCCTCATGAAAAAGTCTTTAAAATTATCATTTGATCATTTGGCTGCAGCATGGAGGTGTGACCCTGCCAGTTCTCTTTAAGGAACACTCACAATTCTTGCAAGGAAACAACCTTTACACAATTCTGAAACAAGAACAAAGACAGCATCTTAGTAACAAATTCTAAATTTTAACTTTTGGTTCAAGGAGAAAATGTGTATATAAGAAAAACCTGTGGAATCTCAATTTACAAACATACATGAAGATCCACAAGTTTTGATGACTTCCTCTTCACTCCCTGGGGAAGGAGGGTTCCCACCTGAGGGTTATGGGGGTGGCTGAACTCAAAGCACCCAGCACTGGGCAGGTGAGATTGGCAGCAGTGAATTAGTCACACGTATACACAGCCTGGGAGAGGAGGACACTGCATGGCCTGCAGGACCACACAGGGGCTGCGTTAAGAAAGACAGTGAGAAAGCAAGGACTGGGGAAGGCCAGCTCTGTAGTAACAAGAGGGTGGCATGGACCTACCTCCTGTAAGTGATGAGATTGGCTTGTCTGAATAACTAGGCTGGCCAGGAACTGCAGCCTCTAATTCAGGGATAGGCAAGCACTGTGCTGGTCTCCATGACAAAGAAGGATGTGTAGCTGGGGACTTTCAACAGAGAAAGGCCCAGAACTTGCGGTTAGGCCCCCAAGTTTTTCCTAGGCATCCCAGTTCTCCCTAGGTGTCAAGGCACACATAACATCAGGCCTTAATTTTAGGTCTTGTGCCCCAGCATACCATATGTGTACACACATTTTGCTGCTGTATCCCATGGTCTTGCCTGTTTGCTCCCCTTTACACCTATGGTTACCAAAAATCACACCACGTTTCATTAAACTCTGTTGCAGTGTAGTGTGTTAGCATGGCTATTGCTAAATCGTACAAAGCACTTTGTATTAGTCTGTTCTCATGCTGCTAATAAAGACATACCTGAGACAGGGTAATTTATAAAGAAAAAGAAGTTTAATGGACTCACAGTTCCACATGGTTGGGGAGGCCTCACAATCATGGCTGAACTCAAAGGAGGAGCAAAGGCATGTCTTACATGGCAGCAGGCCTAAAGAACATGTGCAGGGGAACTCCCCTTTATAAAACCATCAGATCTTTCAAGAACTCACTCACTATCAGGAGCGCAGCAGAGAGGTAACTGCCCTATGATTCAATTACCTCTGACTGGGTCCCTCCGATGACACATGGGGATTATGGGAACTACAATTCAAGGTGAGATTTGGGTGGGGACACAGCCAAATGATATCAGGACTTATTTTCACATTACTCTTATCTTTAAATACTCACTGACTCTTAAGCATTTAGTTATGACTTGTACAAGGACAACATAAAGTGTCAGAAAAAATCTAATTGTTCAATTTCATTTCTTGACATATTTTTGCAAAAAAGTTGATCTGAGAGAATATTTCAAGAGGGTTATAATGAGATCATATGATTTTGTATCTATTATTCTTTTATTCACACACAAAACATTTAGAAGATATGTCCAAATGCTATTCACAAATTTAGACTCCAGTCACCACACTAGTCAAGGGCTTTGTGAGCAGAGGGCACAGCTTCAGGGTCAGTGCAAGGTAACGTGAAGCGCCGCAAAGCAAGAGACTTTTGACAGACAGGTGGAGGTATGAAGAAGTGAGAAGCCCTTTGGTTACTTCTGGCAAATATCAAGTCAGGAGAGTGGTGGACTGGACATTTAGCTTACAAAATCTGCCGCAGCTGTTGTTCACCAAATCTCTGGCAGTCGGTACAGTGTTAAAGAACTGTTTTAGAAATTGTATGAAGCCATCCTGACTCTGGGTGCACACAAGTGTTGAGACAGAGGAAGGAGGACAGAGTAAGTGCCCAGAGGGATTTTCTTAACTATAGCTGTAAGAAAGCCTAAAATAGTCCATTCCTGTCTAGCCTACCAAAAGCTGTAAGAAGAGGAACACCTCATCACAATTTTATGGAAGAAGATTTTTTTTGGTTTTTTGTTTTGTTTTGTTTAATAAGCAGATTCTCATTCTTTCACTGTAGTCCTGTCGTGAGACACAGATCCTGGTTACAACACCTAAGTGATTGTGCATAGCTGTGATCCTAATTAATGGTCTTCCCATTCAATTTACCTTACAGCTGTAATGTAAAAGCCTGATTAAAAGAGAGCCCTGGGAGGCTGAGGCAGGAGAACGGCCTGAACCCGGGAGGCGGAGCTTGCAGTGAGCCGAGATCGCACCACTACACTCCAGCCTGGGCGACAGAGCGAGGCTCCGTCTCAAAAAAAAAGACAGCCCTGAAGGCCACTAGGTTGGTTCACTGCTTGACCAGGGAAGAAAATTTTCAAAGTGTAACACTAGCTGGAAACATTTCTAGGTTCTCCTAATTGAAATATGGAAATTGATCAGATGGGAGAAAGGGAGTAGTATTGACTCTTGGCTGCAGCGTTTTAATAAGACAGTATCAGTAAAATATTCTGGACAGAGACCTGCTTGCCAGCAAAGTCTGCCAGTCTTTGAGTAGGTCTGAAAATCTGTGTACCATGATCTACGTATAGGCCAAGTCCACAAAAGTCCCTGCTAATGTGAGCCTTTCAGAAGCATTTCCTTTAGAATTTGTTTTATTGTAAGAAGTTCTCAGGCAGATGAGAAGAGTGAAATCTCTGTAAAGTTTACTTGACTCCACCTCCAAAGGCTTTCTTTTTTTTTTTTTTTTAAGAAACCCAGGCTTATATATGTCTCTTTAGGGCATTATTTGCTCGTCAGTAACTAACTAAAACATTGGTAATACAAAAAAGAACATCTGAGCATTAAGTATAAACTGAAAAGTAGATTAACATTGTGTTAGTCCATTCCCCCATTGCTATAAAGAAATATCTGAGACTGAATAATTTTTGAGAAAAGAAAAGTTTAATTGCCTCATACTTCTGCAGGCTGTACAGGAAGCATAGCAGCATCTGCTTCTGGGGAGGCCTCTGAAAGCTTCCAATCATAGCAGAAGGCAAAGGGGGAGTTTGCATGTCACACAGTGAAATCAGGAGTGCGCAAGAGAGAGAGCAAGATGCCACACACTTTTAAACAGCCAGATGTCATGAGAAGACAGTCACTGTCATGAGAACAGTACCAAGGGGGATGATGTGAAACCATTCGTAAGAAATCTGTCCCCATGATCCAATCACCTCCCGCCAGGACCCATCTCCAATACTGGGGATTTCAATTCAACTTGAGATTTGGGTGAGGCACATATCCAACCTATATCACACATTAGGGCAGATGCTAGAATAGGAGTTGGCAGTGGGAAGAGATGAGAACAACTGGGTGGCTCAGGGGAAGAGCTGATGCCACATGCTGGGTTTCACAGACTATCCAGCTATCAAAATGTTGGATTTTTATTCTCTCATTATTCTTTCAATAATGCCTTGGAAGCCCTAGTAGTTCAATAGACCTGCTTCTCTAGTTAAAAAAAAATCTTCCCAACAAAAGTTTGATATATGCATTATTTTTATTGTGTGAATTTAAAGTAAATAATTTGATGATTTGGTACACATAAACATGGTGAAATAATCACCACATTCAAGCTAATTATCATATCCTTCACCTCATATATCTACCATTTCTTTTCTTGGAGTGAGAACACTTACGATCTACTCTCTTAGTGGATTTCAAGTACATAGTGCAGTATTGTCACTGGTAGTTACCATGCTATACATTAGATCCCCAGACTTTGCCATCTTGCATGAACTAAAGTGTACGCTGACCAACATCTCACCATTTCCCCTCCCCACAGCCCCTGATAATCACCATTTTACTTTCTGCTTCTATGAATATGACTATTTTCGATTCCACATAGAAGTGAGATCATAAAGTATTTGCTTATTCTACTTCTGGCTTATTTCACTTAGCATAAGGTCTTCCAGGTTTATCTGTGTTGATGCAAGTGGCAGGATTTCCTGCTTTTTTAAGGCTGAATACTATTCCATGGTATGTATATGTAACACATGTTCTTTATTCATCCATCCATCGATGGACACTTAGGTTGTTTCCATATCTTGGCTCTTGTGACCGATGCTGCAGTGAACGTGGAGTGCAGATCTCTCTTACAGATCCTGATTTCCATTCATTTGGATACAAACCCAGAACTAGGGATGCTAAGTCATATAAGTCACATGTGTCACTCACACCCACAACAGGACACGTGTCACTCACACCCACACACAGGACAAGTGTCCTCACTCACACTCACACATAGGACATGTGTCACTCACACCCACAGGTAGTTTTGTTTCCATTTTTTAAGAAACCTTATGCTCTCCTATAATGACTGTACCAATTTATTGTCCTTCCAACAGTGCGTAAGCATTCCCCTTTCTCTACATCCTCACTACGCTTATTAAAAAAAAAAAATAGCCTTCCTAACAGAAAAAGTAACTCAAAGTGGATTAAAGACTTAAATGTAAGACCTGAAACTTAGAAAAAAACATGGTAGAAAAGCTCCTTGACATTGATCTTGGCAATGATATTTTAGATATGACATGAAAAGCACAGGCAACAAAAGCAAAAATAAAGAAGTGAGACTACATCAAAATAAAAACTTCTGCACGGTAAAGGAAATAATCAGCAAAATGAAGTAAATATTGAAATTGGAGAAAATATTTGCAAACCATACGTTTGATAAGGGATTAATATACAAAATATATAAGAAACTCATACAACTCCATAGTAAAAATAAACAACACAATTCAAAGACAGCAATGAACCTCAATAGACGTTTTTCCCAGGAAGACATAAATGGCCAACAAGAACATGACTCATTCGTCATCAGGGAGATGCAAAACCAAACCACGAGATCTGTGTATTTCTTAAAAGATTCAATGCATTTTGAAAAAGCAGTGGCTTATTCTGAAATAAATAACTATGCTGTTTTATTTTCTGACCCACATAGGGAAAAACACAGATTAAAATTCTTAACTTAAATTTGATATTTAAGAAAATGTGGTACATATAAACCATGAAATACTATGCAGCCATAAAAAGGAAGAAGATCATGTCCTTTGCAGGGACATGGATGGAGCTGGAAGCCATTATCTTTAGCAAACTATCACTGGAACAGAAAATCAAACACTATGTGTTCTCACTTAAAAGTAGGAGCTGAACAATGAGAAGACATGGACACAGGGTAAGGAACAACACGCACTGGGGCCTGCTGGTGGGGTGCCAGTAGGAAGAGCATCAGGATAAATAGCTGATGCATGTGGGACTTAATACTTAGGTGATGGGTTGATAGGTGCAGCAAACCTCCATGGCACAATTTGCCTATGTAGCTGATCTACATGTCCTGCACATGTGATACGCTTTGGCTCTGTGTCCCCACCAAAATCTCATCTTGTAGCTCCCATAATTTCCACATGTTATGGGAGGGACTCGGTGGGAGATTATTAAATTATTGGGGGGGGGTCTTTCCCGTGCTGTTCTCCTGATAGTGAATGGGTCTCATGAGGTCTGATGGTTTTAAAAACGGGAGTTTCTCTGCACAAGCTCTCTTTGCCTTTCACCATCCAGGTAAGATGTGACTTGCTCTTCCTTGCCTTCTGCCACGACTGTGAGGCCTCCCCAGCCATGTAGAACTGTAAGTTTAATTAAACTTCTTTCTTTTGTAAATTGCCCAGTCTTGAGTATATCTTTATTAGCAGCGTGAAAACAGACAAGTACAACATGTATCCAGGAACTTAAAATAATTTTTAAAGCTGAAAAAAATATATAAATCCATGTGTGAGCAAGGAAATGATGGACAGGCTAGCTTATTCTAAAACACTCATTTCCTAGAACAACAATGATTGTATCTTTTAATAACGAAGTTTTTGATTCTATAGTATAGAATTAATAATGTCTACCTATATTACTCTATCGAATGGTGGTAATCAGACTGGAAAATAGCTGATTGATGTTGAAAGTGTATTGAAAATTATAAATGGTGATATATATAAAATATTATTATTATTGAAATTGGCAAGATGGTGTTCTTCAATCTTATCTCTGCTTCTAGTTCACTGACTATAGTTCCTATAATTTATCATTCTAGCCACTGAATCACCTCAAAGTTGGATCAGAAAGAAAGATAAAGGAAAGATCACAGACAAAAGTGGAAATCAGATGAAAGAGAGTAGAAGAAAGGGAAGATGAGGAGGATTTAATACAACCTATGCTGCTGCATGTGGGAATTACGCAAGGAACATTTCTTTTAAAAATCATTTATAAAAGTTGCTACTGCAAATCCTTTGAAGAGGATGGTAGCACTACTGAGAGCAGCTAATATGTATGCAAAGAAACAATTTATATTTTATTTTATGACTAGTGATACATAGAACATTTTCCAACTACTGTATATTCAGAAGATGTTCATGTCTTGGAAATCCATTTTTAACTTTCAGCTTTTGGAGGTCATTCTGCCATTCATTAGTTGTAACCTCAGTGTGGGAGGCACATGAAATGTATTTAATCTTGCTTCCAGAGTCTGCCATACGTCCCTCCTTCTCTCCGTTCCCTAGATCCTTCTTTATTGATGTGGGTTTTAAAAGTTCTTTTAAATGCCTGGTGTCTAAGTGTTACATGTTTTGATTCTTATTCCATTTTCTTTGACACACACACACACACACACATAAAATATTGGAACAATATATGAATCATCTCAAAAAATATAATTTCTGTTTATATTGTGAAAAGCAGAAACTAAGATAGCTTTTATAATATTCATCATAAGTTTTCAAGGCTATTTAATGACTAGGGGAAAGGTTGATGCTGGCTCTTACTTTGGGAATTAGTTATAGGTGATGTTATTTGGACCACTACAATAATCATTCTTTCATTTATTTTCTCAATAATTTATTCATGCAATAGTCACCGAAATCTTCCTAAAAGCAGGGCATTGTTCTATGTGCTAGAGGCCAGGGGCCAAATAAGAGAGGCCATGTCCTTGCTGTGGTGCTGTTGACTTCCCTGATGGAAGTGACTGGAAATAAAAAAAAATAAGCAAATGTGCATCTGTGTGCTTTCCTTAGTGACAGATGAAGAAAAATATGGCAGAATAAGGTGGTAGATGGTGAAAGGACAGAGACAGGAGCTGCTATTTAAGAAAGAAGGTTATGAAAGCTTTTCTGAGCAGAGACCAAAGTAATGTGAAATTGCAAATCACCTTAAATCGATTGAGAGATGTTTCAGGCAGAGGGAGCAGCAACTGTGAAGTCCCTGAGACGGGCGAAGCTTGGTGTATGTGAGAGACACAATATAGGGCAGAGGGTCAGAGATGAGGTCAGAGAAGTAGATGGGGGCTGTGTTTTCTGGAACATTGTGAGCTAGGTTAAGGAGGTTAGATTTTGTTGAGAGTGTGATGTGAATTCACAGGAGCATATGGCCAGGGAAGTGATGTAAAATGACTTATGTCTTTCGAAGATCACTCTGGGTAACCTACGTACTTTAAAGTGGCAGAAAGGAAAGAGGGAGATTGGTTAAGTGGCAAGAAGTGACAGTGGGACTGGTGTGGACATTGAGGGTGTTTAGACATAGAACCGATGGGTTGGCATGGGCTTGAGAGAGACACTGGTATGATGCCCAGAGCTTTGTTCTTTGACATGGGAGGATGATGATGATGCCAAGCAGAAGCCTGTTGGAGGAGGATGCTTCAGGTCTGTGAGGGTTGCAATTTAGTTACAGACAACAGAAATTATTCTGGCTAGTTTATGAAGTTAGTAATTTCATAACTGTATAAGGTAGCTGACAAAGTCTTTGGAAGGACTTGAGAGTTAGCTTTATGTTGAGCTTCCCAGGAAAGTGTCCCATCCTTAGAATCACATGTCCCCTGTTATGACTGAGGAAGCTACTGACCTGCTTACTGCAAAAGCATTCTTTTGATTATGACTAGAGCATTCCCATCTATGTTTCAAATGACTCCCTCCCCAATATAAGCCTAGCATATGTATTTGATTGGCAGATCTTACATTATTTAAGAAAACCTGACTGTGAGGAAGAATTGGCAAGCTAGACTGTGGTTTCTCAGCCTTCATAGCTCAGAAGGGTATACTAGAAAAAGATCATATTGTGTATTAGTCTGTTCTCACACTACTATAAAGAATTGCCCAAGACTGGGTAATTTATAAAACAATGGACTCACAGTTCTGCATGGCTGGGAAGGCCTCAGGAAGCTTAACAATCATGGCGGAAGTGGAAGCAGATGTGAAGGAGGAGCTGTTAAACACTTACAAAACCATCAGATCTTGTGAGAACTCACTCAATACCATGAGAACAGCATGGGGGAAACTGCTCCCATGATCCAATCACCTCCCACCAGTCCCTCACTCGACACATGGGGATGATGGGGATTACATTTCAAGATGAGATTTGGGTGGGGACACTGCTAAACTACATCATACTGGATATAGAGCAAGCCAATCCACAATGGGGTAAGGGGATTTAGCAATGTGCCTTAGACATACTAAATATGAACTGCCTTTGAAAAATACCTGTGGAGATATTGAGTAGATGGTGAGATATGGAAGCCTAGGACTTATGAAAGAAACCAAGAACTGCGACAAGTTTAGTATCCCAGTGTGGTTGACATGCTGAGACCCTGTCTCAAAAAAAAAAAAAAAAATTAGCCGAATGTGGGCATGTGCCTGTACAAGTCCCAGATACTTGGGAAGCTGAAGTGGGAGGATCAATGACTTGAGCCCAGCAGTTTGAAGCTGTAGTGAGTCGTATTTGCATGACTGCACTCCAACCTGGGCAACAGACCATCATCAGTGTATGGATAGCATGTAAAACTGGAACTTACTCAGATTGCCTAGAGAAGAAATATAGATGAATATCTTCTGTAGATGAATATTCTATTACCTAGAGAATAAATATAGAGAAATGTTTTCTATGGATGACTAAATGAATAAATATAGATGAATATATATAGAATTCATATATATAGAATTCATATATATAGAATTCATATATATAGAATTCATATATATAGAATTCATATATATATATAATCCTCCTGAACCTTATTATTTAGAGGTCAGGAGGACAAGCTGGCAAAGGAGACTGAGAAGGAGAGGCAAGGGTGATAGGAGGAAGACCAGAATAAGATAGTGTCTGCAGAGGCAAACAAAAGATTTTAAGAAGGAGGTATAGTCAATCATACACAATGATTGAGTGTTTAATACCATATAGACAGAGACTTGACTATAATATTTGACTAGACACACTGTTTTAGTGGAATAATAGGAACAAAATTCTAAGGATACTGATTAAAATAAGGAATGTGAGGTAAGGAAGTGGAGATAGTATAAGCAAGACTTTACGGAGATCTCACCATCAGCATCTGAGGTTAGGAAAACCATTAGAAATGGCTTCATAGTTGGATGGGACTTAGGACCAAAATGACAGTTAAAAAAAAAAAACTTTTTGACTGCTGATGAAAAGAAGGAATTGATCCCGTTGGGGTTTTAGGCATCTCTTGATTCTGCTTCTTATTCTTGAGTTAAATGTGTTAAGTTATGTTTTGCTATGTCATTTGGTGCCCAGAGTCAAAGTAGGTCTGGGACATGAATATAGCTCATATTAAATGTATGCTTCCAATTACACAGTTTAGTGTTTATAGAATTAATGTACTATAATTGCATGATTCTCATGTATGCTTTTGTATCCTTAGTAAGTTAAAAAAACTAATATTTAAATTTCTAGTCATATTTTTATTTGATATAGATTTGACTTTGTCTGTAGAGAAAGAGGTGGATGTATTTTATTTTCAACAGTTGTGTCACAACCAAGATGCTGACCACCAGGTAAACCTCGTGTATTTAAGTATATCACTGTTTATACATTTTTTCTTAAAATACATATTAAAGTTTTTCATGGAGTATTGCAACATTTATAATTATTTTTAACTATGTGAAGAAATGTATTATTTGTTTTTTAAAACACTTGGTCTTCTTTGACTTATAACATTTCAATTGACTAAGAAAAATCCTTCTCTGAGCAATACAGATTAATTAATTTTGGGGGTGAAATTATCATTAAAATAAAACAAACTATAGAAATCATGCCTTTAAATGATTACATTTTCTCTTGTTTTCTTGGTAGGTAATTATTTAACATAAACTACAGTAAGTAAATCATAGCACAGAGAAATAATACATCCCTGTTATATTTCTTCTATGTAAGTTCCTTTTTTGAAAGAGATCACCAGGCACATCATTTCCAGATTAGTCTGCCAATGACTCAGGTTTCCTTGCTATCCTACACGAATTTGCTAAACTTTTAAAGTTGTGTGTCAAACCTGGATTTAAGTCTGATGAATACACTTTCAGTTTTTACATTTGTCACTTTTGGAAAATTGCCCAACTTCTCTGATTCTTAATTTATATGTATAAAATGCAGAGAAATGTATCTGTCTCACAGAATTGCTGTTAGAGCCAATGATAGAAAAAATTCATTTGAAAATTCTTCATGGTGAAAGGCGAGAGGAAGAGGAAGGCAGCATGATGCTGTGCCACTGATATATACACATCAGAGCCAAAGGAACCAGCATTTGCTTGAATCCCAGCTCTGTCTTATAATTAGTGCATGATCTACACACTCCAGCTTGATGATGTGCAAACTGAAATAAAAAGGATAACATCACAGGGTTCTTGTGAGGGTAAAATTATAGATATGAAACTCTTGGTATAAAAAAATTCATATATATTATGAAATGCTCTGGGTATTAAAATAACATACAAGGGTATTTCATAATAACCAGATAATAAGACTCAAAACTCTTGGTAGAAACAATAAATAGTTTAATTCACTAGTTTTCCAACTATATTATTTTAATGATGTTGTACAACCAACTTTTAAGAATTTGCTAATTTAGGCTTCTATCTACTCCTATAAAGACACAGAGCCAGAGGTGCTATTTTCCTTCATGTTTATATTTCAAAGAGATGGTTTTTAGGCCTTTCAGAAAAACATCTCCTGGGGCATAAAACTGGTAATAGGGGTTTTAATGGGGATGGCGTATTCTCCTAAATTATCTACCAGTATTTTTCCAAACATTCTCTGGTACTTTATAACACTGCTTTTCCAAATTTGCCCTAAATTAAATTGATAGAATGCTTTTCACAGACTCCCACTGTCCTCCATGACAGGATTCCTCAATTGCTATTTTTTTATTAACACGAGTTAAGAAGAACAATGACTGTTCATCAAAATGGTGGTTTATAAGAAAGAAAGTATGACAGTCAACAGTCTGTTAAAATACTAATTTAACTGAGCATTTATTATGTTTTAGACATGATGGAAAGTAGCAGAAATGATGTTTTTACCTCAGGCTGGGATAGAAATCCTTCTACTCTCCAAGACTGTATTGCAAAGCTGTCCCTCTTGGCACCTAAACTCTTTGGTTGTTGATTAGAGGGGAAAGTCAACTGTTCATATCTAAGACCATGATCAGCCTGTTAGCCTTCTAAAAGTGAATATATCACCAGACAGGGCTAAACAGATAAGGAAGGCTTTATTCAAGACTATCACAATAGATAAGAGGGATTAAACTCAACTCATCTGAATCAAAAGGCTGGAGCGTTTTCAAGAGCTTGGGTGGTGGCAATCTTAGGCCCTGTGTTTTCTAATGCGCCTTACTCGAAGTAAAAGTCTAAGTCCTCAGGACTTCATGAAAACAGTTAGTTTTACAACTTGGATGGAGGCTCCCACTGAAGTTAGGTTCCTATGTACTCTTGTAGAGACCCAGAGCCAGGGGTGCTATTTTCCTTCACATTTACATGTCAAAGAGATGCTTCCCAGGCCCTTCAGAAACACATTTCCTGGGGCATAAAACCGGTAGTAGTCTTTTAAGAAGATATATATGCATTTCAAAAGAGCAGAGAAAGAATTTGCAACTACAAATTGTAATTACTTTTCTAAAGCAAACACTCTAAGTAAAGGGAGGCCAGGGGCCAATATGAGAAAGAGACCTGTCTAAAGTTTAGTCAATTTGTGGGGAACATTATGACTGTCTTGGTCAGCCTCATGGATTTAACTAATGAAAACCAGCAGGGGCTTTTAGAATGTGTAGTGTGGCATGGAAAATTCAACAGATTAATTTAAAGGACAATGGAAATAGCTTACCGGCCATCAATTGTCACAGATACAATATCTCTATTATCTCCGTCAAGGCAGCACTCCTTTAACATACCAGCAGTGACAGGACCAACTTTAGAAGCAACTGAAAGATGTCATACTAATCCATCAAATTCAACCAATAAGCTGGATAAGCAAATATAGTCTTAACCATAAATAAAAGTTTTCCAAGTCCAGCTAAACATCTCAAATGTTGGAAGCCTGTTTCAGGACATTGTTACAACCTCAACACCACAATTCAACCATTGTACGAATCTGCAGAAGGTCAGTGCATGCGGCATTTTGTCTGTGTCTTTGTCAGTGTGCTTTCTGTTGTGTTGCTCTCAGATGCTGATCAAGGGGATGACAGAGGCGATGCTTAGTACACTTTATATCTGAAACTCTTGGTGCACACGTGGTGTGAGGAACAAGTAAGCACTCGGTCCATGACTTAGTGCTTCAGCAGAGTGAAAAGAACACCCCTGTTTTGGATGGAATTGCATCCCCCAAAACTCATTTTTTTGACACCTATTTCTCAATGTGACTGTATTTAGAAACAGAACCTTTAGGGAGGTGATTAAAGTTAAACCAGGTCATAATAGTGAGGTTCTCATCTAACATGACTGATGTCTTTGTAAGAAGAAGAAGACACATCAGAAATCTTTCTGTGCATGCACATACAGGAAAGACCCCAGGAGAACACTGCAAGAAGGTGATCATCGGCAAGCCAAGGAGAGAGGCCACAGGAGAAACCAATCCTACAGGCACCTTGATCTTGGACTTTCAGCTTCCAGAACTGTGAGAAAATAAATTTTTGTTGTAAGCCATCCCAATCTATGGTGTTTTCTCTTTTTTTTTTAAACCTGGTTGAACATTTTATTTTTATTTATTTTATTTATTTTTATTTTTTATTTTACTTTAAGTTCCAGGATACATGTGCAGAATGTACAGGTCTGTTACATAGGTGTGCATTTGCCATGGTGGTTTGCTGCACCTCAACCCATCATCTAGGTTTTAAGCCCTGCATGAATTAGGTATTTGTCCTGATGCTCTCCCTCTACTTGCTCCCCACCCTCCAACAGGCCCCAGTGTGTGATGTTCCTCACCCTGTGTCCATGTGTTCTCATTGTTCAACTCCCCATCATGAGTGAGAATGGGTGTTTGGTTTTCTGTTCCTGTGTTAGTTTGCTGAGAAAGATGCCCTCCAGCTTCATCCATGTCCCTGCAAAGAACATGAGCTCATCCTTTTTTACGGCTGCATAGTTTATGGTATTTTCTTATGGAAGCCCTAACTAACCCTAGCAAACCAATATGACCACCTTGGTAATTAGACAGTTTGGACTCCAGTCTGAGTTCTGCCAATGACTGGCTTTAATTAATTTAAGCTCTTTAAGCTTTGACGCTTTGTTTTGCAAGAGAGTAATAATATTTCCTCTTTTGCAAGGATGTGGTGAAGATTAAAGCTATAAGAGCACTAGGGCCTGGCATGTAGTAAGTGCTCCATATATTGTAATATTATACTCATCAAAATTGTTTAGCTAAATAAATGAAAGCAAGAAAGTCAAACATTTAAAAAATATATTTTGTATTTTCCTTCTCTCATAAATGTACTTTTATTAGATCTGATATAGGCTTTCTTGCTTGAAAAAATTTGTTAATAATTTGGGTTTACCACATTTCAAAAATTGTAAAGTGAATTTACAAACAGGCACCTGCTTCCACAATACACTTTAAGTGGTAATTTGGAAAGTAAAATGCTGGGCAAAGATGACAATGATCCTGATACATTATGGCAGGTCTTAAAGGCCAGGACCGCAAATTGATTCAGGTATCACTTACACTTTATTGGTTGTTTGTTTATTCAGATCACAGAACAGTAAATTCAGTAGCGTGATTTTTGACCTCACAATACATGACTTGGCCAGTCTGTAGCTGATGCATTATTCATGCTTAAGTCAAATGATTTTACAGATGAAAAAATAGTAGAACAGTTACCTCAAATTATTCATCATCTAAATATACAAATTTCAAAAGTTTTCTGTTTTTGAAATGATTTTACTCTTCCAATAGTAACATGGAATGATGGTCAGGCAGTTTATTTGTCAATTAATTCAAAGGAGATTATTATTCATATTTATGGGTGAACATGTATAATTGGGTTCTATATGCAAGTTGTTGCTTAATTTACTTGATACAGGGCTGCTCAAAATTCCCCACACTGAGGCTACTTGGAAAATGTGCTTTAAAATTAATTTCATAGTAAAATACTCCCAGTAACTCAAAATAAAATGTAATTTGGCACAATGACCTTCTAGTAAGATGTAAGATCAGATAGAAGAAAAACTGATAAGCTTGGATTTTGTATCATCATTGACATCTGATGATTTCATCCTTCTGTAACCTGTGCGTGTATCAGAACATGAAGAAAGAGATGAATATAAACTCTCAAAAAATTATTAAATGTGTGTGTGTCTAGGGGGAAAAAAGTTTATGAGACAGTAGTAGGTTTCTTTATTTTGTGTGTTTCTACCTTTAGACCTAATACTTGCTGGCTAGAAATTATGCACTATAGAAAAATGTATTGACAATTTGTTTACCTTTAATTAAAGAATAAGCACTAGTAGCAAAGAGAATAATTTGATTATTTTCTACAGGTTTTCTATCAATCTAGGGTTATTCTGGAGATTGTAGTATTGAAGAAAGACATGGGTACTTATTTTAGCAAACAGCATGAGTCCCTAGAAACTGAGCAAGAAGTACTGGGATCACAATTATCAGAATATGGGGCCAGCTACACTTGGTAAAAATGAAGTATTTCTGATTTCATATTTTGCACTTACATATTTTAATTTTCATTTTACTGTAAGCCAGTTCATTTGTAACTGTACATAGGTATCATAGAACATAAAGGAATAAAATTGCTTCATTATTTTTACTGAAAAGAAAAAATTAAATTTCACTGGAGCTTAAAATTATGCTCTTCTTTATATTTTCCTCCATTTAGGTGTGAGAATCTAGATTTCTCTCATTGTGATAAAATAAGGGTGTGTGTAAGGCACACTATAGGATGACATTGTTATTCACAGTATTATCATAATTCTGCCCAAATGTAACCACTAACCATGCTGAAGACAAAATAGCTGCATGATAGATAATTTGTAGAAAATAATTTTACTTTATTGGTGTTAATTAAAATTATTTTTAGATTGAGATCATGAAGATAAAGTTTATGTTAATTTGCACACTTATTTAACATACAACATATACACACTTTAAGAAAGAAAGTAGTTAACACTGACATTTGGTGTCCTCAAAATTAATGTGGCATTGATCAAGTATTCTTGGAAGAAAAAACACTACATAAACTTTTAATTTTTATGTTTACAACATCTACAAAGTGAAGCTCAAGGAACTGTAATGCAATGAGTTGTATTTTAGCCTCCTTTGGGAAGTTTTTTCAAGTAACCCGTCTGATTATAAACCTTAAATATTTGTTATAAAACTAATCATTTCTAGTTAGATCTTTCCAGATTTTATGTAAACTCCTTTAGTTTCCTAGGTTTTTCTATATTTCTGTTTTAAGACTTAATAATATGACATATATTATGCAAGCAATGGTTCCATTTGGTAATGCTTTATTTCATTATCTTGGTGCCATCTTAAGGTCTTATTTATTATGGCATTTTCCCTTCCATGGATAATAGTTTCTTAAAAATATTGACATCATTATATCTGTTCAGAAAAACCATTAACAAAGTTGTCGGGATAAAAAATGGTAAAAGCTGTCCAATTTTGTGAAAATGAATTTTCCAATGAAGTTATAATACCAATTATTTGATTTGGATGAAGCTTTTCTGAAGCAAATGATAAATGATACCTCCCATGGCTCTATGTTACTCACCAAATTATAGGAGAAAATTCATTAGAAACCACTATATTGAGAGACATGGTGGAGACAGAAATGGAGAAGACATGACTCCTGTCTATAAGAAATATAAAATCAAATAGTTAATACGTAATAGCATTAAAATCTCCATACAAAAAATAGTAAAAATAACAGAGCATAACAGCCATACAGAAGTTCACAAGACTGATGAGTATTTAATGTCACTATTTTACAGGCTTTATTTCACAGAATTAAAAAATATTACTTCAACCTTTATTGAGAAGAGATGACTTTTGGGGACTGTGAGATTTGACACTAATGTTTCTTCATAAATGAAATTGACGTAGGTGCACAGAACAGAATGGTAAGGCAGATTATAATGGATATGAGAAGGAAGTGAATATTGTGTACAGAGGAGGAATATGGCTGCAGAGGTAAGTTAGGACACATTATGAAGAGTGCTATACATCATACCGTATCAGGGAGCATGCCCTCATCCTATAGAAACTCAGGGACTGCTGACTGCTTTAAATTAGTGCCTCAAGAATGGTGGGCACTCAATGGATGGTTGTTGAATGAAGAACACTGTTTGAGTAGAAAGACTAAATGTAGGTAGATAATTTAGAAGGCCATCATGCTAAATTAAGATGTTCAATACTATCTCGATTTTTTTTAAAAGTTGTAGTTACAGTTATCATTATTGTAAAGCTAAAATAGTTCGTTTTTTAACCATAGAATTAAATTTCAGTACTCTCCTCATAAATGGTTACAGGAATATTAACGATGATATCATATTTTTATGATACTAGACATTGTGATCATTAGGTTTAATTGTTTTCATACTGTGCTAAAAAATGTTAAAGGATTTTTTAAAAAGGTGAGGATAACGTTTTAACTCATGATCTCTATTAAACAAGAAAAACTGAAATGTGTCATTTATGTTGTGATGTCTTTGGCCCTAAGCACAAAGTTCACACCATCAAGACCTAGAGAACTGTATTAAAGTTTGCCACAGATACAATGATCCTGCTAAGCATGTCCTGGAAGTGCACAAAATACTTTCACAGATTACCTATTTTAGAGTAAGAAATTCCTGGATGGTTGGTAGACCAAATAATAGCCCCTCAAAGATGTCCTCCTGCTAATCCCTAGAACTTGGTAATATGCTATGCTACATAGCAAGGAGGAATTCAGGTAGCAGATGGAATTAAGGTTAGTAATCAGCTGACCTTAAAATAAGGAGATTATTCTGGATTATCTAGGTGTGTCCAATGGAATTGCAAGAGTCCCTAAATTTGAAAGATGGTGGCAGGAGAGTAGAGAGTCAGAGAGAAGTGTGGCATCAGAAAAAAGGTCAGAAACTCAAACAACTCAACAGCAACGAAACAAATGATTCCATTAAAAAGAGGGCAAAAGACACACGTAGGCATTTTTCAAAAGAAGACATACAAATGGCCACCAGGCATATAAAAATGCTAAACATCACTAATAATCACAGAAATGCATATTAAAACCACAATGAGATATAATTTAACACTTGTCAGAATGGCTATGATTAAAAACACAAAGAATGACAGATGTTCACTAGGATGTAGAGAAAAGGAAGCTCTAACATGCTGTTGATGGGAATGTAAATTAGTATAACCTCTATGGAAAACAGTACGGAGATTTCTGAAAGAAAAAAAACAGAACTACCATTTGATCTGGAAATCTCACTACTGGGTATCTACTCATAAGGAAATAAAAACAATCATAATATCAAAAAGATACCTACACCCATGTGTTTATCACAGCACTATTCACAATAGCAAAGATAGGGAATCAACTTAAGTGTCCATAAACAGATGACTGGATTAAAAAAATGTGGTATACACTCACAATGGAGTACTATTCAGCTATTAAAAAGAATGAAATCATGTCTTTTGCAGCAATATGAATGGAATTGGAGGTCATTGTTTTAAGTGAAACAAGCCACAGACAAATATTGCATGTTCTTACAAGTGGGAGCTAAATGATGTGTACACATGGACATAGAGTGTGGAATGATAGACAAAGCACACTAGGAAACTGGGAGTGAAAAAGGGTTAGATGAGGAGAAATTACTTGACGGGTACAATGTATGTTATTTGGCTGATAGGTACTCTAAAAGGCTCCATGCAATATATGCATGTAACAAAATTGCAGTTGTACCCCATAAATTTATGCAAATAAAAATAATAATAAATTTAAAAGAAGAATTGCTAGCTTGAAGATGGAGGTTGCCATGAGCCAAGGAATGTGCTCAGTTAGAAACTGGAAAGGAGAAGGAAAATAAACTCCTCTGGAGGAGCTTGCATAAAGGAACACAGCCCTGCAGATGCTAGATTTTAGCCCAGTAGGACTCATTTTAGATTCCGAACCCGAGACTGCAAGGCTTCAAATTTGTCTTCTTTTAAGCCACTACGTTTGCAGCAATTTGTTACGGCAGTGATAGAAAACTGATACAGTTTGGTAAATATTTCTATTGTGACATATTTTAAAATCCAGAACACTCCTTTCTAAAACTGTTGAATTTTCCAAGATTTTTCTAAACATGATGTGTGCAATTTTCCAGCATTCAGGAGCATTGCTTCTTGGTATCAAAGATAGACTTTTTGCAAGAGCAACTAAATAAACATTTCCTTGTTATTAGATCATATTAACATTTTTAAATTTTGAAAAATATTTTTTATTTTTCAATTCATTGTTATAGCCATAGTCATTTCTGTTTTGATATACATGTAAACATAGAAATCATTTAAAAACTTAACAAAGGTGCCTGTGAGATATTTACATTTCAGCTAGCCTTCAAAATGCAGAGAAGGAAGAAATATACATTTAGTTTTGCATTTGCGTCTTAGAAATATAACTACCTACCTCATGCCATGTTATACACAGTTTTATGAGATATCAAGTTAATACAAACTATATTATTTTAATTTTAAAAATAATACATTTTATGAATTTATTAAGCTCTCCATTTACCATTGGCTTTTAGGTTTTTAAAATAATTGTAGCCCAAACAATTCTAATGACCTACTATAACATCTTTATGGATAATGAAATCAGAATACATGTATCTATTTCTTTGGTAAACAACAATTCTTCCTGAATACTTCCTTTCTTACCACTGCTTAAGCAACCTCATTAGGCTTGTAGACTATCTTACAGCCTCTTTTGGTTCTGAGATCTTTTACGTTCTTGAAAACTACCAGCTGAAAACTTACATGCACTGAGATATATACCAGATGCAGAAGGGCACCTTGGGATGAATGCATCATGGACAGGAATTCATCACAGCCTGACAGCCTCTTTATTTTGCTCACCTGCTCATGTGGAGAGCACCTGTGGCACGCTGGCTCTCCATGTGGAAGCTGTTTTGGAGACTTCCAAGATTAAAGCTACTGTTAGATATTTCTTCTTTCATATAAGGCTTTTGATTTTTTTCCCTCACAGTATTACAGTCTGGATCCTAATTTCAATTCTTTTTACTGTTTTTCTTTCTTTAAAAAAAAAATCTGCTGCAGGGCTCTGAAGAGAAGACCAATCATAAAAGCTTAAATATCCTTTTTTCTAGCAGGATTAGTATGAAAATAATATCACTGTGCTTTCCTCTACTCTGGGCACTTTCATGCAAGTATCCTGGAACACTTTCCTAAGCATTAACTGGTGCTCCCAATGTCTTTTTAGAACAAACGAGGACTTAAAATAATAATCTATCCATGTCATGCTGAAGCTCAACCCTCCGGGGGAGAGTTATTTCAGTAACATAATAGTAGTTTACAGCTTTTTGGGGGTGCAAAACCTTTTAGAATTTAGTCTTTTAAAGGATTAATTAATGCATTCATCTATTTTTTTGTTCATTTGAGTCCTATTTCCTTATTCCAGACAGTCTGCAGGGGCGTGGGTATAAAGTGATTAATAAACAAACACAATCTCTGTCTTTACAAAGCATACAGTGTAAAGAAATGGAGCTTGCCATTCTTATGTACCAGACTCTCCTAGAAGACCTGCTGCAGGACAGACTGCTGGGTCCGACTCCCAGCATTTCTAAATCAGTGGGTCTGGCATGAGGCCATGTACTTGCATTACACATGATGCTGATGCATTGTGAGAACTACCATGTAGATAATTGTATAGCCTATGGTAATTGGATATTTGAGCATGTGGCAGAATAACATGCAAATGTTACTGTAAACAAACAAAAAGGGAAAAAATGAGTGCATGAGTTTATACTAGATCAGGCTCCAGAGAATCTTGGAAAATTGGGGGCACATGTGGGGAACCGTAAACTTCACTAAGACAACAGAATGAAGAGGGAAAAACAGATGAAAGTTAATACCATTTTGAGGTGCTATTAGCTGGGGAGTTTTATGGGAGGCTGAAAGAAAATTTAGATAAAATAATCTAGGGCATTTTATGGGTATTATTGACATTTAAAAATTAAGATATACTAAATCTACGAAAATGTGTTTTGCCTCTGATTAGGCTAGCATAATGGAAGGGAAGAGATGCAAATACAAATGCATACTTCACAGTTTTGCCTCGGACTAATCTTTTGTTGAACACATTATGGATATAGATCTTGCAAAATTTAATTTCTTATATAGTTGTGTATTTTCCTTAAGCAAAGATTTATTCCGAGGTATACTTCTAAATGTTTAACAACTGAGGATGAGGAGGGGCCCTCTTTTATAATGATTTCCCATAGCCAATTTCAAACTACCAACATTTCAACAACCAGCTCTTGCAAAATTCTTGAAAATTTAGCAATAAGCTCTTATGAGCCAGAATAAGTAGGGTCCTATTCATCTATCCTTAAATCACATTGTTTACAGCAGCTTAGAGTTAGATATTTGGAAGCATAGACATATTTATTGTAATCTTGTCATTTTAACATAAAAAGGCAACTTAATATTTAAAGAAGATCTCTTCAATTATTAAAAATTCCAAGAATGAAAATGCCACAAAGTCATAAGTAAACTTTGTCGGGATTGAGAGTTTAAAAGTTTTCCACTGAAATATATGCAAAAATTAACTATCTTAACTGAGTCTGTAAATTCAGCTGATGATTAATATTCTCATCATATATATTTAGAATTGTATTTTGTTTAAAATGTATTTACTGACTCCTTTTGAGTATCAGGGAACAAGCCAGGCTCTGTAGATGTGTTAATGCACAAGAAGTTCTCACAGGTGTTACAGGAAGAGGGCAAATGTACTGATATAGGTAAGATACTTATGATAGGTGTTACTCTAGTGAGGATGGCCCTAAAATTTCCTCATCTTGCTTATGTCCTTCCAGGTATGATATGGTTCTGTCAGGCCTGGTTCCTTTAAAAAGAGGTCTTTGTCTTGGGAATTTATTAATTTAATACAATTATCTATTGAGAGTGACTGCAATTGCATCTGTATGTTGTAATGAGACACATATACTGTGTATCATAAATAGATGTTAAGAAAACTAAAGGCTCTGTTGAGATCTGTTATTGATCTCCCATTTTTATCACTAAAAATTGTGAAAACCCTTAGGTAGAGAAGCTACATAAATATTTCAGCCTCACCCTTTATCTTATCTTGTGATCCTCAAATCTTTTTTTTTTTTTTTTTTTCTGAGATGGGGTCTTGTACTGCCACCCAGCCTGGAGTGCAGTGGCCCCAGACTGGAGTGCTGTGGCACAGTCTCGGCTCATTGAAACCTCTGCCTCCTGGGTTCAAGTGATTCTCCTGCCTCAGCCTCCCCAGTAGCTGGGATTACAGGTGCGCAACCCCATGCTTGGCTAATTTTTGTATTTTTAGTAGAGATGGGGTTTTGCCATGTTGTCCAGGCTGGTCTTGAACTCCTGAACTCGGGTGATCTGCCCACCTCAGCCTCCCCAAATGCTGGGAGTACAGGTGTGAACCACTGCGCCCAGCCCCTCCAGTCATTCTTATTCCACATTCTTATTATACCTAGTTGATTCTGCCTTGGCGTATGTGCATCTTGTTTCGGGGTCTTCGTAGATGACTGAAACAGACATTCACCTTGACTTGCTAAATAAATGCCAGTGACATTCCAGCTCCCATTAAAATATATATATATATATATAACTTTATAATGTAAAAGTTCTCTATTGAAGTCTGTATGGCAACTGCCTCCTTTGGATGGGATTAACATTGCTGTGATACTACAGTGCCAAGAAAGAGTTTAAAAATGTGCACTTACTGATGGGATGTGGGTAAGAGTACGTATTCCATGCTCCTATGTAATTGAGGAAGAGCAGCCTTCACCATCTCCTCACTGCCGCCATGCCCGGCTCTTTAACGCTGGCCATCGCCTGACAGACAGTCCTTGCTGAGTCACGATGATTGCACTGTACTGTTTTATGATGTACACAACTTGTTATTTATATGCATCTGAGGATTGGAGGTGAGCCTTCAATACCTAATCCAGGATTCAATTTAGAACATACAAATTATTCCACAAATTCTCACCATTTTCATAATTTTGAGACAGTCTTAAGATATTAAAAGATAAAGGCAAAAATTACTCTCTCAAAATTAATAATATTTCTATATTGTATGAACATTACATATAATCAGGGTATAGATTGTGTTATGTGAAAATGTCAAAAACCAGAATATTATTATATCTTGCATGTAACTACAGTGAAACTAAACTTTTCATAAATAAATCTCAAATCTTTTCAAATAATTTGTTTTTAACACAAATTCTAAGCAATGACGTCATGATCCATTGATCCTTGCACATACTGAAAACTTAAGACAAAAAGACTTAATAGAAAGCAACTTGACGGGGAGTGTAAGAAGGTCGACAACAAGGGTTGTCAACGAGGGCGACAAGGGTTGAAAAATTACCTTTGGGTACTATGTTCACTATTTTAGTAATGGGTATACTAGAAGCCCAATCCCTACTAGTATGAAATAAAAATGCAACAAACATGCACATGTACCCCCTGAATCTAGAATAAAATATTATTAAAAAATGCATATGTTAAAAAACAGCAACTTGAACTACTTCCTTACTAAACTCCTGGTCTTTCCAAAAGCAAACAGATTTTAAAATTTTAATTTAAAAAAAATTTTTGGCCAGGCACGGTGGCTCAGGCCTGTAATCCCAGCACTTTGGGAGGTCAAGGTGGGCGGATCATGAGGTCAAGAGATCGAGACCATCCTGGCCAACATGGTGAAACCCCATCTCTACTAAAAATACAAAAAATTAGCTGGGTGTGGTGGCATGTGCCTGTAGTCCCAGCTACTCGCGAGGCTGAGGCAGGGAATCGCTTGAACCAGGGAGGTGGAGGTTGCAGTGAGCCGAGATGGCACCATTGCATTCCAGCCTGGTGACAGAATGAGACTCCCTCTCAAAAAAAAAAAAAAAAAGCTAACTTAATATTTCTAAATAATATCTTTACATTATAATTAATTGTGTTCTCATATTTAAGCTTCCTGTATAGACTTAGGTAGGATTGATGAAGATAGAAGAAAGGATTACTGAAGATTAGCCTATTAGAACTTTATAATGTAAAACTAATGATGCAGCATATACTAGTTGCACTGGTTTTAGTTTCTCTATTCATTATAACTTCAAGTAATATATCATACCCTTGTTCCTTTTTGCATAACATAGCTACTCTCTTGATCTCTTGAGTCTCCATTTTAGAAAATGTTGGTGTTCTTGCTCTTTCTTCCAACTCTTCTCTCTGACTTTGATCTCTCAACCTCTCTCATTTACACTTTTAGTTTTATAATGTCAAAGTTAATAAAATTTAAATTTTATCTGCAAGTGAATTCTTAGGATTGAAATTTTAAAAATTGCAATCTGTTTTACTGTGAATCTCATTTACTGCAGAGACAAGCAATCTACTATTATCACATTTTTTTCTTTCTGATATTTGTAAAGCTTCCAAATGTCTTTTTTTCTCCAATACTTGACATTTTCTTTTCCAATTGTGTTTTTTTCTCAAGTCCTCCTACCTAGCTATTATCCTTGCCCTTTTCTTCATTGTGCTCTTGATGTTTGTTCAATATTTTCATCTTTTTATTGATATTTTGTTTCTGCTTTATATATTCTTAATAAACTTCCTTAAAAATCAGTGCAAGTACTTTTATTTTTCTTGTACACCTGATATTTTTTATTCTGTACTAACATTTCCCTGATGGTGTGGCTGAGCATACAATTACAGTTTATTACTTTTGTCTTCACTAAATTAAGGGAATCTATTCACTGTCTTTCAGCATTCCATGTCATCGGTGAGAAGTCTGATATTTCCTTGACTCACATCTTTCTTGGTCGTATATTTATTTGTTATTGCTGTTATTACTTACTGTTGTCATCGTTGTTGTTTTAAAAGGCTTTAAGATTTTCTCTTTATTTTTGGTGTTATGAAAACATACTGAAATAGACAAGAAATTTTTTGTGTGTTTGATTTTTTATTTTTTGCTCTGGGCACATGTGACTCTCTTATCTGCAGATCAAGGCCAGTCACATCTAGAAACGGTCCTGTTAATTTTCTAATTTATTTAATAAATTTCCCCCTTCTCTTTACTGTCTCTTTCTAAATGTCCTGTAAAATAAATTATTTAAATCCATTAATCTTTTTTTCTCATAAATATTATGGGAGATCAGCTTTCTGTGTCCACGAACAAGCACTCTTTCCTCTCTCTCTGAGTCTCACTTTCTGGGACCTTGTGTTAAACTTTTAAAGTTAACCTAAAATAAAAATCCAATACATTTAATTTTAACTACCATATTTTAAATGTGTGTGTCCCTCCTTATTTTTGGTGTTTCTATTTTTTATTTTAACCTCTAGTCTGTTAATGTTACATTTTTCCTTCAATTTCTGAACCTGTCTATGATTCCACTCATTAGTTTATTTATTTTGTTGATTTATCTCTTTATTTTATGTTCAGTGCTTTGCTCAAAGATCTTGAATCTCTGGCAATGTCCGGCTTGATTCTTTCTGCTGAAGACTAGAACAATAGCTATGAAAATCCATGGGGCTTGCGGACTGGTGATCATTGTTCTTGACCATGTGAGTGAGGATACAGCTATTTGGATGTGCAATCGCTAATTTCCAAAGTGAAAAGATCTTGTAACTCCAGTATTTATTTAAATTTCTTAAGAAAAGAATTTTCAATTTTCTATGTTGGATTAGAAATTATGTGACTTTTTAACTACCAGAATTTCAATTTAAACCCTTGTATTCAGCCTAATGGTTTCTGTTGTTTGTTTTTAAAATTGTACTTGGAATTTCCAAGTCCCATGTCTCTCTGAGTGACTGCTTTGTGACTCCATCAACTTGCTGAGCAGTGACCTTAGATTGTAGTTCTCTTTCTGTGTCTGTCTCTCTCTTCCTTTTTTCTTTTAGTCTTTGTCTTTTTTTCTTTTTTGAGATAGGGTCTTACTCTGTCACCCTGGCTGGAGTGCAATGGCATATGATATGGTTTGGCTCTGTGTTCCCCGTGTCCCTCTCCAAATCTCATCTTGAATAGTATTCCCATAATTCCCACATGTTGTGGGAGGGACCCGGTGGGAGATAATTGAATCATGGAGGCAGTTTCCCTCACACTGTTCTCACGGTAGTGAATAAGTCTCATGATATCTGATGGTTTGAAAAGGGGAAATCCATTTTGCTTGGCTCTCATTCTCTCATTTGCTGCCACCATGTGAGATGTGTCTTTCACCTTCCACCATGATTGTGAGGTGCCCTCCTGCCAAGCCATGTGGAACTGTAAGTCTAATAAACCTCTTTCTTTTGTAAATAACCCAGTCTTGGTTATATCTTTCTCAGCAGCTTGAAAACAGACTAATATAATAAATTGGTACCAGTAGAGTGGGGTGCTGCTGAAAAGGTACCCTAAAATGTGGAAGCAACTTTGGAACTGGGTAACAGGCAGAGGTTGGAATAGTTTGGAGGGCTCAGAAGAAGACAGGAATGTTGAATGGCTTTGACCAAAAGCCTGATAGCGATATGGACAATAAGGTCCAGGCTGAGGTCGTCTCAGATGGAAATGAGGAACTTGTTGGGAACTAGAGCAAAGGTGACTCCTGTAATGTTTTAGCAAAGAGACTGGTGGCATTTTACCACTGCCCTAGAGATTTGTGGAACTGTGAACTTGACAGAGATGATTTAGGGTATCTGGGAGAGAAATTTCCCAGCAGCAAAGCATTAAAGAGGTGACTTGGGTGCAGTTAAAGACATTCAGTTTTAAAAGGGAAGCAGAGCATAAAAGTTCAGAAAATTTACAGACTGACAATGTGATAGAAAAGAGAAACCCATTTTCTGAGATTTCTAGCCAGCTGCAAAAATTTGCATAAGTAACAAGGAGCCAAATGTTAACTCCCAAGACATTGGAAAAAACGTCTCCAGAGCATGTCAGAGGTCTTCACAGCAGCCCCTCCCATCAAAGGCCCAGAAGCCTCGGAGAAACTGGTTTCATGGGCCAGGTCCTGGTTCCCCATGTCATATGCAGCCTAGGGACTTGGTACCCTGGGTCCTATCTGCTCTAGCCATGTCTGAAAGGGGTCAGCATAGAGCTCGGGCCGTGGCTTCAGAGTGTGTAAGCCCCAAGCCTTGGCAGCTCCCATGTGGTGTTAAGCCTGCAAGTGCATAGAAGTCAAGAAGTGGGGTTTGGGAACCTCTGCCTAGATTTCAGAAGATGTATGGTAATGCCTGGATGCCCAGGCAGCAGTTTGCTGTAGGGGCAGGGTCCTCATGGAGAACCTCTGCTGAGGCAGTGCAGGAAGGAAATGTGGGGTGGGAGCCCCCACACAGAGTCCCTAATAGGAAACCACCTAGTGCAGCTGTGAGAAGAGGGTCACTGTCCTCCACACCCCGGAAAGACAGATCCAATGACATCTTGCACCATGCACCTGGAAAATCAACAGACACCCAATGCCAGCACATGAAAGCAGCAGGGAGGGAAGCTGTACCTTGCAAAGACACAGGAGAGGATCTTCCCAAGACCATGGGATCTCACCTATTGCATCAGTGTGACCCAGTTGCGAGACATGGAGTTAGAGAAGATCATTTTGGAACTTTGAAATTAGACTGCCGTGCTGGATTTCAGACTTGCATGGGGCCTGTAACCACTTTGTTTTGGCCATTTTTTCCCATTTGGTATAGCTGTGTTTATGCAATGCCTGTACCTCCATTGTATCTAGGAAGTAACTAACTTGCTTTTGATTTTACAGGATCATAAGTGGAAGAAACTCTCAGATGAGAGTTTGGACTGTGGACTTTTGAGTTAATGTTGAAATGAGTTAAGACTTTGGGGGACTGTTGGGAAGGCATGTTTGGCTTTGAAATGTGAGGACATGAGACTTGGGAGAGGTCGAGGTGGAATGATATGGTTTGGCTTGGGAGAGGTCGAGGTGGAATGATATGGATATGGCCTGTGTCCCCACCCAAATCTCATCGTAAATTGTACTCCCCAAATTCCTATATATTGCAAGAGATAACCGGTGGGAGATAATTGAATCATGGTGGTAGTTCCCCCATATTGTTCTCGTGGCAGTGAATAAGTCTCACAAGATATGATGGTTTGATAAGTGGAAACCCGTTTTGCTTGGCTCTCATTCTCTCGCCACCACCATGTGAGACGTGTCTTTCACCTTCTGCCATGATTAAGAGGCCTCCCCAGCCACGTGGAATTGTAAGTCCAATACACCTCTTTCTTTTGTAAATTGCCCAGTCTCGGATATGTCTTTATGCAGCATGAATATGGACTAATACAGCATGATCATAACACACTGCAACCTCAACCTCCTAGGTTCAAGCAATCATCCTGTCTTAACCTCCAGCCTTAACCTCCCAAGTAGCTGGGACTACAAGCTGAACCACCAGTCCTGGCTAAATGTTTATATATTTTTTTGTAGACATGGGGTCTTGCTGCGTTCCCCAGTCTGGTCTCAAACTCCTGAGCTCAAGTGATCCACCCGCCTTGGCCTCCCAAATTGTTGGGATTACAGGTGTGAGCCACCACACCCAGCCATGTCTATCTCTGTCTTCCTTTGTCACTTCTATCAACTTTCAATCTTCCACAAGTGTTTTAAAATCTCATCTGGAGAGGATGTAGTTGATATTTTGAGCTTCATATAATACCTTTTTATAACTTTTTTTACATCAGACCTTGGAAGAGTGAGGGATGAAATGTCTGTTCTCTATATGTCATTGCGTATTAGCCATTCAGAATAACTATTCCATTTTTAAATTATTTTTGAGTTTTGTCATAGCAAAAAAACTCAGAGAAAAGTAAAATTCTAGTAAAACAAAACAAGATTTTCTTCTGAACCACTGGAGAGTAATTTGCCAACCTGATGCCCCATTACTCCCAACCATTTTATTGCATATTTTTTATAAGCAAGAACGTTTTATAAGCAAACACAATAAAACCATGAAAATTAACATTTCTTTCTTGTATCATCTAATCCTTATCTCCCATTCGACTTTGAGCAGTTTTGCCAACAATCTCTTTTATGGCAAAGGAACACGTTCAGCATCAAGTGCTGCATTTACCAGCAATTTCTTTTTAATCTCCCATAGGTTGGAAGAATTCTTCAGCCATTCGTTGACCTTCATGACCTTGAAGCTTTGGAAATTAGAAGCCAGCTCTTCTTTAGAAGGTACCTCCTTTTGGGCTTCTTTGGTGTGTTCTCTTGATCAGATTGAGGTAATGCATCTTTGGCAGGAATATCATAGAAGTGATGCTGTGTTCTTTTCACTACAAGATTTATTTTCGTTTCACTACTTATTGATGCCATTTTGATGACTCACTTAAGTGCTGTCTCAGAGGCTCCTGTGCTGTGAAGTTACTCTTTTCCTCTTTGTAATTTAGTAAGTATTTTATGGGAAGATACTTTGAAGACCTGTTAATATTCTATTTCTTACCAAACTATCAATGTCTTTATTGATCTGTATCAATACAGGCTCACAAATTCTCATATTATTTGTGGATTATAATAGATTATTATTTTATTTACTTGGATGCTAAGTTTTAGAAGAAACAGTCAGGCTGGCCTGGGTATTAATTTTGTATGTTGTCATCAGTCTTTGGGCACTTCCTTTCTCTATGGTGGATATAAGAGGTTCCTCTTGAATTACTGTGTATATGTGTCAGCCCTGGAATTAGTGCCTTCCACAAAGATTCTTATTTTCTTTTAGTGGGGAATGGCATTTTGAGTGTCAAGATCTGATAGCGAGGTGTGGATTCCTATTGGATTGTCGTCACTCCTAAGCAGGCAAATATATAATGGTTCGCTGAATATCTACATGTAAGTGTTGGGAGAAGGAATAGTAGATACTAGAAAAATATTCTTAGGATGTGAGGGGTTTGTATTTATTTTTGTATGTATTTCTGATTGAGTACCTATCAAACTATGTTTTAAGGAAGTCAGTTTTGTCTTACTATTGACATAATAGAAATTTAAATTTGTGAATTATCACACTCTATATTCATGTATTAATTTATATACAAAAATGTTTTGCAGCAAATATTTAAAACTCAAAAGGAATTCTTGAAGTCAAATCTTTAAAGAAGGCCAAAATACAGGCATCAAAATGAAATAAAGTGCTTTTCAATCTTTTACACATTTAGTGAATGAAATACTTTTTGGTTTGTTATGGATTTATCTCTGCATAAATAGGAAATCCACAATAGGTAGAAAAATATATTAAATAAAGAAAATCATTTATTATTTACTAAACAACAGATGTTTGTTAATATGGATGGAACTTATTTTTTATCTTTGTTTCCTAAAAGAAACAAATGAAGAAAATATTCTCTATATATCCTTGTGTTGATGAGTATTTTTAGGATGATCACCCATATATGTGTGAATAATTTTTATTATTTTTGGAAGCATAGCAAAGGAAAAATGTAATGCAGATATTTCAGCATCCAAAATATTGAGTGCTCTCAGCCAAATTCAGACAAATTGTTAAGCATAATTATGGACATTAAGGCACATATGGGCAGCTTTAGAAAATCGAAGAAAATGAAATATCAGTTTAAAGCAAAAAATCAAAGACAGAGGCACTGACCTTTCAATCGTATCACTGAGTTTTGATTGCCAATGATTTATCCACTAACTGTGATTGCCCTTACTTTTGTCTACAGACTTTGAAGATTTTCACACTCATGAAACTACTTGCAGAATTTCAAAGTTATTTCAAACCAGCAAATTTTAGATTGAAGCTTTTAACTTTGTTAAACCACAGAATTTAAAATGTTTACTATTCCCACAGAGATAGCTTTATATTTGTTCACATTGTGAATTCAAATGAAAATGAACATAGAAATGCCCGTGAAAGCCCTTCATCCATTTCTCTTATCTTAAATTTCTGATTCTATTTCATTCCATTGGAGGGAAATGAATAAAAAAACACTCTTACTAAGCTCATGCCTTCCTTTCTTGATCAGTGCTTAAATCTAGGCCCAATGGAATTTAGCAAATCTGCACTGATTTTGCTGAAGGTATTATAATTAATGTTATTGTTATTATTATTTAACCTGGGCTGTTAGTTAACTGTGATTTACAGGAGAGCCACCATGTCATATTTCTTTTGACTTTAATGAAATAGATGAAAATGTTATAGGGAAAAAAATTGGACTGGGACTCAAGGAATTTGCAATGCGTTATAAATTTGTAGTTATCTTTATTATTAAGCTTCACAGATCTTTTAGTCTTTAGTAGTCTCCCCAGGTTCAGGCACATTTTATGGAAAGTAGGAGCTTCAACAGATATAATTTTTAGTTATGAAAAAGCATTATTTTTAGCAAAAGATCAATATAAATATTTACCACATTACCTGCTTTAAATGTCATTAAATTTTTTTATTTCTATAGAATCATCTCCTTTCTTTAACTACAATATTACATTTACAAGACTTGTAGAAATAGATATCTTGTTTTTGTAATGAAATATTGGCAATAAATAAACGTGGTAAATAGTTATTTTCTCTAAGTCAACTTTAACCTAGGGTCGCTAGATGGAGAATACATTACTTTTACGTACGAAAGAAATATCCACCAAACTCAAATTAAAAGATTTATAAAAATGTATTTATTTACGTTAATTTTTTTCCAGGAGTGATTAAAAGAAACAAATTCTTTATGCAGAATTTGTAATACTTTTCTACCTAAGTAATTATGTTCAATAGATTCCTGTGTATTTATAAATTATCTTTGAAGAGTGAATGGGAATCCAAACAACAAATGATATGAATTCCATATAGGATTTAAAAAGAATGAACTGCTTCTTCACCTTCTTAGTCCAAAGTTCACAGAGATTCTCATATCTCAAAGTTAGTATTTTGAAAGAAATACTTTTAAAACTCTATACATATATTATTAGTGACGTAGCTAGTTCCTTTTTCAAGTAATGAGGGAGTATGTCTTATTTAAACAAAAAAAAAATGAGCATTTAAGCAATAATTTTCACTTCCTACCTTTATGGCCATTGTTTTTTTAACACAGTGATTACTTATACAAAGCATTTACCCTAGGAGAAAACATGTTTTAAATTGCTGTCATTTTTCAGTTTGAATGTAATAACTTTCTAGCAAACACAATAGATGCAATGCTTTATTTAACTGTCATAGGAATATACATACACTATGTACATTTAAAATATAAGCAGTATGTAAATTATATAAGCAAAAATATGTTTCTAGCCCCATTATTATCTTCTATTTGTGCTCTAATCAGGTAAACAATTGTGGTTTTTTTTCCTTTTTCTTTTCTCTCTCTTTTATTTATTTATGATTTATTTTTATTTTTATTTTTTTTGAGACAGGATCTTGCTCTATTGCCCAGGCTGGAATGCAGTGGCATGATCTCAGCTCACTCCAACCTCTGCCTCCTGGGTTCAGGTGACTCTTGTGTCTTGGCCTCCTGAGTAGCTGGGATTACAAGGCACCTGTCACCACGCCTGGCTAATTTTTGTATTTTTAGTAGAGACGGGGTTTCACCATGTTGGCCAGGCTGGTCTCGAACTCTTGACCTCAAGTGATCTGCTCACCTCGGCCTCCCAAAGTGCTGGGAGTACAGGTGTGAGCCACTGCATCCGGCCTTGTGATTTTTTCAATTTTGTAAAAAACATACAAAATCTCAGTATATTTTCTTGCTCTTATTTGCATTTCCTCTTAATGATGACCAAGAGGCATTTGCTTTATGTGTACAAAAATGGTAAAAGGCTAATATGTATTTTAAAAATGATTATTCATACAACATGTGTGGGTATAACTGTAGTAAAGGAGAAGTTACTAAACAAATAATTTGTGACAATTAATAAACCATTGATTAGATTATCAATGAGTGTCAAATAAACTATTCCCTCTTGTGATATTTAAAAGTGAATACATGCCACAGTACATGGATGGATAAACATTTATCTTTCTTAGAAATTGAGGCAGACCAGATAATTTCTCAATGCCACTTTCAATATAATCAGTCTATAAATACTAGTTAAAATTATTTTTCAACTCTTGGGAAAGCTGCTCTGTAGCTTTTAAATACAGTTTATTAAATTCTTCAGGTTTGCCACTTCAATACACACTTGATAATAAAGTAAGATCTCGTTACCAATTCATATGGATTCCATATGGTTTTGTAAATAATTGCTAGAGATATTCTTTGAAAATGTTATCAATACTCAGCTGTATACCTGGCTAATTCAAGCACAGTCTTATCTTATACCTTGTTTTTGCTTTTTCTTCCATTACTTCTCCAGATAAATGAATGAGTTGTTCCATGATTGTGTCAGGTTTCATAGCTTCACCAAAAGCACTAGGCACAAAGGCACAATTTCACCCACTTCTCCATCATACAACAGTCAGCAACTCACTGGTCATGCCGTTTTGTTTTCCTAAGTTCCTAGTCATGTATTTAATGATTTTTATGTGCGAATTATTTCAGTCAGCCCTGCAGACACATAAAACACTTATGAGTGATTATGAATAAAAGTGGTTATATACCTGCTATCTTAAATCTGAAAGACCAGTGCTTTAAAACTTCTAAAAATATTTTCTACTTAATGTTTTTTACTTAATGCATTTTGATTTTTTTTTTTTTACTTTTAGGTTTTATATTATTTTACTTTTAAAGTAGAGTTCATGACACATGAGTTAAAGTTTTGAACTCTGGTAATGAGCAGGTAAAGTTAATTGCTAAGTTAAGTTTCATAACACTCTTGAGAATCCAAAGGAAACCATTTATTATCCCTGATGGTATCAAAAAGCAATAATCAGATTATGACTTGACAGCTCAATAAGGGTGTCTTGTGGAAGGAATAACTATACCACTTTTCAAATGCGAAACTTGAAAACTTCTTACCCCAGTGGTGTGATGGAAAATGCTTTCAAATTAGCTCTCGGAGGGAGAAAATGAGTTATGCGCTATGGAATTTGCTGATTTTCATGATGTAAACACTACCACTGTAGCTGATTTAAGCCACCAACATGCTAGTGTGGATGCACTAGACACAGAGTGGTGAAAAGACGCACAGTAGCACATCATCGTACAACATTTCTACCGTGCAGATGCACAGATGTACATAACTTCAGGAGTTTATGATAATAGTAAAAGATGGTAACAATATATTAAAAAATAATTATGTTTACATATTACTTTTGTTTCAGCATGATCTAATTCCAAATTTACATAGTTTAATTTTTAATAATGTCTGTATTTAATAACTGGCACACAAATTTCCAGAAGCTATCAATCAGTGCTCACGAGTAGTATAGGGCACTTCCAACCCACCAGTGTCTCAACAACCCCTTGGAGCTCTTCTTGAGAGATCCTGAAAGCAGTAAATTATAATTATGAGAGGTAAATGTAGTAAACTGTGTATTTAGAAGCAATGACCCTCTAGTGCTGTTGGGTGGCCTGTTTTGAGAACACTCTTTTCATCCTTGGTGAGTCTGTATGTGTGTCTGTGTGGGGAAGGTGTTTGGAGATTGTGTGGAGCAATTTAAAATGAATAGCTGCAGCTCCTAAAAGAACACAATTTTCAAATCATCCAAAGCATGACTTTAAAATGCCCATTCCTTTCCTGCCTTTAACATTTAAGGAGCCGTCCTTCCGGGCTTTTTTTTTTTTTTTTTTTTTTGTCAGGTTTTCTGTTAAACTGCTTTTCCCCAAACTTTTGTGTTCATTGCCGTACTCTTATAATCCCCCTATACTGACTGGCTGTGGCTATTATGCTTTATACGAAGGCTCTATGTCGAAAGCCAGTTATGAGTTTCTGTCCCAGTGGATCATACGATGAAGTCGAAGCAGGCTGTCATCCAAAGCTATATAATAGCCTCAGATGGGGAATACAAAAGTACCACGGATTATTGATAGAGTCATATCTGCAGTTTTGCTGACAAATTTGATGTCTCCTTTGCTAGTTTTCTAATATAAAGAAATATTTCGGTAGCATGTCATTCCATTGAGTCTTTTGAAGTGGAAAAGATGATTTAGATTTCTAGTTTTTATTCTGATAATAAGGAATGACTAATTTTTATTCTGACAATGAGTAACAATATGCAGAGTGTCTAAATGACACAGTAAAACACAACAATTAATCAGAAATGTAGGTCCATTTTAAATCTACAAAATAATAAGAGTAGCAAAATCCCAGGACTGTCACAATGATCATTTATTGTGTTAATAGAAAGGATTTTTCCTGTTAAAATACTCATTTCCTGAAAAACGCAGATATGATCAAAAGTTAACAATTATTTCATCAGCACCTTAAGCAGAAATCAAGAAGCGAGTAGTAAAAATAATATTTTGTTTTGTTTCACTTTGTTTTGGCTGACAAACAGATTCATGCACTGGCACAACTCAGTGACACAGTTACAATTCAAAAGTATTTTCTCGCTCGGCATAAATTTTTAATTTGTTTTTTAATGCTACTCCTTGGCAAAACTAGTATGAAAAACTCTTTTTGACATTATAAAATGCTGTTTTAAAGACCTAGTGTTGACATCTCCCAGGAAACTGAAAAATAATTCCGTTTAGAATATTCCTATGGTATATTTTTATTCAATTTTTATATTATCATCATTATAGCTTACCATAGGATGAGAAATTATTGTGATGTCACAAAAAAGAAATCAACCTCACAAAGGAAGCCAGATAAAATATGAGGTTAACTCTATGAACAAGATTGACTATGGCTCCTGTTTCTATGGGAAATTAAGTGGGTTTACTGTTTCTTTGCTTTATAGTAGAGTTAGACAGCTACTGGAGAAAGAGGATTTACATATGATAGAAAACATATTTTTATTCTCAGAAAGGACAGCTCTTTTGGTAATATAAGTTACATAATGATTCATTCTTTCTCCCCCTATATTTTTCCTTCTTTTTAATCCAACTAAATAATAGTTTTTATACCCAGATATGTTTAGACACAAAACTGATGATAGGAAAAACATATTTAATTTGCTTTATTTACATGTACCCAGAAATTTCTTAGCACCATCTCTGTGTGTGTGTGTGTCTGTGTGTGTGCAATATTTTTCTGAGATTTCTGGCTGTAGAAGTTCAGAGCTCAGTGCCATAAAATAATTTTTTAATTGGTGAAGGTTTCTTATGAATATATTTTTTCTGTATCAACAATAGATGATGTGGCAGTGTACCGGTTTGTTCTCACACTGCTGATAAAGACATACCCGAGACTGGGTAATTTAGAAAGGAGAGTTTTAATTGACTCACAGTTCAGCATGACTGTGTAGTCCTCAGGAAACTTACAATCCTAGCAGAAGGGGAAGCAAACACATCCTTCTTCATATGGTGGGAGCAAGAACTGCTGAGCAAAAGGGGGAAAAGCCTCTTATAAAACCATCAGATCTTGTGAGAACTCACTCACTGTCACAAGAACAACATGAGGGTAACCTCCCCTGTGATTAAATTACCTCCCACCAGGTCCTTCCCATGACATGTGGGGATTACAGCAACTACAATTCAAGATGAGATTTGGGTGGGGACACAGCCAAACCATATCACAGCCCCGCAGCCCCTCCTAAATCTCATGTCCTCACATTTCAAAACACAATCATGCCCTCCCAACAGTCCCCCCAAATCTTAACTCATTCCAGCATTAACCCAAAAGTCCAAGTCCAAGGTGTCATTTAATACAAGGAAAGTTCCTTTTCCTATGAGCCTGCAAAATCAAAAGTAAGCTAGTTACCTCCCAGATACAATGGGGGTACAGGTGTCGGGAAAATACTCTCATTCTAGATGGAAGAAGTTGACCAAAATGAAGGAGCTACAGCCCCACACAAGTCTGAAATCCAATAGAGCACTAATTAATTCTTAATGTTGGGAGAAAAGCTGAGTGTTGGGAGAAGCTGAGGTAGGGCTTGCACGTCTGACATAATGTAAAAGAGTCTTGGAACATGTCCGGGGTCCAAGGTCTAAAACCCCTTCTAGCCTTTGGACCACCAGGCTCTGTGCTAAAGGGTGGAAGGCTACCCTGACATACCATAATATAAGCCCAGGGCATAAAACCACTCGCGGCTTGGATAAAATCCAGGGCTCATGGCTCTGGAATGTGTCTAGACTTGCTGGCTCCTTGTTTCTAGCCCTCCCAGGCTCCTAGATTGATTGTGTCTTAGAATTGGCCATGTAAATGCTAAACCATCACAGCTGTAAATCATGACCTTACATTGCCGGTCTTTGCTTTTGTACCTCTTTAGGCCACTGACCAGTACCTCTTTAGGGCACTGACCTTATACTGTTAGTCTTCATCTATCCCTATCTGTCCCTGTCTGTACCTATTAGTTCCGGTGAGTTCCTGGGGTCCCTGTTTTGTCTCTTGCTGAAGCTTAAAGGGTGGATTGCTGAGCTCTACCCAGGGTCATAAAAAAGGTTCCCAGGAAGATGTAGAGATAAGTAAATATAGAAATAGAGATAAATATAGAGATAAATAGAGGGATAAATATAGAGATAGAGATAAAGAGATAGAGATACATAGAGGGATAAATATAGAGATAGAGATAAATAGAGATAGAGATACATAGAGATAGAGATAAATATAAATACAGAGATAAACAGAGATAGAGATAAAACCATTTTTTCCTCCTACAGCTCTGGGCCTGTAATGGGAGGGGCTGCCAGGAAGGTCTCAGACATGCCCTGGAGACATTTTCCCCCATTGTCTTGGCAATTAGCATTTGATTCCTCACTATTCTTGCAAATTTCTGCAGTGGGCTTGAATTTCTTCCCAGAAAACAGGGTTTTCTTTTCTACTGCATGATCGACCTGCAAATTTTCCAAACATTCAAGCTCTGTCACCCCTTGAATGCTTTGCTGCTTAGAAATATCTTCCACCAGATACCCTAAATTATCTCTCTCAGGTTCAAAGTTTCACAGATGTCTAGGGCAGGGGCAAAATGCTGCCAGTGTCTTTGCTAAAGCATACAATTTTAAAAAGTAATATTTTCTCCACTTCCCAAGAAGTTCCTTATCTCCATCTTAGACCACCTCAGCCTGGATTTCATTGTCCATATTACTATCAGCATTTTGGTCAAAGCCATTCAACAGGTCTCTAGAAAGTTGCAAACTTTCCCACATCTTCCTCCATGTCTATAGGACATTCCAACATTTCCCACATTTTCCTATCTTCTTCTGAGCCCTCCAAACTGTTTTAATCTCTACCTGTTACCCAGTTTCAATGTTGCTTCCACATTTTGGTGTATCTTTACAGCATGCCCCAATACTCCCAATACCAATTTATTGTATTAATCCATTTTCATGCTGCTAATAAAGACATACTGAAGACTGGGTAATTTATAAAATAAATAAATTTAATTGACTTACAGTTCAGCTTGGCTGTGTAGGCCCCCGAAAACTTACAGTCATGGCAGAAGGGGAAGCAAACACGTCCTCTACATGGAGGCAGCAAGGAAAAGTGATGAGCAAAAGGGGGAAAAGCCACCTATAAAACCATCAGATCCTGTGAGAACTCACTTTCAGGAGAACAGCATGAGGGTAACTGCCCACTTGATTCAATTACCTCCCACCAGGTCCCTCCCATGACATGTGGGAATTATGGGAACTACAATTCAAGATGAGATTTGGGTAGGGACACAGCCAAGCCATATCAGGCAGTGACAGAGAGTTAAATTTTTTCATTTATACAGATTCTCCAGTTCTATCCAACACCACACAAAAGTTGGTTAAAATAAGATAAGAATTAAGCTCTATCTGAAAATTAGAGATCCTGGAAGTAATAAAATTATTGTGCATTCCATAGCTTAAATGTAATTTCATTTTAATAGTCAAATATATTGGAAGATTTTAAAGAAAACCAATACTTGAAGTCATGGCATGCATGGCACTGTATCTAAGATAAAAATCTCATTTGAATTCACTTTTTAAAGTTTGTAGATTAGGTGAAATGAAGAGAGAAGGAATGAGTTATTGAGTCAAAGAATTATTACATTATTACTTTTTATTATTTTGTTTTGTTATTATCATGGGTTTTTTGGTTAGAAGAGAATGTTGCCTCAAAAATATATAATGCAATTAAATATAGGTGCTTTATTGGTAACAACTTAGTATAATGAGGTAATGATTCTAGAAGAATGTCATAGGCTATATATAATTTATATTTTGTCTGCTTCCAAACATTTGCATTATCTTAACAAAAGTAAAGTAAAATATGAAAATTCAAGATAAAACAGAATGAATAGATAGCACTTTCATTCAGTCATTTTTTTCCTTTATTTTTGACAGCTAAGATAAAAAAAATAGTAGATTAAATTCAGCACATTTATTGAACTGGGTATATGTAAAGAATGATGGTAGTCATTTCAGATGATACAAAGATGAGTAATATAGAGTCATTTTCATCCTATGAAACAGAAGGCAAATTTTTCTGTAGGATAAGCTTTTCTAGAACTGAAATGTTCGTGTTTTAGTATAAAGGACACAGGATATTTGCCAATCACTTCTACATTAGGTATGTAAAAAGGTTGAAGCATTTTGAAAAGTATTATCATTAGCATAGTAGGTTCTTAATAGCAACTGTTGAATAAACTGATAAATAGATAAATGTTTGGATGATTCATGAAAATGTGTTTGTGTATACCTATGTAAGCATGTAGGATATGTTTATTAAAATTGATAACATAATGTTGCTTCTGTGGAAGCTGAAATAATATGTTCAAGTATTTTTTAAACTTAAAAATATGGGAATAAATCTTACCAAAATGAGGAAAATGAATATCTGTCCATCAAATTGCCCATCTGAAATTAAAGATTTAGACACGTGTTAGTTTAAAATATATTAATTATTGAAATATCTATGTGGGTCCATCAGCTTTAGTTAAGCCACAGTAATAAATTACCACCCAATTTCAGTAACTCACAAAACTAAGGTTATTTTATACTCGTGTTTACACGGATTGAAGGTGGGCTATGGTTTTGTCCTTTTTCCTACTAAAGCTAAAGGTGGAGCTACTCTCTGGAACATGCCACATCATATCGGAGGAGAGGATATCAGATGGTGGGAACAAGCTTACACCTGACAATGTCACAAGTCATTTTACGGGCACATATTATTGCCCAAGGCAAGTCACATGACCAATCTTGATATTACATGTATGGGAATTATGCTTCTCATACAAGACTGGGCCCAATGGGCATAAGTATCAAATATTCCTAAAATAATGTAATCTACCACACAACAAACACTTATTTTGCTAGATATAAAGTTTTAAAAATTTTATTTTATTTTAAGTTCCAGGATACATGTGTAGAATGTGCAGGTTTGTCACATAGGTAAACATGTACTATGGTAGTTTGCTGCACCTATCAACCCGTCACTTAGGTATTAAGCCCCACATGCACTAGCTATTTAGCCTGATGCTCTCCCTCCTCCCACCCTCATGACAGGCCCCAGTATGTGTTGTTCCCTTCTCTGTGTCCATGTGTTCTCATTGTTCAGCTCCCACTTATGAGTGAGAACATGCAGTGTTTGGTTTTCTGTTCCTGGGTTAGTTCGCTGATGATAATGGCTTCCAGCTTCATCCATGTCCCTGCAGTGGACATGATCTCCTTCCTTTTTATGGCTGCATAATATTCAATGGTGTAGATGTACCACATTTCTTTATCCAGTCTATCATTGATGGGCCTCTGGGTTGATTCCATGTCTTTGCTATTGTGAATAGTGCTGGTGCTGCACTAAGCATATGTGTGCATGTATTTTAAAAAAAGAACGATGAATATTCCTTTGGGTATATACCCAGTAATGAAATTGCTGGGTTAAATGGTATTTCTGGTTCTAGATCCTTGAGGAATTGCCTCACTGTCTTCCACAATGGTGGAACTAATTCACATTCCCACCAACAGTGTAAAAGTGTTTCTGTTTCTCCACAGCTTCACCAGCATCTGTTGTTTCTTAACTTTTTAATAATTGCCATTCTGACTGATGTGAGATGGTATCTCATTGTAGTTTTGATTTGCATTTCTCTAATGATCAGTGATGTTGAGCTTTTTTTCATAGGTTTATTGGCCACATAAATGTCTTCTTTTGAGACGTTGTCTATTCATATCCTTTGCCCACTTTTTTGATGGGTTTGCTTGTTTTTTTTGTTTTCTTTTGTTTAAGTTCCTTGCAAATTCTGGATATTAGACCTTTGTCAGATGGGTAGATTGCAAAAATTTTCTCCCATTCCGTAGGTTGCCTGTTTGCTCTGATGATCGTCTCTTTTGCTGTGCAGAAGCTCTTTAGTTTAGTTAGATCCCATTTGTCAATTTTTGCTTTTGTTGCAATTGCTTCTGGTGATTTCATCATAAAATCTTTGCCCATGCCTATGTCCTGAATGATATTGCCTAGATTTTCTTCTAAGATTTTTATGGTTTTGGGTTTTACATTTAAGTAGTTAATCCATCGTGTGTTAATTTCTGTATAAAGTGTAAGAAAGGGCTCCAGTTTCAGTTTTCTGCATATGGCTAGCCAGTTTTCCCAGCACTGTTTATTAAATAGGGCATCCTTTCCTGTTTGTTTTTGTTAGTTTTGTCAAAGATCAGATGGTTGTAGATGTGTGGTCTTATTTCTAAGATCTCTATTATGTTCCTTTGGCCTATGTGTCTGTTTTGGTACCAGTACGATGCTTTTTTTGGGTTAGTGTAGCCTTGTATTATAATTTGAAGTCAGGTAGAGTGACGCCTCCAGCTTTGTTCTTTCTGCTTACGTTTGTCTTGGCTATATGGGCTCTTTTTTGGTTCCATATAAATTTTAAAGTATTTTTTTCTAATTATGTGAAGAATCTCAATGGTAGTTTGATGGAAACAGCATTAAATCTATAAATTACTTTGGACCATATGACCATTTTCATCATATTCATTCTTCCTGTCCATGAGGTTGGAATGTTTTCCCATTTGTTTGTGTCCTCTCTTATTTCCTTGAGCAATAGTTTGTAGTCCTCCTTGAAGAGGTCCTCACATCTTTTGTCACCTGTATAGGTATACATTTGATAGATAAAAAGTGTCATAGACATGTGGTTACCCAATAGTAAAAAGATGTTAGCTGTTACTGCAGCAAGCTCATAGAACCATAAGTTACCTTAAATTTTTGAAAGAAATCCAGTGACATCTGTTATGCACGGCACAAACTGCTAGCACAGTCTCAACATAATTAAGTTACTCTCCTTTAAATAATGCCATATTTTTGCATAGCTGGGCTTTTGCTGGTTGCTGTGATATAAAGCAAGTATCATAAGAAAATCTACATGGAACAGGAAAGGTGAGTGGCGTGCCCAGTCTGTTCCAAGACTCGAGAGGTTGTGCAGGACCCATCAGATACACACATCTCACTAATCTGTAATGTAGTTGTTTAAGCATGACATACTTTTTTTTTTCAATTCCTGTGCATTCTTATTTTTTTAAATGGTTACTAAATATTTAAGATGTACATGAGTGTTAAGTTGTTTAGACCTAACTACTTAATACGAGGGTATTAATTTTGGCTAGAGTTGCTCTTGGGGGAAATGTTGAGACTCTAAGAGCATCTTAAACTGAGAAAATTTGGGAACCGCTGTTACAGGGTTCAATTACAATTCAAAATTTGCTGTGCCCTTTAGGATTCAGATTTGTATTTTATCCCAAAGTGGAAATCCATGTGTTTCAACCTGTTTGTATAAAACAGGCCTGATATCTGATGTTTAGCATCAGATGAGCACCTACAAATCAAGACAGATGTGAGCAATATTGAAACAGTATCTAGCATCCCTGGGTACACATGTACTTTTCTTCAAGAGAAAGCTTTGAATTAAATCAAGAACTTGAAAGACTATCTGATTGACATCTCAAAGTTCAATGTAATACTAATGAAGTTCTTCATTTATAAAGAATCTTAGTAATTACCTCTAAGAAACATGCAATATGGCACTTTGAATTTCAGAGATGCCTAATAATTTTGAAATCTATTTTATCTTGGAATATTTGCATCTAACAATGTAGGCCCATTCCCACATTGCCTCATCTTATATATGTTGACAAATCAATAGTACCTAGGATTTCATGATGAAATTATTGTTCCATCTCTCTTTATCCTTGATATGCAAATATCCCTTAAAGCATAGACGAGACCCATACAATTTTCAATTGTGGTCATTTGTTTGTTTTAAAGAATAAATGTGGAGGAGGCTCCAATGCTGGGTTTTACGGGTGTTCTCAACAGATTTGTTAATCTTCCCTTGTATTACTAGTTTGTTTCATTTCCATTTATTTCAACAACTTTTAAGATTGAAATGCACACGGTGATTAATAACTACACATGTAGAAGTGAGTTGGACTTTAAAGTTTGTATGACCTAGGCAATAATGACTCATAAGTTGTTGAAGATGTTTATACCACATTCATGTTCATATTGATTATCTGTTCTTGTTAAAGATTTCTGACTGAGGACGAACAGAAAACTATGGCGTGCTCTACAGTTAGGCGACAGAAGTGCAATTTAATAAAATCATATTCAATGTGAGAAGTCACACAGAAGAAGAAAAAACTTACTTTGCTTTGAGAATGGATCGAGAGAAATTACTAAGAAGTCAGCATCTTAGCTGGACTTAAAATGTACCTGAGAATTCTCCATGTGGATAACCATATGGTGCCTAAGTTGAGGCAGGCAGCTTTCAAAAGAGAGAGACTAGTGTTTTGGTTAATAGATAGATGATGAAAGCACTAAGACATAGATGGGAACTGTATGGCCCTGAGTGTGGCTAGATTGTAGGCTCTGTGTTGGAGTGATAGGAAATGTGGCTGGATAGGAAGATGGAAACCAGAACGTAAATATATGCACAGATGTTCTGAAAATATGCAGATCTTCACTTTATTGTAATGCCAGCCACTGAAGCGATTTAAGAATCGGGTAACCATTCATGTTTGTAATTTAGAAATAACCATTCAGCACTTACAAAAACTGATTGAAGAGGAGGGGCCCATGGGGACAGAGATCACTTAAGTTCTGTTACTTACATGGTTTATAATTTGGTAAACAGGAAGTTAGTTCGCCTCTCGAGCATTTCCAGCCTGTCTTCTGTTCTGTGGGCGTTGCTATTATGCGGTGAGTTGTCCACTACTCTGCTGCAGAGCCACTCAGACCCATAGAATTTCAAAGGCAATGAATAACAAGTTCTGTGTGCATAAACAGAATCAAAAAGCATGGTTTGATCTTGTCCCTGATCAACATCAGAATTGAAAAATACCCTTAAGCTAATAGAAAAGAGGAGAAAGTTTTTCAAGTTGTGTCACTTTGAGCATGAAAGAAAAGAAAAAGAAACCCAAGGAAGTTTTTTGAATAGAAGAAGAATTTAAACACTGATTGTTTACATTATTATGTCTGTAGTTCTTGTTTTTCCTGTGGTAATGTAAAAATTAAAAAATGACCCATAAATTGATATTTAGGCAAACAATTGTAACTTTTTAAATAGTCTTGGAAAGGTAATAATGGTAATAATTCCATTAAACTTGAATATATATTCAATATTTTTAACTTACAAATTCTTTTGTTAACTGTCTATGATTTTATTCTTAGATGTCTAAAGGTTAGCATTAAGAATATGATAATATAACTTGTCGTATATTTCAAAATAACTGGAAGAGAATATTTGGAATGTTTCCTTCAGAAATCTATGACAAATATTTAAGGTGATGATTTGATTACTAATTACTCTGATTTGATCATTATGCACTATATGCATGAATCAAAATATCACATTTACTACCTAAATATTTACAATTATGTATTAATAAAAATTTTTAAAAATAATTATAAGCTTTATGAATCACTTTTTAAAAATTTGCTACTATTCTTACATATCGAAAACAGAAAGTAATCAGATAATGCATTACAGATATTACCTTTCTGTCTACATTGTTTTAAAATTTCACTGTGCCAATAAGGCTAAACAACATTGAATGCCAGAAGAAAAAAAAAATAGAGTAAATGTTGTTTCAAACGTGTAATTTATAAGCAGATTTTTGGATCATTATCTTGTAGAGTCTAATTCATAACTCATACATATATTTGGGACAATGTTTTAAATATCTTCGATTGATAAAATGTGAATTACATTTCATACTGCAAATTGACTTGGCTACTTAACATTGATGAGAAGTGAAGGAAAGTAAATTTGTCTTGAGTTTATAGGTATTCATGGATTGGTCTATACAGATTAAAAGTGTCCCAAGAACTGTTTCTTTGTAAATACTATATATCTTTCCTCATGTGATTTTACGTGTAGCTATTCTTGATAAATGGAGATATTCTATAACCCTATGTCATTAAAACTAAGTAAAAATACATAAAATAAAATGTGTATAGAATTGGGCATACATACATGTCTTTCATTCATGTAGCTAGAGATATAGCTATGAATTTAATTAAAAAGTTTTTAAATCAATCATTTTAAATTTGCATTTCTTATCATTTCCCCATTCAATCATATTTTCTTCTATTTCCTTTTCTATTGCTCTCCTGACGTTTCTTTTTTTCTTCTTCCTTTTCACTTTCTCAGTCTTTCTCTACTGTAATATAGTAAACCATTAAAAAACGGGGTAAGTACATTTACAGCTTTCTTACTGCTGCCCACGGGGTGCTATAAATGCACAAACTGGATATAATTGAGGCACATATTAACTTACCTTCTGTTGTACAGGAGAACATAAGCAGGCTGTTAATGTGCACTGTGTTGAAACTCTTAACTTAGGGGATGAGAATTAGCTTGCAGTAGTAATTTGGTAAGCACCTGGGAAAATTGCAAGCTTCACTTCTTGCAACGCGGAATATGATTAAAAAGAGAATATATTATTATCATGGGTACCATTAAAAAATGTGCAGACAGCATTCTATAACGTTAAAATGGAAATTGGAAGTTGTACTCAAATTTTGAAGATGCTGCATGTTAATTACTGTCTACCACAGTGCACTGCAAGTGCAATTCAATTATTTGCTGTGTCAAGCAATATTTTGATTAACCTGAACTTTAATTTTGTGCATCTAATGTTTTTTATGTTATGATAATAACAGTGGAATGGTACGTCACCCTGCCAAGAGCTCTCTGAAGCCATTGGAAATGTATTTAGTACTGTAAGAATCCACATTTTAATCTAGATATAAAACATTTCTCAAATTTAGGAAATTTCATTTTAAATATTGGATAGGGAATTTTTATTTAAATCTGTTAGGCACTGTAGTATTATACATATTATATATAATAACTTTTGTTCTTCCTAGTACATTCTTGAAGTAGGTATTATTGTGCACCTGTTTATCTTGAAACAACTATGGCTGAGAGCAGATAAGTAATATATAGTAGCTCTGAGTTCTTAGTGGAGTTATACTTTAATTTGAGGCTCATATGTATCAAAAATTCAATCTCTGTAGGACACTATCTCCCTACATTTTAAAGTTTATTTGCTAACTTTTAGATTTTAAAGAAAAAGCCTGGATAGTTCCTGTTTTACATTTTATGGTGTTTCCCATCATCTAGGAAAATATAAATAACATACTGTAAAAGCATCACTCATGAGCAATTTGTGAGTTACATTTGGATGATCATTTTAAAGGTCAGGGAAGGAAGGACCTGTGTTTTGCTGATGACTCAGCTGTATTTATAAGTAGGTAGCCACATCCGGTAAAACATTTGATTGCCTGGTTTCTGGTCCAAATTGGCTACAGGAAATGATAATGATCTCTCCTGAATTTAGTTTGGTCAATTAATTTTGTTATAGAAAATTATACAATTATTTAGTTTTAACTGAAACTTGGATATCCAAAATGATGCATAAGAATTTCTCTAGTCATTCTTTCAACAAAACTTGTTTTCAGCATCTTTCAATTATCTTTGAAAACTAAGCATGGTCATAAAACTAAAATGTTATATACAATCTTTTTTTTTAAAAAAAAAGAAATAGTTTACTTGTGTAAACAGACATATAAATGGTTTATTATGTTAAAATACTGTTAATGAAACAAGATAAGACAGAGCAAAACACTAATTAACCACAGAGTAGGGACTCACTATACTCTGCCTGAGGGGTGTGCATTAAACTTGAGCAGAAGAATTGGGTCATGGAGTAGAATAAGGAGTTTATTTGTGCTGAGATGTGTTCAGGAATGTTAAGCAACAGCTGCTAGATAGCAAAACGGCTTATTTCAAGTAAGAGCAGCAGTGCTTTTCATGATATAGATGAGAAATCTAGTGTGTATTTTTATACCAGATAGATATCTGCCTCTACCCATCCATCCACACACACATATCAATAACTCATGTCCTGGTTTTTCCATTAGTTTCTCCTTAGATACATTGTTCTTTTTTTTTTCTTTCCTTTCTGAGACAGAGTCTGTCTCTGTTACCCAGGCTGGCATGCACTGGTGTGATCATGGCTCACTGTAGCTTCCACCTCCCAGGCTCAAGTGATCTTCCCACCTCAGCCTTCTTAGTAGCTGGGACCACAGTCTTGTGCCACCACAACCAGCTAATTTTTTTTATTTTATTTTTTTTAGAGACTCAGCTTCCTGAGTAGCTGGGACTCCAGACCCACAGCACCATGCCCAGCTAGTTTCTTACTTTTATTTTTTGTAGGTCTGAGGTCTCTCTATTTTGCCCAGGCTCATCTCAAAGTCTTAGGTTCAAGTGACCTTCCTGCCTTGGCATCCCAAAGTGCTGGGATTATACGAGTGAGCCACTGTGTCTGGCTATATTACTGGTTGGTTTTTTTTTTTTTTTTTTTTTTTTGAGACAGAGTTTCATTCTGTCACCCAGGCTGGAGTGCAGTGGCACAATCACAATCTCAGTTCACTGCAACCTCTGCTTCCTGGGTTCAAAGATTCTCCCACCTCTGCTTCCTGAGTAACTGGGACTTCAGGTGCACACCATCATGCCTGGATAGTGTTTGTATTTTTTGGTAGAGATAAGGTTTGGCCATCTCTACCAAAGATAGAGATGTTGGCCAGTCTGGTCTTGAACTCCTGAGCTCAAGTGATGCACCTGCCTCAGCCTCCCAATGTGCTGAGATTGCAGGTGTGAGCCACCATGCCCAGCCCATATTACTTTTTATACATATAACAAAGTGACAAAAATGCTTATGTGTGGGGGGTGGGAGTAGGGGCAGGTGTGTTAGACCATTCTTGCACTACTAGAAAAATAATACCTGAGACTGGGTAATTTATAAAGAAAAGAGGTTTAGTTGGCTCATGGTTCTGGAGGCTGAACAGAAGCACGATGCTGCCATCTGCTTGACTTCTGGGGAGGCCTCAGGAAGCTTACAATCATGGCAGAAGGCAAAAGGGGACCTGGCACGTCATGTGCCACAGAGGGAGGAAGAAAGAGATGGGGAAGGTGCCACACACTTTTAAACAACCAGATCTCACGAGAACAAACTATCATTAGGACAACACCAAGGGGATGGTACTAAACCATTCATGAGAAAACTGCCCCCATGATTCAGTCACCTCCCACCAGGCCCTACCTCCAGCATTAGGGATTACATTTCCACATGAGATTTGGGCAGGGACACAAATCTCAACTACATAATTTTGCACCAGGGCCCTCCCAAATTTCATGTCCTTCTCACACTGCAATATATGAACCATGCCTTCCCAACAGTCCCCCAAAATCTTAACTCATTTCACCATTAATTCAAAAGTCAAAAGGCCAGTGTCTCACCTGAGACAAGGCAAATTCCTTCTAATTTGAGCATGTAAAACAAAGAACAAGTTAGTTACTTCTAAGATACAATGGGAGTACAGGCATTGGGTAAATACTCCTGTTCCAAAAGAGAGAAATTGAGCAAAAGAGAGAGTCTACACGCCCCATACATGTTTGAAACTCAGCAGGGCAGTCATTACATCCTTAAGCTCCAAAATAAACTCCTTTGACTCCGTGTCCCACATCCAGGGCACACTGCTGGAATGCGTGACCCTGAAGGCCTTGGGAAGTTTCGCTCCTGTGCTTTAACAGAGTTCAGCCCTCATAGTTGTTCTCAAGGGCTTGTGTTGAGTACCTGTGGCTTTCCCAGGACAGGGTGCAAGCTGTCAGTGGAGCTATCATTCTGGCGTCTGGAGAATGGTGGCCCTCTTCCCACAGCTCCACTAGGCAGTTACCCAGTAGGAACTCTATGGGGGCTCCAATCCCACATTTTTCCTCTGTACTTCTTTTGTAGAGGTTCTCTGTGAGGACTCTGACCCTGCAGCAGGCTTCTGCCTTGGCACCCAGGCTTTTCCATACATCCTCTGAAATCTGGGCAGAGGCTCCCAAGCCTCAACTCTTGCACTCTGTACACCCACAGGCTTAATACCATATGACAGCCTCCCATGCTTACCATTTGCGCCCTCTGAAGCAGGGGCTTGAGTGGTACCTAAGCTCCTTTGAGCCATAGCTGGAGCTGGAGTGGCCAGGATATAGGGAGCAGTGTCCTGGATTATGCAGGGCAGTGAGGCCTTGGTTCTGGTCCAGGAAACCATTCTTCCCACCAACTGGAAGGGCTGTGGTGAAGGTCTCTGAAATGCCTTCAAGTCCCTTTTACCATTGACTTGGCTATCAGCATGTGGCCTCTTCTTAGTTACGCAAGCATCTCTAAGAACTGGTTGCTCCAGAGCCTACTCATATTCCTCTCAAAAAAGCTTTGTCTTTCTCTGCCACGTGGCTAGGCTGCAACTTTTTCAAACTTTTATGCTCTGCTTCTCTTGTAAATTTTAGTTCCAACTTACTTCTTTGCTCTTACAACTGAGCATAGGCTATTAGAAACAGCCTCTTCACACACTTCTTGTTCACTTTGCTGCTTAGAAATTTATTTTGCCAAATGCCCTAGATCATCACTCTCAAGTTTAGACTTCCACAGACTCCTGGGGCATGAACACAATGCAGTCAAGTTTTTTGCTAAAGCATAACACATGTGACCTTTGCTCCAGTTCACAATAAGTTTTTCATTTTCATCTGAGACCTCTTCATGCTGGCCTTTACTGTGCATATTTCTATCTGCATTTCGGTCACAACCACTTAACAAGTCTCTAAGAAGTTTCAGGCTATCCCTCATCTTCCTGTTTTCTTCTGAGCCCTCCAAACTCTTTCACCGTCTGCCCATTTACCCAGTACCAAGGTAATTTCCACATTTTCAGGTGTCTTTATAGGAGAGCCCTACTTTTTGGTACCCATCTTCTGTGTTAAGCCGTTTTCAAGTTGCTATAAAGAAATACCTGAGACCAGTTATCTTACCAAATAAAGAGGTTTAATTGAATGGCAGGCATGGTGGCTCATTCCTGTAATCCTAGCACTTTGGGAGCCCAAGGTGGGCAGATCACTTGAGGTCAGGAGTTCAAGACCAGCCTGGCCAAAATAGCAAAAAACTACCTCTATTAAAAATAAATAAATAAAAATTTAGCCAGGCCTGGTGGCATGCACCTGTAATCCCAGCTACTTGGGAGGCTGAGACACAAGAATTGCTTGAACCTGGGAGGTGGAGGCTACACTGAGCTGAGATAGTGCCACTGCACTCCAGCTTTAGTTGACAGAGCGAGACTCTGTCTCAAAAAAAAAAAAAAAGAAAAGAAAAGACAAAAGGCCTAGTTGGTTCTGCAGGCTATACAGGAATCATGGTGCTAGCATCTGCTTAGTTCTGGGAGAGACTCATGAAACTTGCAATCATGGCAGAAGATGAAGGCACATCACATGGTCAGAGCAGGAGTGAGAGAGGTGGGGGAGGTGTCACACATTTTTAAAACAACCAGATCTTATGAGAACTCACTCACTATGGTGAGGACAGTACCAAGTGGATGGTACTAAACTATTCTTGAGAAAACTGCCCCCATGATCCAATTACCTCAGGCAGGCCCTACCTACAACATTGAGGATTACATTTCAACATGAGATTCGGGTGGAGACACACATCCAAACTCTATCAGTAGGTGTATATTTACTTAAAGCCATGGATAGTGTTAGTTCTTTAAAAATTAAGTCTGATAAAACGAATTGAGACATAATATCTGAACTTTGGTCATCATTATACAATCCTAAGTATATAGCATATTTAAGGGAATATGCGGCAAATATCTATTATTTTCCTATTAGTAAAATACAAATTGGCAAGGTTTTGATGCAAAATCATAATTTTTTAAAAATGAAAATACATGGGCCGGGCGCGGTGGCTCACGCCTGTAATCCCAGCACTTTGGGAGGCCGAGGCAGGCGGATCACGAGGTCAGGAGATCGAGACCATCCCGGCTAAAACGGTGAAACCCCGTCTCTACTAAAAATACAAAAAATTAGCCAGGCGTAGTGGCGGGCGCCTGTAGTCCCAGCTACTTGGGAGGCTGAGGTAGGAGAATGGCGTGAACCCGGGAGGCGGAGCTTGCAGTGAGCCGAGATCCCGCCACTGCACTCCAGCCTGGGCGACAGAGCGAGACTCCATCTCAAAAAAAAAAAAAAAAAAAAAAAAAAAATGAAAATACATGGATTGACTTATTTGAAAATTAACCAATAAATGAGTCAACTTTATTTTATCTATTTCTAAGGATATTATCTAGAATAACTTTAATCCCAGTTGAATAATGCTACATAAAAGTGTTTTAAAATAAACTAAACAATGATAATCTCACTAATAGTATATAGAAAAGTATAACTATATGTATTTATATATTTACTTTCACTTTCTGAATTTTCTCCAAAATTATTCAACATTCCTAAGAAAGCAGTTTTGTCTGTCATTTTTAACTTATTATTTAGTATATTTAGCAATCTAAGATTGAAATTTGGTTGGGAATACCCAATAAACATTCATCAGATGTGAAATTGTAAATCATAACTATAGAGGTCTTTAAAAATGTCAAAATGTTTTTCAGTAATATAATAAGTTAACACTAATGATTATAGTAGATATCATGTTGTTAATAATCACATATATGTTTACATCATACTTTATAGATTCCATATTTTAATGAATAACTATTATATGATTTGTGTATTACATACATTATATTGAAAGTGCTTCTTTGTTCCTAAAAAAGCAAACTCTTAAATGCAGGACCTTGTTATATATATTTTTGGATCTTGATGACTAGCTTATTTTCTGGCATATGTAATATATATGACTATATAATTGATATTCAAATTAAACTAAATTATAAATAATATTTTTATTTGTTATATATGATTAGTGATTCAGAGATAATTATTAGAAAGTATTTTCTTTTTTTTTGAGACAGATTCTTGCTCTCTCTGTCTCCCAGGCTGGAGTGGAGTGGCGTGATCTTGGCTTACTGCAACCTTCGCCTCCTGGGTTCAAGTTATTTTCCTGTCTCAGCCTCCCAAGTAGCTGGGATTACAGGCACACACCTTCATGTCTGGCTAATATTTTGTATTTTTAGTAGAGACGGGGTTTCGCCATGTTGGCCAGGCTGGTCTTGAACTCCTGACCTCAGGTGATCCACGTGCCTCAGCCTCCCAAAGTGCTAGGACTACAGGCGTGAGCCACTGCATCCAGCCTAGAAAGTATTTTAACCTATGCAAATGTACGTGACTCTGCCAAATATTCTGAGAATATAGCCAATCCCAAATATGCCATTCTGAATAAAATAATAAAATTATACTTCATATCTGATAAGAAGTTATATTTCTAATAGTCTACTAAAAAACCTGGAGAATTATCCACCATTATACTTTTTTCCTACTTAATCTTCAGCCTTTATGAAAACGAATGACTTTACCTGTCAAACAGACCTGAATGCATAGTTTAAGCATGTTTGCCCTCTTTCTCATTAAGTTTGCTGTCTTTCTAGCTTATAATGACCCTGTTTGGGGAGAGGTAATTAAGTGATTTTGTTTAATAAAATACCTTTCTTTTTAGCTCCTGCTAACCAGCTCTAGCTAAACAGCTCTCATAGGTTTATAAAATATAAAAAATGATCTCACATTTGCAATGGAAATAAATTAAATCTCACAAATAAAATTAGTTTCTCATGACAACTCTATCAATAGAAAATGTATAATTAACATATACGATTTATTTCTTTATGCACAAGTATTGTGTATCCCCAATTATATTTGAACAGGCTGTATATCTAGTTCTCTCTTCACCATCAAATACCTGTATATGCTATGTGGTTATTTACTAATGATTAGTAATTGATTTATAACTATAAATCATGGGCTTTGTCACAAAATGCTATGATGTTTAGTCTGAGGATGCTAGACATATGACACTGTAAAGTATTAGCAAAAGAGATGCTTTAAGCAGGGCCTTCAGAAGAGATGAATTTCCCCTTTCTTATTAAATTTTGTTATTCTTCAGGTGATTCTCTTCCCATCACATCATGATTGGGAGTTGATCTAATTATTGGCTTGACAATACTTATTCTAATTTCAGACAACTTTGTTTAGATAAAAAAATGACTGCCAAATTCATTAACTTCACACATACATACACACACACACACTCACACACAGACATACACACAGACACATAGGCACACACACACACACTTCACAGATGTTGCATGTGAAATGATTAATAACTATAGCACTTTCATTCTCATTTTTGTATTTTTCTTCTATTTGCCATGAAAATGTTTTTTCAATCTTCTAATTTGCCCTTATTTAGTAGCACCTTATTTATATATTTATTTTAGTTGGGGAGAAAATGTTAGTGACCATTCTAGAACTTGAGTCACTATAACTAAGTGAGAAATGGCCACTCTCCATCTATAGGAGAAAGTGAAAGAGTTGATTTGTCTAAAAGTGATTCTAGCAGATTGCATTCCCAGAATATTGGTGTCTTATAATCAATGTCCCATGGAAACGTGCTACAGTTAAATACTTAAGAAAATCCATCCACAGGTTGGCACCCTATGCTTCAGATTCCACTCTATAGCATAGCTAGAGCTTCTGTAGGAGAGAAGCATGAGATAGATTAGCCTCAGATTCTCCAGAAGGAACCAACTCTGCTGATGTTAATTTTGCACTTCTAGTTTCCAGAGCTCCAAGAGTATAAATTCTGTTGTTTTAAGCCACGTAGTTTGAGGTAATCTATTATAGCAGCCTTGAGAAATATATACAGATGTTAGTAACAGGATGTGGGACACTGTTGTAACAAACACCTACAAACGTAGAAGTGGATGTGGAATTTCATAATGGATAGAAACTGAAAGAATTTTAAGGTATATATAGAAAAAGCCTAGACTGAGTTTAAAAAACTGTTGGTATAAATAGGGACATTACAGGTAATTTGTGAGATAGCTCAGAAGGAAGTGAAAGGACACTGGCAACATTTTGTCATTGTAGAGAACACATATGTCATCATGAACAGAATATTTCTAGAAATATAAACATGACAAAGTGCTTCCAGTAAGATCTCAGAAGGAAAAGAGCAGCATGTTATTGGACATTGGATGAAAGGTGATTTTTGTCATGATGTGGCATAGAGCTTGACTGAATTGTCGTACAGTGCTGGGTAGAAAGTTGGACTTGTAAGTAGTAAGCTTGGATATTTAGCTGAGGAGATTTCTAAGCAAGATGTGGAAGGTGTGGCTTTATTTATCCTTGATTTTTATAGTAAAATGTGAGAGGAGAGCAATTAAGAATGAAGCTATTAAGCAAAATGAACCAGAACATCATGATTTAGAAAATCATCTGCCTAGCCACATTGTAAAAGATGAAAAGACATGCTGTGGGGATAACACCAGTGGTATAGCTGGAAAAGCAATCACGGATCCAGTCCACCATCTCAGCAGAAACTGAGAAAGAGAGGGAGTTATTCAGGAAGGATCCATGGAGATCCATCTTGTATAAAGTCATAGATCCCCTTGACATCCATGGAAGACCAATAAGACTTTGAAAACGTTACATCAGCAAAACCACCCCAAGCTTAGATTGGAGGGGAAAAAAGAATGAAAGGAAGGAAATGGGCTCCCCAAAGGGTTGAAGTGTGTGGTCACTGCTGAGGAATTAAGAGGGGAGCCATTTCAGCTGAGGACAGCTCAGGGGCTGACAGGACCTCACTGGGTCCAGAAGCAGGGGCTGATGGAACACTGAAGTGTCCAGAAGTTGGAACATCCGTGGGCCCAGAGAGAAGAGCAAGCCTGATAATTATTTTTAGGTCTTGAAATCTGATGAAAATTGCCTGACTGGGTTTCAATCTTGCTTTGAATGAGTGATGCCTTCATTCGTATCATTTTCTCTCTTTTGCAATGGGAATGTCTAACTATGCTTGTCCCATAATTGTGGTCTGGATGGATGTATCCTGTTTTCTAGTTTCCCACTTTCATAGAGAATGATATTTCCTTAGGACAAATCACAATCCCAGTCTCTCTTGCACCTGATTTAGATTATTAGGTTTGGAACCGTTTGAGTTGATAATATTTAGATGATAATTTTGATTTAGAATTAATGCAAGAATGGATTAACTGTTACAGAGGTTTTGGGGATGGGATGAAGGTACTTTTAACATAGATTAGATGTGAACGTTACAGGTCCAGAGAACACGCTCTCCTGGGTTGAATCTCTGCTGGGTTGGCTAGTGTCCACCGCCAATATATGTCCACCTGGAATTCCAGGATGTGACCTCATTTGAAAATAGAATCTTTGCAGATATAGTTATCAAGTTAAGATGAGGTCATACTGGATTAGGTAGGTTCTATATTCAATAACTGTTGTTTTTATAAAAAGACAATGTGAAGACACGCAGAGAATAGACCCTCATGTAGTGACAGAGCAGAGATTGGAGGGATCCATCTACAAACCAAAGAAAGCCAAGGGTTGCCAGCAAACCACCAGAAGCGAGGAGAGAGGCATGGAACAGATTCTCCCTCAAAGCTTCCAGAAGGAGCCAATTCTGCTGTCACCTTGATTTCAGTCTTCTGGTCTTCAGAGCTGTGAGATAATAAAGTTCTGTTGTTTTAAGCTGCTCAGTTTATAGCTGTATGTTTCCTAGAAGCCCTAGGAAACTAATAAACCATGTTTCTGTCACATGTACAGCTGCAACTGCAAAGCTTGGGACTCAGGCCCTTAATGATAATGACCATGGGGGGCATGAATGCTGAAATTCTAGATTAGACTGGACCGAAGGTCAATTTCAGCCCCTTATGAGTTGTACGTCTCTCTGAATATGTAGTTTCACTTTGGTAGATCTATGAACACTCCTAGGAAGCACCAAGCAGCAAGGACCTTCTGAGAAAAACTGCTGCCAAGCAGGCAGGCCAGCATGCTGTCTTCCCTTTGCCTTTGTTTAGGTTGAGAATGAATCCTAAGAATTATAATAAATTTTTTATTATGTTTTCATACCTTAGGCCTTCCTAATGTGCATAATTTCCTTTCCTTTATTGTCTTTCATCATAGCTGAAAAATACGTGATTCTTAACCTCAGTTTTAAATATAAATTAAGTCTTTGAATACAAGTATCATGGTTTCCTTTTGCAGTTGATTTTCTCCCATTGAACTATGCGTGTGAAAATACATTTATTAGAATTGTTATTTTGGTAAATGATGGCATGTCATTGGTTAGGAAAGCTAAATGAAATAAACAGAATTAAATAATAATGTTGATATATTCATTAAATGTATGGAATTCCCATTCCTACTTTCTAATAAATGCATTTAGTAGATGTTTTCCCCCTTTAAATTTCTCTATTTTTTTATGTAATGGCTTTGTCAATGTTGTCGAGAACTATACATTATTTTGAGCTCACCCAGCAAAAATATTTTGCTGATTCTCTCTGATTTTTGTCCTTTAGATAGTTTGATCTATTTTCAGTACTTTTATTAGTTCTGTCTAGAACTTTTCTTTCCCCAAGGACACACAAATATTATGAAGTTGTGAGATTTTATTTGAGAGACATATATATTTTTTTTTCTAAAAGCATATCAGGACTTCAACCATTCAAATGTCCTCGTATTGGTAACACATACAATTGGTGTCTATGTCAGTAATTAAGGCAAGATGCTAGCTTGGCAAAAATATTTTGGTGATTATTTTCTCCACCATAAAAAATTAAATGACTACTTTTAATTGAATACAGTTTGACTTGATTTCCTGTTTTAGGATATCAAATTAAAAATGTTCGTCATGCTTTCATATGTTTCAATATTCAAAACCCTATGCCAACAGGATTTTAGATCTTATGCTTTTGATTTCAGACTCATAATGATAATGTGCACGTCTTATTTAAAGCCACATATAAATGATCATAATTGATATTTCTCTTTGAAATGAATAGGAAATTTCCAATTAGATCTGGCCTATTGGGATTGATAGAAAATGAGATTTATTTCTAATAAATCTGCATTAATTTCATCCATGATGTTTTTAAGAAGCTACTTGAAGCTTAATCCCAATATAATCAAGAAAGCAAAGAAAATTCTTAGATTGAACTAGCAGAGGATAAAAAATATTACTTTTATTATACCTTTAATGTGTGTATCTCACATTCACTAATTTATACCAAAGATATCATTTGATACTAAATGGCAGATTTAGTAGCATTTCTGCATGGAATTAAGACCTGTGGGAAATACAGAGACCCTTTGGTTAATAGTGTAAAGATCTTGTTCTTATTATTTTGTTTTCATTATTCAATTTCATTATTTCATTATTGTAACTTGAAGGTATGAGAGTAAACAACAAAGATAGTAAGATCGTAATTTCTCTTTACCTCTTTACAGTCAGTCAAAGCAGAACCCATGCTGAGACTGGAATGACATTTGGATACCATTGCATTGCTTGGGGTCAATGCATTGCCCTGGCTGGTACAGCTAATGGTGCAGAGTGAAATACTCCCTCCTGTAGCTGTGAAATCAGAAGGTTGTCCACAATGGTTTCCAGGGTCATATTCTGCACTCATACTCTGTCTGTGCTCCTGACATTTGCATCCTCTTGTTTAACACTTCCTGCTGTGTGTGTTCTAACCACATGTTCCTGTGACCACAGCTCATTTATTTTCTGGTCAATGTATTGATTCAGATCCACTTTCCTAGGATTTTTCTTTATTATCCTTTAAGTTCTAGGGTACATGTGCACAATGTGCAGGTTTGTTACATACGTATACATGTGCCATGTTGGTGTGCTGCACCCATTAACTCATCATTTACATTAGGCATATCTCCTAATGCTATCCCTCCCCCCTACCCCTATCCCACAACAGGCCCTGGCGTGTGATGTTCCCCATCCTGTGTCCAAGTGTTCTTATTGTTCAATTCCCACCTATGAGTGAGAACATGCAGTGTTTGGTTTTCTGTCCTTGCGATAGTTTGCTCAGAATGATGGTTCTGGGTATGGACCCAAAGGATTATAAATCATGCTGCTATAAAGACACATGTACACGTATGTTTATTGCAGCACTATTCACAATAGCAAAGACTTGGAACCAACCCAAATGTCCATCAGTGATAGACTGGATTAAGAAAATGTGGCACATATACACCATGGAATACTATGCAGCCATAAAAAAGATGAGTTCATGTCTTTTGTAGGGACATGGATGAAGCTGGAAACCATCATTTCCTAGGATATTAACTATACTATGGCAATAGGAAGAAGGAATTCAATCTTCCTAGTATAAGAAAATACATTGACCCTGTTCTTGTTTTCTATTGACATGTAACAAATTTATTGGCTTAAAGCAACACAAATTTGTTATCTCATAATTTCTGTAAGTCTGGGTCTTCTGAGGCTTAAATCAAGTGCTGGCCAACTGTGTCTTCATCTGGAAGCCAGACTAGAGAAAGATCTGTTCCCAAGCTTCCTTAGGTGGTTGAAATAATTCATCCTCCTGATTACATGGCTGAGGTCCTTGTTTCCTTGCGGCTCTCCACTGGTGACCACTCTCAGCAACTAGAGGCTGGATTCAGGTCCTCACCATGCAGTCCCCTCACAACAGGGCAGCTGACTTCATCAAGGCCATCAGAACCCCTCTGCTGTGTCTGCTAAGATGCAGTCTTGTGTAATGTGACATTTCCACGGTGGTGAGTGTTGTGTAATATCCACAGGCCCTACCCACACTCTAGGGGATGGGATTTTATAGCTCTGTATGCCAAGGAGTAGGAATCTCCTGGGTAATTTCAACATTTTCCCTACCCAAATCTCTCAGAAATATTATTAATTACTTTATAATTACAATGATCTGTGTCCAGTTTATTAATTAAGCATATATTCATTGAGCACCTACTTTCAGCCAGGACAGTTTACAAAAAGAGACTAAAGTACATCCGTGAAATAAATAGACAAGTGTCACAGCTCTTGAAGTTTACTGAAGCTCTAATAAGCACTATCTATAATAGAAAAATGCTATAGGTTATTGGGTTGCATTCAGTTCAAAAGTATTGGCAAATTGGAGAAATTGGGTTACAATCCTGTATATAAAAAAGAAAGTCTCTTCGGTCTGTGACACAGCACTTTAGGTTTCACGGGGAGATCTGTCCTTGATCTTAGAAATGCCAATTCCCCAAACAAAATATTGGGGCAAAGTAATTTCCCTAGTGCCCAACTAATACCATGTTTAATTCTGAATGGTACAAATTGTATTTCCACCAGCCTTTCTTGGCACACTCTCTTGAATTTTAATATTAATTTTTATTTGTTTACAAAAATGTTCCTCAATACCTATTGTTCTCTAGTGAATTAAAAATTAATGGTTTTGAAAATATTTTTGTAACAAGCATGCTTTAAATGTGTTATTGAAAGTAGTATTGTTTTTGTATATTTTCCATTTGAAATGTTCTAATTGTATTATTCTGTTTCCATTAGGAAGTATTGATTGGAGTGACCACTCCCCATCTTGGTGGTTATCATTACTTTGTGGCATTAAAATTGACATGAAGAATTTTTTTCCAAAAGTGTCCTGTTTCAGGATAGATTTATTTGGGGTTTTTGGTGGAACACTGGCCATTTTTAAGTTTTTTTTTTTTTTAAATCCATGTTGAGTATCTTTTTGAGCAATCTTCTTGCATTGGCTTGTATGAAAATGAGGTTCTTTAAATTACAAGTTGTGAGAATGTTAAATAGAGTATATTATTTTCACAAAAACTGTCCTACTATATTCAGGTACAAAAATGTTTAAAATTAGGCTGCAGAAAGAATGAACAAGAATTACATGGAATTTTCTCAAGAGTTGATGACATGTATTGAGTGAGTTACTAATATTCAATTTTATAGTAATCATTGTTTGAAAAAAATAGCAAGCATGCTAAAACATAGGCTGACAAAAGTACAAGTGTATATATTTCAGGGGAGAAAAGCAAAGCCCTTTTATATCTTTCACACATTCTGTGGTACATTTTTTGAGCCCCTTTATAATCTTTCCGTTGTGGACTGTGGTTTAGAATCTAAGGCCAATATAACCTGTAATGAGAATTACTTGATACCAAAAACATTGGTAGATGATTTTGTGTTTAATTTATTACCAAAATATGTAGCACATGTGGAAAGCTTTATGGTACATTAAAAAAAAGTAAAATAGGGCAGGGCTTACTTATTTTTGCCTGAAATGCACATGAAATTTTGAAGCTGCTTTTTCAAGATTACATAAAATGAAATTATATTTTAAGATGTTGTTTTTAATGGATGTCCACAATCAGTGTAAGGATACAATGAGTGAGGACCAAATCATAAAGGTGATTATTAAAATTATACAATGATTATATGATTTTTAAAAGATATTTTTAAGTTTATTAGAAAATATAGATGTACAATTAGAAATAATTTAAAAATATAGAAATAATATTCATAGATTTGTTATCTAGCAGTTAATATAATTGCTATTGTTGAAAACATGAACTTTAATCAATAAATATTAAATGAATTATATAATGTTAAACACTATTAATGTAAGGAATTAAATTGTATTTGTTTTCAGTAATTATAAATGCCAAAAAGAAAAGAACTGTTGGCTTACTAGATCAATACAGAACATATCAACTTGATTTTCAGTATATGGCCTAACTACAAGGGTCATAGCTGAAGAGTGACCCCGAAATTTCTGAAATGAACATAGAGCTTTGACCCTTAGAAATTAGTCTTTATAAAGATTATCACAGTAAACGTCTTAATGCAATGATGTGAATATTTTATATTGGGCCAGGTTCAATCAGAGAAGCAAACCACAAAACCACACAAGGATTTGTTCCAGGGATTTGACCCTTTTCACTTTTGGAAGATGGTGAAGCGGTCTCTCTAAGGCTGTGGTGTTCAGGTCTTATGCTGGAGCTGGAAGTGCAAAGAGGTGACAGCAGGCGGCAGAAAACGGGTAAACTGGCAGAGAACAAGAATTATTTGTAACCCAAAGTCATGATCTAGAGTCCACAGTGGCAAACTGAAATCCATGTCAGTCCTTGCTGCCTCTGACCATGGTGGAATAATTGTCCTGCGGAAACAAGGCCCCTTTTCTCAGAGCTCAACGCATGCACCTGACCCAGGAGTCAGAGACGCTGAAGGAGAGTCCTGGAGAAGCTGGGGCAGGCTCAGATGCTGTCTCATGCCAGCGAGGTGAGTTGGGGTCATTGACAGTAAATGTGAACTAAAAAAGGGGGCTGCTTCACTTCTGCTTTCCAATCTAGAGTATGAATCTCTCTTGTGGGCTACACTAACCAGAAACACAGAGGAAAGGAAACAAAAATATTTAGTTGGCCTCTTTACCACGATGACATATTACAAAATGACTGCAGTCCACCCTTTGTCAAATTGTTACTCGTCGCATCTTTTTAAACCAAACTTGATCCCTAAATGAAGACAATAACAATGTCACATTTCCATTGGACACAATGCAAGGAAACCCAGACACAATGGAAGAAACTCTAACCCTTCATATGAAAGGATACAAAGTGGGTTTTTCTTTTTTCTTTTTTGTCTTTGGGGATGTTCATTTTTCTTCTGGCCTTTTCATGCTCCTCCATTGATTTCCTGTAACTCAAATACTGACATTTAAATCAATTATTGTTAACACGTGTTAGATGATGAGGAAGTGATAAAGGGGAAGAAACAAAAATTGGTTAATGTAAAAACATATTCTTGTTAACATAAGAAAGACATACTTGCAACAATTGCAGTCTTTCTCTCTGCAAGTGGTATCCAAAGCTGGAATTTCTAACTACGCATCCCATATTTCCTTTGCCCTCAGCAAGCACTTCAGCTGGTCATGGTTCCCTCCCTGGTGGGGTGACACAAACCTTCATTGCTGAGGCTATCAGCAGTCTTTTTTTTTTTTTTTTTTTTTGACGGAGTCTCACTCTTGTTGCCCAGGCTGGAGTGCAATGGCCTGATCTCAGCTCACTGCAACCTCTGCCTCGCGGGTTCAAGTGATTCCCCTGCCATAGCCTCCCGAGTAGCTGGGATTACAGGCATGAACCAACATGCCCTGCTAATTTTGTATTTTCAGTAGAGACGGGGTTTCTCCATGTTGGTCAGGCTAGTTTCGAACTCACGACCTCAGGTGATCTGCCCGCCTCAGTCTCCCAAAGTGCTGGGATTACAGGCGTGAGCCCCTGCACCTGCCCTAGCAGACTCTTTTGAATTTAGTTGTTATAGTTTTCCATTGACTTTAATTACAGAAAATTTTAGTACTATAAAGTACTCTTCATGCTCTCCAGTATACCAAACATAGTCCTACCTACTTCATTGTGTAGTAATTATCAACTTTCTCTTTCATATTCAGAATCAATAACCACAGCCATTACACTCAACTCCTTTTTGCTTGTTGATGCAACAGCCTGAAGACCCCAAAGCATCTAGGAAGCAGCCTCAACTATTAGTTCAGTGAAATTATTGTCATGCCCTTTGAAGACCGCATTCCTTTCTTTAACACAAAGACTCTCATGCAGCACAGCCTAAAAGCATTGCATTCTATGTAGGAACAGTGACTTCATATGTAGGGTAAGCCTCTATTCCACTAAGAAGAGTGTATTGCCTCTTCCAGGTTGAAACCACCAAGAGTAACTAACGTGCCACCAGGAAGCTGTCTGATCCTTCTGGAGAATGATGTCAAAGCAAGGATTCAGTGTTGCTTCTGCTATTGGGAGATTTGACACTTTGCCATGACTTATCCAGATCAGCCATGAAGAGTATAAGTCCCTGTTGCTGAGACCATGCATAGCTTTCATCTCTGCCACCATGACCACTTGATTCAGGAGCCCATTGATGACGATAAGTGATCCTGGGCAAAGAGGCTAACTGATATCCACAGAACAGGTCAACCCATCTGCCTGATTATTAAAATTCTCCTCTGATGAGGCCACTCTGGTGAGCAGTCACATGGGACACAGATGCCTTCACACTTTTTGCTCACCAGGAGAGGTCTACTCACATATATCTTCTCCAAATATCCTTGCCATTAATTTTTTAAAAATAGACTTGTTATTTTACAGTAGTTTTATATTTACAATAGAGTTGCAAAGAAGATAGAGTCCTCATACCATAAGACATATGAGAATTTATATCATATCTGCCCTTCATAAAGAAAGTTCCAGCTTTACTTACTTTTAATACCTTATATTACTATGAAATATTTGTTAAAATTATTGAACCAATATTGATACATTATTATTAACCAAAGTCCAGACATCATGCAGATTTCCTTAGTTTTTAACCTAATGTTAAAAACTTGATTTTTAACTTGATCTTGAGTGCAACAGTTCTTCAGACATTCCTTGTTTTTGATGACTTTGATAGTTTTAAAGAAGTTTATAGAATACCACTCAGGTATTTTATATGGTATTACTCACGTGGGTTTTGTCTTATATTTTTTAATGATTAGGCTTTTGAGGAGGCTTTTACAAAGGTAAAGTCCCATTATCATCACATCATATCAAGGGTACATACTGTCACCATGACTTATCCCTGTTGATGTTAACCTTGGTCACCTGCCAGAGGCAGTCTTGATCAGATCTCTTCACCATAAACCTGTACTTTTCCTCACTTTCAATACTGCACTCATCGGAAGGTAGACTTTACAGACTGGCCCCTTTCACTTAGTAATACACCTGTAAGATAATCTATGTTTTTGCATGGTGTGAAGTATCATTCCTTTTTATTGCTGAAATTTTGTTTTCATTTTGTTTTGTATAGATGAACCACAGTTTGCTGGTCCGTTCACCTAATGAAGGACATCTTGGTTGTTCCTAAGTTTTGGCAATTATGAATAAAGCTGCTATAAACATTTCTAAGCATTTTTTATGTGAATATAAGTTTTCATATTAGCCAGGTGAATATGTAATAGCACATTACCTAGATTGTATGAAAGGATTGTCTTTAGATTTGTCAAAAATTCTAACACTTCTAGAGTGGCTGTGCCACTTTGCATCGAATTAGAAATTCACAATGAATTAGAGATTCTGTTGATATACACCCTCGCCAACAATTGATACTGTTGATTTTAAAAAATTGTACCTAAGTAATAGGTGTATAGTGGTATCTCATTGTGGATTTTCACCCATTTTTAAATTCAATGTTTAAGTCTCCAAGTCCCTCATCCATCTAACCAAACCGTTAGCCAGGGGCCACTAATTAATAGTGACCTTTACTTCTGGCCATTTCTCTTTCTATGTAAGGAGAATGGTGCAGTGCTCATAGTTTTGTCCACCAGCAGGACTTTCCTGCACTACTGTACTTAAGGCCATCTCTGCATGGGGGCACTTTTACATGGTACTTGCATATCATCCAGAATCACCTATAAATCAAGCCCAAGCTTTTGTGTTTTTTCCTTCTTGGTTATCCTATCACAAAGAGACAATATGAGGCCATAGATAGAATATGATTTAGCAGGAATAAGCTCACGGACATCTGGGATATTTCTGCATGAAATCTACTTGTGTCTTCAGGATCTGATTTTTCCTGGTTGTATTTGATGATGGAGTGCTGCTCTACATGTCCAATATTTAATGGCTTGGTGGATCAGATAAAACATAGTTGATGATAAATGGCTCATGTCACATGGTAACTTGGTGTGACAGCTTCTATTAAGGGCCAGTAGCAAGTTCAAAACGTGTTTCCTAAAAGGATAATATAATCCATCAATAACACAGTGGCTTTGCTCTGTGATCCTAAGTGTCTGCACTGTGATTCATCTACAGAGGACTACAAAAGGCTGCAAACTGCATTCCTGTCTACCAAGGACATTTTAAGCACCACTGAATCTGCCAGATAATGTAATCCAAGGGAAGAGCATCTTGCAAGGCAGCCTGGATCTGTTGCAGAGCCTTCTCTTGTTCCAAGCCTTTCTAAAGTGTAGCAATTGTTGAGTCATATGATTAGACTAACCCCCTCCATGAGTTATATGGTGCCTCAAAAAATTGCAAGAGTCCCCTTCCATATTGTGTCTGTCTTAGTTGTAGAACAGTCTAGAGTCAATAACTTGTCCTTCGCCCTTGAAGGGATATCTTAACATGCTCAAAATCACTGAACTTCAGAAGTGTCATTGAAATTCCAGGCCCCTGAGTTGTTGTGAATTATGTTTCGTATCTCCGACATGCAATTTCTAATCGGTATATAGTAGTTTTTATTTCCTGTTCATCAAATCCGATTAGCATAGTGTCATCAAGGTAATGGACCAGTGTGATGTCCTGCTAAGCAGGAAAATGACCAAATGCTCAGAGAGTAGCTTATATCTCAGGGCTAGAGAGTTGCTATATTCCCAGGGTAGCACAAGGAAGATTTATTGCTGGAATTGCCATTTGAATGCAAACTGCTTCTGATTTGCTTTATCAACAAATATGGAGAAAAAAGCATTCACTACATCAGTAGCTGCATACTAACTTCCAGTGATGTGTTGATCTCCTCAAGCAAGAAAATGGCATCAAATACAGTAGTTGAAATTGCAGTCACCACCTGAATAAGTTTATGATTGTCTACTGTCATTCTCCAAGAAGCATCTGTGCCTGCAAAGGCCAAATAGGTGAGATGAACAAGGTCATATTGGGAAACACCTCCCCTGTAACTTTCAAATCCATTCTAGTGACATTAATTTCCTCAGTCCTTTCAGGAATGTGGCATTGCTTTTGTTTTTGTGGTTAGATACAGTTTTAGTGTCTTTTAATTATGTTTTCTTTTGTGTGTGTGTGTGTTCTTTTTTTTTTTTTTTTTTTTTTTTTGAGACGGAGTCTCGCTCTGTCACCAGGCTGGAGTGCAGTGGTGCGATCTCGGCTCATTGCAACTTCTGCCTCCTGGGTTCAAGTGATTCTCCTGCCTCAGCCTCCCAAGTAGCTGGGACTACAGGTGCGTGCCACCACACCCAGCTAATTTTAGTATTTTTAGTAGGGATGGGGTTTCATCATGTTGACCAGGATTGTCTCGATCTCCTGGCCTCATGATCCACCTGCCTCGCCTCCCAAAGTGCTAGGATTACAGGCGTGAGCCACTGCGCCCGGCATATGTTTTCTACCATAATGTCCCTCAATACATAAGTCATGAAGCCAATGTGGAGATTCTGGCCTTATCTTCATTCACATGGCTGTGGATGGTGAAGCTGGCTCAAGTCTGGGAATTGACTGAGGAGCAGTGAGTCTGTGTCTTCATGATTCAGGTTAGATATCTGTTCACTCCACCTAGATCTTTTTTTGTTTATTCCTATCGATTAAGAAATCAGTAGTATGCCCATCAATTTCATTTCCCAGGAAACGATGATCAAGTAACTAATGCCAAAGATTTCTGCATGTCACACACTTCTGATTAATTCTCTGATTCTTCTGTCCATGCTGCCATATTGCCTATGTTGTCTTTAGTTACTGGGCCTCAACTTGGCCCCTGCCATCCTGGTGCCCCATTATCCCTGTTGTATTGAAAGATCTCAGTTAAATGGTATTAGTTTCACTGTGATTTCTGATCTATACAGAGGTTCAACCACAGAACTTCAAAGAAGGTAGGGATCTCCAAAAAAATATCTTTCTTGGCTGGGCACAGTGGCTCATGCCTGTAATCTCACCAATTTGGGAGGCCAAGGTGGGCGGATCACTTGAGGTCAGGAGTTTGAGACCAGCCTGGTCAACATGGTGAAACCTCATTTCTACTAAAAATACAAAAATTAGCTGGGCATGGTGCTGCATGCCTGTAGTCCCAGCTACTCTGGAGGCTGAGACAGGAGAATCACTTGAACCCAGGAGGCTGAGGTTGCCGTTAACTGAGATCATACCACTGCACTCCAGCCTGGGTGACAGAGTGAAACTCCATCTCAAAAAAAAAGTCTTTCTCCCAGCTGTGATGGGCGCTATATCCACTGCACCCTTCTAGATGGTTAAGCAGGTAGGTAATTAATCTACATTATTACGCTGATATCTGTAGTCTTCGGGTAACTTTCTCCAGAGTATACCCAGGAAGTTCTGTCATTTCAGTCATATTTAGTGTAAGCCATCTTTGGGTTTATGTTCTTGTCCATTGGGCTGAAACATGAGCCTAGTATCTTCCCTTAGTATACTCATATAAAACAAATTTGCCCTGATCAGACTTATATTTCTCCTACCTGGACATCATACCTTTCAGTTCTATGCTCATGTATGATTCTTAGATTTCTGTATACATTGGCAAAATGGTGCAATCCTTTTAGAGGGTATTAAACCTAGTAAGTGGTCAAGTTTTGTCCCACATACTTTCAGACCTGTTGGGACTTGAGTCAACTTATATGTCTAGAAGCAAGGGGAGGTGATGAGTATAGGTCCTGGGGAGGATCAACAGTGCCTTGCAAGGCCAGTACAGGAGAGATTTGTATAGATTCTTTAGACAGGAAGAGAATAACCTCCTCAGCAAGAGTAGAAGGACTTCTTCAGGGGCAAAGAAGGATCAGCAGGATATAGGGGTCCATGGTCCCTAGTTTCATTTAATTCTGCCCGTACATCCATATCCCAAGTTTCATGATCATTTTTACTTCCAGTTAATGTTCTCTCTTTAAAAAAAGAGACTGTTAAGTTGGGAATTCAATTCATATTATATTTAAGCCACCTGCAGGATCAGACTTTGTGTTTTTAAGAACAGCCCAGAGCTTACAGGAGAGATGGCTTTCTTTCAGGGTAGTCATTGAAGCCTTCAGTTTCCTTATGCAGTCTTTGAATTACAAATTTAAAGTCTTGAACTCATTATTTTCTTTTCCAAGTTTTAGTTCATTTAGAAGCAATCAGCCAACCCTACTATACTCCTTAATTTTACTAAACTATCCTAAGGCAACAAATACGTTATCACTCAGAACCATGCCTTCTATAGTCACTGGATAACAGAGACCTAAAGGTCATAAATTGAGTGACAGTCTCGTTACTGCAAGCCATTAGTACCTACCTTGCCAATTTGCCCCTGGGAGCAGGGTCACTTGTGCCTTTAAATCTAGAGAGACATTTCCAGAATACACAGAACCAGTTCAGAGTACTCCTCTGTAAGTTTCTATGTCTCTGGAAATACTCTTCCTACCAAATTCTTTATCATCCAGGATTCTCTCTCTCTGTCTCTCTCTACATGCACACACACACACACACACACACACACAGTGTGTGTATGTATGTATACATGTATATGTGTGTGTGTGTGTGTGTGTGTGTGTTATATATATATATATATATATATATATATGGATGGACTTTTGTATGTTTGTTTGTTTGCTTTGCATGGAGATTTTCCTATACACCATTGTGAATGCTGGTTGAGTGGTCTCAGTCAGGCTGTTGTCTTTAATATAACGCTGGAGCTCAAAGTCCAAAGTCCACAAGCAGTTGGAAAAGGAGGATAAATGTAAGGTGGTGGCAACAAGAACAAGCTGAAGGCGGGGCACGGTGGCTCACGCCTGTTATCCTAGCACTTTGGGAGGCCAAGGCAGGCGGATCACGAGGTCAGGAGGTAATAGTATTTTTATATTGTCAAGAGTTATATCATTTATGTCCCATTTTGCAAATATAATTAACTTTTCCCAATTATATATTTTAAAAGGAAAAGTGGAGTAGGAAGGTAATACTTTTGGAAGATACTCCCTATGAACTATCAAATATGGAAGATTCTGATGAACTGTGATAAATTTGTAGTATTTCTCTCCTTGAAAGAATTGTATTTTCCTTTATTAGTCTCATACTGGAGGCATTGATATTGAATGTGAACTCAATTCTATAATCTCTATTTTATTTATTTTTTTTTTTATTTTTTATTTTTATTTTTTTTTAAATTTTTTTTTTTTATTATACTTTAAGTTTTAGGGTACATGTCCACATTGTGCAGGTTAGTTACATATGTATACATGTGCCATGCTGGTGCGCTGCACCCACTAACGTGTAATCTCATTATAGTCCATTCCTTTTCTTCAGATTGCTACTTTTGGAATTTATCATAGTGAGAGAATTTGCTAATACAAGTCTCATATTCTTGACATACAATTAAGAAGAATAAGATATGACTAGTCCATCTCTTCTGAATTTGACTCTTCATTAATTACCTGAATAACTGCCTCACTAATTTACTGACTTTTTTTTTTTTTTGTAATTTCTAAAGAAAACTATAGTGTTTTATCAGTGTTCCTTTGTGTTTTGGGCATAGTCGTTTCTTGTTCTGTTTTCCCATCAATTTCTCATGATTAAAATCAATTTTATTTTCTCTTTCTAATACTTTCATTGTTTTTAGTTCAATTGTATATTTATCTTCACACTATCCCTTTTGTTATGTCAATTATACTGGGGAGTGGTGGAGTAGGGAAAATGCACATATGCATTTGCAGTTTGTGAGGGATAGTTACTGGTTGCTTTTATGTCAAAATATTGGTTACATTTAAACAATTCAATGGATATCATTGGCTAGAACATAATCTATTTACCATAGCTTGGGTAGTTCAGGGTTTCTGTTATTTATTCACAAACCAATTCATATTAAGTTAAGGTCTGTAAGAAAGCCTGGTGTGTTGTAGACAGATTGGAAGAAGACAATGACATGTACAGTGATCAAGAGTTAGCAATTTGAATTCAAAACTTATATAGAAAATACCTTGAAAGAAGCCATGCCGCATTCAGTGTCTGTATGATTGGATTCAAAAGTTTTGGAGAAAAAGGTTGATTATAGATTAATACTCTTATGATACTCTCTAGCATGTTACAATGCAGGAAGCTCTGCTACTTGGTCCTGTGGTCAAACACATCCAGAGGTAACGAAGTGTCTGTGGCCAATCAGAAACATCTGTGGTATGTGAGGTCAGCCCTGATGGGAGAATCCCAGGCAATACACAGGTCACAGTTCACTGATGCACGTCAGTAGAAGCTAAGTGGCTGAGCCAGGGACACCAAGCAACCCAGCAAACTGTGCTGACTACTATGAAATCGGTTCGACCTAACCTGCTAAGCCACAAAATTGGGCATATTTATGTGAATTTCCTCCAAATTGAAGTGAAATATATGTGAAGTAGCTTGGCAAGTTCTGAAGAAATGGTGAGTTGTGACAGCCAAACCAGATCAGCTGCCATCAAGGTGTTGGTAAACTTGCATTCTCGTCTAAGAGCTTGAATGGGGAAGAACCTGATTCCAAGCTCTTCAAGTTGTTGCCAGAATTCAATTCCTTATAATTCTAGGACTGAGAGCCTCAGCAACTAGAGACAATCCACAGTCTCTGACCATACAAAGGTCGCATCACATCATCTTACTCCTTCAAGTCCAGGAGAGACTACAGTCTGCTAAGGCACAGTCTCATACAACATAATGTATCATGTTAGTGGCATCTTACCACTTTTACCATATTATATGGGCTAAGAGAAAATCACAGGTTTTACTCACACTCAAGCAGATGGGCTTAAACAAGGGCATGACTCATGGGGGTAACCTTAGGGTGTACCACCTCAGGACACTGTCATTCCAATGGGCAAAGCTTCAAGCAGCACATCTGAATGTCTACTTTCCCTGGCATGAGGCATGGCTCATAAGTAGCGGTTAATAACTTCCGTGGTTGGAGATGGACTTGAAATGACCCTGATTTTAAGACTGGGACTAAAGAGTCCCAGGAGTATGAAAATATTTGTGTTCCATATGAAAGCTCAACAGAAAGCAGCTATGGTAGATGAGGCTTATAATTATCAAGTGGACAAGTTCTGTCTATGGCCAAGAGTTAGCATCCACCTTCATTCCAGCTTTCCTAGTTGGCTTACAAACAAAGTTAACAGGGTACTTGACATGAATGTTAAGCATTCATGTCATCACATGGACTTTTCATCTCCAAAGCTGATCTGACTACTGCCAGTGCTCAGTGTCAGTCTGCCAGTGGAAGGGACCATTCTCTGAGAGTCTGATATGCCCTCTTTCCCTTATAGTTTTCACGTTATGTTAGACTGTTTCCATCTTGAGGGTGACTGTGGAATGGACACTTATGCTGGATGCGGATTTACCCTCCTTGCCTAACATGATAAATTTTTATTAGGTAATTAATTAGTAGATTGCTTTTTACAAGAGAGTGTGCATTGAATATAAATTTCCTATTGGCAAGGTCATGTACTTTGTAATCCATTCTACTCAGAGTGAAGCATCCATCCCAGGTCTTAGCCCATTAGTGGAAGATCAATACATATTTCTTAAAAGAATAGATACATAAAATGCATTAAGATGTCCTAGAATAGAAGTAGTTGGAAAAGAAAAAGGAATATAAACTTAGGGACTCATAAAATGGATCCCAAAATGAGACTAATACAAAAATCAATTCTTAAGAACCTTTCACATTTGCTCTGAGTGGGCTGTGGGCCACAAAGTTGGCTTTCACCTATCTGGAAGCCAATATGGAGAAGGAAATGGTGCCCATTACATAGTCCCCATGTCCATAACTCAGAAGATCCATAGTTATTCCTGATTTGGAAATGTCTGGTTTTACAGCATTCTTCAACATAGGCTTTAATATCTTCCCCATGTAAGACAAAATATCATTTCTAAGGACCCTCATAAATTAGACAATATTTAATAAAATGAAACATCTGTTTTAGGGCATTCTTTCAATGCTTTTGTGTCTTTAATTTTATTAAGAGAGAAAATTAAAAAATGTGCTTTTGAAATTTTTCATTTTTGTTGATAATACATTTGTAAAATAAAATTTATTTCAACATGGAAAGCAAATATAAAATAAGTATTTTGGTAAAAGCAGGTGTGGCAGGATTTTCTAGTAATTTTCTTTTATATTCTGGTGGAGATCCCTAAGCTACCTCTGTGGCATGTTTCAAGGAATAAATAAAGTACTGATATTTTAAGTAGTCATTCATAATCCTTGTTGTTCAAACTGAGTTCTGAAAGCCAGCGGATATCAATGGGCATGAGATGTTTACATCCTTTCAATTCCATGGGGTTTGGCTTTCTGAGTTCAAAATTAGGTGTGAAAAATATAGTAATTTCCCCTTACTCCCCATTTTACTTTCTTATAGTTTCAGTTTCCCATGCTCTACTGTGGAAAATATTAATAAAATTTTACAGAAATAAACAATTCACACGTGTTAAATTGCATGCCATTCTGAGTAGTGTGATGAAACCTCACGCTGTCCTTTTCTGTCCCTCCTGAGAGGTGCATCAGCCCTTTATCCAATGGATCCACACTGTGTGTGCCGTCTGTCAATTAGTAGCCCTCAGTTATCAAACTGGTAGATAACAAGAAGAAGGGTGAGCACAATAAGAAATTTTGAGAGAGAGAAAGAGGAAGCACATTCACATAACTTTTATTACAATCTATTATTATAATTATTCCATTTTATTACTGTTGTTATTTTCTTTCTGTGCCCAACCTATAAATAAAACTTTATTAATTGTTATATATGTATAGGAAAAAAACATAATGTATATAAGGTTCAGTACTGTCTTTGGTTTCAGGCATCCACTGGGGGTCTAGAAATATATTCCCAGCAGATAACAGGAGTTATTTACAATGAATAATGATAAGAATAATGTACATTTATTGAATACTTAAAAATGTTGGGTACCACAATTGGTGCCGTATATATATTGTACTATTGAATCATTTGCAACAGTTGCATGAGGTTAAATTCTACTTTTCCAATTTATGGATGAAGAAGTTTATTCTCATATATATAAAATTGACAGAGAGCACACATCTAGAAAATAGCAGAGTTAGAATTCAATCCAAGTCTATGTGACTATAAATCTACACTCTTAATGTGCACGCTATCTGATTTTTTTCCTACATGACAATGAAATTGGTTATAGGAGTAGTAACCTATTATCGAAATTAGGATGTAAGAATATATCTGTAGGCCAAGCATGGTGTCTCATGCCTGTAATCCCAGCACTTTGGGAGGCCAAGGCAGGCGGATCACAAGGTCAGGAGTTTGAGACCTGCCTGGCCAATATGGCAAAACCCCATCTCTACAAAAAGTACAAAAATTAGCCAGGCATGCTGGCGGGTTCCTGTAGTCCCAGCTACTTGGGAGGCTGAGGCAGAAGAATCGCTTGAACCCGGGAGACGGAGGTTGCAGTGAGCTGAGATAGCATCACTGCACTCCAGCCTGGGCTACAGAGCAAGACTGTGTCTCAAAAAGAAAAAAAAAAAAATAAAGGACTATATCTGTAAACCTGTTCATAAATCTCATTAAGAAATAATTGGGACCATTCTAATCCATTGATAAGTAATAACTGAGGCCCTAAAATTCCACCATTAAAAGTTGACAATAATCTTGATATGGAAACTGAAATGGTTCATATAGAATAAACTCAGAGTGAAAACTAAAATGATTTGTCTGAGTATTTTTGAATTACATTTTCCAAACAATGCAAACGGTTGTACGACGGCAAATGTTATCCCACTCCAGGGCCCCACCAATGACCCAATTCCAAAGCATTTTTTGGAATTTCTTATTCATCCTTACAACACACACACACACACACACACACACACACACACACACACACACACAAACACACACACACACACTCGTACTTTTAGCCTGATTTTATTTTAAATACCATTTTCTTGACGTATATAATTTAACTAATGCTATGTTAATCAATGTCTACCTTTTTTATTGATTGTTTTTATTACAAATAATGCTACAAAAATACTTTGCATTTGTACTTTTCTGTCCATGCACTATAGCATCTATAACATAGATTTCTAAAAATTGAATAACTAGTTTATTGGGAATATGTAATGGAAATTATGGTAGTTACTATTACATTTCCTCTTGAGAAGTTGTACGCCTTTCTCACATTTCACACCAACAGGACATTGGTGCACAGCTTTTTTGTACCTTCTCCAAGGGCTATAAAATTTTGAACACTTTAAAATGTTTGAATATCTTAATCAGTGAAAAATGATGTGCTATTATTTGAATTTTTGCCTATTTGTGCATGTTTTTGCACATTAAAAACCATTTATTTATTGTTTTGGGAATAAATCATATGTATAAGAACAGATTTGAGTCTTTTACATATTGATTTGTAAGAACTCTATATTTTAGGGCAATCTATGTTTCATCAAATATGTTATGAATATTTCTTCCATTTTTGAATTTTTTTCTGATTCAAGAAATTAGAAGTATTTTACAATTTTTACCATATAGATACATATGTTTCCTTTTTCCCCTAGGTATTGTATCTTTTTCATTATTACTATCCATTGGAACTTAATGCTATAATATCTTCTACCTTTTCTGTTTATGTTTATTGTAGATGAAATTATTGTTTTCATATATATTTAATTTACAACAAGATATTTTACCTTAATCTCAGTTCCAATTAATTTTTAAGAGATTTTCTCAGATTTTTCTGAAATAAAATCATTAATATGCAATTTATTCATTGTAATTTTAAACAAATATTTGTTCTGAAGTGTTTTTAAACTTTTGCTTCATGTTCAGGGGTCCATGTGCAGTTTGTTATATAGGCGAATCGCATGTTGTGGGGATTTGGTTGCAGATTATTTCATCACACAGGTAACAGGCATAGTACCTGACAGGTAGTTTTTTTTAATCCTCACCCTCAAGTAGGGTGTCTATTGTTCCCTTCTTTGTGTCCATGTGTACTCAATGTTTAGCTTCCACTTATATGTGAGAACATGCAATATTTGGTTTCTGTTCCTGCTTATCAAATGTTTTTAACTACATACTTTATCTATGAATACATTGTGTAGTAACAGTTTAAGCCACTGAGATAAGTCTAGAGAAGACATCCTAAGACAGAGTTCTAGAAATAATCAATGTTGCCTTCTTATTTAGAATATTTTACAATTTTTTGTTTTCAGAGATACATATATATAAAACTTAGACACATAATTTCCTGTACATATATAAAATATAGTATCCTGTTTACATTATACTGGATTAACTTTTTTGTAACTACAGGTGATTATACCTAATGTTAATTACACAAGTACTTATTTTAAAATACTGCTTAGTATCCATATTTGGGTGTCCCATTTTAATTAACTAGTTAATTTGGCAATTCCTACTGATAGAAATTTATATTGTAAATATTGCATTTGTAAATGGCCTCAGGTGATGACATCTTTTTAGGTCTAGTTGGCATAGAAACAATTTTATCCCGTACCCCACCTCAGCCCACCCCAATTAACATGATGTAAATATTCTTGATTTGGGTGCTCATTTTAAATTTAAAATATATTGGCAAACTGCCTCTTAAAATATCTAGTTACACATAGAAAAGCATAGAGGATGTTTGTAACACCTTTGTGAATGTATTTCCTTTGGGGGAAGATGCTATCCTCACCTGATCTGTGGGTAGACACATGGCCCCCTTGGGTAATCAGAATCTTCCCACCGCTTTGGACCCACTCATGAATGTGTAGTCGGTAGGCAACACAAACAGAATTACTTAAATTGGATTTTAGGGGTACGTATGGAAGCTGCCCCAGCAAGCGCCGCCTGCTCTCTCTGAGTTAATAAATCATAATTTAACGGGACCCTAGAGCCACCAGCAGGCATGATTTTCACCACATGAGGAAAGCGTGCCAGAGAATGGGGCCAAAGTAGAAGAACACAGAGCTGAGAGGTGAAGGGAGGGGCACGGAGTTTTGATCATATTCTTTGAATTCTGGATAGGTCAATGCCAAGTCTACCCGTAGACTTTCTAATTACATGTGCCAATAAAAATTACAGTTTGGCTTAACTGAGTTTGAGTTCGGATTCCATACTTGATGTCCAAGGAATCCAAATTAATATAACCATAGAATATGAAAAAGAAAAGCAAAAAGAGGCACTCCATGTTCAGTGGCTGAATGAAAGCAGGGAAAAGGAGATACTTTTTTCTCCATCCCCAACTAGAAAGTTTGTGATTCTTTATTTATTTATTTATATTTATTTATTTATTTTTTTTTTTATTTTTTTATTTATTTTGAGACGGAGTCTGGCTCTTTCGCCCAGGCTGGAGTGCAGTGGCGTGATCTCGGCTCACTGCAAGCTCCGCCTCCCAGGTTCATGCCATTCTCCTGCCTCAGCCTCCTAAGTAGCTGGGACTACAGGCGCCCTCCTCCCTGCCCAGCTATTATTTTTTGAATTTTTTTTTAGTAGAGACAGGGTTTCACTGTGTTAGCCAGGATGGTCTCCTGACCTTGTGATCCGCCCGCCTTGGCCTCCCAAAGTGCTGGGATTACAGGCATGAGCCACCACTTTCAGCCAAGTTTGTGATTCTTAAACAACAGCAAAACAGCTGTTTAAACTGTCATCTACAATAACCTGGAACTCATATTCTAGTCTACGGAGTTTGGGGCTTTAGAAGGCAGTAAAAATATAACAACACTTTGAAATATGTTGACTTCGTTTTGCTACATTTAACAAAGTGTTACAGGAAAAAAGTTATGATCAATCTATGTTGGCATATCTGAAAGCAAAGACATGAAAAATATGATACAACCAGGATAAAATAAGCCTTTTAGCTTAGTGTGAAATCCAGGATGGCTGAGAGTTACGTAATAGTAAGCTTTGTTTGTGTTAAAGAAAAACTTATTCAAATACTTGTTAAAGATGGTAAAGCTTACTTCATTCAAGGGGAACCATGGGGCTAGGTATAAAGACCACTGCAACAGGATTGGCAAGTGGGGATTTATGGCCAACGAGCAGATCGGGGACAGTGGATGGAAACTTACTAAGAGGGAACATCGTGGATAAGAAGTTTCTGGCTAAAGCAACTTGATGGATAGGGTAATCAGATATACAGGGTAGTCAGATACCAAGGGAGGGGAGTTTTCATGAAACCAAGTTGGAAGGTATTAGTCCGTTCTCACACTGCTATGATGATACTACCTGAGACTGGGTGATTTATGAAGATAAAAGGTTTAATTGACCCACAGTTCTGCATGGCTGGGAAGGCCTCAGGAAACTTATAATCATGGCAGAAGGTGAAGGGGAAGCAAGGCGTGACTTACATGGCAACAGGGGAGTGAGATAAAGAGAAAGGGGGAACTATCAAACACATTTATAACCATCAAATCTTGTGAGAACTCCCTCACTATCACAAAAACAGCATGGGGAAACTGCCCCCATGATCCAGTCGCCTCCCACCAGCTCGCTCCTTTGAGAGGCAGGGGTTACAATTCGAGATGAGATTTGGATGGAGACATAAATCCAAACCATATCAGAAGGGTTCTTGCTCAATCTGGGTTCTACAAGGACAGAGAGAAAAGCCCAAGATCGAGTCCGAAGACTCAGAGAAACCTGGTTAAAATTTTGGTCAAAGGAGAGTCTTTGCCACTTGACAGGTAATCACTTTTCTTCCCCTCACTTCATCCTCCAAAATCATATGTTTGCCTAAACATATGAAGGCAGGAAAAGAAAGAATTAGAACCAACACAGCTAGGGCTTCTCTGGCTTCCACTTCATTCTCACACCCCTTCTCTGCCAATGTATAATGAAATCCACTGAAATGTCTTCTAGGGCTGAAGGAAATGCTTAGCTGCTTAAATATTTCATTATATTGCCAAACATGACTTTAGAAGATAGTTCCCTAGATGAGGCATTCAATATGAGGGCTAAGGGGATGAAAAGAATCTGAAATCAGTTGCCGAATGGCAGACAGCTCCATTCTGGTATCTAGATCAGGAGTTAGCAAACTTTTTCTGTGAAGGGCCAGATAGTAAGCAGTTTAGGTATTGTGCGCCATACGTCTCTGTCACGACCAACTCAACTCTGCTATTGGAGTAGAAAAGCAATGACAGACAATGCATGAATGAATGAGTGGGGATGTGTCCCAATAAAACTTTATATTTTGATGCTGAAACTTAAATTGTGTGATTTTCATTTCATAAAATATCATTTTTCTTTTGAGTTTTAAAAACAATTTAAATGTAAAAAAAATCTGTTGATAGGAGGTCATATAAAAACAGACAGTGGGGTAGATTTGATCCAAGGACTGTAGTTTGCCAACCATGGCTTGAGATCTTCACTTAAAGGAGTTGTATGATCACAAACCCCCAGCTCTGTAAAACAAAAGTCTATGACAGCTCAGTTTCCAAGAGAAATCCAGGAATCCTTGAAACCTGGATGGGCAAGCGTTGAATTTCTTACATAGTGTATTCTCTAATGGAGAAAAGGAGAAAAGCAACCCAGTTTGTCTTTCTGTTGGGGACATGAGCCATAATGGACCAAGAGAGATAATCTCCTAAATTGTAGAACCAGGGACAGGCAAATTGGTCACGAAGGAAGCCGCTTGGTTTCCAACTATGATATCTAATCTTTGCTATCACTTTCCAGCAAGTTATGGCAACATAATGTGTTATTTCCTCTGCTAGCCTTTTGTAACCGGCTGTTTCCATTGCAGTTATTTTTATTTCTATCTATTATGTGACATTTGGTACTTTTGAAATAGTTATATTCATTTTTTAGCTACAGATTTTCAGATCCCAAGCAGCCAATTTTAGAACTAAGATGAATGTATTATCTAGTCATCTCAGATCTAGAGCTGAATAAAGTAACTATAATGTCATATAACTACATTATTTTATGTGGGGACACTCTTAATGGAGGGAGGTTGTGTGTGAATTGTGTGGCAGTGTGCCCGAGTTGCTTAGTGTGTTTATTCAACCAGCGTCTTTTTATTTTGGGATTCCTCTCTCCTCCCTCTGGGCATGATCAAACAGGAAATGACTATAGACCAACTTCATCTCGCTGAACTCAAATGACACTTTTCCCAATTTAAGGCTTTCACATGTTTCGCTTGTCTTATTGTAGTGGTGGATTCTTCCTTCAATTTCTTTCAGACATTGTTGCTTACCAGTACCCACTGAGAAGTGGGGAAAGTCAGATGCAGAGGGCTTCACTTGACTACATGGGAACATGGAAATGATGTCGGCTGCTGAGACTGTAACAAGACATTGAATAAAGAATCCATCTTAGGCTTGACTTTGAGAAAAATTTTCTTTTCTTTAAGATAACATGTTTTTTAATATATGTATGCATGCCAAAGTAAAAGAATAAACTATGACTCTATACAGAGGTTTAAAATCAGGCACCTTGAAAAACAGAAAATAGTTTTAATTTTTACATAGATTCCTTACTATGGGTTTTTTTTTGTTTTTTGTTTTTTGTTTTTTTGCCTATAATCAGATTCCAGTGTACATTTCTCATTTTCCTGTTTCTTTTTTAGAGATATAAATCTAGATGTTGTCTATTGTTTATTTATATCTACTATATAACTTACATCCTTTGTAGTAATTTATTGATTTACTGCTAAAATAACAGATTTTAAAATAAAAAAATTTTAAACGTCATTACTGACACTAAACTATCTGAAGGTTAGATGGGTATAAATTCAGTTTCTAAAAGATGTATTTGACAATATGAAATATTTTAAAACCTCGGTCTTAGGGGCCAGTGTTTGTGATCTGTCTCCTACCCAAAACAACATCTCCAATGCCTGCTACTATTTTTAGTACGATTAATGATGAGGAAATGCCTTATTCATACTTTATTCATTTATAATTTATTCATTTATCAGTCAATGGAAAGCTAATATGTAATGTTCACAAGAAAACGATAAATAATAGAAAAAAAACATCACCATATGGCATTTGGATTTAGTGACGAAAAGGTCAAACACTAAAATACTATGATTTTTATACTAGAAAGATGTTTACATTTCACGGATAGTTGTTTAATGAAGGAGGAACTTACATGGTCACCACTTAAAAACTGCCATAAAAATTTTTGTCTTAGAAAGACCTTGTGATTGTTTTAAGACAATGGGTACATAAGTGAAATAAATATTTGGAAGGTATAAAAACCAATGACTGCCTGAATTTTTTTTTTTTTTTTTAGCATTCCAGTTAGGGCCTCTAATAATGGGAGGTGGTGTCTCTTTTCACACTAAATTTAAAAAGAGATACAAAACTTGAAGCTTTGCCAACTTGTCAACTTACCCATTGAGATGGTTAATATCAAGTGTCTACTTGATTAGATAGAAGGATGCAAAGTATTGTTCTCGGGTGTGTCTGTGAGGGTATTGCCAAAGGAGATTAACTTTTGAGTCAGTGGACTGGAAGAGGCAGACCCACCCTCAATCTGGGTGGGAAAAATCTAATCAGCTGCCAGCATGGCTAGAATAAAAGCAGGTAGACGAACGTGGAAACACTCGACTTACTGAGTCTTTTAGCCTCCATCTTTCTCCTGTGCTGGAAGCTTCCTGCCCTCGAACATCAGACTCCAAGTTCTTCAGGTTTTGGGTTCTTGGACTTACACCAGTAATTTGCCAGTGATTTGCCTTTGGCCACGGACTGAAGGCTGCACTGTTGACTTCCCTACTTTTGGGACTTGGACTGGCTTCCTGCCTCCTCAGCTTGCAATTGCCTATTGTGGGACTTCCCCTTCTCATAGTGTGAGTCAATTCTCCTAAGAAACTCGCCTTCATACACACATCTATCCTATTAGCACTGTCCCTTTAGTATATCTTGACTAATACACCCGTTGTCCTCCAAGGGAATCCTAAGTGGGGCTATCATATTGCTTTAAAACATTGCTGGGCAGTTCAAGCATATTTTGAAGAACCAACTGTAAATCAGGCTTGTGTTTTGTTTTGTTTTATAAAAATAAGACTATTTATATGAAACGTTCCATGCAGATTTACCTGTGGATTGTGGGAAACCTGGAGATAAATAGAACAGCCATGAAAGTCAGAACTGCTTGGTCATAGAACTGCCTTGCGCTTTCAAGACCTGCTTCAGCCCATCTCCTACCTAGTACTTGTACTTGAAGATGGATTGCTATGTTTACATTCAATTCTATGTCATGGACAGGTTTGGATAACACTGAGTTCATGCTCAGCATTCGGGATTGCACGGTCTCTTGGTACTCCTTATTTTCCACCAGCACACAATGACAAGGTAGAAGGTGTCGTTCCAAAGAAAGACACTCATCTGCAGAGTGTGTCATAGCTTTGCTGTAAAATTCTGAAGATCTGCTCTGTGAGTCACACAGAGGGCTCACCACAGGCCCTGCATGGCCTTGTTTTCTGCTGCTGACACTTCAGCCTCATTGCATCTGCTGAGGGCTCTGACCTCAACAGCTGAGCAGCTGCACCGCTCTGCAGCTGCCGCAGGGCCTCACTTGCTCTGGGTCCCACACAACTGGAGTTTATGTGTTACTCAGTTAATGGGTCAGAGAGGCACACTCAAACATGATATATGTTGCCTGAAATATCCCTCTTTGGACTAGATTATGTTGGGAAGCCAAAGAGTTGATGTGACTCTGAGGTAAACAGGGAAGATGTAGTTTTTTCTCTCCTTAATGAACCCCAATAACTTCTAATGGTGATTCTTAACTGTGATAGGGAGAAAGGCATTTCATAGAGCAGTAGGTGCATACTGAGTAGTGGGGACATTTTAATTTTTTTCTGGTAAAGAGATTACATTTAGCATAAAAGTTATAGTTGAAATCCTTTAATTGCCTTTGTCATAATGTGTTGCTATTTTGTAAGAGTAATCAACTGCATAGCAGTCATATAGGTAAGTTTCATGGGAATGTCACAGAAAGTGTCAGCCCTATTTTTTCTAACATGTTGAAGATTATATATATATATATATATAATATGTACATATATATGATTGACACATAGCAAATATACAGTACATGTTACTTATTATTATTTCAGGAAAATTGGTTGGAAAACATGCATTTTGTCATTCCTGAATGGTTACAGGCCTGGGGCAGGCAAATCTGTACAGTCCACCTATTATGGATAGATAATGTTATAATCTTGTAATCTTGGTATCATGGCCTTTGTAACTATGAAAGAATGGCATTGACCTTCCTAAAATAATCCCTGCACCTGGGACAGGAACTTGCTCTGCTTCAGTGGTACAATAACAGTAGTTTAGCCTTATCTATATCACTACACGTAAAATTCTCAGTGACAGCATTTTTAGGTCAGCCTTTAAAATATAAGCAACAGAGTGATTAAAAAGCCCTTCAAGTTTCTACCTGTTACACTTGCAACTCTAGTTCTTCTTCCTAGAGGTCTGGCGTCCCTTTGTGATGATTGCATATTATACTCTCAAATAGCATGCGTTCAAGTCAAATGAAATAAGAATAAATGGGAAAGTATCATGAGTCTCTGGAAGGTACTTAGGGGACTATGGGCAATAGAAAGAAAATGTAGGAGCTGAGACTCTTAAAGACAGGACCTCTGTGAATCAGGGCTCACTGGGTGGGATTAACTTGGGACCATACTGGAGCCTACTAATCACATCCCAAAACCTAAATGTGGAAGAATTTATTGTTTCTATACAATTTTGTCCCTAACATTGAAAATGCCTATGAGAATTTGTTCTTTATGCTAAAACAATAATTGGAATGCTGTCCTATTGGGGAAAAAGTTGGCAAATATCAACTTTGAAGAGTTTAACATACTTTCCTTTAGCAATTAAGAAAACAAATACTCTTCATTGGTGAAAAAAACTATTGGATTCTATATCCTATTTAGAATTCCCTATAAGACTTAGGTAGAGTGTTTGTACAAAAAGCTTATTGATGAAAGGTATAGGCACATGGGATTATTAGGGAAGGTTTTATGAACATGAAAGAGAGCAGATAATGAGTACAAATGTACAGCTAGAGGAAATAAGACCTGGTCTTTGATAGATCAGTGACTACAGTTAACGTTAATACCTAGTACACTTAAATAGTCTTTAAATACCCTTTAATTTTGTTATTTCAATTCTGGATATTTACCCATGTAATGAATTGTGTTATTTTACTTCTAGATATTTACCCCTAATATTTTTAGTGGCAATTTGACAATAGTTCTGACTTAGATAGGGCTGGCTAGGAAAGCAGGTTAAAGGCTGCGTAATTATATTGGTAGTAAAAATAAATGGACATGGAGATGTGGCATCAAGGGAAAAACACATAACAGTTCTTTTAAGACAGAAGAAAATCCCAACACTTCACATATTTCATATAAAACATTGGCACCTGCATTCAAAAAACTTTATGTCTTTATTACAGCCATGCTGCATTATAATGAAGGGTACGTGTGTGGTTGCATATGCATGTGTACACACATATGTGTGGATTTCAGACCTCTAACATTTTACAACCACTCTAAAACAATTTTTTGTGTAAGCAAGCATATTTAGAAGGTTATAAATATGTACATATATCTGTATTTATCAAATTGGATATTTCTGGATTTTAATAATTGTTACATTTGGAAAAACAGTTATAATTTTATTCTTTATAGTAAACTATATGACATTTGTTGTATTTTTATAATAAGTGTCAGTTAATTGTATAATGAAAAGAAAAGTGTCCTAGATATAATATTGAATATTGTTTGGGAAGCAGATTGCACAATATTTTGTGAAAATAAATTTCACAGCAACACAGCAATTTTTATGCAGTTCTAAACATACATACAAATATAGACATTATATTTATTCAAATCCCAACTCATTACTATTTTGTAATCTCCCTCACCCAAAACTCCCATAATAATTTAATAATAAAATGATTGTCACAAAACAATAACAACAATGAAACTTGGTGCTAGACTATATTTTGGAGAATAGAAAAGGACACTTTCATAGAAGATATCCTTTTTCTCTTTTAAAACTATATTGATAACATTACAGTACACTGAAATTTGGAAGTTGGAACTAGGGAAATTATGTAGAGAACAGACCATTAGTTCTATGTGGTAAATGCTGAATTGGCGTTGTCTTTGAAATGACTAATTGAAAATTTCAAGTAGATGGTTGGATATGAAAACCTAGATTTTATAGAATTCTGGATTTCAGATATAAATGAGAAGTCAGAAGAAGTAAAATTATGGAAATGACAGATATAGATATAGTCTCATTCACTTAACATCTTCAGTGATTTCTTTGAATAAAATGATTCTAGATTCTGGGGAATAAAAACAAATGGAAGACAGTCTTTCTTTAATTTCAAGATATATCTACTAGAAAGAAAAACAAAAGCAAAAACCTTTACCGTATATGAAACCATACACAGCACTTGGGGGCTATGCATTGTAATTGCATGTTAAGGAACATGACAATAACTTTGTCACTAACCACAGAGTTTAATCTATCTGCGGGTTAGTTTATGAGTGTCAAACTTTGTAAGTTAGCACTGACATAATGCTTGATATGTTCCAGTCACTCCTCTGAATGCTTTGGATGCAGTAACTAACTTATTCTTTCCAGTAGCCTGATGAGGTATTATTCCATTATCCACATTTCACAGAGGAGAAACTTAAGCCACAGGCAGGACCTTGTCCAAGCCCATGGAGTTAGTAAGTATCAGAGCTGGAGTCCACACCCAGACAGCCTAGCTCTAGAATTTATGTTCTGGACCACTTCAAAATAATGACTCTGAACTTATTCTTCACATATACCAAAATAAAATCAGAAGGGCAAAACAATTGTAATGTTACAGATTTGTAAGGGCTTTCTTAATGTTCATTTTTTTAGGCACTTCCATTTTTAGGGATTATTATTATTATTATTAATGTAGGAAGAATGCATTGCAAGATGTCCAGCTGGGCTAAGCATGCTGGGCTTCCCTGTGAGTGCATCTTCCCTTGAGAGGAGCTGTCATTCTGCATCTGGGCTGTGTTTCTGCATCTGGGCTGTGTTTCTCAGGGGCTTCTGACTTGTGTGGAGAATCACACACTGGGGAGCAATGTTAGAGGACAGAGAGCAAACAAGATGTGGGCAGGATAGAAAGGAAAGGAGTAATGTGTTTGTTCCTATGGGATAAGCCCTCCTACTGTCACAGAAGTTGCTACTGTACAAAATGCTCAGTGGTTTGAATTTCCTGAAAAATACAGGGAAGACATGGTTATAAATACAGGGAAGACATGGTTATAAACTCAGGATTTTGTTTAGGGGAAACAGTCCAAAAGGATTTCAAAACATGAAGTCAGAGAAATGCAAGGACTCCACAAAATTTGAAAGAAACTTGTAACAATCCATGCCGTGAGAGACTTGATTTGACCCTGAAAAAATACATTATCACATATGGATAAGGAATATATTAGTCTATTTTCATACTGCTATGAAGAAACACCTGAGACTGGGTAATTTATAAAGAAAAGAGATTTAACCAACTCACCATTCCACATGGCTAAAGAGGCCTCACAATCAAGGTGGAAGGTGAAGGAGGAGCAAAGGCATGTCCTACATGATGGCAGGCAAGGGTGCCTGTGCAGGGGAACTGCTCTTTATAAAACTATCAGTCCTTGTGAGACTTATTCACTGTCATGAGAACATCACAGGAAAACCTGCCCTCATGATTCAATTAACTCCCATCAGGTCCCTCACACGACATATGGGGAATACGGAAAGTACAATTCAAGATGAAATTTGGGTAGGGACACAGGCAAACCGTATCCTTCTGCCCCTGACCCCTGACAAATTTCATGTCCTCACATTTCAAAACCAATTATGACTCCCCAACAGTCCCCCAAAGTATTAACTAATTTCGGCATTAATTCAAAAGTCCACAGTCCAAAGTCTCATCTGAGACAAGGCAAGTCCCTTCAGCCTATGAACCTGTAAAATCACAAGCAACTTAGCTCCTTTCTAGATACAGTGGAGGTACAGGAATTGTGTAAATACACCCCTTCCAAATGGAAGAAATTGACCAAAACAAAGGGGCTACAGACCCCATGAAAGTATGAAATCCAATAGGGACTCATTAAACCTTAAAGTTCCAAAATGATCTCCTTTGACTCTATGTCTCACATTCAGGGCATGCTGATGCAAGAAGTGGTCTCCCATGGCCTTGGGCAGCTATGCCTCTGTGGCCTTGCAAGGTACAGCTTCTCTCCCAGCTGCTTTCACAGGCTGGCATTGACTGTGTGCAACTTTTCCAGGTGCACGGTGCAAGGTGTCAGTGGATCTACCATTCTGGGGTCCAAAGAGGGTAGTGGCCCTCTTCTCACAGCTCCACTAGGCATTGCCCCAGTTGGGACTCTGTGTGGGGGCTTGCACTCCACATTTCCCTTCTGCACTGCCCTAACAGAGGTTCTCTATGAGGGCCCCACCCTTGCAGCAAACTTGTACTTGGACATCCAGGCATTTCTATACATCCTCTAACATCTAGACAGAGGTTCCCTAAGTTCAATTCTTGATTTCTGTGCACCTGCAAGCTCAACACAACATGAAACCTGCTAAGGCTAGAGGCTTGCACCCTCTGAAGAAATGGGCTTAGCAGTACCTTAACCCCTTCCCATGCCTGGAGCAGGTGAGAGGCAGTCCCAAGGCTGCACACAGCTGGGAGCCCTGGACCTGGCCCAGGAAACCATTTTTCTCTCCTTGACCTCTGGGCCTGTGATGGGAGGGGCTGCCATGAAAGGCTCTGACATGCCCTGGAGACATGTTCACCATTGTCTTAGTGGAAAACATTTGGCTCCTTATTTCTTATGCAAATTTCTGCAGAAGGCTTGAATTTCTCCACAGAAAATGGGTTTTTGTTTTCTATCACATTCTCATGCTGCAAGTTTTCCAAACTTGTATGCTTTGCCTTGTCTTGAATGCTTTGTTGCTTAGAAATTTCATCCCTCCATATACCCTAAATCATGTCTCTCAAGTTCAAAGTTTCAAAGATCTCTAGGGCAGGGGAAAAATGCCACCAGTCTCTTTGCATAACAAGAGTGACCTTTACTGTAGTTCTCAACAAGTTTCTCATCTCCATCTGAGACCACCTTAGCCTGGACCTTATTGTCCATTTCACTATGAGCATTTTGGTCAAAGCCATTCAACAAGTCTCTAGGGAAGTTTCAAACTTTCTCATATTTTCTTGTCTTCTTCTGAGCCCTCCAAACTGTTCCAACCTCTGCCTGTTACCCAGTTCCAAAGTCACTTCCACATTTCCGGGTATCTTCATAGCAGTACCCCACTCTATCAGTACCATTTTCCTCTATTAGTCCATTTTCATACTACTATGAAGAAATACCTGAGACTGGGTAATTTATAAACAAAAAATGTTTAATGAACTCACAGTTCCACATGACTGGAGAGGCCTCACAATTGTGGTGTAAGGCAAAGGAGGATCAAAGGCACATCTTACATGGCAGCAGGTAAGTGTGCATGTGCAGGAGAAATGCCCTTTATAAAACCATCACATCTTGTGAGACTTATTCACTATCATGAGAACAGCATGAGAAAGACCCACTCCCATAATTCAATTACCTCCCACTGGGTCCTTCCTAAAACACATGGGGATTATGGGAGCTACAAATTCAAGGTGAGATTTGGGTGGGGACACAGCCAAACCACATCAAGGAAACAGCAACAAACTGATTTAAAATTTTGGCCAAGTCAAATAAGAATTTAATATCTTGGCTGAATCAAGAATATCATGTTCCTGAAAAATAGTACACAATTAGTTATATTACATTATGTTGCTGTTCAGGCACTATTTTAAATATGATTATTTTAAATGCCATTTAAAATAAGGACTTTTGCTATGAATTGGAATAATTAGACATCTACTATCCTTTAAAAATTTTGTCATGAAATTAAAGAAAATTTAATATCTTCTTGAATTTTTTGATAAAATAATAGAAATTGCAACATTCACTTTTGATTTCTTCAAGATAGGTTTTACAAAGTAAAATTTCAAAGATGCATCACATTTTTTTCTTTTTGTCTGAGACAGAGTCTCGCTGTGTTGCCCAGGCTGGAGTATAGTGGCACAATCTTGGCTCACTGCAACTTCCGTCTCTTGGGTTCAAGTGATTCTCATGTCTCAGCCTTCCAAGTAGCTGGAATTACAGGCACACCCCCATGACCGCCTAATTTTTGTATTAATATTTTGAGTAGATATGGGGTTTCACCATGTTGGCTATACTGGTCTTGAACTTCTGACCTCAAGTGATCCACCCACTGAAGACTTCCAAAGTTCTGGGATTACAGGAATGAGCTACTGTGCCCTGCTTCAAATATTTTATTGCATTATTTTTCAAGATAAGATAAATAAGAAGTACCCAAGGAAGTTAAAATGTTTCCAGAGGTTATCTTACATAGGACATGAAAGAGAGCAGGAAAGAGGGCAATTAGATTCAGGAGTGTGAGAAAGTGCATAATTGTGCTCTACATATGCACACAGTGCTGGGGTTAGGTTTTGAATGTATGTGAACTGATTTACATCTCTAAAAAAAATCACAACTTACTTAAGGTCTTTCTAAAATACCATTTACATTTGCTGGACTTGCCTGCTGCATTTTAAACCACCACTGAATGCCCAGTTCATCGTCTCCTGTGGGTGCCAAAAGGACCAGAAAGCCACACTTCTTTCAGCTCACTTCAACACCATTTTCTTGGCATCTCTTGATTACTCATTGTGTGGCAGTCAGACCTGCTGTGAGAGTGATTCCAGCATTAAAAGCTGTTGTCACCACATTTTATTAATGTTCCCCAAGATATTCAGTGATCCTACACTTTTCTGAAATTGTAAAAATCAGCTACCTAAACCAACATACTTCTCTGGGAAAAACTACCAAGACATTTATTAGCTCTACAAATTAAAAAAAAAATACCTTGTCCCTCACAACCTATAATTTCTTAGTTTAGGGCTGAAGTTAATATTTTTGTGGAAGGATATTCATTGTGAAATACTTTTCTCATAGGTTAAACTATTATGAGATATTTTAATTTCGTTAAGAGTAGTAAATCAATCCATATTTTATTAACATCTTAAGTTCACATTACGCATGCTCTATTGGCATAATTGTTAAAATCAAAAGACTTGGCATTAGATACAAAATGCTTAAGTATTTAGAAAATTTCTTCTTTAATTTTTTGATAGGCTGTGGGTTTACATATTTAAAATAACATATCGCTATATCTGTCTATCTGTCTATGAATCTATCATCTATCTATCTCTGTCTTCTATCTACCTAATTTGCCCATTTTCCCCTGGTCCTGAGATGCTATGCTGAATGTTGATTAATACATATCATCATCCCTAAATCCTAGTCATCCTAGTTGGAACATTTTTTTCAACATTGATGGGTGTGTGTGTGTGTGTGTGTGTGTGTGTGTGTGTGTGTGTTTTAATTTTGACAAGTATCATAAGCTCCCACAATCTCAATTTCCCAGAGAGAAATTTCAAATGTAAAGAAATGTTGAAAGAAAAATACCAGCTAGATAAATTTGGCAAAGACTGGCCATATTTGTCCTCTCTCTCCTCTTTTTCTCTGTCTCCCACCACATTTCTCACCTTCCACTTTCTCCTTCTCTCTCTCTCTCTCTTTCATACACACACACACAAACACACAAACACACACACGCACATACACACCTGGTATATAATTTGAAATTACACCTGCTTTACATCCAAATACAATGGCATTCACCTTGGGAATAATGAGGACAATTATCATCCTTTAACAATGTATTTGCCTGAAGCAATAGTTAATATTATACACAGAGCTGCAAAATGCAGGGTCCCTTTTTACCATCCCTTCTATGTTTATTAGATAGCAGTTTTCTTAAAAAAAAAAGGTCTTCCCTTTTTTCCTATTTAATCACTATTTTTGTGCAGCACTATTTATGGTCTTAGATGTTTTATTACATAAAGCAAAACAATCAATACCAATGCATTGACCAATCTTAAAAAACATTAAATAATTTTAATGTCATATAGTACACGTACATATTTACCCAACTGTTACAAGAGTCTATGTTATTCTTTACATTTTTTAAATCCAGAGCACCATTCAATCCAGTTCAAACTTTGCAATGGGTTGTTATGTCTGCTAAGAGGCCCTTGTTCATGACATTGGGTTTTTGAAGACCCATGAAGAGTGAGTTTCCTCATAGACTATTTTTTACTCTCAATTTGTCTGTTTGATTCCACATGTTGTTTTATTCAATTCTCTATTGCTGCATTTCCTACAAACAGGAAAAATGTCTGGAAGCTTGATTGCATTTCTGTTAAAGTGTTGGGGATTTTAGAGGTGATTTTGTGTATAATCTATTGCATCCTATTGGGGGCTATACCATCTGATGTCCCACTATTAATGATGTTTTGTTTGATCAATTTGCTAAGGTGGTATTGGCCAGATCTCTCCATGGAATCTTAAGAAGAGTGTTTCATATCTATGTTTTCAGTTGTTCTTATCTTCTTTGCTTCAACAGCTCTCTGATGCATTTACACAGATACGTTTTTTTTTGTATGTCTTTTACTTGGCTTTCTTCTTGATCTTATTAGGACCTTGGGTTTGACACAAGCTATTCTTCTCATCTAGATCAGAGGTCTTCTCTTTTATAATGTGTCCTTTATTGTGAGCACTTCTGTGATTTCTGGTATAACTAGATATCTCATTTTCTACTATTCCTTTCCTGAACTTTTGATCAGACATTTCTCTAAGAATTTCTGCCTCCTTTTCATGGGGACTGGTACGTATGAAAATGTGCAGCATAGCCACCACGCTGCACATTTTCTGTTCCCTGCCTACATCTCAACTCTCATCTTGTATCATCTTTTCCTAGTTTCTGAGATTCTGGCCTGATACTCATTTATTCTCATGCGCTGTGTTGTCATTACCAAAAAAACTTGTCTAAAGTTGTTCTTTCAGATTGCAATGTTTCTCTCTCCTTCTCTCCCCACCTTTTATTTCTGAGCATAGGACATATATATAACCTATATAATACTCTTCATAATTTGAAGAGTAATTAAAAGTGCTTACTCACGATCCGTGCTGTAACTTCAGATAGGGAACAATCGAGCATCCTACAGGATACCTCTAAACTCCCAGAACAACCAGCAAGCTAAATGTTATACTAAATATATCCTTTTTCTATTTTATTTTTTATCATAAATGTAATTAATGCTATACATATAGTATGTATGTATACATATTTGGATTATATAACTGAAATTTTTCGGTTGTATGTATTTTTCTGCAACCTGTCTTTTCACTGAATATTTCATTTTTAACATTGTGTGATTTTATTGGTGCAAATAATTTTCATTGTTGTGTACTGCTCTACTTTATAAATCTATTATTATACATTTATGTATTCTCTTGTCAATGAAATTGTGATTTCCTGACATTTTTTTCTTTTTTCTTTTTAAACACACATAGCTCCAAGGGCAGATGAACTTGTTTCTGTAAGGCATATTTCTATGTATCAAATTATTGGTTTATAGAGTGCGGAGATATTCCACTTTGTTTCAAAATACAAATGTTTAAATATTTATATCATTTATATTCACTAGAGCAGGCTGTGATGACTTCTGTTTTTCCATATTCTTAGGAATATATGGTAATGCCTGAAATTAAGTTTTGAAAGTCTAGTGATTTTAAAATCATATTTTATATGTTTGATATACATTTTCCTGATTGCTAATAATATTAACATTTCATATTTTTATCTGCCACTTACGTATTTTTTCTTGTGAAATACCTATTCATGTTTTTCCCCTTTACTCAAATGAGTCATTTGTCATTCTTTTTTAGTTATCTGTCTGAATATTGATACTTTATCTGCAATATTACAAGGATTTTCTCTCTGTTTGTAATTGTTTTTCCATTTTACCTATCATGTCTTGTGATGAACCAAGGTTTTAAATTTCCAAGTAGTCTAATTTATACATCTTTTCCTTATGGGTTGCATTTTTATGTATTTTAAAAAGGATTCCTCCATATTCCGAGGTTATACATATATATTTCTAAAATTATTTAGTTTTTCCTTATATATTGATGTCTTTAATCTTTCTGTAATTTATTTTTGGGCATGATATAAAGCAGAGATCCAATTTATCTACTTCTTTGTAATTTGTGATTATGCAATTATGCCACTACCATTTATTAAATAGTCCATCTTCTCACCCACTACTCTGTACTGCATCCTACATTCTACATTACCTTCCCATATATGTCTGGGTGCTCTGTTCTGTGCTATTGATATATTTGACTACACACAAACACACACACACAATTTAATTATTCTGAAGACTTAATATTGGTGTACTAAAAGTCTGATACTTAGGAGGCTAAATTCCAACTGACTAGGATTTTTTCTTTTTCAGAATTTTCATAACTATTCTTAGACTTTTGTTTTCACAAATAAATTTTAGAAGAAAATCTCATAAACTTCTCTGGTAAAAAAAAAGACCTATTGGACTATGAATGGGATTTTGTTGACTCTATAGTTCATTTGTGGTGAACTGACATATGTACATGATTTAATTATCTAACCATGATTATTATATTTAATTTGTTTTAATAAAGACTTATAATGAAGCTCGTAAAGGCCATATCCACCTTTTCTTGGATTAAGTCCTTAGTTCCTTAAATATATGTTTTTTATTTTATTCCTTGATAAAACTGGATAACATTTTCTACCTGCTCAATACTATTGGGTAGAAATGCAATTACTTTGTATATTGATATGACCACTATTAAACATATACAACTCTATTTTGTCTGAAGATTATTTGTGTTGTTTTTACTTTGACAATCATATCTGAACATTTTATACATAATAGATATCTATATGATATGTATATACATATTATATACATAATAGATATAGTATCTTCACAGACAATCATTAGCTATGTGTGCATGTATATATATAAACATATATGTGTGTGTGTACATATACTAGTTATGTGTATACATAGCTAGTGTGTATATAGCTAGTATATACACACATACACATATATATACACATATTTGTGTTATACACACATACAGTGATTGTACCTGTGAAGATACTATATATTTATAATACACACTAGTTATGTGTATATATAGCTAGTGATTGTGTGTATATATGTACATAAACACACATAGCTAGTGTGTATATACATGCATAATATAGAAATATATATACTATCTTGTATCTTGCATCTATATACTATCTTGACAGATACAATACATCTTTCAATATACAGATATAGTGATTATATATGGACATAAACATAGCTGGTGTATATATGCTGTATCTTGACAGATACAATCACTAGCTGTGTGTATAAAGATAGGCGTTTACAGCTGGAGACTGGATGTGTCAAGGTGTATGATATGAATCCTCACAGTCATTAGCTGGCAGAGAAATATTGTTAAGAAGCAGGCTTTTGATCAACTAACACTATTGGAAAATAACTTGAATTCATAAAATATAAAGAATATCGCCTCTCAAGAAGTAAGTAACAAAATGAGAAACTGAGAACAGAAAACAGACAAGGAACATTTTTTAAAATTTACTTTAGGCCTATTTACTGACAAGTAAAACGCGATTCACCCTGAGCCTGAAACACGACAATCGCTTCTGCTTCAGCTATTAATCTCCTACTGCATGACCTCTGTACATATACTCCACGACCAAAGCACTGAATAGTAAGTTGTTCTAAAAACACAAAACAAATAAAAAGAAAGCTAGGTTAAAAACTTTTTATTTTATATGATTTTTAAATAGTTTATTTACAAATCCATCAGTCCTTACAGAAAATGGAGAAGGAAACTTAGGTGGCCTCTTTGGGGCTCATTATGGAAAGTGCATACTGTTTACGTAATAATTACGATTAACCCACATATGTCTTAACAAACAACCTAAGAACAGAATGACAAAAAGTAAAGGATATGATGTAGATTTATAAGTGAAATCAGAAAGATTCATGATGTTTACTTTAGATAAAGAGAAGACAACCAGTACATATAATGAAGCAAATCATTTTAAACTACTATAAAGGCAATTATAAAAGACATTGCTTTTAAAAGCACCATTAACTTTTCTCCTTTAAATTGAGTCCTGGTTAGTAAGTACTATTCCTGTGAAAAAGAATGTAAGAATTCACAAAATTCAGTAAATAAATCTAATTAACCACATTTTAATTTTTTAAATAATTTTCTCAACTGTGGAAAATCGACCTAACTGACTTTGACATGTGGAAAATGTGCTTTGATGTATAAAAATTAAAGTATAATAGAAAAGAATCCTCTTGCCTACTCCTACTTATCCTGTCTCATAAAGAAATTATAAAGCAATGAATTTAAAATGGGTCAGATGAAAACCATTTAAACTGTAATACATATAATCAATTCAAGTAAGTTAGTGCTACAGGCTTATTGAGACAAATTCTTTATCAAGATATAATGCACTAATAAGAATAGAATGTACCGTTACTGTGGATAATGCCTTGAAGACAATGTAATTTTACTTTATAACATTATAATCATCAACCCTTTTCCTGATGCCTACTGGGCACACACCACTGCTGTTAAAAAAAAAAAAGTGGCAGGAAAAGGGGAGTCTAAATATGGATACAACTTCCAAGAATTTACAATCTAGGGACATGTAAATCATTTCCTTAAAATTATAAATGTATTCTCATATGAATTAGGCTTCTAAAATATCTCAGTCTTCTTGAGATTTTTCCTTTGCAATATAAGACAATAGTTTTGGAGAGGAGTTTCTGGTCTGATTATGTGGCTTTTTCCCCCAAGCACAGCTAATAAAAATGCAAAATTCTGACACATTGTCTGTTACCTTCCTTAATGTCATGAAATAAAATTGTATTGAGGATCTTAGGTAAAGCCATATGCAGAAAAGCATTATTCAACAGTTTGCTAAAGCTGGTGAGAATTTTGAACAATTCATGACAAGTTTAAGAAATCAAGTTCTATAAAACACGAGGGATGACGTTATGTAACAATGCAGTGTTATATGATCTGAGAGTGCTTATTCTTTATAGAAGTGTAAATTAATTCTTGGTAATTTGAAAACATGGTCTGTTTTGGACATGTAAGATATATGATGCTTTCTAGCAGGGAACATAATATCTGTGTGAATTAGTTAGATATCTTTTCTGTGATAAGAAAAATAATCTACACCTGGGAATACTTCCAGTTGTTCAGAGTGAAACATACTAGGAGTGGCATTTTCCTCTTTGCGTCAATTCAAAAGGTTAAATTTTGTCTCAACCTATGAAATGTGATATATTAGTTCAAAATATTTACTGAGCACTATAATGAGAACAGCACTTTTCAGATCTTAGGGTGTATTGGTAAATAAAATGAGTAAAGATTCTTGCTTTTAGAAGTAATATTCTAGCATTGAGAAACCGATCAATTAAAATATGCCTAAAACAAATATATTTTACAGTTTGCTGGCCTGTGATATGTACTATGGAATAAAGAACAAGCAGAGTGGGGTAAGGAGGATCAGGAACACCAAAGGAGAGAAGGAGGAGGTCATTGTAGTATCTAGGATGCTTAGAATGAGCTCATGCAGAAAGTATCATTTGACCAAAAAATAAATAAATAAATAAAAAGGAAGGGGAGGATATCTAGGGAGAGGTTGTTCCAGGCAGAGAAGTAAGCCAGTACAGCCCATCTGAAAAGGAGAACAGTCTGTGATTGAGGAATGACCAGAATACTGGTGAAGGTGAGGTCAATGTGAGCCAGTGATCATGAGAAGGAGGAGGTGAGGTGAGAGGTGTTTGAGAGGCCGGATCCTGTTGGGCTTCATGGGCCATAGTGAGGACCTTGGTTCTACTGTGAATTAAAGGGGAGGCACAGAAGACTTTGGAGCAGAGGAGTGACCTAATCTGAGTTACACTTTAGAAGGTGATATGGTTTGGCTGTGTCCCCACCCAAATGTCATCTTGAATTGTAGTTCTCAAAATCTCCACTCGTTGTAGGAGGGACCCTGTGGGAAGTAACTGAATCATGGGGGCAGTTACCCCATGCTGCTGATTTGCAGCTAGTGAGGGACTTCTCACGAGATCTGAAGGTTTTATAAGAGGCTTTTCCCCCTTTTACTCGGCACTTCCTGTTGTCATTATGTGAAGAAGGACGTGATTGCTTCCCCTTCCACCATGATTGTAAGTTTCCTGAGGCCTCCTCAGTCATGGTGAACTGTGAGTCACTTAAACCTGTTTTATTTATAAATTACCGAGTCTCGATGTGTGTTTATTAGCAGCTTGAGAACGTACTAATACAGGAAGCTCACTTGGTTCTCTGTGAGAAATAGCAAGCAGAGTAGTAGTGAGAAGGTGATGTTGTAACCTGGGCTATTTAGGATGGTGACTCATGTCAGAGAGGTGCAGATCAGATGGTGAGGAGTGCTTCAGTTTTTGTATGTATTTTGAAGATTGTTCTGAATATTTTTTATGTTTTACTTTGATTGGTTGGGGGTATCATAAAAGAAAAAAGAATTAAGGGTGTCTGTAATGTTTTAGGTGAACAATTTTAATTATTTAATTATTTTGATTTCCTCATCTGAATTGTAGAAGCCTGTGGTGAAAAATTCAAGGAAGATCAGGCATCAGTTGGGGTTGTGTGGAATTTGAGATATCTCTTTGGAAATGTCAAGCAGTGGGTTGGATATATGAGTTTGCAGAGGCTTAGACACTTAGGCAGGATGTACAATTTTGAGAGACATCAGCACAGAGATGATTCATAAAGTCATGGAACTGGATGAGACATAGAATAATACATAGAAGATAAAGGACATAAGACTAAACAGTGGGGCACTGCAATATTAGGAAGTCAAGTATAAAAGAAGAACCCATTAAATAAACTGAGGGAGAGTGACTCAAGTGAAGTAGAAATAAAACCAAGAAATGTTGTGTCCTGGAAGCCCAGTGAAGAGAGTTTCTTGAAGGAGAAGAAGTGGTCAACTGTGCCAATTTCTGTCTTTAGGCCAAATAAATAAAGACTGAGAACTGGCCATTGGTTTTAGCAACATTAAGATCATTGATGATCTTGTTAAAAGCAGGATTTTTTTTTTCATGGAGAGATGGGTTTAAGGGACTGGAGGGGGTAATTAGAAACATATAATATTAAAAACTTTTTCAAAAATATTTGCAGCAAGGGGAACAGGGAATGGAGTGGTAGATAGCAAGGAAGTGGGATAAAGAAAAGGTTTTAGGGTTTTTGTTTCTTTATAAAGGAGAAAATAAAGTTGATCATTTATATTAATGGAGACAATCCAATAGAGAGGCAATATTTGATGCCGTAAAAGAGAGAACTGAGAATTGCTCAGAGCTATGTATCTGAGAAAAGATTCAAATTTAGTAAGCAGTAGAAGAATGGTCTTTAGAAAATAACAGACATATCTCAACAACTGTTGGAGGTGTGTACAAAATATGGAGTCAGGTGTTGGTAGGTAGGTGCAATGGTATGGAATGGAAGCTACGGAGTTTCTCTTTTAACTGCTTTGATTTTCTCAGTTAAGAACAATGCAGCATTTTCAGCTGAATGAAGTGGGTGGGAAGATGTTGAGATTCAAGAAGAGGTGATGTTATTTAAACAGCAAGGAAGAAGGAGAATGAATAAACTTGAAACCTTTAGTGTAACTTTCAGATAGCATTATAAGACCATGTAGGTCCATAATCATGATTTTTTTTTTAAGGTGAGATAAATCAGACTGATTCTGTGTCTTCCTCCAGCCACCTTCAATGGCTGTGATACAGGTGTGGTCTGAATAGACTTAGATTTCTGCCCATGTCAAGAAAGATGGGGGCAAGGAAAGGAGTATAAAAGTTGACCTGAAATTTAAGCTAGATTTCTCACCGTCAAGGGGATAAGAAACAATGAAAGAATGGGATAATTAATTACTTACATGTTTTGTTAGGTAAAAGGATTGTTAGGAGCAAGATACAATCAGAAGTTAGCTGAAAATATAGGTGGTTGGCAAGCATTTAGAGATGCTTTGCAGTTTATATTATAGATAACAGCAAATTTTTTCAACACAGTCCTAGAAGTGCGAGGAGAAAGGCAAGATTTACAGAGGAGAGGAGTACAATGAGTGAGAGGGTCAGAGTACAGGAAATCCCATCTACACATAGATTGAAATCACCAAGACTTAAGGCAGAGGTAATTTTTGATAAAATTATATTAGCCTGGAGGTAAAATGTCCATAAATATAGAAATATGACCCAAGCATTAACAGTTGACAACAGCAATGTAACTAGTTGGTGACATAATAATATTATCATTATTTTAAACTAAGGAGAATGAATATTCTGAAAGTTGTCATGAGAAGCTAGGAATCCCCTAACTCACCTCCTTGCCCAGAGAGACATAAGATGATTCAGAAGAAAATCAGCCACCCTGAGAAGGCTTCAGGGGAAGCAGCATCATTAGAGCACATGTAGGTTAAGGAGGCATTCAGGGAGTGGAATTAGGATATAGGGGTGTTGCTGAAAATGGTCCCCAAATTTCAGAGCATACAGAAATTTTAGAGGTTGGAGAGAAATATAAAAAAAAAATAGAGAATAAATTTATGAAGCGACGTGAAGAGGCTTACAACTCAGATAATTAAAGACCTGGAGGTCTTAGGTGCCTTCATGACTGCCCTCAACTGGCATAAAAAGTCATTATGAATTCAAGACAGCGGTGATGTGGCTATAGGTCTTAGAGGGCAGGAATTGGTGAGTGTCTGGGCCTTGTTGATGATTATGATGATGGTGGTAAATTGGTTGTTTCATAATGATGAAGGTAGATTGTCCCATGTCATGGTGGAGATGGGGATTCCATGATAATAAAAGCAGTTGGTCCCATTATGACAGAGGTAGTTGGTCCCATGATGATGAAGGTAGTTAGTCTTATGATGATGAAGGTAGATGGTTCCAGGATGATGGAGGTAGTTGGTTCTATGATGGTGGAGGTATTGGGTCCTATGATGATGGAGGTAGATGGTCTCATGATGATGGAGAGAGATGGTCCAAAGACGATGGAAGTAGTTGATCCCATGATGTTGAAGGTAGTCTCATGATGATCAAGGTAGATGGTCCCAGGGTGAAGGAGGCAGTTGGTCCTATGATATTGAAGGTAGTTGGTTTCATGATAATTGAGGTAGATGGTTCCGTGATAATAGAGGTGGATGGTCCCATGATAACAGAGATGGGTGGTCCTATGATAATGCAGGTGGATAGTCCCATGACAATGGATGTATGTGGTTGCCAGAAGGCATAGCCTTAGTCCCAGTGTAGATTCACTCTCTGACCTCTTTAGGGAAGGAACATTATCTTTCTGAGTAAGTGTTGTTCAAATTGATTCTTATGGATAAACTTGAGGGAATTTTAGATAGTTGAGTAACACCAAGTATTTAAGTCCCCTGTTCATCATAGTTGATAGGAATAAATGCTTCACTGGTGTTATCTGAAGTAATATTAGTGTGAAGTGATTCCTCAAGGGACTTTCAATTTCAAAGTTTAGGTGGGAAAAATGGAATAATATAGAAATTATCAGAATTTTTGTGTAACTAAAATTTTATTTCTGAGATTTAAATGATAATTCTGTTAAGTCACAGAGAATGTTTTAATGAAACATTTTATTAGATTCTAATCAGTTTTCAAACTTTCTCAGTTTTTAGTCAATTTATGTTGTAAGCTGTTAAAATAAACATTTATTAATTTTACAGGATATTGAAATTTTCATATAATTTCAGAGATACCAGAGATGTATGTGTGAAGCATATATTTGAAAATCAGAAATACCTCATTTAATATATATTGTGCAAAAATCCATTTTGTAATAATTAATTCAGCTCAATTCAGATAAAATATTTTAAATTAATTTAGTATTAACAATGTTCTGTAAAAGAAGGATATGAATAATACATGTGGATTCTTGTGTAATAAGAAAAATTGATAGAAGTGTAACTTTTTGTATGCCCAGTCACCTTATCTTATTCTTACATTTGGTTGGGGCAGAAACTTATTTCTTACAATGAATGCTGAAAAAGTTCCCAAATTGCATTTCTTAGTACTTAAAATTAGGTCAAAATAGTGTGACCCAAAACTTGAATCAGATGCATATCCTACTCTGGAAAAGAATGTGGAAAAAATAATAATGCAAAAGAGACATACAAACACACACACACACCGAGAGAGAGAGAGAGAGAGAGAGAAAGAGAGAGATGCAGGTGGTTGACTGCATTTGAAAAATAAACACAAGAGATCTCAAACTCAATACTAATATCAAGTAGCAGTTGTCCGAGTTTCAAAGTTGGAATCTAATATCCAACCAGTAATGCCAGGAGTGATATCCCAGGAGTGATATCCCAGGACCAGCACCAGAACTGGCCATGGTTACAGGGTACACATCACATGTGTAGCAGTGGTGATGGTATTCTAACAAGTCTTTTAAGTGGTATGATTTCTACAGTGATTATAATCACTGAATCACATTTGTGTTTGTCAATTTCCTTAACCAGATTTTTCTGCCTTGCCCAGAATTCAGGTACTAGACATCCTGGTATAATACACAGTGGAGAAATAGCTGTTTAACACATGACATAAAGTGTGCATTGAAAAACAGGGCTTTGGCGGATGTGCAGAGAGCTCTCCTGGCCTCTCCAGACATACTCTCCATCTTTCCTCACACTGCTTTTTGCCTGAAAGGATGATCTCTAAGAACTATGTCTACAGGTTCTCTCAAGCTTTTGGTTACGTTACACCCAAAGTAGGCACTGATGGAAGACTGGACCACAGAAAAGTGAGGTGTGTTCCCTGGGTCCATCCCTGCCAGGCTACAGAATTGCAATGATGGTATTTCCCTACCAAGGGCTGCAGTTTCTGTAAAGGGGGCCTCTTCTTCATAGCCAGTTCCTTCCGTGGCCCTGTGGGTGATGTCGTAGTTTCCTGTGGCTGCTGTAATAAAGCCTGCAAACTGGGTGGCTTAAATCAACAGATAATATAAGGAACTTAAACAATTCATCAAGCAAAAAAGAAATAACCCCATTAAAAAGTGGGCATAAGACATGCACAAACACTTCTTGAAAGAAGACATACAAGCAGCCAACAGACATGAAAGTGCTCAACATCACTAATGATCAGAGAAATGTAAATCAAAACTACAAGAAGATACCATCTCACACCTCAATCAGAATGGCTATGAATAAAAAGTCAGATAACAACAGATGTTGGCATGGCTGTGCAGAAAACGGAATACTTGTACACTATTGGTGGGAATGTAAATTAGTTTAGCCTCTGTGGAAAGCAGTTTGGAGATTTCTCAAAGAGCTTAAAACAGAGCTACTAGTTACCCCAGCAATCCCATTGCTGTGTATATGTTCAAAAGAAAATAAGTTATTCTACCAAAAAGACACATGCACTTGGATGTTCATCACAGCATTATTCACAGTAGCGAAGACATGGAATCAACCTAGATGTCCATCAAATATGGATTGGATAAAGAAAATTTGGTACATATACCCCATGGAATACTATGAGTCCATGAAAAAGAATGAAATCATGTCCTTTGCAGCAACATAGATGCATCTGGAGGCCATTATTCTAAGCAATTAACCCAGGAACACAAAACCAAATACTGCATGTTCTCACTTATAACTGGGCGCTAAACACTGGGTACTCATGGACATAAAGATGTCAAAAATAGACACTGATAACTACTAGAGGGGAAGGGAGGGAGGGAGGGTAAATGTTGAAAAACTAACTATTGGATACTGTATGTCCAGTACATGAGTGACAGGATCAATCATCCCAAACCTCAGCATCACAGGATATACTCATGTAACGAACTTGAACGTGTATCCCTGATTCTAAAATAAAAGTGGAAATTATTTTAAAAACAGGATATTTATTCTCCCAGAGTTCTGTGGAAATTATGAAAATCAGTTCACAGCAAAGTATTCTCCTTCTGAAGAGCTGAGTCTTTTATATGTTTTTCTTTAACTTCTCCTGTTGCTGGGAATCCTTGGTGTGCCTTGCCTTGTAGTCATCACTCCAGTCTCTGCCTCTGTCATCACATGGTGTGATGACTCTGTTCCTGTCTCTGTGACTCTTCTGCTCTTCACATAAGGACACTAGTCACATTGGATTAAGGGCCTACCTACTCAGGGTATGACCTCACGTTAACTAATTTCTTGTGCAATGTGTGGAATTGCAATGACCCTTAGGAAATCTGAAAGCACCAAGTAAAAGCACATTCTGAGATTTTTTAAAGGACACTAATTTGGTGAGGGGGTGGGGAGGTGCTATCTAGCCCAGGACAGGTGGTAATGGCTTCCCTGCTCTTGTTAGTCCCAACATGGGATGTTTAGTTATCTCTTATTGGTTTCACTTAATCATGCTCACAGCTTTAAAAATATTTCCTTAATCAAATTTTCTCATTTTCCCTATTTGAATGTTCTGTTTCCTGGTGGGACCCTGACTGATACAGAGGTCCAGTGATAAGAGCTGAAATAATTCAGGACTTAGGGTGGGTATTCTGTATGTAAGAGTATAGATGTTATATTTAGGCAGAACTGGACAGAGAAAGAAAGAAAAAGAAGGAAAGAAAGAAAGAAAGAAAGAAAGAAAGAAAGAAAGAAAGAAAGAAAGAAAGAAAGAAAGAAAGAAAGAAAGAGAGAGAGAAAGAGAGAGAGAGAGAAAGAAAGAGAGAGAGAGAGATAGAAAGAGAGAGAGAGAGAAAGAAAGAGAGAGAGAAAGAAAGAAAGAGAGAGAGAAAGAGAGAGAGAAAGAGAGAAAAGAAAGAAAGAAACTTTCAAAATCTTAAATCTGTAGCTTATGCAATAGGCCAAAACCAATGGCTTTTCTACAACCATGGAAAGAATTTCTCATCACTTCCAGCTCCATGGCTAAGATACTTAAGAAACAAACTCAACTATTGATCTTGCAGATGGCTGAGATACAATATCAGTTTCATTCACAGCCTTGTGAGGTCTCATAAAAAGTTAGTGTATGGATGATGAACGAGTCAGAGCCTGAAGATTGAAAATAGTGAAATATAGAAAGATGAGAAGACACAGAGAAATGAAACTCAGCACTTTACTTGGCCTGTTATGCCAACCCAAGCATCAGAGGCATTTTAAAGGAGTTACATCAATGATAGGAGAATATAGTCATAGAAAGATCTTAATTTATTGGTGCAAGTACATTTACTGGAGATTCTAGATTCAAGGTGCTAAATTAAACTATTGGGAGAGTTCTAATTATTCCCATAAAACCCCAAATTCTTGCCATTATGAAAAAACCCAAGGACTAGAGCACGGGAATCCTGGAACAGATTTATTATGTGCAATGAAAACTTCACCTCCTAACTATGTTTCCTGAGATGGCCTAGAAGTCGATCCTATTACCATAGTTTTTACAAACACATTGGTACAGAATTGTAGGTTCTTAGGAAAGCAGCACTATGTGAAATTTTATGATCTGGTGATGCTGGTACACATGCTGCCCATTCTAATGGGCTACCTGAATTCTCTGGGTATGGATGGGTTTTACTTTTGGCCACCAGAAACAAGGCACATGCATTTTTATACTAAGCAATACTGCTTCAGTAGTAAACAGAATGTTTGACTCCCAAGCATCTTAGGTAATTGTTGATGATTTATTTACTGGGATAGTAATTGTTGGGTAGCCCACTAAAGTTCTATCATGCTTATATGATTTACCCCATACTCTAGGTTTAGGAAATAGATTATATCCACCAAAATAAAGATCCTGTGTTCTGATTATTTTAGTTATGAGGCATTTATTTATTTATTTATTTATTTATAAAAAGCAGCCCTCCCTGAATGAACAGTAGAGCTTATTAACCCTCAGACTGAGTCTGGCAATGACATTGCTGAGAATATTAAGGGAAGACCTAATAAGTAACATCCAGTTTTTGCCAGAATGCTGATTGAATTGGATAACAGACGTGGAGAATACAGGTTGGGCAAAAGAAAATATCACTTTTACTGCTGGTAAAAGTGTAGATTGTGTCTGTGGACAATTGTGCTTTCCAATGTTGACCTTTGGAATTAGAGACTTCTTTCAAAACACAGAAAATGCTCAACCATTTATGCATGTATCTCAATGGAAACAGTCTTCATGTGCAAATTTATGACACGGAGGAGCAGAGAGGAAATGTATGCTTTCTATTTCTTGTTGGTAGTTCAATCACTAAAAGAACTAAGGAGCTGAACCTAGCATCCTGAATTTATTCTTCCTGATTTATTAATTAGATAATTTTTTCTTCTTTCCAGGGAAAAAATGGATGAGGGGTGGCAAGAGAGATCAGTAAAGCTATTTTATTGGAGCTCTGTTTTCATAGAAAAGTCCAGAATGGATAAAAAGCTTTTGCCTGATTCCAAAAGACACTGCATCATTTAAAAAGGAGCAGTAGCTAATGTATTGTGCCCTGTTACTTATCATATTCTTTTCATCAGCCAAGACCACAGATCGGACTCTTGGGGACAAATCATAGTTTTTTTTACATCCTTAAGCTGCAAAACTGAGGAAACAGCAACCCTCTTCTGACATGAACAGTGATGGGACTCAATCTGGTAGCTAGAACTGTGTGGCATGGTGTGAGCTTGGTCCCTAATTCTGTTCCAAACTCCATTTATATTGATTAGGTGAACCCAGCTTTTTCCTCACCACAGTCAGGCTGGTGTAGAGCTTTGCAGATAAAGCTAAAGGATGCAGAGGAAGCTTTGCTATCATACTTGTTTCTCCACTAAAAGACTGAGAGAGAACATGCCTGCCCGTAGTATAGACTGGGAACTGGGACCTAAGCCTTGTGGTTAAAGTGTTACCATGCTAAGGCTCAGTCATGCCCACTCTTCAATCTGCTTCCTTGTCACTCTGCTACAGGGGTCAGAAAACTACAACCCACAGGTCAACTCTGGCCTCCCCCTGCTTTTGCAAATAAAATTTCATTGAGCCACCTACTTGTTTACATATCATCCATGATACGTATCTTGCTTTTATGACACAGTAGCAGAATTGAATAGTTGCAATGGAGACTGTCAAAAATTACCACTTATAATATTTACTATCTGTCCCTTTACAGAAAAAGATTGCCAATCACTGCTCTACTAGGATGCATTGTCTTAATTAAACATTCAGCTATATCCAGTTTCCATGGTGCTCTGCAGGAGGGTAGTTTTGTTTATGTAAAGTCATCTTAAACAAAACTTGTCTTAGACTTAAGTTTACCCCTACTTTTCAGTCTATACTTGATTTCAAAGTATGTCACCTATGCCTCACACTCCACTGTCAGCAACCCATACTCCTTCAACCCACAAATGTTGTGCAAGTTGTCACTGGCATTGTTTTTGAGACGCTGGAAGAAGCCAGGACAATAAATAGGAAATGAAAACTCATGCATAATGTTGTAATCCATCCCCTACATCATCAGCAACTGGGGGAGTGAGGACAAGACAAGAGAATGGATCTCAGAATACCGAATGCAGCACGATGGACACTGCTGCTTTGATCCGTTTGCAATAGATAGCGTTAGCCAGGGTGCAGAAACCACCTTTAAAGAGAGCTTTTTTGTCTTCCAGTGGTAACCTGGCCAGGCTAATATGGTCTGCCTCTGCCTCTGCCTCTGGTGCATTCAGTGACAGATGGTAGATGTAGATTTACAATAGACTAAGGGAGGAGAGCCCACATTGTGAGAAGTACATCTGTAGGCTGGGGATGCGTCTCCTGGGGGGCACCCAAGTACAAGACAGTTAACAAGAACAAGCTAACTCCATCTTTTATGTTTCCAGGTATTTCCTTCTTGCCAGGTGAAGCGTTTTACTAGTTCAGACAACCTGCAGGTGAGTGGTGAGCGCTGGGTTAGGAGAATTTAAAATAAATTTATAGCAGCCTAAAATGACTGCTTAGGCAATCTAGTGCCCAATGCTCCAAGTGTCAGGGGCATGGTGTACATGGGATTGCATGCTTGGTCACCAGCCTTCATCGCCTGAGTGGTCAAATTTTCAAGCATCTGGATATTATGCCTAGACATCCCAAATGTAAACAGTGTCCCCTTTTAGTGCTTGATTGAAAGCAGAGGGAAATGACAGCTATTGTACAGACATTGCTTCTGCCTCATGAGTGAGCCTGTGTGGTCCAGGGGCAGGCTGGCTGGTGAATTCTTGGTGCCTCTACACACATTAATCATTTTATTATCCTAATCTCATAGGGGGCTACAGTTTTAGAATCATCTAATTCTTTTTTTCCACGTGGCCTCCACATCCTTGAATCGTCCTGGCTGCAGAGTTACTGTAACCCTATGACTTTTATTAGCTAGATGGGGTATAGCTTCTCCTGCAAGCACTCTCACCAGTTGAAAATATTACATCATATAGTACTCATTACAATGGGGTAAGTATATTTCTAAAGGAGTTATAACATAAATAAAGCAGTTAAGCAGTTATTACCTTAATGGTATATGTTCCCCAACTGAAAGTTGGTGAAGGAAATGGCAGCATGAGATGGAGAAGGAAGTAGTAGATTAATAAAGAATAGATGTAACCTAATGACCATTTGTAAAGATTCATTTGTTCATTTGTTCATATATTTTAATTTACTTAAAACCATCCTTTTTCTTTCTCCCCTCTTTATGCCCATTGAATATGGAGCATATAAGTAATAAGTTAATGTTGCCATTAGTGTCATAGGTTGCTGAAAATTAAGTCTTAAATGATGACAGAGCTAGCAAATGAAAGACTACTACCCAGAAATCTTAGACTTGGAACTAATAAACTAATAGATAACTGATCACACTTACAAGATTTTGGTTAGAAAAAGAAGGTACATATGTTTTCAGGTTTTTTAAGCATAAATGCATTACTTAATGCAAGATAGTTTTTAAATTTTAAAATAAAAATATAGTCAATGGGCATACTTAAATGCTAGAAAGCCATGCAGTGTGATGTAATATATGATTATCATCTAGACATGCTTGATTTATTTAAAGTCTGTCTATATAGGAGGTTTTAGGAGCAATAGACACTAAGAGATCTTAATATTCTTGTTCTTTCAGGATGCTGAAGGTTGGAGTGTTGCCATGTGAGCCAAGATTGGCCAATTTTGTTTTCTTAACTAATACTTGAAATTGGAACATAACTTAGGACAAAAGTACACAATACACATTTAGAATTGATTCTTTTAGTTATAAGGAAAAAACATGACATTCATTATCCAGTAGAAAATTGTGTTAGTGTAGGTACTCTGAGAAGAAGATTGTAACATGGAACTAAGCATGCAAGGATTTTATTAGAGCAAACATCCGAGAGGGAAAATGGGAATGGAGAATTCAGAAGTGGGAGGTTCACTGGATGAATTGCAAGCTCCATTGCCAGGACCACAGCCAGTATTCCTTCTTTCCCTCTTTCTCATCATCCTCTTTCCTTGACGGGTCCTGGTGGCTTATGTAGCATTGAGACTCATACCTTCATCATCCTAGAGTGGTCTGAAATGTGATAATCAGAACTGCCTCTGTCTATGGCTACTATATCTGTCCATTCTATCACGATAGGGCAAAGGATTAGTAAAAAGCACCCTAGTCAATCACCCCAAGGTTCACACATATTCCTTTATTGTGTAGAGGTAACTTTACCTTTTCCTGCTGATCAAGGTCAATGAGCCAGGCCAGTATGGTGACTCCTTTTCTTTTTGATGGCATATTTAATTTAACCAACTGGACTGCATAAAAGATAGACATATCCTGAAATGTGATAGCGGACCACCACACAACCAACCAAGTAGTATCCTTGATTGCAGCTGCTGTGCCAAGTGTGGAATATTTGCTAGAGCAGATTAACCCAGCCCTAGTGTATGATATGTTTCCTTTAATCTGGAAACTGAATTATTTTTCAACATTGTGAGAAAAGAGAATCAGTAACAGTTGACATTCACTTGTAATGAATGGAGCACAGCATATATTTATAATCCTGCTGCAAGGCTAATTAACTGTCCTGCCTTCATCATTATGAGGGCTCTATGAGTTTGATATTACCACCCTAAAATGATTATAAACTTAATGAAATAATTGACACAACTTTATTATATTATAGTTCTGTAGATCAGAAATACAACTCGAGTTTTACTGAGCTAAAATCAAGGGGCTGGCAGGACTGCTGTCCTTTCTGGAGGCTCTAGAGAAGGATCTATTTCCTTGTTCATTTGGTTCATTGGTAGAATTCAGTTGTATGTGGCTAAAGGCCTGAAATCCCCATGGCATGGCAGGATGTTGGCTGACAGTCATTCACAGCTTCTAAATGCCAGCCACATTCCTGGTTTGTGACCCTTTCAACCATTTTCAAAACCAGTGAAGCTGAGTTGTGTCCTTCTGTCCCTTACATTTTGAATTTCATTTTTCTCCTTTACATTTCATTTTTTAACTCATTTCTCCAATTTTTTTAATGGACTCATGTAATTGAGCCCACTGGATATTCCAGGATAATCTCACCATCTTAATGTCCATACCTTAATTACATAGTCAAATTGTCGTTTGCCAGATAAAGTAACTTATTCATGGGTATTGGAGATTACAGTGTGGAGATCATTGGGGGGCTGTTATTCTGCTTGCCACAGTCAACTTGCTAGCCCTCAAATATTGATGTCAGCCCTTTATACAAAAACATTTACCTTATCCCAAATTCTCAAAAGATCTCCACCCATTACAACATCAATTCAAATTCCAAAATTTTATCCAAAAGTTCTCAATTCAAAAAGTTCAAAATCTCATCAGTTGAGTCACCTAAATTAAGTATGTATCTGTGGACCCATGAGACTAAAAAAACAAGTTATCTGCTCCCAAATACTATAGTGAGGTTGGCATAGGATAAGAGTTACAGACATTCTTGTTCAAATGCGGGGGAAAATGAAAGGAGAAAAGAACCCATCTCCTACAACACAGTCTCAGAATTCAACCAGGGAAACGCATCTTGGTTTTGAAGCATGGTGCTAATCCTCAGTGTTGCACGGCTGTGCCCTAGAGGTTCACAGCTCTGCCCCCTGTCCTTCCAGGGCCAGCACAGTAAAGGAAAAGAAGCTGGGGACCAAGCACTGGCACTCCTGTGTTTCTGCCCGGCAATGACATGTGACGTCCATCAGCCAGAAGTGTGACCTTGTGTGGTGGACAGAATAATGCTCCCACCTCCAGTCATGTCAATGCTTTAACCCCAGGACTCTATAAATAAGTTACATCATATGGCAAAGGGGAGTTTTCAGATTGTAATTAAGGTTATAAACTGGACCTTAAAATAGGAAAATTATTCTGGATTATGCAGGTGGGTCCAACTTAATCATATGAGTCCTTAAAAGCAGGAAACTGTTTCTATGGTGGTGGTGGGGAGAACAGGAAGTTAGACTCAGTGTGAGAAAGATTCAATGCACATTTCACAGCTCTGAGGTGTAGGTTTCCTCCTGCAGAGAAAGGAGAGAAGCCTCTAGCCTCTACGGATGTTCCCCAACTAACTGCCAGCAAGAAAATGGAGGCCATAATCCTATAATTCAAAGGAATTGGATTCTGCCAACCACCAGAATGAACTTGGCTGCAGATTCTTCCCAGAGCCTTCTGTGACTAGCCCAGCTTTGTGAAACCCAGAGCAGAGGAATCAGTCCAGCCAATCTGGACTTCTGGCATCCATAACTGTATGGAAATACGTTAGTATGGTTTAAAGCCACTAAATTTGTGGTAGCTTCTTATGGCCACAATAGGAAACAAATGCATCATCAATTTTGCAGGGCTCAGAAATGCAGTTGACCAAGTGTTGTGCAAAGACGAGTTACCAAAAATATTGGTGAGGATTGGCAATACCCTCATAGGTAGCTGAGGAATCTTAGCAGTAATCATAATGGCATAAGGACTGCCCTTTTATTAGTCATCAAAAAGTAAGAACTTCGTCTTGGGGAGAAAACAAGCAACTGAAGGAAATCTGAAAGAATCATTTTAAAAGATACAAAATGGAGAATATCAGCTCTAAATTAAAAGTAGTGATGTTTTATGCATCTTTATCATCACAGTATTCAGTAATATATGTTCAGTCAGTTCAAGGATATTTGTGGTAAAGGCATGAGTAAAAGTGTTAATAGCTTTTATGAAATAATCCAGTAGGAAAGGTATTAAAAGAGGGATAGATGCTCATCTGTGTTTATTTTTTCCCTTAGGGAATATGGTTACATCAGAGAACAAATCAAATCCTTAAACACAGAGAAAAACAACAACAAACATTCACTAGGAAATGATGAAAATTAATATACACACGCATTTGTTAGAGAAACTGTCTGTTTATGCCAGGTTTGTTTCTTTAAATATTTGATTATTTAGACTCTGAGTGTTAGAAAAAAATATAGAATTTAAATACTTTCTGAATACTATCACTGTCTCTTAAAAAGTAAACAGAATATATTAAAAATTCAGAAAAGAATGAAATCATTTCAAATTTGAGAAATAAATTATAGATTTTTTAATCTGTGATTGTTACCTGTCTTTTTGGTTTCTGCTTTTGGGTTTTTCTTTTTTGAGACAGTGAGATAACATTAAAAAACATTAATGTGATTATTATATGTTTAGAAATGTGATAAGTTTGAAACCCCCTTGTATTTATTACTGATCTGTCGAAATTGAGATGTTTATTCAGGATGATCATCTCTTTGTGTCTGTAACTTTAAAAAAGATTTTATACAAAATGTTATTGCAATATGTGAGATTTACAGCCACAGCTGTAAATGTTAGTAGCACCATGTAGAACCTCATAATTTACAAATCACTTTCCTATCAATATTATATGATTCTCATGAGCCCATGAGCCAGGCAGAAATGATTATGTTTATGAGAATATTGGGGCTCAGAAAAGTTTGTTATTTTGCCTCATGTTAGAAGGGATTCTTGTCTGTTTTTCTGTTTTGTTACTACATAATTATTTTTAATATATCATGATTCCTTAATAGATTTACCATAAATATTATTTTTTAAACTTTCCATAATTGATATACAAATTGAGTCTCAAAATTCAGATTAAGAAAGCAATATTTTAATTTTCTTCTTCCAAATAATGAGGTCTTATTTTATCGTTTTTTACTTCTTCTTTAAATATACCAATCATGAGTTTGTTTCTGGTCTGCTATTAAGTTATAACCTTCTATGAAAAACTGATAATTAGAACCCTTAGTTTCATAAATTTTGTAAAGAAAAATGATTTTCTGGCACACTCCTCCTTCAAGAAAGAAGTTGGAAGACCAAAGTTTAACTCTACCAACATATACACCTTTGATAAACAAAGATTTTCAGTGAACAATACTTTTGTTTGTAGTTTCAATTTCCATGAGTGATGTAAATGTGTCTTTTAACTTATCTTCCCTAATATTTACTATCCAAATGTGTCTATGTGTCAAACCCATAATCTCAGGCACAAGTTGTTCTTTTTTGTACACATCAATTTAGTTTTTATCCAGGCATCTGAGTTAAAAGATTGTGCTGTTTATCTCTTAAAATCCTAACTCAGAAAAATGTATAAAAACCCCACAGCACAGAGATAAAAAATAACTTCATGAAATAATTACCAGAGCTCATTATGTTAAAGCTTAGTACAGGGCATCATTCCAATTGTTCTATATTGTATTTACATGTTCTTAAAAGTGTTTAATTTCTAGCAAAAAATACTACACAGTAGAAAAGTTTGTTACAATACTTTTGGAATTTTTTAAAGGTGGGATTGTGAAACATTTTATTTACTGCTTTGTATGAATATTGGCATTTAAGCCTGATTTTAGTGTCCATATTTGATAATGCTGTCTGCTCAAATTGGATTTAAAAGGGCATATTTTGAATTCAGAAGACCAGGTGTAATACACAAATACAACGTAGAACAAGTGGAATCACGTATGCAGAATCTCCTCACTCTGCCCAGCATAAAGTAAATTCCTTTTCCACCTCCCTTTCCTTCCTCATTCTGCCATTTATTACCATGAACTGGGCACATTTCGTACGTATTTAAACACTACATTAACCTCGTATGAGATATGCTACGCATGTATGTTTTGCAAATAAGGAAGTTAAGATTTTTGAGGAGTTAAGAAACATGTCCGTGGCTAAGTGAGCAGTGGAAGAAGCGATTTTTAGCTTCACCAGAGGGACCCTAACACACAGCGCTCAATCATCGCATTATAATGTCCCTTGTGGCATAGGTGTCTGCTACCTTGAGGATGGAAGTAATAAAGAAGTAAAGGTAGATCACAAATATAAGGAAACGGTTAAACTGAGGGGAGGAAGGCTGAATATATGGAGCAGAGGGGAGTTTTAGGGCAGTGGAAGTATTTTGTATGATACTGTAATGGTGGATACATGTCATTTTACATTTGTCAAAATTCATAGAACTAGAGCACTCAACCTGAGCCGTAATGTAAATATGGACTCTGAGTGATAACGTTGTGAGGAAATTGGTTCATCAACTGTAACCACTGTACCCCTGTGCTGGGGGTGGGAGGAGGCTGTGCATGTGTGGTAGGGAGGGAGAGAAGAGGTAATTAGGGGATGAACTCTGTATTTTCTGTTTAACTTTGCTGTGGATGTAAAACTGTTCCGAAGATACAGTGTATAAAGCATGCAAGCAAACAGTGCAAGCCTCCTGGTGCACCAAAGTTATTTCTGATGCAGCTCTCCTGCCATCGTTCGCAGCCTGAGAAACACCAATACTGTCTCAGGAGTTCTCAGACAAGCCATGCACTGTGTTGATGATGTCCAAACTACCGACTTCTTTCTCATAGCAAGAAATCAATAATAATTTCTAAGATTGTTTTCTGATATTTCAGTTATTTTATTAATACAGGTATATATTGACTGCGTTTTCTTTGGACCAAAATACAAATTGAATTTTATACATGTACATTATAGGTCTAGGTAAATAACTTTTCTACTTTCTATTAAAATGTGTCAGAAAGCCTATTTAAAAATTAAAGTCTATAAAAAGCATATCTAGTCATTAAAGATTAAAAATATGATAGATTTGAACACAAAAGTTTGAAACTCTGAAAATTTTTGAGAACATCAAACAATCTAAAGTTGTATCAATGTGTTGTATAATTAGCAGCTACTTTTGTTCTGAGTTATGATTCAAAGATTTTTGCCAAACCAAACATCTGTAAATAAATGTGAGATTAAAATAAATACATCAAAGCTTTCAATTTATCCAAGTGATTTTTTAAAAAAAATTCTACTATTTTAAATTGTTAAAATATTTTTATTTGTACAAATTTATGAGATTCGTGTGAAATTTTGTTACTTGTAGGCCAAGTGTAGTGATGAAGTCAGGGTAATTAGAGTGTTCGACTCCTGAGTACAGTACATTTTTTTTTAAACTATAGTCACCATACTCTGCTGTCAAACATTGTATTTATTCCATCTATTTTACTGTATGTTTGTACCCTTCAGCCTGCTTCCCTCCATCCTTCCCCCTACCCCTCCATTCACACTTCCCAGTCTCTGAAACCTATTTTTTCACTCTTTCCCTCCATGTGCTCAATTCTTTTAGCTCCCTTAGGTAAATGAGAACATACGATATTTGTCTTTTTGTCTTTGGCTTACTTCACTTAATATAATGACTTCCAGTTCCATCCATGTTGCTGCAAATAATATGATATCATCTATTTTATGGCTGAATAGTATTCCATTGTGTATATATCCCACATTTTTTTATCCACTCATCTGTTGATGGATGCTTAGGTTGACTCCATATCTTTGTTATTGTGAATAATGCTGCAATATACATAAAAGTGTAGGTATATTTTTTATATAATGATTTCTTTTCCTTTGGGTAGATATCCAGTAGTGGGATTGCTGGATCAAATTATAATTATATTTTTAGTTTTTTGGAGAAGTCTCCATTCTGTTTTTCATAGTAGCTATACTAGTTTACATTCCCACCAACGGTGAATAAACATTCCCTTTTCTCCACATCCTGGCCAACATGTTATTTATCATAGCCATTCTGACTGGGGTAAGATGAGATCTCATTGTGGTTTTGATATTATACATGTTTCTGCAATTTCTGTGTATCCTACTCGTAAATTTTATGCATCACTTATTCTTAGAAATATGTTTTAAAATATAACTAACATAGCTGCAACTTATAACTTACAGAGTTTCATTTTAAGAAATAGGGCTTTGGACTGCCCTTACTAAAAGTCTTTAATAATTGAAACTTACTCTTGAAAGTGAGGGAGGCACTTTTGATTGGTTATCTTAATTTGATAATTTATTTCTCCTCTAAGAGCTAAATTATTCGTTTACCAATTTATTTTCAGATTTTTAACTTTGACTATTATTTTAGATTCAGGAGGGGACGTATTCAGCTTAGGTTTACTTGAGCCTTGTGTATTTTGAATGCCAACTGTATTTTTAAAATTATAATCATGACTTTAATATTAAAATAAATGTGGTTCTCTTTTTCAAAGGACAATCTTTCCTCAGCAACTTTTATCAGAAAAACCCGCCACCTTAGCATATCCTGTCCAATTTAAAGTTTATTTATATAAAATTAGTAAAATATAACTTTGTAATTCCAAGGAGAGTTTAAACCCTTATAGTTAATAATTCAAGTTATTGAAAATTAAATAAAACTTCTCCCCAATTTTTTTTGCGAGTGAAGTAGAAATCAAAAAGGATAACATAGTTTTAATTCCATCAAAGTTAGGGATACATCATAGCAAACAAATAGAAGTGTAGTTTCTGAAGAATTGTGTCTTTAAAAAATGTAGTTATATTTTCAAATAAGGTTGCTTTTAGCCACATGTAGCTATGCTAATTTAAATTTAAAATAATTAACACAAAATAAAATAAAGTAGATTACTTTCTTTGCCTCACTGTCTCCATTTCACTTGCTCATTAGCTACATGTGAATAGTGGTTGCATAATGTACAATGCAGATATAAAACATCGCATCATCCTTGAAATTGCTATTGTGTAACAATGATCTGAAATATGATTCATTTGAATTTTTCTGACAATAGTTATCAGAAGGCATTCAGATTGTACTTTTTAAAATCATACTATATATTGCCATAATGTCAGTAACATTTTCTTGATGATTGTATGTGAAAACGCAAGAGAAAAACTCAATTAGAGCCGTCTGAAAGCGCTCAGTGCGCATTTTCAAAAGAAACACATAAAAGCCATATATGAAATGAAAATTTTGTTTATTCCAGTGAGTAACAACAGCGCAATGTGTAAATTCATCAATTATTTGGGTAACTAGTACTGCCCTTCGCAGTGCATGAATCCCTCCAATGCCTTCAACCTGAGGTTTCAATCATTTACGTACCTTTGGGTGTTGCAGTAGTTTTCTCAGAACCTCTGTTTGCTCGTATAAGGTAATCATTTACCTTAGTAGCTTTCAACACACATTGCACATTTGAGTCATCTTTAAAATTCATCTCCTATACAGGGGTCACCCAAGAAATACTTACTTAGTGCATTTGTGTGGAGTTAGGTAGTTTAGATTTCAAAATATTTCAGTTCAGTTACTATGTTCCCATCTAGGTTGGAAAATACTGACTTAAATGATCTTTTAAAAATTTTATCATCAGATAGAATTATCATACATTTACCTGTAACTTGTTTCACTCTCTTGACATTATATTGGATAGTAGACGCTTGCTTTTACATAATTTACATAATTAAGTATAAATTGACATTATATATTATAAAATATCTAAAATATTATAATAGATTATACCAAATAAAATATAAAATATAAAATAAAATAAAATAGCTAGATAAAAAGCTGTCAGAGGTTTTTATTAACTGTCTCACTCTGTCGCCCAGGCTGGAGTGTAGTGGCACAATCTTGGCTCACTGCAACCTCGCCCTCCTGGATTCAAACGATTCTCCTGCCTCAGCCTCCCGAGTAGCTGGGATCCGCCGGCCTCAGCCTCCCAAAGTGCTGGGATTACAGGTGTGAACCACTGCACCCAGCTTATTAACTGTATTTTTAAATCCTCTTCCAAAAGGATTAAGTCAAAATCTGAGCTCAAGGTCACTTAAGTTTTCAGTGTTAGAATCCTAAATGCAGAATGGGTGAAGATCTAGCTACTGTACTTCCTGGGCAAAATACCATTCAGTTAATTGGTAATCACAAATTAGAATGGATCTTCTAATAACTAAATTTTATCTGGTTAGATTACTTATTAAATTTAGGTACTAGCATTTGGGAGTACTGAAGACTCCTCATCCCAGCATACAGGCAATGTGAGAAATTAAAAAGCCAAGAATTTGGAGTGGGGGTTCTACATTACATGGAGGCAGCCTCTAAGGTGCTCTCCAAAAGTCTCTGCCCTGGTGTTTATACCCTTGTGTAATTCCTTCCCCCGGAATATTCCTGGCCAATTGTTTCTGACCAACAGAATATGGCAGAAGTGAAGGGATGTCACTTCTAAGAATAGGTATTACAAAGAATACAGTTTCTGATGTTAAGTTATACAAAGACTGTGGCTTCTATACTGGGCTCCTCTGTCTCCTCTCTTGCTCTTTGATATGCTTACTCCTCGGGAGACAGTCTTTTTTAGTGTAAAGACAGCCCTGTGCAGAAGCCTATGTTGTAAGGGATGAGATCTGCCAATAATCTAGTGAAAGAACTTAGGTGAGCATCCTCTCCCCACCAGTCAAGACTCCAGGTGAAATTGCAGCCCCCGCCAACAATTTGTCTGCACACTTGTGAGGGACCTTTATACAATGGCAAAGCTGCCACTGGATTCCCGAGGCTCAAAAACTGTGAGATTACAGTATTTGTTGTTTTAAACTATACTAACTCTGGGGGTAATTTTTTCATGTGGCAGTTCGTAAATAAGATCTAGTCTTTCAAATAAGTTACCATTGAATATTAAATATTGCATACTGGAAATGATCTACTTTTAAAACTTTGCCAAGGATATGTTTTTAAATATTGTGCCCTGGCAAAGAGCAAATTTGGAATCAGCAAAATATGTATTGCCAGCATTTACACAGATTGAACAAGATGGTATAATGTGCTCTTTTTTTTTGGCTGTTCATGGGGGAAATATTTTGGCAAAAGGTTTGTATGTGAAATTCAAATTAGAGATATATAAGAAATTTCTTATTCAGATAACTACTTTTAAGAAATGGTTGTGTATCTCTCCATCTAATATATTTATTGCATATATTTATCTACTTAGATGTACATCCAATTATTCTTTTCTTTATGTGTACATTGTGGGGATAGAGTTAACACAGCAGATCTGTTTTACTCAGTTATTGCTAATCTCTATGGCCACAAAAATAATCATGGTCAAATACTTGAAAATTAAATTACAGGAATGTTCACATGGTTACTGATTAGGGATGTTATTCTATAGGTCCAATGCAGTGGATCAAGGTGTGCCAGGCTGTCAACATTGTCAAAGTAAACATGAAGATTCATGATGTGCATCTGGTGCCTGGTTTAGGATCTGCACTATGGTTGGTCATGTAAATTGATCCATTTAAGAACATGTATCCCAAGACTTAAGTTGCTTCCCTTGGTGGAGATATCTTGCATGTGCCTTCACTGTTCCTGACTGGAGAGAAAAGCAAGTTTCTCTGCCTTTACAGAGATCAGGAGACCTTCAAATCCTGTTGATAACCATTCTATCATTTTCTATGTATATTTTCCCTGCTGTTTCCACACTGTGTGCTTCTTTGTAATAAAATCTTATCCATGAGTTTGTGTTGAATCATGTAAGTTCTTCCAGCTGATCACCAAATTATTGGATGGTAATGGGACTCTTGAAATATAACAAATATCATATTACAAATAATTTGCTGTGACTGATGAGAACCCTTAAGCTTGAAATTAGCTAACTAAATTTTAAGATATTTTATGTATCTTTAATAACACTGCATTTTCCTTGTCTCTAAGAAAGTTTGTGTAACATTTTGTTTAAATGGTAATTATATACATTTTAGGATATTTTTAATGAAGAAGAAAAAAATAACAAATGGTAAGGTTATGGAGAACTTAGAATTCTTGCGCATTGCTGGTAGCAATATAAAATAGGGTAGTACCTATGAAGAACAGTACAGCAATTCTTCAAAAACAACAACATAGAATTACCATATAATCTAGCAATTTTACTTCTAGGTATACACCTAAAATAACTGAAAGTAGGGTCTTAAACATATATTTGTATGTCCATGTTCATGACAGCACTCTTCACACACCCAAAAGGTGTAAGCAATTCAAGTGTCCATTGACAGATGATCTGATAAATTGTGCTATATATGTACAATGGATTATTATTCAGATTGAAAAAGGAAGGATATTTTGATACATGCTACAACATGGAATGACTTTGAGGACATTATGCTAAATGAAATAAGCCAGTCACAAAAGGGAAAATATTGTATGATTCCACTTATATAAGTGGCCTAGACTAGTCAAATTTATGTGGACCGACAGTAGAATAGGGAGAGAGAAATAGGAAGTTACTGTTTAGTGGGTACAGAGCTCTAGTAGGGAAAAATGAAGAAGTTCTGGGGATGGATGGTGCTGATGGTTGCACAACAGTTTGAATGAACGTAATGCTACTGAATTCCACACTCAAAAATGGTTAAAATGTTTATTTTATTTTACACATATTTTACTAGAATAAAATTTTAAAGGAAATTTTTTCTATCTTTAAAATATATGAATGGAATCATGATAATATCCCTATTATATACCTTATTAGAGATAGAATTTATAACTTATAAATACTATACTAATGGGCCAGGGAATAATAAAATTAGGTTTTAAGGTTGTCACCTTACTGTCATTCTTTGATTTTTTAAAATTGATGCAATGTATTCCAAATTGATATTCCAGAGACTCCCATTCTTGTTGCTACAGGCACCAAATTGAAGGAGAAGGAGTAGCTTCCAGCTGTCTAAATGCCTGGTGTAGTAAGAAGCAAACATCAGAATGCAGGAGTGTATGATTGGAAAAATGCAAAATTACTGCATTTTAGAGAGAGGCACAAACGTGGAAAATAGGTATTCAGGGATTGAAACTTACATTTACTATCAAAGATGAATATAGAGTCCTTCTCTAATTACTTAAATCAGTTATTTAAACCTCAAAACAAAACATGAATATCAGGGCAATCAGTTCTCAACATTCTTGAATCTCAAGAGTAAGAGCTGAATGAATATGCAAGGTTTTAATTTTTGTAGTATTGACAAAAAAATACTTGCTATTCACCTTGAATACATATGGTCAGGCTTCATAAAGTGTGTAATTGTAATGACTAATTGGATTATCTTAGTTCTTCTTAATATTTTTTGATATTCCTTTTTTAAATTAAACAATAGAATACCTAGATATATGTTGCCATCTGTGGTGCTCATCACTTCCATTCATCCATATCCAAATGCTTTTAACGTTATATCAGCATGTCCCCAAATTGTTTTTTAATGAATCTTTTCTCTCTGTTTTACAAATGCTTTTAATTGAGACCATTATAATTCCTTATCTGGAATATAGAAAGACAGCTAAAAAAAATTCTATTGTGTCTCCAGTTCACATCCACCTTCTTCACTGCAACTAAAGTTGTCATTTTAGGAAGAGAGATCATAGCAAGTCTTATTAAAACTCTCAATAGCTCTTCGTAATTATTGGGCAAAACCAAGCTACTTTAACTGTTGAAAATGTGCTTACTTTATGATCTCACTTATTGACACTTCCTTAATTTTACCCTAGGCTCTGGCTATACCGAGCTACTTGAGCTTCTCTGAGATTATCATACTTTTTATGTCATTATGATTTTGACTTGTTATTTCCTTGCCCTTTTTTTCTTGTCTGCTTAACAATTTTCTATCAAATATCTGCTCCTGTGTTAGTACTGTGACATCTTCTCCCACTACTACTTCTTCCCCATCTCCCACAAGCACAGTATGTTCAGGCTTACACTAAATTTTTGTCATTTCTCTTAATATCCATCTCAATATAACTTCATTATGTAAAAAAGTATTGTCTTCATCATTAGCTATGATGCACTGTGCAATGAGTCTATGAGTCTTTGTCTCCCATTGTCTAGCATTATATCTAAATTATGGAAGGTAATAAGTATTCTTTAATGCATTACTTCATGCCCAGTTTAATTATAGAGTTGACTCATTCATAATGGAACTGAATTATCATGATTGCTCAGTTGAATATAGCCCAGTCATTAGTCAGCAGACCTAATTTACAGAGAGTTTTGGAGAAGTCCCAAGATACAGCTTCAGAATGTGTAATCATCACCATGCTCCTCAATTCCTGTTCTTCCCAGCTTATGAAAACAAGCTGGAGCTTATCCATTGATTGATTCATTTAAGAAATATTTGCTAATTAATTACTAGATATTAAGTACATTTTGAAGACATAGAGTTAACAACAGAGGTGGTCAATGACCTCATGGAGCTTATATTCCAGTAGCAAATACACAAACATATAATGTAAAGTGCTGTAAACCAAATACGTGGAGTAATAAAGTTTGTGGGAGTGGAGAAACAGGTATATTTAAACAAAGTCATAATAAATGCATCTCTTAGGAGGTGACATTTGAGTAAACTTGAATGAAGAGGAGAAAAGTGTGTGACAATATTTGGAAAAGGTATCCCTGGCATACGAAAGAGCTAGTGACAAAAATCTAATAAGGTGACTTAATATTCTTGTTCAAGTGAGGGAAACAAGATAAAGCAAGGGAAGAAAGAAAAGAGAAAACAGTCTTAGCTGGAAACTTTGTCTAACTCCATGAAAAAAGTCAATAACAGAAATTTCTCCATAGCATTACTCCCATCTTGAAGCAATAGCCTGGCTTTGGTACCTCTCTGTGTCAGTCCTTAATTAAGAATGAGCTCCCAAATTGGAGACAGTTAGCATCTGAAAGAGGCAACCCCAGTTTAGCTGTAAAGGGGAGGGGAAGCTATGAGTTATTATCAGTCAACTGGGGGTTGGGTAAGCCTGTCCTAAAGGTGGAGACCAGCTTGGCTTCTTCAATTGAAAGCAAAAAGGATAATTTGGCTAGAGCAGTGATTCTCAAACTTTGCTGATTATTTCAATTATTTGGAAAACTTTTAAAACTCTTAATTGCCCTGACTACACCACAGATCAATTAAACTAGACTAACTGAGGGCATTACCATGGACTCAGTAGTTGTAAAGTTTTCTGTGTAATTCCAATGTGCAACCGAGTATAAGAACCACTGGGCTGGAGTAGTGTGATAGAACAAGAAAGCAGAACACTGTGCATACTGGGAGGTTGGGTGTTCTACCTCATTGGAATATTTGATTATTTTAACAACAAAAATTATAAAATATGATTAAGATTTTAAAATTATTTATTTCACTGTCATGTAAATTCATTAGAAATACCAGGGAAACCAGTTAAAAAGCCACTGCAGCAATAGAGGTAAGAAATGATAGTGGTCTGGATTGGTTGGTGGTAATTGAATTGGTGAGATGTGGAAAAATTCATGATGTGCTTTGAATTTATAGTCAATAAGCTGAGGATTGGGTGTTCATTATGAGGGAAAAAGGGAGTCATGGATTTACTCTTGGTGGTGCTATCTATTGAGATGGGAAAAATAGGAACTGTGGAGAGAAATGATGCCAGTGACAGAGTTCAGATTTGTAAATGTTAATTTTAAAACACTTATTAGAATTCTAAGATGATATACCCAGTAGGCAATCAAATACAAGATTCTGAAACACAGAGGAGAAGTAGAATTTACAGATAAAGACACGGTAATCCTAGTATTTAAATGATATCCGTAGATAGAGATGGTATCACCTATGGCGTGAGCAATTATTTCTAAAGGGAGTAGGAATCAAAAAGTAAATTCAGAGGCATCCCAGATTTTGGAGTTTCTGAAAGTGAATGGAGTCAATCTGGAAATTGAAAATGACACTCCCGTGGTTTCCGTAGAAAACTAGCAAAGTGTGGGACCCTAGAAACTAGGAGAAAAGAATAATTAATCATGACAAATGATGCTGACAGTCAAAGACAGAGATTAAAGATAGAGAAATGAATTTGACAAAAAAAGGCATTACTTGTGACTTTGATAAGAGCAGTTTCATTGGAAAGTAGAAATAAAAGCCTGTTTTGAGTGAAATGAGAAAATGTGAAAAGGAATAAATGGTAGTGGGGAACCAGTGAGTTTGGAACACCCTGGAGGTATTTCACAATGAAATGTAGCAGAGAAATGTGACAATGACTGAGAACTATGGTATCTGTGGTCTTTTTGTTTATTTAAAATGTGAGATATTAGAATATTCTTTAGGAACGATGAATTTTTAAAAGAAAATATTGATGATAGATGAGAAATAAGCTATTTATGATCAAAAGCAAAGTCCAGACTTCAGGTCTAAACAAGACAGTGTACATGTATTTTTCTGTGCTCCACCCCACTAAATACAACTGTAAATTCTGAAATGATGAAAGAAGTAACTAATTATCAGACTGAAGATAATGTGAACTTAAAAGACAAGATGCTGTTTAGAAAATGGGATACTTGAAATTAAAATGTTGAGGTACCTGGTTATTGGTAATAACTAAAGTTTCACATGACGAAGGAGGTGTTTGAGAGTAGAAAAGATGGTTGAAAGTAGATGAAAAAAAAAAACTAGAAGGCCAGAATTTTTATCTTTAATGTATATGGATTCTAAATGATTATAAGTGTAGCTCTAGAAAATAAAAAGCTAAACATAATTAGGGCCAAGATGATTTAGTGGCATAATTATTATTATGTTCTAGAAGAGTCACCTTCATTTCTGTTCTGAATAATGAGTGAAATCGAGAGATCATACTTATTAGAGTAACGTAATTAATACCGCATGTGAGGTTTCCAGTTTTAAAGAATGTAGATTTTATGTGAAATTCCAAAACTGATCTAATTGTGAGTCTTATTTGGAAAAAATTTTAAAATCCAAATTTCTATTCAACACAGAAAAACAAATGTTTAATCAAGAAATTCAGAGCTTTAATCATGACTTTACAATTCATCACAGCTGAAAAATGGATGGATGTCCCATTCATTTCCACTACTTGCCTATCTCTTATTGCAGAATATAAATGTATATAACACATTGTCATATCAAGGGCTCAAGCAGAAATTAGATCTGCACAACTAGAACACATACTTCTAAAGTGATAATGAACTACAACTTTAGAATAGTCACATTTTCCACCAGTGCTGACCATATCTTCACATTTCTCTAGCCTCTGTTTTGTTCTTCGGGTTCATCTCCTGCTGCTCTCTACTTCTCTGCCCTGTATAAAAAACGTCCCAAATTGCCTGCCATCCCCTGTACTTCATATTTTTTTTTGTCTTCACACACTGTTCTCTATTACTCTCCTTATCTATTTTGCAAACTCGTCCTTCAAGATACAGCAGCACATGAAGCTTTCTCAAAAATTAGTTAACCAATGTCTCCTTTGCTTTTCCTATACCATTTTATCACACCAAAGTGTTACTTTTTTAAATTAGCACTTGTTTGTTTTTCTTGTTAGGCTCTGACATCTTTAAGACAAAGATCATGGCTCACTTGCCTTGTGTCCTAGGAACTAGCATGGTACTTGACAAGCAGCCCCATTCATGAATGGGAAAACGAGTGAATAAATGAATGATACTATTTATTATCAGAATTTTTTTGATACTAAAGCATATCATTCAAATGTTTGAAGTTCAGTTAGGAGGCATTTGGAATTTATAATGACCAAAATTAAGGACAGGAGAAAAAGACACGAGTAGTGTAACACAAGAGTATGTGGAAGAGTTAAAAATAAGACCACAGGTGTCATTGCTGAGGAATAATTTTACTTTTTAAAAGTAAGCTCTCTAAGAAATATCTTTAAAGTAATGGAAAGAGAGTCTATAATTCAACTGTGTTTTTTTTTAAACTAGTGACCTTTTTATGGTCACTAGATGGAGAAATGTGAATAGAATCTACAAGATATCATTCATGTAGCATATGCAGTTTACATATCTGGTATCATAAAAAATTACAGTAGGATAATATTGGTGTTCAGAAGAGACAAGAGTTTGTGATTTTTAAGAGTGCAAGCTTGAAAACTCGTATTTGATCTATCCCACCCCCTAAAAAGGGCATAATAAGTTAAAAAACTCCAAATCCTTTATTTCAAATTTACACTCACACCTTTTTTTTTCTAGCAACATTGGCCCCTTGCTTATTTTTTGTTTCCAGGTTGCCAATACTTGTATCAATAATACGTCTGTTCAATGACACATCTGTAATGGGCTTCCTTTTTTGTCTCCCTTGTGCATTCCCTTTTCAGTGGTTTTGGATATTACCTTCCAAGGAAATTACTTGAACTTACCCATTTCTCAGAGTCTACTTCTGGGAAAGGCTAAACCAAAAGAACTAGCACTGCTGAAGGTAGTGATATTGAAACTGAGTTTCGTATATAAGAATGAGATGAAAACATGGCTATCAAAGAAGAATAAACAGATTGCAAAGTAGAATGAGGGTCATATGCAGGATTCTATGATTAATTTTTCACTGAAAGCAAGGTTGAAGTTGCGTAACATAAAGCTGTAGATATAAATATGAAATAGCATACAAAAAAGTCTTGTATACCTTTATAAGGATGGTAGGTTTTAAATCATGTGCAGTAGAAAATTATGTAAAGAAGACTTAGTGAACCAGAATACTTGTATTTTTGTTGTGTGGGCAGATGATGGAGAAAAACTATGAGACTTTTGAAATAATGCACCCACAAGATGATGTGAAATTGATTTCAGCTGTGCCAAGGATGGCAAAGAGGTACAGAGAAATTGAAGAAAACTTTGGAATTTATAATCAATAGAACTAAAAGAATAGATATGTCAGAATGGAGACTCAAGTTGTTCTGCTTGATTCGATGGCAGTAACACTTGGTAACATTTAATTCGTAACGTTTAGCAAAGTAGTGGTTATAGGTGGAGAAATAAACTGAAAAGTAAAGTGGAGTTTAAACAGTAATGGCAATAAATTTGGTGTTTGTGAGATTCAATTTGAGCTGCTTGTCTATTATCCTGTGGAAGTTTGGAGAAATATGTTTCTGTAGCTCAATGAGGAGGCCATCACTGTGATATTTTTAAGTATTGATAAGGACTCTTGGTGAAACACAGTAGTTTGTATCTTAGTGCATACATTTAGGAAAGGGCTGAGAGGAGTTTACAGACTCAAGAGTGTGCAACAAGGAAGTGAGAGATCATTGATTCTACATCTAGAAGTAGTAGATATAAGTTCCAAAATCTCACCAATTTTCAACTATGATGGTGTTTAAAACTATATTCTGTGGTACCTTGATGTTCAATAGTGGTACTTCCATGGCCAACTCCCCTGCTTCAAAAAGAGTAACTCTGCTCTTGTCTGACTCTTCTGATTTACTACGGAAATTCAATTAAAATTATTCCAGAGGGAATGGGAGCTCTCATGTTAATAAAATAAAATAAATTGAAACCTAACTGTACCAATTAGGGAAGCATAGATAATAGATAAGCATGGATTGAAGTCTCAAAAATAGTGTTGTTTAAAGGACAAGTTGAGAAGAATGGTCTCACGTAGTGATAATGAAGTCATTTGTATGAACATTTCTGTGATAATAGAACTATTTGACAATTAGTTATGTATAAACACATAAAAGATCACCTGTATTCATATGTATAAAAATACAAAGAGAGAAAGAGTATGCTAAAAACATAAAATAAAACCATAAGATTTTAATAGACCAAATGCATTAATCAACAATACTAAATTTGATTGTGCTTCAATAAAATAATAACAATTTTTTTAAATGTTTACAGTACTAGTCTTGATAAGGATAGTAGTGAAGAGAATATATTTGTTTCTTAGTAAGTGATTTTGTTATGATTCTTGATTGTGATTAAATAATTTCTAGTTCCAAAGAAAGATATGAGGACTTCACTATTCACAGAAAACAGACTGCTCATACAAATTGGATGTTACAGCACTTTATTGCAACTGCTGATTATCTTTCATCTCATTAAAAGCTGTTGAAAAATAATTTATTATTTAGTTGCTAAGAGATTATAAAAAATTCATTTTTGCTAATGGCACAATCAGATTATATTTTATTGCTCAATTTTTATTGGTCTTGATAAGAGGGCTGTATATTAATTATATATTTCACCATCTCAGAAACATCAAAAATTATGTGTGCTGAACTAGGACTTACTTAGACCAAATAGATTTTGCTTTATTTTAATTAAATTATTTATAAGGCTAAAGTAGATATAGCAAATTTATTATTTACATTTCTTCTTGTATATTGTATTCTACTAGGCAATTCATATAGAAAATCAAATTAAATTATTCCTAACATGCACAAAATTGGAGTAAAATATTTTTACATTTACAGTATTCAACAAACCGGATATAACTTGCAAAAAACTGACCTGTTGATTGCCCTAATATAATACAAGCAGAATCTTTGAAGGGCTGAAGCTGAAGAAAATGGAGAAAAGGAAATAGAAACAGAGCATTTGCTTGTGTTTTCTAAGATTTGTTTTCCTGGAATCCTGTACTTATTTTCCTCACCAGTACTATAATGCACTCAAGGAAGACACTGGTATGAAAATGTTCCAGCAAACTCATGGGCACACTAAACTCCTTTTAATTCCCCTTGGTATAAAAGAGACCAAGCTGAAATGTATACAGACATATTTACTCAATAGAAGTAATGAAGAAAGCTCATTGTAACTAGTTCATGTCCACATATTTTGCTGGACTTTCAGTCTTCCTATGTCTCAGAAATCTTTTGGGTAGCCAGAATCACTTGTGCTAGGGAGAAAAATTACCTCAACAAATTCCCATTTCCTAATCCCTGGTATTACTCCTGTGGATACATGTCAAGGGTACGTTTCATTCCTCCAAAAGATGTTAAAGTCCTAATTCCAAATATCTATGAATGTTGCGTTTTATGGAAATATGGTCTTTGCAGACGATCAAGTTAAGATGGGGTCATTAGGTAGACTCTAATACAATGTGACAGGTGTTCTTTATAAAAAGGGGAAAACTTTGGCACATAGATATGTCTTCTGGCCTCCAATCTTTATTTCAATTTACATTTATTAGAATGTAAATTTATTTGAGCTTGTGAGATGAAGCATGTATGTTGTTTATACCGCCAAGTTTGTAGTACTTTTTTTGGCAACCCTAACAAACTAAAACAATACCCTACTGTTACATGACAAAGGGAATTAATCAAAGATACTCTTGCAGATAACAGTTAAATTTGCTAATGAGCAGATCTTCAAATAGGGAGATTTATCCTGAATTATTCAGGAAGGCCCAACCTAATCACATGAGCTATTAAAAATGTAAGTGAGTGGCAGAAGAGTAGTTCACAGAGATGTGATGTGAGAAATATTTGGTATCTGGCAAGGCTACAGAGTCTCCCCTGAGAGCAACCTGAAAAAAAAAAATGCATTCCTTCCCACGCCTTTATCTTAACCAGGTGAGACCAGCACTGGCCTCTTGACCTACAGAAATTAAAGATAATAAATTTGTTTAAAGCCACTAAGTTTGTGGTAATTAGTTACAGAGGACGTAGAAAGCTGATGTATCTCTAACCCACTGTGGTAGAGTACTCAAAGGAAGGTTTAGGGAGATCAATGTCATATAAAATTACCCTTCCTGCCTTCATGGGCTTTACTCATTCTCTGGCATATGATCTTTATATGGGATTTCTACTTTGTAATAAGAATTGATGTGAAATTTGCATAAGATTTATTCAAGATTTGTAAAAGGAAGTGTGATTTTGTTCTACACAGCTGTGTAGCCCAGAATATAATTTTCTAAAAGTAAGTAGGACTATTGTGTTCAATATTGAATGATTTAACATAATTACTTTAAAGCAAAAGAGAAACGAATTTGGTAAACAACAATAACAACACAAATTTTAAAGTAAAAATATGCTTAAGAAAGTTATTTCATGTATGCATGTGTTAATGTTTCTATGTAGAAATGTTTATAGCAGCATATCTAATATTTTAAAAAGTCTTATTTCAACTATTACAGATGAAAAACCTATTCCTCTGATTCTTAGAATTTTGATAAAACTCAAACATGACATGTACTCTTATTATTAAGGGTTACCATTTTCCTTTTATGAATTCATTCCATATTTCTCTTTATCTCTCAGCAGTAATGACAATTTCTTCATTTTTGATAGTTCTAATCTTTATTCTCAACCACAAACAAGGTAGCTGAGGGGTGATAGTTCAAAGAACTACTCATTAATCAACACTCTCCTACTTCCTTTTTTCCATTTACATAATCTGAAAATAAATTACAGTTGACCCTTGAACAATAAGGGTTTGAACTGCATAGGTCCACTTATACCCAGGTTTTCCTCCACCTCTGTCACCTCTGAGACAGCAAGGCCAACCCCTCTTCTTCCTCCTCCTCAGCCTACTCAACGTGAAGATGAGGAAGATGATGAGCTTAATGATGATCCTCTTTCACTTAATAAAATGTAAATGTATTTTATCTTCCTTATAATTTTCTTGATAACATTTTCTTTTCTCTAGCTTACTTCATTGTAAAAATACAGTATATAGGATCTGATCACAGTGGCTCACACCCGTAATCTCAGGACTTTGAGAGGCCAAAGTAGGCAGATGGCTTGAGCTCAGGAGTTTGAGTTTAACCTGGGCAACATGGCATGGCCTCTTCTCTATAAAAAATAAAAATAAAAAACAGGCAGGCGCCTGTGGTCCCAGCCACTAGGGAGGCTGAGGTGGGAGGATCACCTGAGCCTGGGGAGCTCGAGGCTGCAGTCAGCCGTGATTGTGCCACTGAACTCCAGCCTTGGCAACACAGAGAGACACCATCTCAGAAAAACAAAAGAATATAGTATATAATGCATATAATATACAAAATATGAGTTAATTGACTGCTAATATTATTGATAAGGCTTCCGGTCATGGTCTGTCAGTAGTTACTTTTTTGGGGAGTTAAAAGTTATATGTGAATTTCCAACTGCACAGGGGTTGGCACCCCTAACCCCTACATTGTTAAAGGGTCAACTGTATTCCATAATTAAGTCATTTAACATTTATCTTTAACCACTGTCTTGTTATATCACTTGCTTCTGGCTTTCATAGTCATTCAGTATAGTATTTCAAATATTATTTTTGGTGTAATTTTTTTTACCAGGATATACAACGTTTCCAAACATACATTTATTTCCTTCCTCTTCTTCTACCTTAACATAATTTATTTCTTATTTTTCATTATATTTAGAATATTTAAGAAAATTAGATCCATTTAATGGCCTGCATTTTGCAATGGTATTTTATGAAACAATAGGTAATATTATGTCTTTGTTATATCCTTATGAGTAAGTGAAGAAAATGCTTCACAGCATGGGGAATAATCAGAAATATTTAACCTGCTTGAAAAAGAAATTAAAAGTTAGCATAACTTTTAGACATTACCTAAGACCTAATGATGTTACGAGAAAAGTAGCTTAAGTGGTAGAATATTGTTAGAAAATAACCCCATGTAGCTGTCGGGGCTTTCAATCTCTGCTTCCACGTGTAAAGAGGTAGAATGTATTGCTTCTCTTTTTAACAATAAGAAAAACCTACAGAAATGGAAAAAATAATAACTTTTTTTTTTTCTGAGATGGAGTCTTGCTGTGTCACCAGGCTGGAGTGCAGTGGCGTGATCTCAACTCACTGCAACCTCCAACTCCCTGGTTCAAGCAATTCTCCTGCCTCAGCCTCCCAAATAGCCGGGATCATAGGCACGTGCCACCATGACCAGCTAATTTTTGTATTTTTAGTAGAGACGGGGTTTCACCACGTTGGCCAGGATGGTCTCAGCCTACTGACCTCGTGATCTGCCTTCCTCGGCCTCCCACAGTGCTGGGATTACAGCCGTGAGCCACTGCACCCAACCAATCAATGATTTTTATTGAACCCATTAGAATGGTCTATTGCCGTCCCAAAATCTGGAGATGCATGAACATCCAGCAAGATTTGCTTACACAACCAACTGATGCATTGATTTCGGCCTTAGGAGACCAGAGGGTAGACCCACCAACAGTGTGCTGGACTCCTGATCCACACAAAGCCTAGGATCACAAATTTGGTTTGTTTTGAGCCACTAAGATTGTGATGGCAGTAGACTATGGATACAGAAATACACAGAGTACATATTACTCTTCATACCATTTTATAAACAAACTATATGACGAAATTGGTTTATACAATCTCTATAGAATAAAAATGTATTAAATGTATTCTAATTGAGCTGGTGGCATTTCTTATCAGTCATTATTGCTCCGTTTTATGTAACATTGTTTATAGTTGAAAAAATAAATCATTTATCTATTGATCTTATTATGTTCATACATAATGATTATGATTGTATCAACGTAGGGCTTTGAAATAAGACTAAAATAAAATGCTTTAATGCTAGATCTTTGAAAGAAAACATTCTGTAAAATATTAATAGGTAAAAAAAATCTTAAAAATCAAATGATTGGACTTCCGTAAGAGTAGTCAATACTCTGATTGGGGCATTGATTTGCTTAGCATTGCTATCTCAATAGCATTCAATAGATGTGAGCACTTTAAATAGAAGTTTCCTTGGGCATCATCACCACTTTGTTCAACACTTCTACAGAAAAATAAAAGAATAGCAGTCATTCTTCCCAAGATGCACACATGAGAATAGAGAGAGTTGTTATGAGAAAGGCAAAATGAGTCTTGCTGATAGTAGTTTGTTTGGCAGAAGGCAGAGCCTTTTGCCCAAGAAAAACAAATACCTAATATGACCACCCCTGGAAAAAGGGGCAATCCAGTTTTTACAGAACTGCTGAGTAGATTACCAAGAACAAGTCATCCCCACTCAAAATTATGTAGTATATTAGATTCTTTAGAGCAAGGTGCAAAACGGCACCTTGGACTGCTTTATGAACATTAAATAAGCCATGTACTCTTTTTCACTATGAAGACACAGCCATGAAAATCAGGCTTTATGAAAGACTCATCATCTATCCAAGAAGACTAGCGACAACATAAAAACTTTGGATAGATGTCAGTTACTTTGGATAAATTCAGTCATTGAATAATTACAATGAAAATAAAGCCTGTTTAGAGGAAAGGTGGGAACTCATTGGTAATCTACATAACCTCTCATAATTAAACAGATAAAAATTTGAAGAAAGAGTATTTTGTCGTAGAAACAAGCGAGAATAAGAATATCTGAGGGATAAACTGGCACTATAGGATCATTGTGTTCAGTGTCCTAACATTCAAGAATCGTCTACATTACATTGTTTAAGGAAAACAAATTATCAGAAACGGTGTGAATACGTGGCCTCGAGAAAGGTAGGAAAATTAGTCAAGTCTCTACTTCCATCGTTAACCCAATGACCTACTGCACTGAATATACAAGATCACACAATTGAATGGAATCACAAGGTCCCACAACGTGAACCATGTAAGGCTTTAAGGTAAAGGATGCTGCAAACTGGAGGTAGAATGACTGAGCAAGCTTAGGGAACACAGAGGCTTCCAGGTGAAGTCCCTCGGGGTCCGTTCTCAGCCACAGAGGACACATGTGTTCTTCAGATTATGAACCATCAAGACCTGTGTGAGGGATTGTGGTTTCAGACAAGTCTGAGCAACAGTTTCACACGGGTTTCTTTAATATCTCACTGGTCACTTAGCCAAGCTAGTCAAACCAGGTATAATTTATCAGTCTCTACGTTCCTAAGCAGTGCACAAAGGCCAGCCCCAGGTGTCCCAAGGGAGTTTTGAACTTTCAACAGCACATTAAAAGTAACTGGTTAGATTATTATTATCCTTTATCTTGCCTTTGGGAGAATAGTAGACTTAGACATCCCTGGAAAGAAACACATATCTGTCTTGTTCAAGTGTAAGAAAACCTTACCTTACACTCCGACAAGGGGACGCCTCTAGGTCGACTCACCCTGAGGCTAGGACATTCAGTCTCTGCCATAACTCTCCTTCCAACTGCTAATTTTCATCTAAGCCCCAGATATATTTTTGATAAAATATTGGTTATGCACACTCTTGTACATTGCCTATGCATTTTATTATTGTTAACATGTACACACATATTGTTCATTGTATAAAGGCATTTCAAATTTGATTTTCTCAACTATGATATCTGTCACTCAAAATTACTTCTCTTATCTTTTATAGCTTCGATATGTGGTAAAATAAGAATTGTCTTAGTCAGCTTGGGCTGCCATAACGAAAAATGACACGAACTGGGTGGCTTAAATAAGAGAAATGGATTTTCTTACCGTTGTAGAGGCTGGAAGTCTGAGAGGAGTGTGAGAAAGGCACCAGCTTGGCTAGGTTCTGGTGAGGACCCTCTTCCTGGTCTGCACACAGCTGCCTTTTTCTGTGTCCTCCCAGGGTTTTTCTTTGGTGTCTGAGCAGAAAGGGGGCAGGAGGAAGCTTTGGAGTGTCTGTTTTTATAAGGCCACTCTTCCTGTAGGATCAGGACCCTGCCTCTAGGACCTCATTTATCCTTAATTACTTCCCTAAAGACCCTCTCTCCAACTCTAATCACATTGGAGGTGAAGCCTTTAACAGATGAATTTAGCGGGAAGACACATTCAGTCCATAGCAAGTATCACGTATTTGAGAGTCAGTAATTAATGCAGTATTAAATAATTCCACATAATACATAAGCAAAAAGGGAGGAAGAAGAAAGGAAGAAAGGAGAGGAATCCCAAGTATTTCATATATTAATAGTGATTGTTTTATTTTAATGCCACTTATTTTATTCTACATTGCCTAAAATGAATGTATTTTACCCATTTTCACCACTTTGCTTTCATATCAAGGCCTGATTTTTAGTTCTAAGAGCAGCCAGCCCCTGGCAGAACAGTACTTGGTTTTTCTGGGTAGGTGTCCTTGTCCTCTGGCTCTTCTCTAGGTTTTCTGTTTGAGACATATGGCTTCTCCAGGTAGAGTTCTTCGTCATTAACCCCTCAAGTTCTCTCTAATTAAAACTCACCATGATTCAGTAACCCGACTTTTTAAAATAGTCTGATGGTTTTTCCAATGAAGCTGACATAATTTTTATTTTAGGACATCTACTTTTCCCAAAATAGTATACTGATTATAAATGATGGTAAAATCATCACATGATGTATTATTTACATTATGTAATTTTACATGCTATTTTTACAATATGACATTGTGTTATATCATATTTTAAAATGTAAGAAATACACTTTTACAGTGTTTATTTGCTAGCTAGCTGAATCATATTTAAACTGTAACACTGAAATAAAATGTTTATAGACATCTCAAGGACTTAATACTTATTGAGAAATTAATGGATTTTATATGAAATGCTTATTTTTTCAGAGAAAAACAAGTTCGGTTGAAAAGGTATGAGTGCCTGTCACATCTGTGCACTAAGAAGGGAGAGATTTGGGAGACTCTGACTCAACTTCTAGGGATAACAGCAGCATCTGAGTTCGATTTGACAAATAACAATTCACAAGTCACGCAGTTTTATTCCAATTCCCTTGAGGCTGAGCTGTTACTGGGAGATCATGAATAACAAAACTACTGGCTTCGTGGGCAAGTGAAAGATTTAGTTCTATATAGAGAAGAACTTTCAACTGGACCAAAATAATCAATGTGCATTCCGACGTATTCCACAGAATGTGGGACTGATTAAATGACATACAACTTCAGGCAATCATTGATTCTGAGAATGAGGGGCAGGACTTAACCCAAAGTGGGGAGAAATCAATAATCTCAAAATAGGATGAGGGAAAATGCAAAAGCTTAAATCCAAGTTTGCTGTTGAGTACTTTCTTTCTTAAACAACAAAATGGATTAACATTGTCTTCTTCTATACATTATATTTTATCATTTTAAATTTTATAGAAACTCGTGAGCATGCTATATAAAAGCTGAATCTAGATTTTTTTTTTTTTTTTTGAGACAGTTTCCAGTTTCTCTCTTGTTGCCCAAGCTGGAGTGCAGTGGCATGATCTCAGCTCACCGCAACCTCCACCTCCCGGGTTCAAGCGATTCTCCTGCCTCAGCCTCCCAAGTAGCTGGGATTACAGACATGTGCCACCACACCTAGCTAATTTTGTATTTTTAGTAGAGACGGGGTTTCTCCATGTTGGTCAGGCTGGTCTCGAACTCCCGACCTCAGGTGATCCACCTGCCTCAGCCTCCCTAAGTGCTGGGATTACAGGCATGAGCCACCATGCCCAGCCTAGAAGTTTTTAATATTCATAGAAATGGATGATAAATAGGCATCCAATATTTTTTCTTGAGGGAGACAGAAAATAATTTTCTCAGCATTATTTTTCCGTTCATTTTGTATGATTAGATGATGATCCAATAGCGATGCTACGCACTACTGGAAGTGTGCACCGTTGCCCAGTAAGTGAACCAGGACCAGTTTCTATCAAGGACAAGATGAGCAGAAGTGCAATTTATTAGAAAACCATGGAAAATATGCTGGCATTCCCAACCACTTTCCTTCTGGATATTAGATACAAGAGCAGTAGAAGGTATTAATACTTTGCGGTTCATGATAAGGATAAACTAAGTAAGCCTATCAGGCATTTTTAACTTCCCTATGATGGTTACAGCTGCATGTCTGCAATTCCTTTCAGAAGCTCTAACAGGAGTGATTGCCCTTAGAATATCACCATTATTAAAAGCAGCAGTGGTAACAGGATTCCCCTCTTAGAAGGATTAAATTGATAAAGCAACCACAAAAAAAACACTTAAAATAACTTTAGATAGCTGAGTAACAAAAGGGTTGGATACCATTATCTTATTTTTCTAAAGATTAGAACACAGTCTATTTAAATTAAATTATTTATTTTGACATAATTGTAGACTTATACATAGTTATAAGAAATATTAACAAGAGATCCCATGTGCCCTTTACCTAGGTTTTTTTTTATAGAAACACCTTGAAAATTATAGCACAGTATTATAATTGGGGTGTTGACATTGATATAGTCAAAACAGAACATTTCATCACGACAAGGTTCCCTTTTCTGCCCTTTTATAACTACACTCACTCTCCCCCATTGTCCTGCTCTTTAACCTCTGGCAATCACTGATATGTTTCCCGTTTCTATAATTTTATCCTTTCAAGAATGTATTATAAAGGGAATCATCTCCTGTGTAACTTTCAGGATTGGCTTTTTTCAGCCAGGATATATCTCTGCAGATTCATCTAGGTTGTTGCATCTATCTGTGGTTTATTCTCTTTTATTGCTGAGGAGTAATCCATGATATGGACACAACACAATTTGTTTAACCACTCACCTGTTGAGGGAATTATGAGTTGTTTCCTATTTGGGGCTATTATGAATAAAGTTGCTATGAACATTCACGGGCAAGTTGCAATGTGAGCACAAGCTTTGTTTTCTCTGCAATAAATGCATAAGAGTACAATTGCTGTTTGGTGTGATAATTGCATATTTAGTTTTGTAAGAAACTACCAAACTGTTTTGTATAGTGGCTGTACTTACATTCCCACTGGCAATATACCAATGTTTTCGTTTCTCTAGTTTCTCGTCAACATTTGGTAGTGTCTCTGTTTTTGAGGGGGGGTCAGATATATGGTTTACAAGTATTTTCCCCTCGTTTGTAGCTTCTCTTTTTATCCTTTCGACAGGATCTTTCCCAAAGCAAAGGTTTTATTAAAATTTGTTTAAATTCCAGTTTATCAATTTTTTCTTCATAGATCATGTTTTTGGTGTCATGTCTAGGAACACTTTGCCGTACCCTATATCCTGAAGAATTTCTCCTATTTCTTTTTCTAAAAGAATAGTAGTTTTGCATATTCTAAGTGTATGATCCATTTGGCTTAATCTTTGTATGAGATGTGAGATTTATGTCAAGGTTTGTTACCTTTGGTGTCCGTTACTCTGGCACCACTATTCTTCCTCCAGTGAATCGCCTTATTTGTTGAAAACCAGTCAGACATATTTGTGTGAGTATACAGTCTGTCTTATGGTTCTCTGCTTCTCTGATCTATATATCTATCTCTTTACCAATGCAGTACTATTTTCATTACTGTAGTTACACAAAGGCCTTAATTTCTAATGAGTGATTTCTCCCACTTCTCTTTTATTTCTCAGGGTTGATTTTAGCTATTCTAGGGTCTGTGCCTGTCCACATACATTTTAGAATAAGCTTCTCTATGTTTTTTTTTTAAACCCTACTGGGTTTTTGATAGGAATTGAATTATACCTATATGTCAATTTGAGGAGAATTGACATTTCTTAGTGTGTTGAATCTTGAAGTCCATGAACACAGTGTGTCTCCATTTATTTAGGTGTTCTTGAATTTCCTTTGGCAGTTTGTAATCTTCAGCATATACATCTTGTAACACATTTTGTTAAATATATTTCTATGTATAGTTTTTTTTCTGAGTGACTGCAAATGGTATTGAATTTTTATTTTCACTTTTTACAAGTTCATTGTTAGCATATGAGAACGTGTTTCATGTTTATATGTTGATCTTGTATTCTACCATTTGTTGAACTCACTTAGCAGTTCTAAGACCTTTTTTTTTTCTTTTTCTTTTTGTATATTCAGTACTTTCTATGCAGACAACAAGGTCACCTGCATTAGGGATGGTTTTATTATTTCTTTTGCAATATGCGTGTCTTGTATCATCTCTTTTGCAAGCCTTATTGGAGCTTTTCCTATTTGTACTTCAGTCAGCTTTTTGAATCTGTGGGTTTATGTCTTTTGACAAATTTGGGAACTTTTCACTTATTATTTCTTAGAACACCCTTTCACTTCACTCTTTCTGCTTCTGTGATTCTGGAAATACGGAGTTGGATCTTTTGTTATTGCTGCAACAAGTTCCTGAGGCTCTACTCGTTTTTTATTTTTATTTTCTTCCGTCTATTTTTATCTTTATTCAGGTTGGGTAAATTATTTTAATCTCTTTTTAAGTTTACTCTCTTACCCATTGTCATCTCATTCTACCATTGAGCCTATTCAGAGAACTGGGTTTTTAAAGATTTTCATCATAGCATTTTTCAGTTCTATCAATTCTATAATTTTTATTTGGTTCTTTTTCACCATTTCAATTTTTATTTTTTGCTGAGATTTTCTCTTTTTTCATCTGTTTTCAGATAATTTGTTACTGTTAAAACATTTTATGATGGTTGCTTTAATGTCATTGTCTGATAATTCCAACTTCTGATTCATCTCAGTGTGGGCAACTGTTGATTGTGGGTTTGTTGTTTTGTTTTGTTTTTTGTTTTTGTTTTTTGTTTTAAGAGTCTCACTCCATCACCCAGGCTGGAGTGCAATGGTGTGATCTTGGCTAACTGCAGCCTCCACCTGCCAGGTTCAAGCAAATCTCTTGCCTCAGCCTCCCGAGTACAGGTGTGCATCACCACACCCAGCTAATTTTTAAATTTTTAGTAGAGACGGGGTTTCACCGCATTGGCCAGGCTAGTCTCAACCTCCTGACCTCAAGTGATCCTCCTGCCTCGGCCTCCCAAAGTGCTGGGATTACAGGCATGAGCCACCACACCCAACCTGATTGTGTTTTTTCATTCAACCTGTGACATTCTCCTTATGATGGGTGGTTTTTTTTTTATTGTAACCAGAATTTTTAGCTATGTTTGTCAGCAGGCTCTTGGTTCCATTTACATTGTTATTTTAGCACAGCGCCATCCTGTGGAGGTTTAGCACACAGGACCTGGCCCATTGCTGTGGGTCTAATGACGACTGAATTATCAGAGACTTTGAGGGGCAATTTTGGACAGCTTGATTTATCTCCTATCGTGTTGCTGGGCTTCTCACTGAACCCTCCTGGTGTTGCTTGAGGAGATAAAAGGAGCTTCCTCCTTTTAAGCTGTCTGTTTTCTTAAGCTGGGGAAAGAGAGTCTATTGCCCAGGAAACTAAGAGTGCTTCTTGGGAAGGTGCTTGTGGAGGTGACATCCTCCTTGCTGATGAATTGTCTCTAGGAAGGAAAGAGAGTCTCAGGTCCAGTAGCCTGGTGTGAAAGGAGCTTTTTCTGTCTTCTTATTGTCAGTGGGGCATCTGGTCAGCCCAGTATTACCAGGCTGCCCTGGTTTTGTTGATGGTACTCATAAGGAGAAATAAGCCTACCTGAGCCATCATCCATTACTTGTTTGGAGGGGAGGGAGAGGTCAAAAAATGCTGGCTCTGAAAAGGAATTAGATCATGTTTTTTTGCAGGGACACAGGTGTAGCTGGAAGCCATTAACCTAAGCAAACTAATGCAGGAACAGAAAACAAATCACTGCATGTTGTCACTTACAAGTGGGAGCTGAACAATGAGGACACATGGACACAGAGAGGGGAACAACACACATTGGGGCCTATTAGGGGAGCGTGGGGGTGGGAAGAGAGCATTAAGAAAAACAGCTAATGAATGCTGGAGCTAATGCAACCTAGGAGATGGGTTGAGAGGTGCAGCAAACCACCATGGCACACGTTTACCTATGCAACAAACCTGCACATCTTGCACATGTACCCAAGAACTTAGAAAAATAAAATAAAATAAAATATAATAATAATAATAATAATAAAGGCCAGGCACAGTGGCTCGAACCTGTAATCCCAAAACTTTGGGAGGCAGAGGCAGTCAGATCATCTGAGGTCAGGAGTTCAAGACCAGACTGACCAACATGATGAAACCCCGTCTCTACTAAGAATACAAAAGTTAGCTGGGCGTGTTGCACCTGCCTGTAATCCCAGCTACTCAAGAGGCTGAGGCCACAGAATCGCTTGAACCCGGGAGGAGGAGGCTGCAATGAGCTGAGATCGTGACATTGCACTCCAGCCTCAGTGACAGAGGGAAACTCCATCTCAGAAAAAAAAAAAAAAAGAAAAAGAAAAGAAAAAAAGAAAATTCTGGCTCTCAGTCGTCTTTCTCTGTTGGGCAGTGGCTCTAAGATGCCTTGTTTCTATGACATTCCTCCAGTCCTGATGTCCCTTCTTAGCGTGCTTTCCTCTTTTGACATTTCAGAGTTATGCTTTGGTTGTCCCTTCCATCATTTACTGGGTTTATGTTGACACTTAGCGGGTAGTATCAGGGGAAAGGAGTCCACGTGATTTTTTTCTGGACTGGGAGTCCAGTGTAATTTTATAAGGTACTTACATTAGATCTTGCTGTAACATAATCTCACATTGTACAATTAACTGTCAGTCTTATGTCCTAAAAAGGGATTTGTTTCTCTTTGAAATACCACATGGAAATCATCATGAGCCTAAATTATGGTCATGTACTAGACACTTTGGAGTAAATGCTATAGAAGTTTTTAGAGTATATGCAAATGTTCATTTTGCACTTGTGAAAATTATGTTTTATTAATACAAGTTTTTATATAACTGTCCTTTAGATTTTACCATGCTTGATGATTCATCATTGTGACATATCACAGCACAGCTGTTTGCCAGGAGTGACATTATAGTGAAGATTTATATAAAATATCTAAAAGTTATGCAGCTCTAATGCTTCCACTCCACGGGTAGTGCCATCAATATCCACATTTAGGATAATAGCTCTGAAAAAAAAAAGTAGTTTCACAAAGTAAAGCTATAGTAATGAAACTGTTTCTCTCTAACATTCCAGCAAAAGAAACATGGCTATAAAATGTGTGTCTAAAAATATCCGGCATCTTCAAGGAGTCAAGGTTTGAAAGCTGAGATTGAGTGGTCAATTTAAAGTATGTCTTGTTTGGAAGGACACAGTGTCTACATTTATCGGTAATTTTGTAAATAAACTTTTGTATTTTAAAGTGCTTTTAGACTTCCAGAAAAACTCAAAGATGGTGTTAGTAATTTTATAAATCATTAGGTTGTTGCAGTTTATTGTGATAAAAATTATCATTTGGTTTGAATTGTGTTTACAATTTGGTTGATGATTAGAAATTATTAAGTTCATGCACAAATAATCCTGCATTTAACTATTATTGTAGAAAGGAGTCAACATGGATTTTGCTTTTCATTACCTCCAAGTAAAATTTTGATCAGATTTTTTAAAAAGAAGGATTATATATATGGTACTGTTATTTGATTGTGTGTTAGAAGCCTACATAATATACAAGGAAGACTCAGATCTTAATACACTTCTAGCTTTTTTTTTTTTTTTTTTTTTAGATGGAGTGTTGCTCTGTTGCCCAGGCTGGAGTGCAGTGGCGTGATCTCCGCTCACTGCAAGCTCCACCTCCCGGGTTCACTCGATTCTCCTGCATCAGCCTCCTGAGTAGCTGGAACTACAGTTTAACCTTTATTCTAAAGTGGATTTAAAATTAACTCTTATTATATTGCTTTGGTGTAGAATAATTTTGCAGTTATAATTAATGATATGTCTGTTTAGTTTTCATTAGTAATCTCTGTCTTCATTTTGCTGTCAATTTATTGCCTATGTCAGCATGTCTGTTTTTGTATGAGTAGAGAAATATGTAATAGCAACACTCCTATGAGAACCATTTCATTCTCTAAACCAATCTCCAGTTTAAAAAGAATAGCATGTATTATATCTGTTAAAGTTTACAAAGGATAGTCACGTTATCTAACTTAATTTCTCAATCTCTCTACATTTACTTATGAGAAAGCTAAAATGTAGTGACATAGAATGATTTTTTTAAGATTACCCAGATAAAAAATGAATTTACGACAAACTTTACAGTGTCAGAATCCAAATTCTAACAAAATTAATAGTAATACAATGAAAGGGAAGATATTTTATACTATCACAGCAGTTTAGAGGCTTTGAATATTAAGGCCATCACTTGCAAAATTACTCCTGCAGATATTATTGGAGAAAAGTTTAAGTGAGGAAGAAGGAAAAAGTGTGTAATGGAAAGAGCCCAAGATTTTGGTTTCATCTTCTATTTCTGTGACCCTCATCAAAACAAGGCACCTACTTTATCCTCAGCTTTCATATAAGTAAAAATGATATAACAATTCTGTAATGGACTGAATGTGTTTCCCTCAAATTCATATGTTGAAATCCTAAACCCCAAGCTGATGATATTAAGATGTAGGGCCTTTAGGCGGTGATTAGTGACCTTATGAAAGAGACCCCAGAGAGATCTCTTGCCCCTTGTACCAAGTGAGGATGAAGCAGGAAGCCAGCCCTCTATGAAGAGAGTCCTCCCCAGTATTAAATCTGCCCATCCTTTGATCTTGGGCTTCCCAGGTTCCAAAATTATGAGAAATCATTCCTGTCATCAATAAGCCACTCAGTCTATGGTATTCTGTTATAGCAGCCTGAACAGACTTAATACAAAAATTCTTAATCTTCCAAACTCCATAATGCCATTGGAAAAATCACCCAGAAAAAGGTATGCATAAACATTAGGTTATGGATTATTATAATAAAGGTAATATACAATGTGAGGTCTACAATTATTTTATATGTGATTGACACCAATTTAACCAAATTTATACAACCAGTTCACTCTAGTTTTATTTTTTATTTATTTTATTTATTTTTATTTTTTGAGACAGAGTCTCGCTCTGTCTCCCAGGCTGGAGTGCAGTGGTGTGATCTCGGCTCACTGCAAGCTCTGCCTCCTGGGTTCACGCCATTCTCCTGCCTCAGCCTCCCGAGTAGCTGGAACTACAGGTGCCCACCACCACGCCTGGCTTATTTTTTGTATTTTTAGTAGAGATGGGGTTTCACCATGTTAGCCAGGATGGTCTCGATCTCCTGACCTCGTGATCCACCCACCTCGGCCTCCCAAAGTGCTGGGATTACAGGCGTGAGCCACCGCGCCCAACCTAACTCTAGTTTTAGAGTCATGAGTTTTCTCCAAGATAGAATTAATGAATCTAATAACTAACATTGTTAGTCCAGCTTTTGATGTCAAATATGCAACTCTGAAATGCTTTTAGTTGAATTATTAGTTTTTGTTTCATTTCACTAAATGTGATTACCTTAATTGAGAAAACTGGACACAGTACAAAATATTTCAATAAAAGCTGTGAAACAAATTTTCAATATATGTTATAAAAACAGTTAATACAAATGTGACACTGTATTAGTCTACTCTTGCATTGCTATAAAGAACTACCTGAGATTGGGTAATTTATAAAGAACAGAGACTGAATCGACTCACAGTTCCACAGCTGTACAGGGAGCATGACTGCTGAGGCCTCAGGAAACTTACAATCATGGCAGAAGGCATAGAGGAAGAAGGCACATCTTACATGTCTGGAGTAGGAGAAAGCGGGAGAGAAGGGGGAATTGCTACTTACTTTTAAACAACCAGATTTCATGGGAATGCACTCACTGTCATGAGAACAGCAAGGGGGAAGTGCACCCCATCAACCAATCACCTCCCACCTGGACCCTCCTCCAACAATGAGGATTACAATTCTACATAAGATTTGGGAGGGGACACAGAGCCAAACAATATCAGAAATCTGTTATTGCAATGGCACACGACATAAAGGCAATCACGAATTGTGACATTTTTCAAGTTTTTAAAGAAAAATGCTTTCTAATTTATGGAAGTAATATTTTCTTAAATTCCCATAGTATTATGAGCTGTTAAAAATTATGTAAAATGGGCCAGGTGCGGAGGCTCACATCTGTAATCCCAGCACTTTGGAAGGCTGAGGCTTGCTGATCACCTGAGGTCAAGAGTTCGAGACCAGCCTGGCCAACATGGTGAAACTCCTTCTCTACTAAAAATACAAAAGTTACCTGGGCATGGTGGCATGCGCCTGTAATCCCAGGTACTTGGGAGGCCAAGGCAGGAGAATCCCTTGAACCCGGGAGGTGGAGCTTGCAGTAAGCAGAGTTCTCGCCACTGTATTCCAGCCTGGACAACAAGAGTGAGACTCCACCTCAAAAAAAAAATGTAAAATGATAGATTTTCACACGAGTTGTTTTACTTTTATGATATTGAATCAGAGTTTTCAAAGGTTATGTTCTTTAGAAAGAATGAAGCTTAATTTATTTCTGAAGTTATCACATTTAAAATTTAATTAAAGCAATTTGAAGCTTCTCAATAAAATGTCTCCCAAAATGAGCTTTAAAATTTTACAATGCCACTTTTTCTTCCATCTCTTTCCCTTCCTCTGTTGTCTCTTCAAACTGTCAACTAAAGCCCAATATCAGCTTTTATACCTTTAGTTTCTTTTAGTAGATACAAGCAAATATGAATACACACATGAATGTATATATAATTACCAATATATCTATATATGTGATCCACTTTTACAAAAATATTGCTATGTATATACATTTTTTGTGACTCATGCTATTTTTTAAATTATATGAGTGTGGTTTTTTTATGTATTTGAAATCTAATTAATTATTTTCCTTGCATTTTTTACATCTTATTTTTATTTTTTATTATAATCTTTATTTTAGGTTAAAAAGTACATGTGTAGGTCGGTTATATAGGTAAACCGCATGTCACAGTGGTTTAGTGTACCGATTATTTTGTCACCCAGGTAATAAGCATGGTAGCCAATAGGTATTTTTACTGATCCTCTCCCTCTTCCCACCCTCCACCTTCAAGTATGTCCCAGGGTCTGTTGTTTCCCTCTTTGTGTCCATATGTTATCATTGTTCGGCTCCCACTTACAAGTGAGAACATGCGGTAGTTGGTTTTCTGTTCCTGCATTAATTTGCTTAGAATAATGGTCTCCAGCTCCATCCATGCTGCTGTGAAGGACATGACCTCATTCTTTTTTATGGCTATGTAGTATTCCATAGTGTATACGTACCACATTTTCCTTGTCCTGTCTACCACTGATGGGCATTTAGGGTTGATTCCATGTCTTTGCTATTGTGAATAGTGTTGTGATGAACATGTGTGCATGTGTCTTTATGGTAGAGCAATTTGCATTCCTTTGCATATGTACCCAATCATGGGATTCCTAGGTCGAATGGTAATTCTCTTTCAGGTTCTTTGAGGAGCATCCACACTGCTTTCTCCAGTTGCTAAACTAATTTACACAGCTGGAGGCATTGCGTTACAGGACTTCACACTATATTACAATGCTGCAATAACTAAAACATCATGTTATTGGTACAAAACACCAGATACATTGACAAATGAAACAGTATAGGGAGCGTATATTAATACCCCAGATGTACATACAGTGGAGAAAGGACCCATTATTCAATAATGGGTGCTGGGATAACTGGCTTGCCACATGCAGAAGAATGAAACCAGATTTCTTCCTTGCACCATACACAGAAATCACTCAAGATGAGTTAAAGAGTTAAATGTAAAATGTAAAACCTAAAACTATAAAAACCCTGGAAGCTAACCTAGGAAATACCATTCTGGACATAGGACCTGGCAAAGATTTCATGACGAAGATGCCAAAACATCTTGTTGACGAATATGCAACAAAAACGAAAATTGACAAATGGGACCTAATTAAACTAAAGAGCTTCTGTACAGTGAAAGAAGCAATCAACAGAGTAATCAGAAAACCTACAGAATGGGAGAAAATATTTACAGACTATGCATTCAACAAAGGTCTAATATCCAGAACCTACCAGGTTCTTAAACAAATTTACAAACAGAAACCAAACAACCCCATTAAAAAGTAGGCAAAGGACATGGTCATAGACTTTTCAAAAGAAGACTTATAAAAATAGTAGTTTTAGGATAATTTTTTAATGTTAAAAATGAATATAAAGTACATAAAATTCCCATGTATTCCCTGCTCCCTCTCCCCCATATAGTTTTTCCTATGCATTAGTGTGCACATTTGTTACAGTTAATAATCCATACTGACACATTATTATTAACTCAAGTATATATTTTACATTATGGTTCAGTCTTTGTGTTGTACCAATCTATGGGTTTTGATAAGTGCATAATGTCATGTATCTACCATTAGAGTATCATGCAGAACTGTTTTGATGACCTAAAAATTGCATATGCTTCAATTCATTTTGCCTTCTTCCCCAATTGAACCATCAGCCACTGATCTTTGTACTGTCTTTATGTGTTTTTCAAGATGTCATAGACATGCAGATGGCCCTCCTTATCAGTGGGTTCTGCATTCTCCAATTCAACCAACCACAAAGCAAAAATACTTTTTTAAAAATAATATAGTAACAAACAATGAATATGACTATTTGCATAGTGTTTACACTTTATTAGGTATTATAAGTAATCTAGACATTATTTAAATACATGGAAGGATATGGTTAGGCTATATGCAAATACTACACCATTTTATATAAGGGACTTGAGCATCCTTTGACTTTGGTATTCACACAGTGAGGGTAAAGGGAGCTCATCCAGGAACCAATACCCCTGTGGATACCAAGGGACCACTGTAGTTAGAATCATACCATATATAACCTTGTCACATAGGATTCTTTCCCATCTGAAAAGGACACTAACACACCATGCATTTACTATTCCTCAGTGTTTTTTGTAGTTTGATAACAGATGTATCACAGTTAGTTTATCCATCCACCTATTGAAGGACATATTGGTGCCTCCCAATTTTTGTCAATTATGAATAAAGTTGCTGCAAACATTGATGAGCAAGTTTTTGTGACCATAACTTTTCAACTTCTTTGGGTAAATAACTAGCAGTGGGGTTGCTGGACTGTATAGCAAGACCATGTTTAATTTTTTTTAAAAAGCTGCCAACCGTCCTCCAAAGTGATTATACTATTTTGCATTTCTGTCAGCAATCAATGGAAGTTCTGTTGCCCCACATCTTCCCCAGAAGTTGGTGATGGCAGCATTTCTGATTTTAGCAGTTCTAATAAATATGTGGTCATATCTTATTGTTGTGTTAAGTTGCAATTCCCTAAAGAGAAAGCATCTTTCATATACAGTTTACCCTTAAACAACATGGGTTTGAATTATACATGCCCACCTATTCACAGATATTCCTTCCACCTCCGTCACCCAGAGGCAGCTTGACCACCTGCTCCTTTTCCTCCTCCTCCTAAGTCCACTCAGTATGAAGACAATGAAGATAAAGACCTTTATAATGATTCACTTACACTTACATGTCATAAAAAGTAAATATATTTTCTCTTCCTTATGATTTTCTTAATACTGTTTTCTTTTTTCTAGCTTACTTTAAGAATACAGTACGTAATGCACATAACATACAAAATACATGTTAATCAACCGTTTATTTCTTGGTAAGCCTTCCGGTTAACAGTCGGGTATTAGGAGTTAAATTTTTGGAGAATCAAAAGTTATACCTGAATTTTCAGTTGTGCAGGGTGTCAGGCTCCCTAACCCCTGTGTTGCTCAAGAGTTGACTGTACTTACTTGTCATCTGTTTATCTTCTTCATGAGGTGTCTGTCCCCATCTTTAGTCTACTTTTAATCATTTATTTTCTTATTCTTTTGTTTTAATAGTTCTTGGTATATTTTGCCAGTCCTCCATCAAATATGTGTTTTAAGGCCAGGCGCGGTGGCTCACGCCTGTAATCCCAGCACTTTGGGAGGCCGAGGCGGGCGGATCACGAGGTCAGGAGATCGAGACCATCCCGGCTACAACGGTGAAACCCCGTCTCTACTAAAAATACAAAAAATTAGCCGGGCGTAGTGGCGGGCGCCTGTAGTCCCAGCTACTTGGGAGGCTGAGGCAGGAGAATGGCGTGAACCCGGGAGGCGGAGCTTGCAGTGAGCCGAGATCCCGCCACTGCACTCCAGCCTGGGCGACAGAGCGAGACTCTGTCTCAAAAAAAAAAAAAAAATACATTTTCCCACTCTGTACCTTGTTTTTTCATTTTCTTTTACAGGGAAGAAAAGAGATATTACTTTCTTTCATTGAAAAAAAATCCAACTTATTTTCCTGCAAGAATCATGTTTTTGGTGTTGCAACGAAAAACTAAAAATTGACAAATCCAAAATAACCTAGATTTTTTCCTATTTTATTTTCTAGAAGTATTATAGTTTTGTATTTTATATTTAGTTCTATAATCCATTTTGCATTTGTCTTAATCTGGTATCATTAATATTTTCTTTTATTTGTTTAATCTTCTTAAAAGTTATTTCCATTTTTTCTTGATTTAAGATTAAGCATTTAAAGCTGACTTTTTCTCTAAATTTTGTATTGCTTCATCACAAAAATTATGATCTAGGAATTTCACATCATTTATTTAATCATGTGCAAATTTATTTGCATTTCATCTTCATGCCAGTGTTGTCTAAGAAGGAAGTTTTTGCCAATTTAAATAACAGGGGATTTTTATTCTTTGATGTTACTTTTATTGATCGTATTGCCATCAAAAAGCATTGTCTTTACTCTTCTTAATTTTCTAAGTTTTCCTGTATGACTTAATATAATGGTAATTACATAAGGGTAACTTTTGTTACTCAACATAATGATACTCTATGTCCAGGGTAACATGAATAATATTTATCAATTATATATCCTCTACATTTTGTAAGGTTTTATGTCTTATAAGATATTTTTTAAAAACTGATTTGATTTTGTTCAGAGCAAATTACATTCTTCAACTATAGAATGGGCTTCCATCTATTTGTCCTCATACAACATGTAGCCATAGCTATGCTATTCAGTTAGAGACATGCATGACTTTCAGCTTAACTGAGGAAGGCAAACTTTAACATAGTAAAGTCTCTTTCTGTAAATGGATTTCTTTTGCAATTGCTTAATATGGCTTTGTGCTGGCTCTTTTCATTTTCAACATTCTAAATAATTTAGTTTACATGTTTTAAAAATATATATTACATATCTGGCTGGCTTTTGATTTTTGATACAACAGAAAATCAGCTTTTATTTTTTAATCAGGTGAGATTGGTTTATTTTTGATACTGTTGTGTAACATGTATGGATTGACTTTTTATATGTTTTATGTAGTTCCCTGCATTTAATATATTTTCCTTTAATAGTCTTCCCTTAGTTTTCAAAATTTATTTATTGCCTGCAGTCTTGTATTTAAAATAGATTGTATTTTTGTTCAAAAGTTTATTGAATATTTCTAGCATTTTTAATCTTTGTAGAATATCTGTAAATACCCTATTATGAATAATAACATTATGAAGATCTATGATTCCTCTTTTTACCCTCCTTTTCTAAATCATCAGATTTTCATCAGTAAAAGCTGAATTGCCAGCTTTAAACTACATTTATGACTCCCTGATATAATAAATGGGGCAATCAATAGCTTATCCTGCATCATATGTTTATTTCCCTCTTTCACTTCCAACTTTTAAAATTTACATTATTTTATATTTTAGGAGTATATTCCATTTTTATTGTTCTGTATCCCAAATGTCAATATTTGTTTTAGGATGTCCTTGTAGAAGTAAATAAATTCATTGCTCACCATCACTCCTTTAGCCATGGCTTTCTCAATTCTATCTTATTGGATGCTATTTATCTTCCAGAAATTAGAAAAAGATAATCTCACCACAATAATATGCCTTAAGTGATTGCAAGTTTAAAATGTTAATACCGTGTATGATTAAAAAGAAGCCTGTCAGATTATACGGTTTGCAAGCTTGACTATTTTTTTTCTCTGATTATTTTGAGGGTATTATTTCACTATCGTTTATGTTGAATATGGCAAAAAATAAATTTGAGCCTGCATTCTTCTCCCTTATCAGGGATTCCGTTCTCTGCCTGTTTGCCAAAATATCCATTCTTAATCATTAAGCTCTAATAATTCTATTTTGCTCATGTATAAATGTAGACTACTCTGGGATAATTTGTGATTTTTAAAATATAGATTCAAGTAAGTATTTTTTATTTTAAAAAGTTTGCTTAAATTACAATTTAATTCGTGTCTATAAATTTATTGGTGTGACTTTTATAAACTGATTCTGTGTATGTCGTGTCTTTGTCATTGCGTCTCTATAAATTATATTTGGTTTTCTTTTATTCTGATTGAATTAATTTACACTTTTTCATTTCTATCTTAAATGTATCTTCATGCCTTTTTTATTCTCCTGCATCTATTCTCACTTAAAGTTGTGTTTTCATATTTGTGTTTTGCTTTTCCTTCTTTTTCTTTCTGAAATTCTGCCAGTGCAACCGTCATTTTTTCATATTGCCATCTTTTCCTGTATGTTTTCCTTCTGTGGTAACTTTTTCTTATTATCGTAGATTTTCTCAATGGCCTACCAGTTTTTTAATTTATTCATTATGGGATTACTCATGGTTCTTAAGGTGAGTGTGCCAGTTATTAAATTAATGTTACTATATTTTACATTATAAGGTAGGGAACGTAGCCAATGACATTTCTGCTTTTCCAGACATCTCTGTGTTAACTTCTACCAATAGGGAAAACTACAAGAAAACTATGTGGCTGAAAGAGAAAGAAAGGGATTTGCTTTTTCATTTGCTTCCCTGGGGCTTCCTGTTCGCTTTCGGTTCCTTGAAGGCATTAACCTAGCAAAATTTCCCTCTGCAGCCACAGCACCACCCCACAGCAGCAGCTGAATTCAATTTCATTACTTTTAGAGGTTTGCAGAACCAGCTCCATGACCCACCCTCCACATACACATAGCCCACCGTCAACACCAACACCACTCAGTCAATCACTACTTTTCCAACGTCTGACCTTCAGACCTATGGGGCTCCTCCTCAAAACATCCCAGTTTTGATGTTTTCAGAATTTTCCTTTTGCTCCTTCAGCCTGAGGAAATAATAAAAGAAAATGAAAATATTAAAATTATGCTATTTATAATACCAAAAACAGTGGTATTCTGCTTAGTACGTAGAAAGCTGTATATGAGAGCATTTTCCCACCATAATTATACGAAAAAAATCTGATAACTGCCAAAATAATTACTTTTTCTTGAGTTCATCAGAAACCTCAGTCATAAGGCAAACAAGTGGGCTGAATTTTAAAATGCAACAAACCCCCCTTCAAGGGAACACTGGTGATGCTTCATTTTAAGAAGAACACAAGAAGTAGAGGTGACTCCCATAAAAGTGTCTATGAAGACAGCTAAATTTTTAATTAATTTTTACCAGGTATGTCGGTGATCATGAGGAATTGGAATCTCTGGGAGATACAGTTATAAAGTTTGCAATGAACTGCAAGCTCTTTTTCCAAGAGCATGTACTCGGTGTTCTTCAGAAACTCTGAGTGGGAGCGGTGCAGACTTGAAATTGTCCACCTTGGTGGTGCATAGGCATGAAATTCCACCCCGCTCCTGGGTCTTTCAGATGAAGCAAAGCCTCAAGCTTCTTTGGCGTTGGGGAGGGAGGAACTATGTCATAGCTCAGGGTCCAGGCAAATATCTCAGGCTTCCTGGGGGGTCAAGCGGAAGGAAGCATTTTTTGACTGTGAGGGAAGGCCAGAAGTCACCTGGACTCACCATGTGTCTCTTACCATGTTAAAAAGCAACAGTAATCTACTTTTACAGAGTGGTCAGAAATGCTTCTGCTACCATTTCTAGCAATCATACCCTGCCACTGTAGGAAGAGTAAAAGCAAACGCTTCTTAAGCCACCTGAACTGCAATAAAGTTGCTCAGGCCTAAGATTCTACCCTGATAAATAACAAAGTTCTGAAATACATGTATATATACATATATCTATTCAGAGACTGCCATCCCCTACCATAGCCAGACATGACATAGTATCAGTGGTGTAAAATGGTGTATCATCGGTTGTGTATCAGTGGTGTAAAATGAACAAGTTGAGAACATTTCTGGAGATAAATAATAATTCCTTTTTATTTTATAAAAGAAAATATGATACCTACTGAAAACATACAACAATTAAAATTTTCAATATATATACATTTGCAATACATATCAATGATATAATTTTAGCACTTTTAATTAATTAGAAGTTTATTGGGTGAAAAACTAGTTTTCAAAATCCTAAGTACACTTAGTGACCTGTTACACGTAATAAGGTTATGTCCCTGAGTTCAGTTCCCCTCATTGCTTTTTACTGCTATAACTGTCCGCTTCAAATGTGTCCATTGTAAAGTAGCTAGGGCTAATAATGGTGCTGCTTTCTGATGTAGTGGGATGTGTTTTGCGTGTCTGAAAAATCAATGTGACCCTGGAATAGAGGTTGTCATGATCTACCTTTCCCAAGTTTCATATCATTTGGGAAGATATGGAAGAGAGTTTTGCTTTCTGGATGCAGGTAATAAGACCAAATAGAATCAAATGGAATTCTAGGACAGAAGTCAACTATGGAACAAACTTGACAGCTGTTATCATTACATAAAGTTTTATAAGAATTGACATTATGATTCTACAGGTTATTCATTCTACATTATTTACTCCAAAATTTAGTTTTTCAAAAAACTGGATTCTTCTCAGTCTTAATTTTATCAAATCATGTATCTATGAAAAAAATTTATGTATATAAAATTCTATATTTCATTTATACAGGGATTTATAAATTGCAGCAATTTCAGAGATATTATACAATGTCATTGTACATCCATGACAGTGCTGTGAGGCTATTCTTACTCACAGTGTGAAATGCATTAGAGCTATTAAATGATTTGTTATCAGTTCACATAATTTGTAAATGGTGAAGGTAGAATGAGTGGCCACTCTTCTGTCTCCTAACAAGTTACCCAAAGAAAATGCAGCACTCCCTGATACGGTGTCGAATGCTTCTGGAGTCTGAACAAGCATGCAACTGAGGAAGATTGGACAGCCATGCAACTGGAGAAGATTTATATCAATTATGTCCATACCAGTAAGCCTCCCTGCCTTTCTGTCTTACTAAATGTTATTTACCAAAATAATTACTTTGCCTTCTGGTGGACTTTGGCTTTAATTACTTAGGACTAAATATTTGCATTTGTATTAATGAAGACATATATGTATAGGCCTTTGCCAGAAATTTGGCTCTCAAGACCAATCAGTTTAGGCCAACAGGCCAAGAACTTTTCATGCACTATTACCTACTCATGTATTGTTTGTATTCTTTATTTTATTGGACATTATTGACGTCCTCAGTAATTCACTATCAAACATGAAAAAAATTCTAAACATTCGCAAATATTTTAGTCCCTATTCTTTATAGAAACAAATATAAATTAATTATATACCAATAAGTATGTTCTCATTGAGGGTCGGAAAGTCTCTCATTTGTAAAAAAAAAAAAAAAAAAAAAAAGAACGTTATGCTTGTAATTTGTGACTTTTGTTTTTTTTTTAGGTTAAAAATATTTTACTGGCCAGACATGGTGACTCACGCCTGTAAATCCCAGCACTTTGGGAGGCCGAGGCAGGCGGATCACTTGAGGTCAGGAGCTCGAGACCAGTCTGGCCAACATGGTGAAACCCCGTCTCTACTAAAAGTACAAAACTTAGCTGGGTGTGTTGGTGTGTGCCTGTAATCCCAGCTACTTGGGCAGCTAAGGCAGGAGAATCACTTGAACTCAGGAAACGAAGGTTTCAGTGAGCCAAGGTCATGCAACTGCACTCCAGCCTGGGCAACAGAGCGAGACCCTGTCTCAAAAAAATAAAATAAAATAAATAAATAAATAAAAATATTTTACTATAATATTTGCAGTTATATTCTGAATAGGTTCAGTATATCAAGATGTCACATTCTTTCAGGGAAAAATGAAAAAATTGTTGTTAGTTTCTGATATTGTTTGGCTCTGTGTTTCCACCCAATTCCCATTTTGAATTGTACTCCCATAATTCCTTTCATGTGTGGGAGGGACCTGGTGGGAGATAATTAAGTCTTGGGGGGCAGTTTCCCACATACTGTTCTCGTGGTAGTGAATACATCTTATGAAATCTGATGCTTTTAAAAACAGAAGTTTCTCGCACAAACTCTTTTTTTTTCCTGCCATCCACGTAAGATGTGACTTGTACCACTTTGCCTTCCGCCATGACTCTGAGGCCTCCCCAGACACGTGGAACTGTGAGTCCAATTGATATGGTTTGGCTCAGTATCCCCACCCAAATCTCATCTTGAATTGTACTCTCATAATTCCCACATGTTGTGGGAGAAACCCAGTGGGAGAAAATTGAATCATGGGGCAGTTTCCCTCATACTGTTTTCACGGTAGTAAATAAGTCTCACGAGATCTGATGGTTTTATCAGGGATTTCTGCTTTTGCATCTTCCTCATTCCCTCTTGGTCTGCTGCCATCCATGTAAGCTGGGACTTAATTCTCCTTGGCCTCCACCATGATTGTGAGGCTTCCCCAGCCACGTGGAACTGTGAGTCAAATTAAACCTCTTTATTTTGTAAATTGCCCAGTCTCAGGTACGTCTTTATCAGCAACCAGCGTGAAGATGAACTAATACATCAGTTAAACCTCTTTCCTTTGTAAATTGCCTAGTCTCGGGTATGTCTTTATGCACAGTATGAAAAGGGACGAATACAGTAAATTGGTACTAGTAGAGCGGGGTGTTGCTGAAAAGATACCAGAAAATGTGGAAGCACCTTTGGTACTGGCTAACAGGCAGAGGTTGCAACAGTTTGGAGGACTCAGAAGAAGACAGTTTGGAACTTCGTAGAGACCTGTCGAGTGGCTTTGACCAAAAGCCTGATAGAGATATGAACAACAAGGTCCAGGCTGAGGTGGTCTCATATGGAGATGAGGAACTTACTGAGAATTGAAGCAAAGGTGACTCTTTTCATGTTTTAGCAAAGAGACTGGCAGCATTTTTCCCCTGTCCTAGAGATGTGTGGAACTCTGAACTTGAGAGAGATGATTTAGAGTATCTGGCGGAAGAAATTTCTAAGCAGCAAAGCATTCAAGATGTTACTTGGGTGCTGTTAAAGGCATTCAGTTTTATAAGAGAAGCAGAGCATAAAAGTTCAGAAAATTTGCAGCCTGGCAGTGTGACAGAAAAGAAAAACTCATTTTCTAGGGAGAAATTTAAGCCCTCTGCAGAAATTTGCATAAGTAACAAGGAGCCAAATGTTAATCCCCAAGACAATGGGGAAAATGTCTCCATGGCATCAGAAGTCTTCCCCGAAGCCCTTCTCATCAAAGGTCCCGAGCCCTAGAAAAAAACAGTTTCCTGAGTCAGGCCCAGGGTCCCCCTTCTGTGTGCAGCCTAGGGACTTGATGCCCTGTGTCTCAGCCCCTTCAGCTGTGGATGAAAACCATGGCTTCAGAGGGTGCAAGCCCCAAGCCTTGGCAGCTTCTCTTTGGTGTTCAGCCTGTAGGTACACAGAAGTCAATAACTGGGGTTTGAGAACTTCTGCCTAGATTTCAGATGTATGGAAATGCCTGGATACCCAGTCAGAAGTTTGCTGCAGCAGTGGGGGGCTCATGGAGAACCTCTCTGCTGGGGCAGTGCAGAAGGGAAATGTGGGGTTGGAGTTCCCACACAGAGTCCCTACTGGGAAATCACCTAGTGGAGCTGTGAGAAGAGGGCCACTGTCCTCCAGCCCCCAGAAGGCTAGATCCACTGACAGCTTGCACCATGCACCTGGGAAAGCCACTGACACTCAATGTCAGCTCATGAAAGCAGCTGGGAGGGAGGCTGTACTCTGCAAGGCCACAGGGGCGAAGCTTAGCAAGACCATGGGAGCCCACCTCTTGCATCAGCGTGATCTGGATGTGAGACATGGAGTAAAAGGAGATCATTCTGGATCTTTAAGATTTGAGTGCCCCGCTGGATTTTGGACTTTCATGTGGCCTGTAGCCCCTGTGTTTCAGCCAATTTCTCCCATTTGGAATGGCTGCATTTATCCAATGCCTGTACCCACATTGTGTCTAGGAAGTAACTAACTTGGTTTTGATTTTACAGGCTCATAGGTGGAAAGGACTTGCCTTGTCTCAGATGAGACTTTGGACTATGGACTTTTGAGTTAATGCTGAAATGAGTTAAGACTTTGAAGGACTGTTGGGGAGGCATGATTGTGTTTTGAAATATGAGGACATGAGATTTGGGAGGGGTCAAGTTGGAATGATATGGTTTGGTTCTGTGGCCCCGCCTAATTCTCATCTTAAATTGTACTCCCATAATTCCCACATGTTGTGGGAGGGACTTGGTGGGAGATAATTAAATCATGCGGTAGTTTCCCCCATACAGTTCTCACGGTAGTGAATAAGTCTCACGATATCTGATGGTTTAAGGGGAAACCCATTTTGCTTGGGTCTCGTTCTCCCTCTTGCTGCCACCATGTGAGATGTGCCTTTTACCATCCACCATGATCGTGAGGCCTCCTCAGCCACGTGGAACTGTGAGTCCAATAAACCTCTTTGTTATGTAAATTGCCCATACTTGGATATGCCTTTATCAGCAATTCGAAAACGAGCTAATATAGTTTCATATTTTAGCAACATTCTATATCTACAACTAAGTCTTTCTGTGAAAGTCAAATATTCCTATAGAGAAGGTGGCTAAATCAATGCTATTTAGAAATCCTAAACAAATCACTGTCAGGAGAAATTACTTTTTAGGCTAAGTGATTTTCAAATAATGATTTCTTTATAATGAAAACTAATAAGCATTTTACCACAGAGTATGATTGCTTCTAAATTGCTGAATGGATAATAAGCATTTTCATTTGTTTTTTAAAAATATATCTGTAAGTTCATATTTCTTTGAAAACATGTGTGGAAGTCCTAATTCCCTTCAACATAACCCCAAATGACATCACAGGTACTGATGACACTGTTCTTCTTTGGCTAGATCACTTCATGCCCTTGCAGACTGATAACAATCACCATAGGGAATAGAATTCTGTTGTTCAAACTGAAAAGCAAAATGTAGAAAGTAAAAATAAATAAAGAAAACAGCCCCAGCAGTAATGATTAAGTTTGGCAATGGAAATGTGCTGTCCTCAGACTCCAAATACATGTTATATAAGTATATTACACTGCCAAAAGATTGCTACAAGGCACATGGAGTTACACTGAAAATCTAAGGACATTAGCATTGACTGTTCCAATGCACTAGGGGATGGATTAGCATCGCTGTTGATGCGTACAGTTATGAAATTGTCTCAGTGAGAATGAGATCTGGAGACGTAATTTAAGAATTAATTTTAACTGTTTTCAATGAGTAGTTTATCGTTATTATTGTTACTGTTATTATGAAAATATTCAGTTGTTACTGACAGTTTTTTTTCTCTTAGAAATAGATGTATATTGATATAGATGGCTATGTCCTAACTGTGCTGGTAAATATCAGGGCCACATCTTGCCAGAATGCAAATCTTGCTTGGTTTTTGGTTCCCTGACTATGAAAAGGAAGTAGATTGGATCTACAGCTCTAAGTGTAGATGGAACATATTAACTGCTAGAAATGTCTACTTCTGTATTCCATGTATTTCTGAGACTTTTTATTCATCTCAAGATATATTTGTGCTGCCACTTGATTTGTTTTTACCCTAGTGTTGCTGAATTCTTGAATTTCTAGTCTTTGAATACGCATAGAGAAAATTACTGCTCTGGTGGGCTCAGATCATCTGTTCTCTTACAAATGGAGCATGGCTATGCAGAAAGTACAGTCCATGGATTCTACGTATTGAAGCATCCAGTGGGAAAGATAGAGTGTTTTACTTCTCTTTGTGGGTACACATCTTGCTCTTTTCACCTCCAAATATCTTGATAAAATAATATATTAGAACATACTGTAGAACTGCTGATTTCCTAATCTGCAATATATAAATTTAACATTTTTTAAAAAAAAATTTATGACTTATTTATAGTTATCCAAGATTGATGTTCAGTGATTCTTTTTTCAGATTTTTAATGCTTTGAAGTCAGTTATTTCAAGACTATTCTAGAATAATTAGAATGGAAATGAATTAGATGGTTCTGTGTCAATTTCAAGTTTAATATTCAGTATATTCCAAGATGATTCCTTGTGCATTTTTGAAATCTGATAAAAACGTTTCTATTCTTAGTCCTTTGGCACCATTTTTTTTCAGTACATTTTTAGTTTGTTTTTAAGTTGATGGTTAGCATGAGTAACAGAGGAACAACATTCCTCCTTAGAGCCTGGGTCACCTTAGGAAAAATCATGGGTAAGTTTGGAAGTCGTAAATCGTCACCCTTACTTTCACATTACAAAAGCATATCTCTTTACTATGTAAATTTTCACTTTTTGACACCAAGACCAGTCCAATGGTTATATACATATAAATATATAAACACATAACTGTGTTTTACTTAATCCAGAGATTTCCATAAGCAAACATGTTCCACAGAAATATTTTTTGAGGGAAAGGAAACATTTCAAGTTATCTAAAAATAATTTACCCCCTGCATTTTTCTAGACAGAAATTAATGATAGTAATGCCTGTTACCATCTGTTTTATAGATCCTTCAGTGATCTAATTTTAAAGAAAAATAAATACACTTACCACTGAAAAAATCATATTTTTAACACACATTTTTCTTTCTATCCATTAGGAAGTTTAAAATTTCTAAGATAAAATAAGAAGCTCATTTTTCTTAACCAGGTCATTAAGAAAATATGAAGAAAAACAAGACAAGATACAAATATTGTTTCATTATATGAACCTATCAATAATTTGTTTTAGCATTTTTTACATATACTTATTAATATTCAATTATGGTTAAGATATGAATCGTGTACTTCGATGAATCAAAGATGACTGATTGATTTCCTTACTTAGATGAATCTTAGTTATTTTGAAACTTGTTTAGATAAAAATAATTTTCCAGTGAGACAATTTTATAAGTATCGTACAAGTTGGTTGAACCTCAGTTAACTACTCTTTTGACTTTAATTTTAGAAAATGGACAGTAGTTGATGCCAAAAATGATTCTGTTCATGATTATCTGGTATGAACCTCAACAAATTAAAATTGATGACATTTATAGAATGTAACTAAGTCGAGATTCTAGAGGGGGAATCAAACTCCTCTTGATTGCATATGATTCTGTATGTCCTTAATTAAAGTGATTAGCAACACTGTTTTGAATAGAATCTCCCCGTACCTCCTCTTTGAGCTCTTCCAGCCACATCATCCACACTGTGCTCTGTGTATCCAATCACCTGTCAGACTGTATCCACTCTTCCCTCTCTGTGCACCTTCACTTTCTGCACATAATAAACCCTCTTTCTGGAATGTGTGTTTTCTGTTTTCATCTCTTCACTGTAAAACTACTATCTCCATTAAGTCTTTGCTTATTTATTTTAATTTAGTTCTGTTTAATCCAGTATTCCATGTCTTGCACAGAATCTTGCACAAAACTGATTGGCTTTTCCCAATCAGTTGGGATTTCTCTCTCCATAGACTTCCTGTATCAGTTGATTCATTTTGATTTATATTTATAATATAATGGACCATGTTTTAGTTGTTTGTACTCACAAAAGAAATGTGTTTAGTCCATCTTTATATTTTCTATAATGGTTACTGTATCTTGCTGACTTTTTAGCAATATGTCCTTAGTTTCTAAGTACATTCCACACATAGCTTTCATTTATAGATATTTAAATTGCTGATTGGAGCATATGTTGCATCAGATAAATTATTGTTTGTTAAATGGATATAATAAAAGTCCCAACAGTCAGTGACAATCCTACCTTTTGTTGTCATGCTTAGAGGATGTTACTGTCAACTTCAAAGAATATCTGGAACGCCTTATTTACATTTCCCACATTCTATCAATTGACTGAAAGATTTTTGTATCTCACCAGGTCTCATGATCTGTTTTACAAACTCCTTTTCTAAAAGCCATCTGTCTTACAATTTAGTATTTCTAAATTCTTGCAATGGTCACCTAAGGATCACTATAATTATATATAAAAATTTAGAAATGCAATTTTAGAAATAAACTAAATATAAAATATAACTAAGGATCGCTATAATTATATAGTTATATAACTAAGGATCACTGTATATAATCTAAGGATCACTATAATTATATATGAAAATTTAGAAATATAATTTTAGAAATATAACTAAATTTAAAAATTTAGAAATATAACTTTAATGCCGTGTATATTTAGAAGTATAGTTATGTTTCTAAATTCTCACAGTGGTAATCTAAGGATCACTCTATATATGTATAATTGATATATACACTATCAATATCTATATTATATACACACCATGTACATACATTATACATACTGTATAACTATATACACTATAATTATGTAATTATAGAGAGTCTGTAATTTTGTCCATCTGCTAGTACTTTGCATCTTCCTTGTTATGATTCCATAACAACAAAAACCATGAGACTTCCCAAACTCACTACGCTTTTCCAAGCTTCATCATCTAGAAACATGTTATTCTCTGCCTCTGGATATTCCCTCCCCCACTTAGTCATCTGGCAATTTTCCATTATTTTTGTTTGTTTGTTTAGTGTTATCTCAAATGTTACCCCTGTGTAGAGATTTACTCAACTCTCTCATTAGGACAAGAGTGTTTTCCTCTGCTTAACTACACATTGTAGGATATTATTACTTTATTTTTCAATTGTTGGGTTGCAGTTGTGGAAATTGTTTGCCCTTCTATAAGCTCCCCTTTTGCATCACATCTTCAAATTTTGGAAAATACATATATATATGTACATATATATATAATATTTGAATAAATTTATAAATAGATAATTGTATTACACAGAATGCTGGATTACATATATTTTTTTCTTTCTGAAGAAAGTATTCAAATTTTTATGATATTAAATTTCAGAATTTATTGATTATATTTTTTAAAAATATCTTCATTTGAGATCATAGAGAAAATACAAAAGTCATTCAACTCCCAAAATAGTGTCTAACCCAAGTTATTCATGAACATTTTAACTTTATCTCACAATCAAAAAGAGGAGAATTTGCTTCCAGTCTCCCGTTGAAATGGCAGTGCTCTGTGGAAGTCACAGATTATGGTTTTTCATGTCATGTGTACATCTAGCTGCAAAGAAGCCTACAAAATGTAGTCTCTAACTTTATTGAGATTTTATTACAAATATTAAGAGAAGGAAAAATGGACATTGGAGAAAATTAGCAATAACTGCCACAGGGAGTAAATATTAGCATTTTCACATTTTGTTTTTAGAGTGGTTGCATACTTAATCTCTGATAATTCTCATTCTGAAAAAGGATCAGCTTAAATTTGGTGTATATTTTATAAATTCTTTATTCATAAGACTAAAACATCCTAACATTCCACTTACCTAATATAACTCTAAAATGCTTTAAATTATTATGCTAACTTTAACATTGATTTTTAATTCCAACTTAATTTCTTTGATTTTTTTTTCTTTCTTTGGAAATTTCTATACTCCTAGCTAATGCTTTGATTTTACTCACCATCTTGTATGATGGGTTGTATAGAAGGCTAAAATTCCTGAAGGAAAAAAGACTAATTGTGCATTATTGATATTAGTTGTATAATAATAAAATCCAAGCTTATCAGATGGGTCAAAAGTTTGGGAAAAAAGCTAATTAAATATACAAATAACGTATCCTCCAATTTACCGTTGTTAGATATACTCAGTTGGTCTAAACCCCTGCTCATCTCTTCTTGACATATAGTTACAGCGATGATATTTCAGCATCTGCCGTAACAAATGATGCCATAAATCTGGAGTCAAGTTGCCTGCATTCAAATCCTGACACTGTTAAAAGCTTTGTGACATTCAGAAACTTACTCAACTTCTTTCTCGTGTTTATGTGTGTGTGTATGTTTTGACCTGTCAAATGGAACTAGAACCAATAATTCTATGGTCCCATTCATATGAAACGTCCAGCATAGGCAAATCTATAAAGACAGGAAGTAGATTTGTGGTTGCTTAGGGATGGATGTCATGGTGAGCTGGGGTTAGGGATGGGAAGAGGGGTTGATACATATAAGTTACACAGTTTTTTTTGTTGTTGTTGTTGCAGGTGGAAATCCTATTCTAGCATTAATTTTGATGATAATACACCTACCTGTGAATTTAGTAAAAACATTGCATTGAACACTTCAAATGGTTGAATTGTATGGTATGTGCACTATTTCTCAATATATAGCTGTTAAAAAATAAATATGTTTGCTTCTCATCTTATTATGCCTCTTATATCAGTTTCATTGCAGGAGCAACATTTATTCTTGATGAACAGTCTCACTGCTCCTCCTGGACGTGACCTGTCGACTCCCGCAGCTGTCCCCATTGGTGCTTTCTGTCTTACATTTATTGCGGATACTCACTTTGTAAATCTTCGCGTCCAATTTCTAAGATGTTATTTCTGTTCTGTTTTGTTCCAACTCAACTATATTTTCATTTCTTGGTAACGTGCCAATCATATAGTTACTTGATTAAGGTACCGGATCAATTTGTTCAATATCTCAGTCCTCATGCACAGCTTACTGAAGAGTGTGAGGGACAGAATTGGAGTTCTCTTGTAACATGAGGGTGGTCTGGGAATAGGAGGTCCATAGATTCTAATACATACATATCAAGTGTTATCTCTACCCATTAAACTAGGAATTTCATGCGCATTTACTTTTATTGATATTCTTAGGCACTATTGAAAGAGCTTATATAATGTTTTTAAGGTATTGTAAAGTATAAAGAATATATTATCAAATCATATTTGTTATTTTCCAAATCTTCAACTTTAGGTTTTAAGCTAAAAATAAATTATAAAATTGGTTAGGAGAAAAAAAATTCTAATTTGTTTGTTCCAACATTGGAAAGTTACTAAAAATTATTAAATAGTTCCTTACCTGGCTGCATAAAATAAGATTTTCTTGCTAGTTCAGGAAATGATAATGAATGTATAATACTTTAATTGGTTTGAACCCATACATATCATTGCGTAGTTATTTTCTCTTTGGCTAAATTTACTCAATTTTATTCATTCATTTAGTTATTCATTTATTCAATCAGTCAGTTCATAAATGACTATTAAGTTTTGAATATGTGCAAAGCACTCTGATACGTGTGAATAGATCAAGACCGCTGTGCTTGAGCTTGAGGGATGAATAATTAGTGAAGGCAATGTGGTAAATTCTAAGATAGAATTTTGCATTAAGTAAAAGAAAGAAGCACCTGTCATTTTCTCAGGCATCCAGTAATATTCCACAGTGCAATTTCTAAAAATGCAAGTTAGTTCAGTGTGGTGGTTGATTCTGATGTCAACTCGACTGGATTAAGGGATACACAGATAACTGGTAAAATATCATTTATTCTCAATTATTGCAATAGTTATTCTAAATGTTTCAGCAGGGAGTGAGCCTGTTCATCATTTGCTGAAAGGGAAACTTTGTTGGTTTGGCATTTGATTAGAATGATTAAACTGCCCTGGGCGTGTCTGTGAAGATATTTCTGGAGGTGATCTCAGTGGGGAAGCTAGTAGTCTGAGTGGAGAAGAACTTCTCTCAATGTGGGCTGGTGCCATGTGATTGGATGGGAACCTGGATGGAACAAAAAAAAAAAAAGAAGGAAGAGTGAATTCTTTTTTACTGATACACTGATAAATAACAGTTGTACATATTTATGGAGTACATGTAATATTTTAATACAAGCATACAATGTGTAATGATCAAATCAGGGTAATTGGGGTATGCATCACCTCAAGCATTTATCATTTCTTTGAATTTGGAACATTCTAATTCCATTCCTCTACTTATTTTGAAATATATAATAAATCGTTGATGACTATAGTCACTCTGTTGTGCTACTAACTGTATTTTCATGCCTGTTAACAATCGCTCTATATTGTCTCCACCTCCTCACTACCCTTCCCAGGCTCTTGTAACCATCACCTTAAGCTCTGTCTCCATGAGATAAAGTTATTTAGCTCCCACAAGTGAACGAAAACATGTGACATTTGTCTTTCTGTGCCTGGCTTATTTCACTTAACATAATGTCCTCCAGTTCCTCAATGTTGTTGCAAATGACAGATTTTCTTAATTTTTATGGCTGAATATTATTCCTTTGTGTATATATACCACATTCTCTTTATCCATTCATCTGTTGATGGACGCTTAAGTTGATCCCATATCTTGGCTATTGTGAATAGTGCTAAAATAAACAGAGGAGGGCAGATTTTTTTTGATATACCGATTTTCTTTGTTTTGGGTATATGCCCAGCAGTGGGATTGCTGGATTATATACTAGTTCTAATTTTAGTTTTTTGAGGAACGTCCATACTGTCCTTCATCGTGGCTGTACTACTGTGGTGGTACACCAACTATTTTATGTTTACGTTCCCACCAACAGCGTCTGAAGTCTCCACTTCCTCCACATTCTCGCCAGCATCCATTATTCCCTGTCTTTTTGATAAAAGACATTTTAAACTGGGGCGAGATGACAAAAGTTTCTTGAGTAAAACCTCAGAAGCACCAGGCACCCAAAGCAAAAATGGACAAATGGGATCCCATCAACCTGGAAAGCTTCTGTACAGCAAATAATCAACAAAGTGAAGAGACAACCCACAGCATGGGAGAAGATATTTGCAAACTACTCACTTGACAAGGGAATAATAGCCAGAATATGTAAAGAACATAATCACCTTTATAGCAAGAAAAAATAATAATTTAATTAAAAATGGCAAAATATATGAATAGACTTTTCTAAAAAGAAGACATACAAATGGCCAACAGGTATATAAAAATGCTAAACATCTCTAATCATCAAAGAAGTCAAAACCACAGTAAGATATCACCTCACTCCGGGAAAGTGAACTCTTGTTCTCTTTCTTCTGGAGCCAGAACACCCTTCTTCTCCTAGCCCTTGGATATCAGAACCGCAGGTTCTCCAGATTTTGGATTCCAGGGCTCTTTCCAGGGACCAACTGCTCCCAACCCAGCTCCACTCTCTCAAGCCTTCAGCCTTTAATTCCATCTTCTCCCTTAGTTCTGAAGCCTTTGGAGTTGGACTCAGCCACACTCCTGGCTTCTTTGTCTCCAGTTTGTAAACGACCTAATGTGGGACTTCTCAGCTTCCATCATGCTATGGGGCAGTTCCCCTAATAAATCCCCTCCTATATATGTCTCTGTGTATATATCCTGTCAACTCTGTTTCTCTGGAGAACCCTGACTACACCATTCAGTATAATCCCATCTATATTGAGTGCATACCGTTTCTGTCAGACCATGTTAGGTCTTAAAGACAACACAGGCTCACTCCCTTCCAGGAGCTCACAGATTAATAGGGAAACAAATCTTTGGCCTTCCCTGCAGTACCATAACTGTGGGAATGTTAACAAGGCCTAAGCGGAATACGAAGAAGAAATAAATAAATTGATAGTTGTCTTCTTGATGACAGAAATGTTTTATTGGACTTTGAGGATTGAGTGGTTTTCTAAAGTGTCATGGCAATTTTGTAGCATAATCCAGTCAAAGGGAATAACATGCATGAAGGCATATCCACAAAGAGGAATTGACAAACCTTCTGTTTAACATGATAGCCATAGAAAGTGAACAAGAAGATTCACAAAGGAGGGGACTAGGGAATTGCACAAGGGATATGTATTAGTCCTTTCTCACGCTGTTAATAAAGATGTACCCGAGGTAATTTAAAAGGAAATAGGTTTAATGGACTCACAGTTCCATATGGCTGGGGAGGCCTCACAGTCACGGTGGAAGGTGAACGAGGAGCAAAGTCACATCTTACATGGCGGCAGGCAAGAGAGCTTGTGTAGGGGAACTCCCCTTTATAAAACCATCAGATCTCATGAGACTTACTCACTATCATAAGAACAGCACATGAAAGACCCACCCTCATGATTCAGTTACCTCCCACCAGGTACCTGCCACAACAAGATGAGACTTGGGCGGGGACACAGCCAAACCATATCAGGATAGAAAAAAAGATATATTTAAAATGTAATTAGAGGATTTGACCAAATCTAGGAAAGACTTGAGAATCATTAAAATGTTTTAGAAAATTTATACCATGTAATGTGATTCAGTTTAATTGCTAATATTATAAAAATGAGAGAATGAATTGAATTTGTAGTTTTTCAGATAAAATATTTCGAGATTATGTATTAGTATAGTTACATGAGGGCATGGAGAAGAAAATGCAGAGTTTGAAAAATTGCTTTTAAAAAATAGAATGGATACAATGTGATGACGAATTGAACTTTGGGAATGAGGTATTTATGTTACTTATTTACCTTGGTAAACTGAGTTAGTGATTACTTTTATCAGAACTGTACTAAATGGTGAGTAGTGTGTGAAATTCTGCGTTTACAGAACTGTATAAAATAGATTCTCATTCAATTCTAATGGAAAAAGAAACATGAACTAACTTTCTGAAAAAACTAAAACTGTGAAATGCAGAAGGAACCTGGAGAAGGAGAGAAACCTGGGCAGACTTCCTGGAGAACACTCACGTTCATTTTATAGAGTAATAGGAAACCTCAAGATGAATATGAGAGAAGAGTGGATAGGATGGTCATCCTAGCCACAAATACACCAAATGTTGTGAGGTGTCTGGACTACAACTAGATGATGTACAAACTGCAGGCAGAAAAGGGCTAGAGTTGATTCCGGGGGAGTAGAAGGGATTCATATAACATGTTGAGTGGTTTGCCATTTATCCTGTACAAGACAGTGACGAGTAAGAGGTGTGTGTGTGTGTGTGTTTGTGTGTGTGTGTGTGTGTGTGTTTAAGGAAAATGGCATGGTTAGCTTTGTGTTCTAGATTACTTGGCTGGTTCTATTAAGAACTGATTTTCAGAACTACAAGAATGAAAACATGCACTTCAAGGGAAAAGATTTTCGGAAATGTTATATAACAGGCCCCGAAACAAGATTCCTGTTTTCTTGGAGGTTTAGCTGACGGGGCAGTGCCATTAAGTGAGAGAGACAACATATAATGATTCATTATCATATATTGAACCAGCTTATGGTTCAATCTACTTAGATTATAGATTTAAAGATTGCAGCTGGGTCTGGCTCTTTGCTGAGTGGGTGCCGCAGAAGAAAAGCATTTAAATATTTTGCTAATTTTCTTCCTTTTTTCTAGACCAAAGGCTGAATTCTGAAGGAAATGAGATTAGGAAGAAACATAAATTTTTAAAAACAGACAAATACAAAAGTGAAAGGTGTCTATGAAGGTTCAAAGATCTGGCATGTGTATCAGGCATTGCTTGAGAAAATAACCCTGGCAAGAAATAGTGCCAGAAAGCTAAATGAAAGAAACAAACAAATAACTTTTTGGTGTATAAGGTTGAGCAGTTTCAAATGACAGTAAGCTATGTATGACCCTAAAAAAGAAGCAGAAGTCTTGATCACATATTAATTGATTAATTGACAACACTTTACTATGTGCTTACTTTACACCCACTATTTGGCAGGGAATGTTTTCAGAACCAGAAAGTCCTCGGTGAGCAAAGACCAAATATTCTTAGATTCAGTATTCTAAGTGTGTGTGCCACATCAGTGATGAAATCTTTCAAGATGATGACAGATATTTTTCAAAGGTCTTCAATCCATATGTTTGAGTGATATGATAATTGAGATGAATATAATAGAGAAATGAGAAAGAGTGATAGTATACATAGACTGCATGAGACTCAAAGGAACACAAGTTTTCAAAGTCACTGGATGCGTATTGATTTGGTGGTTTCAGCTGGTGTGCCATCCTAGTCCTGAATTGTCTGGTGTGGAAGCAGGCTATGGAGTCAACGGGGTGTCTCCTCCCTCCTCCAGAGACGATGACTGCTATGTGTCTGCTATGCATCTAGTCATTCAGATATTCAATTACAGATTACTTTAAATTCCGTGTACTGGAAAGACTTGAAATTCATGAAAGGATTCCTAAACATTTTAATTTTTCGTTGATTTTCTGAATTTTTTTTAATAAGGAAAGCTCAAAGATACTTTTTGACTACTAAAAAATGTCCCCAGACATGATGATCCGACCTTTGTTTTTAATTATTTGTGATTTGAAATTGATTGTAGCAATGCTATAGCATAATAGCTGAAACTGTACCCTGACAGCTTCTTCTATGCCACAAGCAGATTTAATATCTTCTCCCTTGGGTTTCTAATAAGATATCATCACTTTTGAGTCTTAGGATACTCTGCATTTAGCATACTCTGCTTTTAATACAGTAATTTGTGTTTCCCTTTTCTCCATGATCACTCTTCCAGCTCACTCATCATATAGGATAACTCTAAACTTCTTGATGGCAAGGACTGTATTTGCCTTGATGGCAAGGCTGAGATCTTTGAATCTCTGCCTACAGTAACTCAAAGAAACATCTGTTATATAGATCTTTATTTTAAATTAAAAAAAAGAAAAAGAAAAGAAACTCACATTTTGGCAATATCGTATGTTTTTTCAAATCATTCTTAAAATTAAGTGGTATACTATTTAATAATTTCATTAAACTCTTGATTTGATAACAGGTGACCAGAGTAATTCCTTTAGAAAATAAGATGCCAGTAGAGTTTTTGGAAGATTATTTAACAGAAATATCTTAAAGCTATCTTCTTCAAAATTGTCACCTGCTATTACAAACTTCCTATTGAGGTATCTGTATCAAACCATGCTTGCTAGCTCCTAGAGTACTATCTAAAATTATAAATTTAAACTATATATGTATTATGTATTATGCATTCAAACATCCATGTCTTTAAAATCTAAATCTGTCACTGAGACATGTTTCCAGCTTTTTAAAAGAAATTAAGCAAAGCTGAATTTTTTTTTTCACCTGTGTAACACAGCTGCCCTTCACATGTAAAGTAAGTATATAACATCAGTAATCTGTCTTAGGAAGGGCCATTATTTCCTTTTATATTCAAGAAACAATAATGCCAGCTCATAGTCTGTATAACTGAGAGGAGTTCAATCCTCTCCCACATCTACATGAACATCTCATTGACTTCTCCATTTGGCTGAAGGTCTCAACTTCTCTGTCATTCTTGTGGTTCTTTTGTCCCTAATTCTTTATGCTGTTCTCACTGCTTCTTTTCTACTTTAAAGAAGCCAACATTTGCTTCTGAACCCCCAAAATACTTTACAAAAGGGTGTGTTGATTTAACAGGCTTTGCTGTAGCGTGAGGGTGATATAAGATAATTTTATCAAGTGGAAGGGTAGTAAATATAAGTACCAGATAGCAGCTATGCACATCCTGAGAGCTCCTTAGGGATGAGCCCCCGCTCAGTAACTCAGCCCACCATGTTTCTGAGGACCTCTGTTCCCTCACACTGAAATCCATGTCTGTTTTTTGATAACCAAATAGAGCATGTAGGGTTGTTTGGGGGCATCTGTTTCTCTAAACAAGAAGATACCATCATCTAAAATTGAATTTTGGTATGCACTTTTAGCAACATAAAACTTGGAGAAATCTTTGAAATTCCAGTTTTTTTTTGAGGATGTCAATGATGCAGAATGAAATTCTTAAGCAGAAGTGATGAACTGAGAGGTCTTTGCAAGTGGGGAGCATTTCCTAAGCAGGCTCTGAGCTCTAAAACAGTGGCAGAAAGGCCTAGGCCACTCCATGCCTCCTCGGCAAGGCTGGTACAAATCTCTCCTCTACACACATGGTTATTAACATTGCTTGTTTCTGTATGTGTCTGAGATTATGCCACAAACAGAAAAATGACAGCAATGGGCCAAAGCATGTACTTTTTCACTTATAATAAATTAAGTGATTATTTTGAAATGCTGATGAATTTTAAATGTCTTCTTTAATGTTGTATTTCCCTTGGTACAAATAAACATTGCTCATCAAAAAATAGTCAATCATATAAGGTGTGAATTTAGAAATAAGATCTTATTTTGTCCATTTGTCTGTCAGTTTTTCTGTTATTTATCTAGCTCTTATCACCATGGTAACTGTGCATCTCTGGAGTGCATATCCAATCTAAAGCTTCTATTCAAGCCTCTTCTTCATTGCTTTACTTCTGCTGATTTACATAGAGTTGGGTATTTTTAATGTATGCTTCTTACATCTCCTGTCTGAATCCACAGAAGAAGAGTTTAAATAATCTAAGCTGCACCAAAGCAGCCGGTTAGATCAGTGTTAGAGCATGGTGCTAATAAAAAATCTAAGCTGCAATGTGAATATAAGCTTAGAGGTTAATAAAGCTAGACAAATATAAGTGTGTGTGAGCAGGATATTGACTTACTTTTTAAATGGTGCCGGAGCTTGAAAATCATATGTTTAGGAACTTGTCATTTCCTAAACACGCACTGTTTCTTAAAATGAAAGGGCACTTGATGTTTTATCCAAAGTCTTCTCAAAGGATAGACAGAAAAACTTGTTTAATTTCTCAGAAAATGAATCAATAGTTTTCTTTTAAACATCAAGGCTCTTGTTATAGAGGAATTTAATATCAGCACTTACAGATGTGAAGAGGTATCCTCTATGGCCTTAGAAAAGAGGGTGATGGGATTGCAGTTTGAGATAGAAAGTATAAATTTAGAAAAATGTAATTTCAAAGTAATATGCAACATTACCTTAATGGAAAAAACAACAACAACAACGACATAAGCAATTAAATCTGCTTGAGTTTGCCAGGAAGGTGTGACAGTTGCCTCATAGATTCTAATTAACATCTAAATATGAATATATCAGTCACTGATGGTGCTTGCAATCCATGAATATATCTAAAAAGTTGAGTGAGAGAAGCAAAATACTAACAATGCCCATCCACAGAGGTTCAGGATAAAATATCTGCCCTTCTGTGTTTGTGAGTTTTAATCTTTTATGTAAGAAGAATGAATAAACACATTATCTCTTTTAATCTTGATGACATTAAACATCTATTTTTCACAACTAATTTTTATTGTTCTTAATCTTTCCTCCCTGAAATGAGGCCACATGATTTCCATATATGATTTTTATAGCTTGTAGATGAGGAATGAATTCAGCAGCATAACCGGTTCACTTCTCACTGCAAATTCATGTACCGATTCTCTGGTTTTATGAAGCATTTCCCTGAGAAATTGTAGTTACACCTGCTTCATGTATAAGGATCACTCCCGGGCAAAGAATTTTTAGCTGAGGAATGTTAAACCTGAATATAGGCAAATTTGGCAAGAAAGTTAAAGGCTGAGGGGACCAAATAGCCTTTCTAAGTTTTCCCTTCTGAATTTTAAATAATTATTTGTAAAGTTCTGCAGGCTTGTAGAAATGTAAAGCTAAAGAAAGGGGCTAAAACGTTTATATTGATTTGATTTAAAAGTGGAATGCATTTGCTTAAAGTCTTTGAGCTCAGGTGGGTGAAAAGCTCCCCCATGCACAGATGTGACTTGGTTCCCTCACTCTTCCACCCTGGCAAGATCACCTCTTTCTTTTTTTTTTTTTTTTTTTTTGAGACAGAGTCTCGCTCTGTCGCCCAGGCTGGAGTGCAGTGGCGCGATCTCGGCTCACTGCAAGCTCCGCCTCCCGGGTTCACGCCATTCTCCTGCCTCAGCCTCCTGAGTAGCTGGGACTACAGGCGCCCGCCACCACGCCCGGCTAATTTTTCGTATTTTTAGTAGAGACAGGGTTTCACCATGTTAGCCAGGGTGGTCTCGATCTCATGACCTCGTGATCCGCCCGCCTCGGCCTCCCAAAGTGCTGGGATTACAGGTGTGAGCCACCGCGCCTGGCCAAGATCACCTCTTTCTTATTTCTTATTCAGAGCAACCCAGTGACATATGTATTTGTTTATTGTTAATATTGTGTTCCCTTTCTGCCTTCGACTCTTGTGTTTATGTGAGAATTTCCTAGCCAGATAGGAAACTGACCCTCCCTCAGGAGATAACTTATCTCCCCTGTAGCTAAGAGAATTTCTACTAGGATAAGCTACAAATGATATATGGGAGATTCCTTAGTTTTATCTTCATCTGGTAAGTGATATATCTATATCTATATCTATCTATCTATCTATCTATCTATCTATCTATCTATCTATCTATATACACACACATATATACACATATACATACATATATTCATATATATACATATGTGTGTATATATATATATGTATACACACACACATATATATTCGGGGCATCATTGCATTATTTCATGTGATTTTTAGCAAGTAATCTTTCTCATATCTGCATGAAGCAAGGTACTCCCCCCTGAAGTTAGGTTCCTACCATCCCAAAGAGATTGGGAGATAGGGCAATCCTATCCTTTATTCCTTGATTACATTTCAAAGGGATGGTTCCCAAGCCCTTGAGAAAAATATTTCTGGTTTGTGAAACAGTCATGAAGCTTTTAAAAGTATTTACATCTCAGAGGAGCAGATAAAAAATTTAGAATTACAAGTTTTTGGAAATAAATGCTCTAAGAAAAGTAAACGGAAAGAAAAGGCCTATGGGGGTTCACCTGGATTCTGTAAGGGCTGGTGAGCGGGAGATCAGAGGCGCAGAGGCAGGAAAATGTGTCTATGTTTAATGAAGCTGAGGGAAAATTTAGGGCCACGTTGGACAAGAGAAAAATGTGAATAGTCTTTCTTTAAAAGTCATTGCGAAAATCCTGCTTCCCTCAACCTTCGCAGACCCCAGAGAGACTTTTTCAGTCGACAGTCTCTAGAAATATGTGGGCAGTTCCTGATATTCATGGAGGTATGCTTTGTGTATTAAAGACACGCCTGTTTGTCCAGATGAACTGCTTTTTCGCCTCAATCAGAAAAAGGATCTTGGAGTTTTCATGGTCATAGCTAAAATACACCCCCAAATTCACCATCAACTTTGTGCCTACCACCTGGACTGAAGCTTAGTGTGCCCTGATCAAGAAGGTGAAATCTTTAACTTCTAGGCATTTACACTTTACTGGGGAAGACAAATGAAGAAACAGGTAATTACCATATAAGGATTAACTAGTCTATAATGTGGTAAATTACTAGTTTATTATTAGTAGGTGCTATGGAAGAACATAGGAGGGCCACATAACCCAAATTTGGTATCAAGAACAATTTACTAGAGGTATTAATATTTGAGAGACAAGTTTATATGAATGATAGCAGGAACAACGGAAAATATGCCAGGAAAAAGGAACAGCAAGTCCCACTACATGAAATAATTATGATTAAATAGTGAAACTCAAATATGAAATGGAAACAGTAGGAGAAGACCTTTAAAATCATGCTAAGAAATTTGTATTAAATGCAACAGTGATCCATCGATGAGTTTTAAGAAAAGAAATGATACAAATGATCTGATTTACACTGTAGAATTATCACTCTGGCAGTAGAAAGGGAAAATAAATCTGAGGGGGCCAATTCTAGAGACATGGATAACCATTTAATGACTTTTGCAGTAAATCAGGCAAGAGGTAAAAGGTAATTTGTTATGCAAATTTTGGGTTTCTGGTCAATCAAGTGCTTAAAATTCAGGACTGCCAAGGGTGACTACAATTTTGAATCCATTGCTCTTCTATCAGCTAAATATCCACGGGGACCTCTCTTTTCCCTTCCCTTCACTATTCTTCCTCTATTCTGAACAATGCAGTCATAAAGGCATTTGGAGGCAGAAAGTACATTCCGCTGTTGTTGGACTGAGTGTTTCATCATGCCAATTAAGCCCTGTTGGTTGGTTGTTATTTTTGTACAAGCCTTGCGTATCCTTAACTGATTTACTGCTTACTATTTCTATAGAACATGGAGGGAAGGGTGTGGAAATCATCAATAATAACTGAGGATGTGTCTATTACTCTTCACACTTCTGCAAGTGTTTGCTTCCTGTATATTAAACCTCTTTTTTAGAGGTGCATAAACCTTTAGGATTTTTTCTGACTTTCCCTCCAATTTTATTTCTCTTTTAAGGATTCCAGTTACATGCATATCGGGATATTCAAGCCTGACGCTATGTTCCTTAGCACCTTTTGAGGATTTTATTATCTCTTTTAATGGTAGAATTTTTAAATGTTTTTCTGAGTTTTGTTTTGTTTGTTTACAATTTTTTTCTTTTTTTGAGTTCACAAATGTTTTCTGTTATAACATCTAATCAGCTGTTAATTCTGCCCAGTGCACTTTTCATTTATGTCCTGTGTTTTATCTTTTTTTTTATCTCTAGTATTTTGATTGGGCATTTTTGTTTGTTTGTTTGTTTTTTATCTTTCATGTCTCTACATGCTCAACTTTTCTTTTCACTTCTTAGCCTAAGGAATAGGGTATGAACACTATTATAATGCCTTTATTATTCTATCATTCATATCATAGTTCAGTGATTGATTTTTCCCTCTATGTATAAATCGTGTTTTTGTTGTTTTTTGTTTGTTTGTTTCTTTGCATGCCTAGTAATTTTCATTAGATTACAACTATTGTGAATTTGTTCCTTGCTTGGTTGTTGGGTACTGTTAAATAAATAATCTTGAACTTTGTTCTGGAATTCAACTTACTTAAAAACAGTTTGATTTTTTTTGAGGCTTGCTTTTAAGCTTTGTTTTGTAGGATTTTATCAACCTCCAACCTAGGGCCGATATGGTTTGGCTGTGTCCCCACCCACGTCTCATCTTGAATTCCCACGTGTTTGTGGGAGGGACCCGGTGGGTGCTAATTGAGTCATGGGGGAAAGTCTTTCCCATGCTACTTTCGTGATAGTGAATAAGCCTCATGAGATCCGATGGTTTTAAAAAGAGAAGTTCTCTTGCACAAGCTCTCTCCCCTTTTGCCTGCAGCCATCCATGTAAGCTATGACTTGCTCCTCTTTGCCTTCCACCATGGTTATGAGGCTTCACAAGTCACATGGAGTTATGAAACCTCTTTCTTTTGTAAATTGCCCTGTCTCGGGTATGTATTTATCAGCAGCATGAAAATGGACTAATACAGAAAGGAAATTGCCTTTCCACTGCCTCTTTGTTCTATCAGGGCCCCTGACCAAATGGACAGGGTCCAGCAACATCAATGTTGGATTTTCCCCACTCGGTTCACCAACTCACAGCAGTTTTCTCTGGAAACACCCTCACAGACACCCCCAGAAACAATGCTTCACCAGTTCTCTAGGTATTACTTAACCTGGTCAGTTTGACACCTAAAACTAACCACCAGTGGTGTACTCTATAAATCTCTAGACCTCTCTGTTTCATTGGGAAACTCCCTTCTCCCTGGTACCCTACCCTAAGAAGTCCAGGCACCTTATCTGCTCTGTGCTCCCAACTCCATCTCTTCCATTTAGGAAGGTGGCCAGGCTTCCTCTACATTATCCTCCTGGTGAACAGGAAACCTCCTGCAGTAACCTGAAAAATTGTAGGGCTTGTCTCATTTGTTGATCTTCTTTCAAGGATCGCTGTCTTGCATTGACTGATTTCCAACTATGTTGTTTATTTAGTTCCTTCAGGTAAGAGAGTAATTCTGGTCCATATTATTTCATGCTGGTCAGAAGCAGAATTCTTCAAATCCACACTGAAATGATTGATTTTGTGTTTAACGCCCAGCTATGACTTTGTTTTACTTTGTCTCTATCATGATTTTTTCTTTCCTGTCATTCCCTGTAATCTGCTCTTACTGTATTATATATTTTATTCAGCATTATGCTTTTATTCAAAACAGGCTCTGTTTCTTTAAGTGTTAACTAAGAATTATTGTATAAGTTATATTCCAGAGATATTTATTGCATTCAATTCATATAAATAAAAAAGTTCTTCTTCTTTATATCTCCTGTAAAGAAAATAAATGTTAATGTAGACTAAAATTTGCTTCATAAATATTAGGATGTGATAATTATTAGATCATAATTATAAGTAGGAACTTCTCTCCAAACCAAATTAGGAGAACCATTTAGATAGTGACACATGACTATTTAAGTTCTATCAAAGCATTTACTGAGTTCTTACCTTTTGTCAGATGTTGTTTAAAATCTTTATTATGTATTGGCTTATTTATTTCTAACTAAAAACACATGAGGTAGGTAGGTAGTTGTATGAGTCATGGTTCTCCAAAGTAGCAAACCAATAGGGTGAGTATATGTGTGTATGTGATCTATTATAAAGAATTGATCCATGCAATTATGGAGCCAGGTATATCCCAAAATATTGGGGTGAGCCAGCAAGCTGGAGACCCAAAGACCTGGTGGTTTATTTCCAGTCCCAATCTGAAGGCCTGTGAACCAAGAAAGCCAGTGGTGTAGTTTCTTTCAGTAGCCTGGCAGGCTTTAGACTAGGAGGAGCTGATCGCTCAGTCTGCATCTGAAAGCAGGAACTTCAACTGATTTCCTAATTTGAAGGCAATCAGGAGGAATTCTCTCTTACTTGGAGAAGGGTCACCACTTTTGTTTCATTCAGGCTTTCGATTGATTGGGTGAGGCCAACCCACATTAGGGAGAGAACTAGCTTTATTCCTTCTATTTATTTAAATGATCATCTCATCTTTAAAAAATAACCTCACAGAAACACGCAGCTAATGTTTGGGCAGATATCTGGGCTCCCAGTGACCTAGTCAAGGTGACAAATAAAATTAACTATTAGAGTGGCATCATCCCTATTTTATTCCTATTTTTTAGCTAAAGAAACTGAGTTATAGGAAGGAAAATTAATTGACTCAAGGTCACTTAGAACATTAGCACTTGAGTCAGAAATTCAACCCAGTAGATCTGTCCCCAGTGTACAGATGCTCATAGACTTGGAATGGGGTTACATCCTTCTTGTATGACAGATTTATCTGGACATAACCCAACTGTAAGTAATGGCCATCAATACATAGCTCTTCCACAATGTTGTGAAGTAGAAATATATTCTTTTGGCAATTTTGAGATACACCATATGTTATTATTAACTGTAAGCATGTTGTGCAATAGATCAATAGAACATATTCCTCCTGTCTAACTGAAACTTTGTACACTTTGGTTAACATCTCTCCTATTTTCATCCACCTATTCTGCTCTAGCTTCTGATAACCACCATTCAATTACTTCTATGAATGTGACTTTTTTAGATTCCACATATAAGTGAGATCACATGGTATTAGTCTTTCTGTGCCCGGCTCCTTTCACTCAGCATAATGTCCTCTAGATTCATGTATGTTGTCCCAAGTGAGAGGCTTTTCTTTTTTGAGAGAAAATAGTATTCCAGTGTGCATTATACCGCATTTTGTTTATCCATTTATCAGCTGATAAACATTTAAGTTGTTTCTATAACTTGGCTTTTGTGACTACTGCTGCAATGAACATGGAAATACAGATATGTCTTTGACATCCTAATTTTTTTTTTTTTTTTTTTTTTTTTTTGTGATGGAGTCTCACTCTGTTGCCCAGGCTGGAGTGCGGTGGTGTCAGCTCAGCTCACTGCAACCTCTGCCTCCCGAATTCAAGTGATTCTCCTGCCTCAGCCTCCCAAGTAGCTAGGACTACAGGCGCACACCACCGTGCCCGGCTAATTTTTGTATTTTTGGTAGAGACAGGGTTTCACCATATGGGCCAGGTTGTTCTTGAACTCCTGACCTTGAGATCCACCTGCCTCAGCCTCCCAAAGTGTTGGGATTACAGGTGTGAGCCACTGTACCCAGCCCTGAGTTTAAGTCTTCTGCATAAATACCCAGAACTGGGATTGGTGGATGATATGGCAATTCAATGTTTAGTGTTTTTGTGGAACCTCCATACTGTTTTCCATAAAATAGCTGTAGTAATTTTCATTCTCACTAACCGTGTGTGAGGATTCCTTTTTCTCCACATCCTCCATGACACCTGTTATCTCTGATCATTTTTATTGTAACTATTCTAGCAGCTTGAGGTGATATCATGGTTTTAATTTGTATTTTCCTGATGATTAGTGATGCTGAGCATAGTTTTATATATCTGGTGGCTATTTATTTGTATGTCTTGTTTTGTTTAGTCAGGTGATTTGCCCAGTTTCTTTTTTTCATTTTCGTTTTCTTTTTTTTCTGAGGAAAAATTTCAGAGTTCTAAAGTTGTTTTTTTTTTGTTTTTTAAGACAAGGTCTCCCTCTGTCACCCAGGCTGGAGTGCAGTAGTGCAATCATAGCTCACTGCAGTCTCAAACTCCTGGGCTCAAGCGATACTTCTGCCTCAGCCTACAAAGCAATTGGGACTACAGATGTATGCCACAATTCCTGGTTCATGTATACAGTTTCTAACTACTGATATAAACAGTTAAGTTTCCTTTATTTTCTTTTTTATACTTTAAGTTCTGGGGTACCTGTGCAGAATGTGCAGGTTTGTTACATAGGTATACACATCCTATGGGGGTTTGCTGCACTCATCAACCCGTCATCTACATTAGGTTTTTCTCCTAATGCTATCCCTCCCCTAGCACCCCACCCCACAACAGGCCCCAGTGTGTGATGTCCCCCTCCCTGTGTCCATGTGCTGTCATTGTTCAACTCCAGCTTATGAGTGAGAACATACAGTGTTTGGTTTTCTGTTCTTGTGTTAGTTTGCTGAGAATGATGTTTTCCAGCTTCATCCATGTCCCTGCAAAGGACATGAACTCATCATTTTTTATGGCTGCATGGTATTCCATGGTGTTTATGTGCCACATTTTCTTTATCCAGTATATCACTGATGAGCATTTGGGTTGGTTCCAAGTCTTTGCTATTGTGAACAGTGCCACAATAAACATACGTGTGCATCTGTCTATTTACAGTAGAATGATTTATAATCCTTTGGGTATATGCCCAATAATGGGATTGCTGGGTCAAACTGTATTTCTGGTTCTAGATCCTTGGGGAATCACCACACTGTCTTCCACAATGATTGAACTAATTTACACTCCCACCAACAGTGTAAAAGTGTTCCTATTTCTCCACATCCTCTCCAGCATCTGTTGTTTCCTGACTTTTTAATGATCGTCATTCTAATTGGCATGAGATGGTATCTCATTGTGCTTTTAATTTGCATTTCTCTAATGACCAGTGATGATGAGGTTTTTTCCATATATTTGTTGGCTGCATAAATGTCTTCTTTTGAGAAGTGTCTGTTCGTATACTTTGCCCACATTTTGGTCAGGTTGTTTGTTTTTTTCTTGTAAATTTGTTTAAATACTTTGTGTGTTCTGGATATTACCCTTTTGTCAGATGGATAGATTGTAAAATTTTTCTGCCATTCTGTGGGTTGCCTGTTCACTCTGATGATGGTTTCTTTTGCTGTGCAGAAGCTCTTTAGTTTAATTCGATGCCATTTGTCAATTCTGGCTTTTGTTGTCATTGCTTTTGGTGTTTTAGCCATGAAGTCTTTGCCCATGCCTATGCTGTGAATGGTATTGCCTAGGTTTTCGTCTAGGATTTTTATGGTTTTTGGTCTTAGGTTTAAGTCTTTAATCCATCTTGAGTCAGTTTTTTTTCAATATTTTTTTTTCATTATACTTTAAGTTCTAGGGTACATGTGCACAACCTGCAGGTTTGCTACATATGTATACATGTGCCATGTTGGTGTGCTGCACCCATTAACTCGTCATTTACATTAGGTATATCTCCTAATGCTATCCCTCCCCACTCCCCCCACCCCACAACAGTCCTCAGTGTGTGATGTTCCCCTTCCTGTGTCTAAGTGTTCTCATTATTCAATTCCCACTTATAAGTGAGAACATGCAGTGTTTGCTTTTTTGTCCTTGTGATAGTTTGCTGAGAATGATGGTTTCCAGCTTCATCCATGTCCCTACAAAAGACATGAACTCATCAATTTTTATGGCTGCATAGTATTCCATGGTGTATATGTGCCACATTTTCTTAATCCAATCTATCATTGTTGGACATTTGGGTTGCTTCCAAGTCTTTGCTATTGTGAATAGTGCCACAATAAACATACGTGTGCATGTGTCTTTATAGCAGCATGATTTATAATCCTTTGGGTATATACCCAGTAATGGGATGGCTGGGTTAAATGATATTTCTAGTTCTAGATCCCTGAGGAATCGCCACACTGTCTTCCACAATGGTTGAACTAGTTTACAGTCCCACCAACAGTGTAAAGGTGTTCCTATTTCTCCACATCCTCTCCAGCACCTGTTGTTTCCTGACTTTTTAATGATATAGGCATGGGCAAGGACTCCATGTCTAAAACACCAAAAGCAATGGCAACAAAAGCCAAAATTGACAAATGGGATCTAATTAAACTAAACAGCTTCTGCACAGCAAAAGAAACTACCATCAGAGTGAACAGGCAACCTACAGAATGGGAGAAAATTTTTGCAATCTACTCATCTGACAAAGGGATAATATCCAGAATCTACAAAGAACTCAGACAAATTTACAAGAAAAAAACAAACAACCGCATCAACAAGTGGGCAAAGTATATGAACAGACACTTCTCAAAAGAACACATTTATGCAGCCAACAGACACATGAAAAAATGCTCATCATCACTGGCCATCAGAGAAATGCAAATCAAAACCACAATGAGATACCATCTCACACCAGTTAGAATTAGTATTTTTATAAGGTATGAGGAAGGGATCCAGTTTCAGCTTTCTCCATATGGCTAGCCAGTTTTCCCAACACCATTTATTAAATAGGGAATCCTTTCCCCATTGCTTGTTTTTGTCAGATTTATCAAAGATCAGATGGTTGTAGATGTGTGGCGCTGTTTCTGAGGCCTCTGTTCTGTTCCATTGGTCTATATATCTGTTTTAGTACCAGTACCATGCTGTTTTTACTACTGTAGCCTTGCAGTATAGTTTGAAGTCAGGTAGCATGATGCCTACAGCTTTGTTCTTTTTGCTTAGGATTGTTTCGGCTATGCAGGTTCTTTTTTAGTTCCATACGAAATTTAAAGTAGTTTTTTCAATTCTGTGAAGAGAGTCAATGGTAGCTTGATGGGGATAGCATTGAATCTATAAATTACTTCGGGCAGTATGACCATTTTCACAATATTGTTTCTTCCCATCCATGAGCATGGAATGTTTTTCCCTTTTTCTGTGTCCTCTTTTATCTCCTTGAGCAGTGGTTTGTAATTCTTCTTTAAGAGGTCCTTCACATCCCTTGTAAGTCGTATTCCTAGGTATTTTATTTTCTTTGTAGCAATTGTGAATGTGAGTTCACTCATGATTTGGCTCTGTTTGTCTGTTATTGGTGTATAGGAATGCTTGTGATTTTTGCACATTGATTTTCTGTCCTGAGACTGCTTAAATTGCTTATCAGCTTAAGGATATTTTGGGCTAACACAATGGGGTTTTCTAAATATACAATTATGTCATCTGCAAACAGAGACAATTTGACTTCCTCTTTTCTTAATTGAATACCCTTTATTTCTTTCTCTTGCCTGATTGCCCTGGCCAGAACTTCCAATACTATGTTTAAGAAGAGTAGTGAGGGAGGGCATCCTTGTCTTGTGCCGGTTTTTAAAAGGAAGCCTTCCAGTTTTTGCCCATTCAGTATGATATTGGCTGTGTGTTTGTCATAAATAGCTCTTATTGTTTTGAGATACGTTCTATCAATAGCTAGTTTACTGAGAGTTTTTAGCAGGAAGGGCTGTTTAATTTTGTAGAAGGCCTTTTCTGCATCTATTGAGATAATCTTGTGGTTTTTGTCATTGGTTCTGTTTCTGTGATGGATTACATTTATTGATTTTTGTATGTTGATCCAGCCTTGCATCCCCGGGATGTAGCCAACTTGATCATGGTGGATAACCTTTCTGATGTGCTGCTGGATTCAGTTTGCCAGTATTTTATTGAGGATTTTTGCATCGTTGTTCATTAGGGATGTTGGCCTGAAATTTTCTTTTTTTGTCATGTCTCTGCCAGGTTTTGGTGTAAGAAAGATGCTGGCCTCATAAAATGAGTTAGAGAGGATTCTGACTTTTTCTATTGTTTGGGATAGTTTCAGAAGGAATAGTACCAGCTCCTCTTTGTACCTCTGGTAGAATTCGGCTGTGAATCCATGTGGTCCTGGACTTTTTTTGGTTGGTAGGCTATTAATTGCTGCCTCAATTTCTGAATTTGTTATTGGTCTATTCAGGGATTCGACTTCTTCCTGATTTAGTCTTGGGAGAGTGTATGTGTCCACGAATTTAATCATTTCTTCTAGATTTTCTAGTTTATTTGCATAGAGGTATTTATAGTTTTCTCGGATGGTAGTTTGTATTTCTGTGGGATCAGTGGATCAGTGGTCTTATATTTAAGTTTTTGATCTGTTTGACTCATATATTTGAAATGAGTTATGGATTTATTCTTCTCCTTATAAATAGCCAATTTTCCCTACAACATTTATTGAAGATGCAGTGCTTTCCTTACTGTATGCTTATGGCACCTTTGCTTTTGCTGAATATCACTCGATCAAATGCATGAGTTTATTTCTGGGCTCTCTATCTTATTCTATTGGTCAATGTGTCTGATTTTATGCCAGCACCATCATGTTTTGATTACTATGACTTTGTAATATATTTTGAAATCAGATAGTGTGATGCCTATAGCTTTGTTCCTTTTGCACAAGATTGTTTTGTCCATTTGAGGTCTTTTATGGTTCTATAATAATTTCTTAATAATACTGAGCCTTTTAATCTATGAGCATGATTTTTTTTATTGAGTTCTTGTTTTCTTTAGGCATTTTTGAGTCTGTGTACTGGCCATGCACATATTTTCTTAAACTAATCTCTAAATATTTAATAATTAACTTGCTATTCAAATATAAATTTTAAAATTTTGTACTTCAATTTTTCATTGCTTGTGTTTGTGTATATTTGCCTCGTTTCCCAAGGCCTTGCTAAATTCACTTGTTACTTTTATACTTCTTCATTTTCATTTATTCATTAAGATGTTCTATGTATATAATCAAGTAATTTGCAAATAAAACACTTATAGTTTCTTCTTTCTATGTGTGCACTTTATGTTCTTTCTCCAACCTGTTGCACTAGCTAGGACCTCCATCACAATATTGAATAGCAGTAATGAGAGTGAACCTCACTTTCCCGTCACTGCTTAGAAAAATGTGTTCATTCTTTGACCAATAAATGAGATGTTAGATGTAGGTTCCTTTGAATAATTTAATTATTAACTTAATGACAATCCTTCTATTCTTTTTTAGTAAGAGACTTTTATTTTTTGTTTTTGTTTTCATCAAAATGGTAGTTGAAACTTCTCAATGCCTTATGTATTGAGATGATCAGGCACTGTTGTCCTTTACCAAGTTAAGATGCTAAATTGCTTTATTTGATTTTCAAATATTTTTAGTTTTTCATTTGATTATAATGGAATTAAATTAAAAATTAGTAAGAAAAAGATATCAAAAATATCCCTCAAGTACTTGAACCTTAAGCAGCATATGTTTACATTTCATCCATCAAATAAGAAACAAAAGATATTAGAAAATATTTTAACCTTACAATAAAACACAACATTTCAAAATATGTAGGATGCAGCTAAAGCAGTGTTTAGAGATAAATTTATAGCTTTAAGTGCTTAATTTAAAAATCATGAAAGCTGTAAATCAATTATCTAAATTTAAATCAATGAGAGTACTAGAAACAAGGTAATAATAATAAGAGGAAAGTGAATCTAATAGAACATAATCTATAGATAAAAAATCATTGAAATAAAAATCTAGCTCTTTGAAGCTGTAGGCATTCATATCTCATCTTTTATATTTAAAATTTATTTTATATTTTAACCTAAAAAATTCTGAGGAGAACTTCAGTTCCTATGTATATTATTTTCAAATAGACAATCTGGTTAAAAATTATGTATTTCAAAATCTGCCTATTTCTATGGTGCAGATTTTCTGATTGTGATTAAGTATGTATTGGTATATATGCAACATTATTACAATGTGAGCTGTTATGACTTCTATGAATCAGGATCTTGTTATGAAAACAGAAATCATTTTTAGGATTGCAGGTGGATTTTTTAGAAGAAATAGGTTACAAAAAGTTAGTAGAGTCAGAAAAGCAAAAAGGAACCATTTGTGACTCTCAGGGATCTGATTCCATTTTAGCTCCTTAGCTAAGGAAGGAACTTTCTTTCAGATTTCAGTAAGTCCGTCTTTATGAACCTACCTTTGCTGCAAATGCAATAGACACACACATATACACACACACATGAACTGACACTATTGGTTCTCAGTGAACGCCAGGGCTCCTGATGCCTGATGTTATTAATTAATGCTGCAGGAACTATGGAGTCAGCACGTCTCCTGATAGGACCACCACCTTCATGATGAAACACAAGCTCAGCAGCAACTGGAGAAGATGCTAAAGCCGTCTGTGGAATTAGAGTGGCCTCGACCTTCTTCTCACCTCAAATTTCATGTGCAGATCTTCAGTGAGAGCTTAACCATCACTCAGTTGTCAAGGAAACCTGGAAATGTAATTTGTAAGTGTCTTAGTCAGTTTTCATGCTGCTGACAAAGACATACCTGAAACTGGAAAGAAAAAGAGGTTTAATTGGCTTATAGTTCCACATGTCTGGGGAGGCCTCAGAATCATGGCAGGAGGCAAAAGTCACTTCTTACATGGTGGCAGCAAGATAAAAATGAGGAAGAAGCAAAAGTGGAAACCCCTGATAAACCCATCAGATTTCATGAGACTTACTCACTATCATAAGAATAGTATGGGAAAGACCGGCCCGCATGACTCAATTACCTCTCCCTGGGTCCCTCCCGCAGCACGTGGGAATTCTGGGAGATACAATTCAAGTTGAGATTCGGGGATGTGGCGGGGGTGGGCTACAGCCATACTATGCATACAGCCATACTATATGAGTAAGTGTATATGAGTAAGTGTGCAGACCCAGGAAGTTTATAGAAGTGTATACATGAGCTGAATATCAATGAACAGTAATGGACCATGTGCTGTCTGCATACTTTGCACAAAATGCCTATCTGGGCAACTTAATTATGCTGCTTTTACTACTTTGTTTTGCTGATATTTTCAGCAAATCTTAAGGTTACATAACAGCAATCAATTATCTCTAATAGTACTTCCAAATTTGATGGGCAACAGTATTAGTGCTTTGTAATGTATTTTTGATTTGACTTCAATATAACATTTGGAAAAGTCGCTGGAAAAAATTAATTCTTATTTGAATACTAAGCATATATAAAATATGTAACATAAGATTTGACTCTAATCTCATCAACAATCTAGTTTCTACCAATAAAAATCACACATTATTTTCCTCTTTCAAGTGCCCCACTGATGCCTATTACTATGAGGATAAAATCCAAAGTTCCTATCATGGCATGCAAGAAAGCACAATGCCTGAGTCAGCAGAAATCTCTAATCCCATATGGTACCCTAACCATCTCATTTACCATGCCCTCTTTCAGCTCCCACATGGTAAGCCAATTTGTAGGGGCTTTTTCCTCCAGAGTTCTGCTCAATACTCGTATGATTTTTTCTTGATTTTTGGCGTTTCTGGGTCCTACTCATATATTAAGTGTTGGTCATATACACTCTTTCAGAGAGGTCTTCCAACCAATCTCATTTAAATGAAAGCCCAATTTCACCTCCAGAGTTTCTCTAGTTTATCATTCAGCCTTTTTTTTCTTGTAGCACTCATCATTATCTGATTTACATTACACATTTTTGCCTACATTTTTGCTGTCTCTTTCCTTACTGTAATGTAAGTACCACAATGGAATGTTTCATTTCTCTTGATAATTGCAGTTTCAAGTATATACAAAACACTCTTGTTGCAGGAAATCCATACATAGGTATGAACAATGATTTAAAGAGTCAATGAATATTTGATCCTCACCATACCTACACATACCCAAATGTAGATGTGATAGATACAGCAAGCTGAATACTCACAATCCATTTTCTCCTCCTTCCTTTCTTGAAATAATTGGTTACCGTGGTAATGATTTTAGCAAAATAAGACTTAATTTCCCAGTTATCTTTGCAGTTCTGGTTATGTTCCACAATTCAGACCAGTGAGGTGTGAGTGGAAACCTGTATCTGTTTTCTCAATTTCTTATCATATGCAGTGAAAATGGGAACATTTCATTTCCTTACGAAGAGGTACCTATTCCTCTTTGTTTCTTCCTTTGATATCTTCCTATCTGATCTATAAATGGCAGGTTGGATGATATGATATAAATAGCAATATGTCTAAGGTCAGTCACCTTCGCAATAGCTGAGTGACAACTTAAATCTATGTTTTCCTGCTCCAATTTTATAACAAGCATAAACATATACATCAAGATTCATCCTCACTACTGGAAACTTTCTCTGTCAATTGCATGGAATAACAAGAATCTGAAGAATAGAGTAGCATATCCTGCAGACTAGATCACAGAACCCATTCAAAGCCCCTTCCCCTTGCCTTCACTTATCATAGAAATTATAAAACTAAATCAAACAGCTTTTTAGACTCCTTTTCCAAACAGAAGTGGTTATGTGAAATGTACCTGGCTGAACCGCTTTAAGGGGAGGTTTCTGGGGTTGGCTACCTTTCCTGTCAAAGATACAAAGACTCACAGCAAAAGGTATTAAGCATTTTCAAAAAAATTTTCTGTTTGAAGTGGGTGAACAACTTCTAAAGGTGTAGCATTCATTATGTGACTAGGACGATGCCCTAGATTGAATGTGTGCATCCTCCCACAATTCGTATGTGAAGACATAAAACTCCAAAGATGATGGTATTCAAAGGTACAATCTTCGGAAAGTGATTAGTGCTCTTATAGTAGAGATCTTCAAGAGTTCCCTTGTTCGTCCACCACATGAGGACATGGTTAGAAACCAGCTGTCTATAAGCCAGACTTCCCAGCCTCCAGAACTGTGAGAAATAAATTCCTCTTGTTTATAAGCCAGTCAGTCTATGGCATTCTCTTACAGTAGCTTAAACAGACTAAGACAGAGGACGAGGGCCACAAGGTCAGGAGGGCAGGGCAAAAAGAGAGAGTCCAGGTCCCTGGTAGCATTGTTACTTTGCTGAGCCCTGACCTGCAAACCTACAAAACTTTTTGTTAGTTTTATAGAAGAAAACGGGTCCTTTAATTGTTTCAGCCATTCTTGGTTGAGTTTTCTGTTATTTACAGCTGAACTAAATCTTAACTGAACCAGAGTTCATACTGAATATGACGTAAAACAGAGGTCAGCTACCTCTGGCCTGAGCACTCTATCGAGCTCATTGTCTGTACTGTTAAAGAAAGTTTTTCTGGAATACAGAACACATTTACATGAAATCTTGGGCATTTTGAAAATTTCTGAGATCTCTTAAATGATTATGAAAGAAAAGTGTGAAGTACTCAACAATATGAGCACTTTTAGACACATAACCTTGAACTTCTCATTATATCACCAATAGAACTGGGTAACCCTGAATGTCTAGGTTTCTTAGTGTCTTGATCTGTGTTAACAAAAATGCACTAAAGCACTAAAATAGCTTTTTTAGTTATCTAGGAAAAGTCAGATCATCTTGGTGAGCAGGAGGTATATGGCAGTTTATGCATTTCTCCTGTTAATACTTGTAAAACAGTTTGAGAGTGCTGAGTGCTTCCAAAGCCTAATGCTGGGCTTTTAATTTTCAGCCATTTATGCCGATCCAGGTATACGTTTGGAAAGTGAAAAGAAGTAAATAAGTAAATAATAGTACATAAATATATAGGAAATTGGAAATGAGACTCTAAATTCATACAAACACTAAAAACTGATCAATAGATGATAAGCAGCATTTGTTCTGAAGCTGGAATTCAATTGCTAAAGCAGTATCTAAATGTATTACATGTCTCTGCTAGACAGTCTCCAAAGATGGCCATTTTCCCCTTCTTCCCTCCCCGCATGTGGAGTTTGTGTATTCCCCCTTAACCTTAGTCTGCCCTTTGACTTGCCTCTACTAATACAAAGCATTAGAAATTATAATCTTGTAGTTCTAGGCTTACCCTTTAAGAAGCCTGTCTGCTTTCTTCTGAGGAGATGTCTTCTACAATGTAAGAAATCCAAATCCCTAGAGACCCCCATATTGTAAGGAAGACCACGTTCACCCTGTGGAAAGATCACAAATGGAGAAGAATTAAGAAATGCAAAGATCGTGTGTGAAGAAGAATTGAGAAATGCAAAGATCATATGTGGAGAATAACTGAGAAATCTAAGATGTGAGACAGCCAGAATCAAGTTCCTGGAAATATGACCCCAGTCGAAACCTCCATTTAGCTTCCAGGCATTTGAACCATCCAGCTGAGGTCTGAAGTCATATAGCTGAGAGAGTGACCTTCTTTGCCCTGTTCGAAGTCCTCACCCGAAGACTCATGAGAAAATCAATGGATGTTCTTTTTTTTTTTATACTTTGAGTTTTAGGGTACATGTGCACAACATGCAGGTTAGTTACATATGTATACATGTGCCATGTTGGTGTGCTGCACCCAGTAACTCATCATTTAACATTAGGTATATCTCCTAATGCTATCCCTCCCCCCACCCCATCACAGGCCCCAGTGTGTGATGTTCCCCTTCTTGTGTCCATGTGTTCTCATTGTTCAATTCCCACCTATGAGTCAGAACATGCGATGTTTGGTTTTTTGTCCTTGCGATAGTTTGCTGAGAATGATGGCTTCCAGCTTCATCCATGTCCCTACAAAGGACATGAACTCATCATTTTTTATGGCTGCATAGTATTCCATGGTGTATATGTGCCACATTTTCTTAATCCAGTCTATCATTGATGGACATTTGGGTTGGTTCCAAGTATTTGCTATTGTGAATAGTGCCACAATAAACATTTGTGTGCATGTGTCTTTATAGCAGCATGATTTATAATCCTTTGGGTATATACCCAGTAATGGGATTGCTGGGTCTAATGGTATTTCTAGTTCTAGATCCCTGAGGAATCACGACACTGACTTCCACAATGGTTGAACTAGTTTACAGTCCCACCAACAGTGTAAAAGTGTTCCTATTTCTCCACATCCTCTCCAGCACCTGTTGTTTCCTGACTTTTTAATGATCACCCTTCTAACTGGTGTGAGATGGTATCTCATTGTGGTTTTGATTTGCATTTCTCTGATGGCCAGTGATGGTGAGCATTTTTTCATGTGTCCTTTGGCTGCACAAATGTCTTCTTTTGAGAAGCGTCTGTTCATATCCTTCACCCAGTTTTTGATGGGGTTGTTTGCTTTTTTCCTGTAAATTTGTTGGAGTTCATTGTAGATTCTGGATATTAGCCCTTTGTCAGATGAGTACATTGCAAAAATTTTCTCCCATTCTGTAGGTTGCCTGTTCACTCTGACGGTAGTTTCTTTTGCTGTGCAGAAGCTCTTTAGTTTAATTAGTTCTTTTATGTCTCTAAGTTTGGGGTAGTTTGCTAATGCAACAATAGATAACTGAAACATCTAGTTGTTATTTGTGTGTTAATATATCTTTTTTAAAGTAAAAACGAAGTCCAAGTGGTTACTTAAGCTTTTAAATTTCACAAGTTGGTATCTAGTTAAAGCTTTTCTGATAGCCTCCCAGAGTGTATCCAAGCCATAGTGCATTATTTTTCAATTCAAATATTTAAATACAAGTAAAAGTCACAAATCACCTTTGCAAAACATGTCTAATAAGTTCTCATGATGCTACATCAGATGGCATAATCTTAAGGGCAACACATTGCATTCATTCCAAACACACCTCTAAATAATTTACTACAAGCTTGCTCTGGGCAAAAAAGAAAAAAGAAAAAAGAAACTATAATCCATACTCTTACATACCCCACAGTTTGTAGGGGAAGTTACCTTATTTAAATATAATGCATTAAGAGCCATAATAGTAATAGTTAGAAAGTAAGTATATTGGAAATTTTCAATGCACTTTTCCCAGGAATGCTTTTTCAAAAGTTCAGCTTAACAGATCTGGTTAAATGTATGCTGAGATACAAACCAAATAGCCAGAGTAGACACCTGACCCAAGCCAAGCTGATTGGATTATCAATCTTCTGGAGTTTTTATGAGGACTCAGGGACTTTGTAGGTCTAGTACGAGCTCATAAATTAGAAGGTTGTCAGTATCTGTGCAGAAGGTGTTTGGCCATGTGCTCAGAGACCTGGAGAAAATTGGTGTTCAGAAAGAGGGAATACAGGAAAAAAATGGTGAAGAAAAATTTATAGACAAAATACCATATGGTTCCTGAGAGAGGAGAGAGAGAGAGAGAGAACAAGAAAGCAAAAGATATCTGCTGCCATCCCTTGTTTAGGTCCCTCTTGACACTAATGATAAACCCAGTTGTGAGTTATTCACTTAGTGTCCTTCTAGTTCATTTCCCCTTTTTACTTTAACCAGCTTGAAGAAGTTCTCTTTTTGCATCCAAAATTTTATGCAGAAAATAGACACACGGGTAACAGAGAAAAAGTCTGTTTCTCTTGAATAGCGAGAATTAGGACAAACCTGAAAAAATCATGGAAGGTGACTTAGGCGGTCTAAGAAGATGGAGAAATAACTGGAGGACGAGAGAAAAGTAGGATTAGAGGCAAGAAGGTGAGCAAAACCATGGGTAGTTTGAGAAATGCAACGGCTTCTGCATGACTGCCTTCGTCTCTAGGGGCAGAGGGCCCAGAGGTAAGGCTGAAAGAATGGCTATGATAAATTTGAAATGAATTATAAACAGCATGCTAATGAAGTCAACAAATTCTTTTTGGATTTGACTAGCCATAGAAGACATGGAAGGTGATTGTATGACAATGCAACTTCTATTTTCTTGTGAATATAAATGAAAGGCAACTTATGAGGTTTTATAACTTGAATTGGCCGATTTAACAAAAGCACATGCTTTATGGTATGATTGTGGTTATACATGGCTTCTTGGCTTTTGCATTCTGGGAACAGACTGGCCGGTTAAGATAGAAAAATTATGCATTTTTCATGCAATATGTACAAACCAGTAATTTGCATTTTCTACTCAAAGAGGGTAGTTGAGGGTTTTATTTATTTTTTAAGTCAGTAAATGAAATAAAGACCAATTGCATCTCTAATAAAATAACTTATGTGTATCAATATGCTAACCTTCTTAAGAAATGGCTACCACTCCTAACTGGAGTTATATTTTTTATGTCTGTGATTATTTTTCATTTTAGTATAGGAGAAAGAGATAAAAAGCATATACTTTCAAGGACACACACACATACACTCACACACATCCTGCATAAATAACTAACAGTGTGATTTCACTAAAGCACCTATTACCTGATATGGTAAAAGTTATTTATCATGTACTAAAACAAGGTCCTGCATTGCATTTGCATATGGTTCAGTACCTATGAGTGATAACCTCCATTGTAAACAGCAAACTGGCCTAAAAGCACCATTTGTCAAATTCATCATACGTTACATTACCTCCTTTTGTTCTTCAAGTTACTAACTTTGCAGAAGGAATAACAACAATTTTTTATAAATCTCAACATTAACCTCAATATAAATGTCCTCATTAGGTGAAGAAGCAAAAAGCACTGCGGAGTACTTGAGTCAAATTATGATCTTGTAATGTTGGCAATATTATTTATATTATTGGCAAAGGCTCTAATCTTTTGCTGACTTTAGTGTAAAGTATACTTTATAAAGTCAGCAAAAGAACAGCAAAAGTAGACAACTTAAAGATTCAGAGTCCACTTAGCCTAACACTACAGTGTTTGATTAAGAGCTGTTATACATAGCGATAAATGTATGCCCTGGACACCACAAAACTGTATTTGGTTCACAGCAACTCTTTAAAAGAGAAACACAGTCTAACTTAATTACCTTTCTCTGTTATACTTTATGTCATTTTCTCCCTTGATTTTCCTATTGTTTACTTCACCCAGACTTGAAAATGTAATGTTTTTTTTGTTTGTTTTTTTGTAGCAGACTTTTCCTATAGTACCTTACACTTTTCCTTTTCAACAAAAATGTGAAATGGTTGAGGCTTCACTTGATTATCTTCACTTTTAAGTTGTTAGGTTTATTTAAATAATATGTATTTAAAATTTATGCAAATGACTATTTTCATTTACATTTAGGCATTCAAACATTTTGTTTCTTCTCATTTTGCCATGTTAACAGGCCCATATTTCTCATAGAGAAATTATAGTCTTTATACACTTATATACCACAATTCTTATGAGGCAGATTGTTTTGCTACACTTTCAATAATTTTAGAGTATTTAAATGATATTTACTATGCCGTATGACTCTAAATTATAGGAAAAATAGTGTTAATACCAAAATTCAAAATAGCATGCATTTATAAAGCTATGTGAACAGATATTTTTATGATGTTGTATTTCATGATTACTCCAATCTTTTTTTTTTTTTTTTTACCAAATTGATGAATTCAAGAGATTATCAATCCCTATCAGATCTCTGGCTGATTAGAGAAAATTAGAAACTGTCTACAAAAAGATCTAGATAATATTAATGTAAAACTACTGCACATAAAAACAGGAATAATGAATCAAAATCACAATATGCCTCAAACTCTGAAAGGCACTTGATAAGAACCTATCCACATATTTTCTTTCAAGACCTCTCATGGGGCACACTAAATACCTAGAAAAGCAAATCTAACACAGTACTTAGGACTTATTAAAATTCTCATTGAAATTCACTGATTTTCCACAAAAGAATATATACTATAAGAAAAGACAGTATGATGTAGTTAGACATTATTTGTAAAATAATGAAAAAAATAAACAGCCTCTAACTTTAGCATTGATGGCTAAGAAGCTCTGGATATTTTAATTTCAATGAAGAGGAAATATATTAATACTAGAGATATTTGAAACTAGTTATGTAAGATTATTGCTTTGCTTTATATAACAATAATACTGTGGCTGACACTGAAAAATGTTATAATAATAAAAGAGGTTATTATAATATCACATTAATAAATGATAGTAATGTGTTGGACACTGCACAAAATAAAACTATAAGCATTCTTTCTGCTGAAGAAATTTTTATTCTAAGAAAATAATAGCTACATTTTTATTTGCTTTGTAGGCTTAACCTCATTTCTTTGCCACAGCAACTCATTTTACATATGAAGAATCCGAAGTGCAGATAAGTGGTTGCCTTGAACTACACATCAAGTAAGTGGCCAATAGGAGAGGCAAGCTCAGGGCAGTCTGGGTTGATCATAATTAGACACAGAAAATGGTTCTGCAGACAATCAAAGAAGAAAAGACAAAAGAGTGTAAGACTAATAAGAATTTTATTTGATATTCAGTTTCTTTATCAATTATATTGGGAGATTTTAAGTTTCTTAATCAAATATTCTCTTCGTGAAGAAATGAAGGCAAGAACTCATTAGATGACAAACTTACTGTATTACATATTTATATAATACAGGATATATACATAATATATGTTATATATAGTATATATGTGTTTGTGTATATACACACACACACATGCACACACACACATTGCCTGTATGTGTGTATATATATTATATATGTGTGTGTGTGTGTGTGTGTGTGTGTGTGTGATACAGGAACTTCCATGAAAACATAGGCTGGAACATAAATACATAGAGATTTACATCAGATAGGGCATTGAGATCTAAGAATAATTTTTTAAAAATTGTATAGTTGTATTGAATATTATAGATGTCTAATCGACCAGAAAATTGACATTCTATTTAATATATGTGAGGAAGTCACTGACTTGTCCTGGGAAATATCTTTTGGTCCCAGGAGAGGAACCCACTCATGTCCGAATGTGACACCAATACTGGTAGTGCTGCCTTGAGGACAGAAAGAATCCAAGTTCTTCAGTCTCTGAGTCAAGCATCTCTAAAAGTCTCTCCCACTGAATCTATGCTTCCAGCAATTTTTTTTTCTGTAGCTATGAAATGACAGTATTTGTAAATCACACTGAAATCGGTGACCAGCTCAGTAGAACCAGCTGCCCCATAGCTGGCTCAGCTGCCCCAAGGCTGACAAGGGCGTCCCCTCAGCACATTCTATTTGTGTCACAACCATGGGTCCCGAGGTACTGTTGTGCCATTGCCCCATTTGGAAGCTCTTCTCTGGACTACATAACACAGGGATAAAAAACTAACTTATTGTACAACAGTTTTAGTGATGGTTTCTCTTATTTGTAGCCATAACACTTCTGCTGACAGAAAAACCCTATAGGATTTTGTATCAGTTTAGTATGCTTTTATCTGTAAGTAACTGAAAATCTGGCATGAGTTGCTTGAACAAACAAGGGTTTGTTTATTTTCTCATATATAGAGAAGTTAGGGGTAAGGCGATCTAAATCGGACAGCGCCTCACCTGCACCACCAGGGTCCCAGGCTTCTTCTCAGTCCTTTTTTTGTCCCACTTGGGCTTATCGCTTCATGGTTTAAGAATCTTGGCTTCTGCCAGTTCAGACACCATGCCCATGTTTGTAACGAAAAGGAGGAGATAAATCAAAACAATTTTTCTTCTTGAGGCTTTTGGCTTTTTCTTTTCATTTTGGAATAAAACCATCCCCATAAGATTCCCATTCTATTTATTTATTTTTATTTACTTATTATTTATCTTGAGATGGAGTCTCGCTCTGTCGCCCAGGCTAGAATGCGATGGCACAATCTGGACTCACTGCAAGCTCTGCCTCCAAGGTTCATGCCATTCTCCTGCCTCAGCCTCTCGAGTAGCTGGGACTACAGGCGCCCGCCACCACACCTGGCTAATTTTTTGTATTTTTAGTAGAGATGGTGTTTCACCGTCTTAGCCAGGATGGTCTCGATCTCCTGACCTGGGATTACGGCATGAGCCACCGCCCCCAGCCTCTATTTCTTTCAGTGGAAGTTAGTCACACGCTCACCCCTTAGAGCTGTCAATGGGAGCAAGTTATCATACTGAGTTCAGCCTAATCATGCTAGACTAGACACTCCTCCTGGAACCAAAGAATCTCCTTTTAATACCTGAACAAATTTGGCTTTTCTTACAGGGGGAGCAGATTTCCTCACAAGAGACGATGATCTGTGCTTGCCGTGGGGCTGTTGTGAGACTTCAGTGCACAAAGCCCTTAGCATGTGCTTATTATATGATAGCCATTCAATATGTGTTAGCTGTTCTGATTATCATTACTACCATTAACATTATTAATAAGCTCTAACCCCTACATTCCTCTCGGTCTTATAAAGACCAGAATATTATCTTTCATTTTAAAAAGTAGAGATGATACTCACTTTTCCAAGTACACTCACTTGTCCCACATTTTTACCTGGACAATAAAATAGTATATTTTGACTATTTGAGTTCCACAGAAACTTAGGGAAATGTAATTCTCCATTTCCTGCAGCTGCTCGCTCCCTATCTGGGGCTAACTATGTTGAAAAATCATACTGCCCACTCTGTCTCTAGAGTGTTATTCTGTAAGTGCCACACAACAAAACTCCAGAAAGCCCCTCTCTTCATGCCAGTTTCTTTATATTCATGCCAGTCTTCAGCATGTCATTACTCACATTTAGACAGGGCAACTTAACTGTAGCTTGCTTGAACTTATTAAAAAGCCCCATTATCAGTTGTATATTAGCAAAGACGACAAACACTTTCTTGGTTAGCCTGACATATTCCATTATTTGACATGCATTGTTTCACATCGAGGTGTCTGCACTGTTAAACGTGAATATGTACATAAAAGGTACTATTATTAATGAATACTGTAGTGTAGTTTAGTTAATTGAATTTTTAGTGGTTACCCTGTCTGCCATAATAGAGACATTTGATGCAGAGACAGGACTGACATGAAAATCTCACGACCGCTAAATAGAATGCAAGTCAGCTCAGGCTTCTCTGCTGGACAGCCTTCCATAGCCAAAGTGCAAATTCACAGGACTCAGTGCAAATTCACAGGATTTGGTCCTGCGCATAGGAGGGATCATGACACTTAAGTTGTCTTTTTTAAAAAATAATAAATTTTGGAAAAAAACAGTCACAGGTTTTCCTCTGAAATGCTTTTTTTTTTCACTTCATGTTGGTTGATAACTCTCCAATTCATTCCATTTTACTTTGAATAATGGTATTCAAAGATCCTTACGATTCTAAAATGAAACACATCTGAGGCTGCCTGCCATGGGGATGAAACATGAAAAGGCATCTGAAACTTTTGAAATGGAAAATGGTGGAAAAAACAGTGCAGATCAAAATGTTTTTCATGTTCAAAATTTTCCAAAGACACAGACTTCCTGAAACTAGTTTTCATACGTTAGTTTTTGGTTTCAATTTGTCAGTATCAGGTAATAGAATCAAACATTGCAATGTTTATTGCAGCTTCCAAAAAAAATGCACTTTCCTAAATACTTTTAAAGACTAAAATTACCATCAGCACTGTGTTATCATATATTCCATTTAAAATGCATTTTTTTATTCAGTGACTGAAAGTTAGATATCATTGTTTTGCTTTTGAGCACTTATGAACATAAAAATGACTTCTAATGCAAACAATCCATTAAGTTTAGATATTGACTCACTAATATTATATTGTTGGGATGGTTAATTTTATGTGTCAACTTGGCTGGGACATGGTGTCAGGATATGTGGCCAGACAATATTTTGAATGTCTCTGGGAGGGTGTTTTTTGATGTGATTAACGTTTACATAGGTGGATTTAGAGTAGCTTGCTCTCCATAATGTGTGTGGGCCCCATCCAATCAGTTGAAGGCCTGAATAAAACAAAAGCCTGCCATTCCCTGAGCAAGAGGGAACTCTGCTAGCAGGCTGCTTTCAAACTTGAATTACATCATCTGCTCTGTCTTGGATGACCTTTGGACTTGAACTACATATTTCAGATTTGCCAGACTCCTTAATTGCATTCACCATTTCCTTAAAAAATAAATCTCTATAGATATGTACACAGCCTGTTGGCTCTGATTCTCTGGAAAACACTGATTAACACAATTATACATGTCGCTTCAGTCTGTATGAGAAAAACAAGTGATAATGTTTAGAAACTGACATTATTTCCCATATAAAATCAGAACTTATTCAACCTTATCAGTATTCCTAAGATACTTAAACTAATATAAATTTCTTTATTTGTACATATTGAATTGCTGTGTTTCATGGATCTACAGACCAGGCAAATATCTGGAGTGAATATATTCTGATAAACTTTCCTTGTAGGTCTCTTGGTAATCTATATCAACATACTGTAATTAAAAATATTTACAATTTTTAAGAGGAATTTATATCTAATAATTAACCCAGAGAAATATTTAAAATTAAGGCAAAAATATGCATTACACACTTTTCATTATAATTTATTTATTAAGATAAGATATGGTGATTTAATTACTGATTGTATGTTCTAGAATTGGGATATCTACACAATTAATAATTGCTGTTCACTTTGCTAAAGATGAACATGTATAAATAAAGTGATAAAATTATTGTAAAACAAAATGATGCATATTTCTGAGGAAAACATCACACAGAGTAACACGCATAGTTGTGACAATTTTAAGAGTGTTGTTTTCCAAAACACGGTAGTTTCTTCAGTCTAGAATGTAAGTCAAATGTCTTTTGGGGGAAAAACACTGTGTATATTTAGGAGAATTAACCATTCATTGGTTTGGAATTTTAAATCATGCAGATATAAATTAACTGCCAGTCATTTTTGCAAAATCTTGGACTACTGGAATAATCCTAATGCAGCATCGTGTTTAATAATATAAAAGTCTTCTTATTTGGAAATAAAATTCAATTCAACTAAATCAAAAATATTTCTGTAGAGTACCTTGTATCAAGTAAATGTCAAGCTAGATCCTGGGGATGCTGAAATAATCCCAGACAATCTTTAATGAGTTTACATTATTGTGGGGATAACAGGTATTCAACAATTAATATACCTAATACCTACATTGTAATTTGGGCAAGTATATGAATGGAAAATTTAGAGAGCTATGAGAATATGTAAATCGGGATCAGGGTGGGGGAAATTCAGGGAATTGTTGATCTACTGGGCATTGAAATCTCATGAAGCATGAAGTGAAAGAGGAGCTGGAATGTAGAATAGGGGAGGTCCTGAAAGAATCAGAGTCTCCTGAGTGCAAGAAAAGAGGAAAATGAGAAGAAGCTCAAAAGTTCATCACCGGCAAATCATCTAGCTCTGTACCAGTTTTATAACTTGGGCGAATGGTTGAAGTTCTCTAAATCTTACTCTTCTGATTGTTCAGTAAGAATAAAGATAAATTGGTCTTGTTCTGATGCGCCCAATGCAATCTGAACAGTGAGTTTATCACGCATTAAGGATTTTCATTGTATTTATTTATTTTTTAATCGTGGTAAAAACACTAAACATGAGATCTACCCTCTTAACACTGTGCTGTATCCATACAGTGGAATGCTGCTGCTTAGCAATAGATAAGCATGGGTATTAGTTACACATGCAACCTAGATGAGTCTCCTAGATTAACAGCACACTGTTGTGTTGCACGCCTGTTACGTATACAAAACAGTATCATTAGCTGTAGACACGATGTTATACAGCACATCTCCAGAAATCATGTATCTTGCAGAACTGAAACTTCCTACATGCTGAATAGCAAGGGGCTAATGCAGAAATCTCCTCACCTTCTTGGAACCACCATTCTACACTCCAAACGAATGAATAAAGCAAATATGGCATTTATTTACTAACCAAATGAATGGATAAAGAAAATATGGCATTTATATGCAATAGAATATCATTCAACTTTAAACAATAAGGAAATCCTGACACATGTAACAACCTGCAGTAACTCTGAGGACAATATGCTAAGTAAAATAAACTAGCCACAGAACAAACACTGCATGATTCCACTTATAAAAAGTACTTCATTTTACTTTTTAAAAGTAACATAGAGTAAAATTGACCCCTTATGTGTCCAGTTTTGTCAATATTAAAACAAGTATAGATTCCTGCAACTATCCCCAGAATGAGGATTCGGAACAGCTCTAGTACTCCTTTGAATTTGTTGTCACAATCCTAGCCTCTTGGCAACCTCTCGTTTGTTTTCCGTTCCTATAGTTTTGTTTTTTGAGAATGTCGTCCACATGGAAGGATGAAATATGCAACCTTTTATAATTGGATTCATTCACTCATCATAATCTCTATGAGATGCATCCGTGCTGCATGGATCCATGAACCGTTCTCACGGATTGCTAAGTAGTATTCCACTCTATGAATGGGATACCTACCTGTATTCCACTAGATGGATGCAGCACATGTTGAAGGGCGTTTGGGTTGCTTTCAGATTTGGTGAATATGAATGGAGCTGTTGTAAACAAGTTTTTGTGTGAATATGTTTTAAATTTATTTGGAAATATGCCTGGGAGTTGTATCGCTGACTTACATGGTAATACAGTATATGTCTGTTATCAGAACCTGCACAACAACGGTTTTCCACAGTGACTGCAATACTCTTCATTCTGACAAATACTACCTGAAAACTCCTTTTGTGCTACATTTTTGTTGGCAGTTCAAATTTGTTGTTATTTTGGGCGTTTAGTGGGCTTGGAGTGGCATCCCATCATGATTTTAATTTGCATTTTCTTATTTGTCATCTATATCCTCTTTGTTGAAAGGTCTGTTTGTCTTTTGGCCATATTTTAATACTGTTTTTTTCACACCACTGATTTTTGAGTGTATATTTTCATACAAATACTCTTTAGGATACGTGATGTGCAAACACTTTCTCTCAATCTGTAGCTCATGTTTTCAGTTTCATAATAATGTCTTTTATAAACCAAAGGTTTTTAATTTTGATGAAGTCCCATTAATATTTTTTCCCTTTTTAGATCACACATTTGGTGTCACATTTAACAACATTTTGGCTAATTTAAGGCCACAGTGTTTTTTTATATGCTTTCTTTTTCTAAAAGTTATATGATTTTCCTTTTAGATTATTAGTCCATTTTGAGGTATTTTTTGTATAAGTTATGACATTAAGCTTGAAGTTATCATTATTATTTTTTGTAGATAAAGGTCCAATTTTTTTCTAACCCATAGGCTGAAAAGTCAATCTATTCTCCACTGAAATGTCTTTGTAAATTTGCCAAAAAGCTATGTGCTATATTTGTGTGAGTCTATTTTTGGACCCTATTCTGTTCTATTGAATAGAATCTATTCAATTCTGCCTTCACCAATATCACACTGTCTTGATTACAATAGCTTCATAGTATGTCTTGATATTGGGTGATGTGACTCCTCAGATTAATTCTTATTTTAAAATTATTTTGGGTATCCTAATTTCTTTGCCTGCCCATTACAATTTAGAAATTACTTCTGTACAGTTAAAAAAAATCTGCTGGAATTATGTTTGGAATTGAATTAAATGTATCACCTTGAAAAGTATCTGTATAGTTTCTATGTTGAATCTTTCAATTCGTGAACACTTCAGTTCTCTCCAGTTACATGTAAATTTTTTGATTTCTTTCCTGAGTGTTTTGTAGTTTTTTTGGAATACAGATCCTGTACATGTTTCATTGGATATATGGAAAATTATTCCTTCTTTTTGGAGTAACTGTAAGTGATATTGCCTTTAAAAATCATGTTTTAATGGCTTATTTCTAATATATGAATGTAGAATTGATTTTTGTGCACTGACCTTGTATTCTGTAACCTTGCTAAACTCACATTAGTTCTAGCAGAATTTTTATACATTTCTTGGGATTTTTTTACATAAAAATAGTCATGTCTGCTGTGAATAGGGACAGTTTTAATTCTTTCTTTATAATGAATACATCTTTTATTTTTATGGCTTACTGCACTACCTCAGAATTCTGTACTGACTTGAATAGGAGTGATGAGAGTGAATAATCTTATCTTCGTCTTATACTTTGGGAAAAGCAATTCAGTCATCGCTATTAAATTAGATTAGCTATAGTTTTTTTGGGGTGATGCCCTTTATTAGATTGAGGAATTTCTCTTTTATACTTATCTGCTGGGAAATTTTATAACTAATAGATGTTGAATATTTTAAATGTCATTTTTGGATCAATTAATAAGATCATGTGGACTTTATTGGTAGGATGGATTAAATTGATTAATTTTTTAGTATTAAATAAACCTGCATTTCTGAGGGGAAACTTCATTGATTGTAATATAATATTTTCTTAAATATTGATGGATTTGATTTGCTATTATTTCATTGAGCTTTTTCTGTGTTCATGAAGGATATTAAGCCATGGTTTTTCTTTTTTCTTTTTTTCTTCTGATTTTAGAATCAGAATGTGATAAGTAATTATATATGTCAATTTGAGAGGGCTAAAGGATGCTCAGAGAGCTGGTAAACATGATTTCTGGGTGTGTCTGTGAGGGTGTTTCTGGAAAAATTTAGTATTTGAATTGGGAGACCAAATAAAGAAGTTTGACTTTCACCAATGTGGAAGAGCATAATCCAATCCACAGAGGGCCAAATAAAAAAAAAAAAAAGATGCAGAAAGAGCAAATCCTCTCTGTCTTCTTGAGCTGGCACATCCTTCTTTTCCTACACTTAAGTGTCGGAGCTCCTGGGTCCCAGGCTTTCCATCTTTGACTGAAATACACTGCTGGCTTCCTGGTTCTCCCCCTTGTAGTGGGCATACCATGGAGCATCTCAGCCTTCACAGCATATAAGACAACTCCTATAATAAATCCCTTCTATGTATCTTTATATATCCTCCTGATTCTGTTTTTCTAGAGAAGTCTGCCTAATAGACAGAATAATTCCGACTTCGTTAAATGAGTTGGGAAGTATTCAGTTTCCTACTGCTTGGAAGAGGTTATGTAAAATTCATTGGGATTTGCGAGTGAAATCTTGCAGGCCTGGAGATTCAGTTTTTGGAAGACTTTATCTGATGAATTCAATATTATTACTAGTTCTAAGACTATTCAACTTATATATTTCATCTTAGTCAAGTTTTGGTAATTTGTAGATTTTGATAAATTGACCCACTTTATGGCCATATAAGTGTTCAAATTTTTGTGCCTAGAATTATTCATAATATTTCTTTATTCACCTTTGAGTGTTGGTAAAATCTAGAGTGAGATTTCCTTTTGCATTTCTGATATTTGTAAATGTTGTCTTCTCTCTGTTTTTCTAAAAAGGCTCTTGCTAAAAGTTTGTCAAAGTATTAAAATATATTTTCTAACAACCAACTTTTGTATTTATTTACTTTTATCATATATTTGTTATCAATGTTATTGATTTCAGCTTCTACCTTCATTGCTTTCTTACATATGCTGTTTGTATTTAATTTGCTCTTCAAATTCTATTATCTGAAGAGCGAAGCTTGCAACACTGATGTGAGATCTTTCCTACTGTCTAATATAAGCATATGGTTCTATACATTTCCCTGTAGGCGCTATTTTAGCTGCGTAAACATTTTCGATGTGCTGTGTTTTTAATTTAACCAATTGTAACTACCTTAAAGTTCCTCTTGTGATTTCTCCTTTGACTCATGAGTTATTTTAAAGTCTGTTGTTTCATTTACACATTTGGAGATCATTCTTGATCTCTTAATGTAACAAATTTCCAATTTATTTCCTTTGTCACCTGCTGCTTTGGGCCTCACTCAAACCTGGCTTTCTTTCACAAAACTTGGCATTTAGGCTGTCAAAGTATTCCTAGATGTGTTATATCTTATCCCCAAAGCACGAAGAAATATTTCTTTTTCTTGTGGTGGGAGAAGTAAAGCGCAGTAGTTTTTATTTTACTTTGGAACTACATTCCAGCAAATGCCTGATCACCGGAGCCCCCCAAATTTTATGGATGTGTTCAGCCTTTGAATCTTTGTACAGTTTAATTTCCACCATGTAGAACACACGTCTCTCACCAACAGCTCTAGCATGCCAGCTGTGTCTTGTTTTCCTAATTCGCTCCACATATTAGAATCAACGTACTGCCTCACTGTTTTGTTGTTGTTGCTCTGTCTTCATCTGGAAAGTGGGTCAGAAGGCGTTTTCATAGATAGGGAATGGACAAAAAACTACACACGAGACTTTCTTTCTTAGCTATGGTGACAGGATATCATGTGGGCACAACTGTAAATGTGTATGATTGTCCATTCCATGGCTATAAAAACTATTTATTTATTTATTTATTTGTTTATTTATTTATTTATTTATTTGTGGGTGGGGAGAAGGGGTCTCAATCTGTCATCCAAGTGGGAGTGCAGTGGCCCGATCTCGGCTCACTAAAACCTCCGCCTCCTAGGCTCAAGCAATCCTCCCCCACTTCAGCCTCCCGAGTAGCTGGAACCATAAGGTACATGCCACCATGCCCAGCTAATTTTTTTCTGTACAGATGAGGTTTTGCCATGTTGCCCAGGCTGGTCTTGAATTCCTGAGCTCAAGTGATCTGCCTGCCTTGGCCTCCCAAAATATTGGGATACAGGCATGAGCCACCACACCCAGCCTATGCAAACTATTTCTAACTCACTTTTCAGAATGAAGTAAACAGAATATATTTATTATCTCAATGACTACATATTCTGTACCTGAGGCCATATTATTTCTGCTGTAGCCAAGGTGTCAGATCTGAATGTCAGCAGCAACTGGTGTGTGAGTTTGCTTGAATTTGACCTCGGATCCGTCTGTATTTATACCAGTGTTCAAATGGCTTTTACAGAAACCAGAATGGTGACTTTTTAGAGAAGTGTGGACCATTTTTGTAGTCTGAAAACATTCAGGGGCCATCTGCCCAGATAATTGGGGGCATCTGCCCAGGTATCTCCATCTCCTATGTCTTCATCCCAGTTTTTTACAACCAGAGCCCTAGATTTGCTATAAAAATTGCTTTGGCAGGGATTTCACTGTTCTTTGTGTTCAGTCACTAGGATTATTAAATACTGGAATTTACCCTTGGCTTTCTTTGCCGTGCCCTCGCAGGAGATGAGCACTCTTTGCAACAAAACATCCCTCTGGTTTTCAAAACTGCTTTTCTATTTCTGTAATTTACCTTCAGCCTTTCTTTGTCTTTACGAAGGGCATCAGTGATGATTAGTAAGAGGCACCAAATCCCATTATCTTATACCTACTATTTCCTTCTTCAATTTAAAAATCCTGCTAGTGCATTCATTTCTACAGAAAGGTTCTCCCAATTCACCATTGGTAAGGTTTTAACAATGGGACCACCCCTTCATTCCAGGGTAAGGTTTTAACAATGGGACCACCCCTTCATTCCAGGGTAAGGTTTTAACAATGGGATCACTCCTTCATTCCAGGGTAAGGTTTTAACAAGGGGACCACCCCTTCATTCCCGGTAAGGTTTTAACAATGGGACCACCCCTTCATTCCAGCGTAGTTATGTGTCCCATCTACTTGCAGTGATGGAGCTCCTCATTACAAACTGGCCACTCATGATCTAGCTCCAAAGCCTCTTCTATCCTGTTTCTCAGACCCTGTCAGGTACCAACGGCTGCAGTGTGGGCTCTCCTCTCCTTTGAAAAAAAGGAGGAAGTCTGTTATGCAGACTCCACCATCCTCAGCCAATCTGACAGGCATCTCTGGAGACAAGCAAAATGGCTGAGCTTTTCCGCATTTGTCTCTCACAGACATCAGATGTGGGCAGCGCAAGAAACGTGTTGCTTTGGGTTGGTAGCGCTCTGTAGTTCATGCCAGGCAGGAATAAACTGAAAGCTAGTGGGTACTGTGTCTGTTTACCACACTCCTCACAGCTGGTCAGCGAGTCTTTCTTTGCAGGGGAGCTAGGTGGTACATTTTGTGTCTCTTATGATTGTGATGGTTTGTGTTAATTCCTAAGGCATTATTTATGATTCTTATCTATCATAATTTTCCTTCTTTCCTTTGCATTTTTTGTATTAGTTGATCTTTTGCTTCGTTAGTTTTCTCCACTATTTTTTTTATCTACAATTTCAGATTTCTGAAAGCTATACTTTTTCTTTTAGTGGTTACTCATGAAATATTGCCATATATATTTGACATTGTTTAACTTTAATGAATATCTCATTTCCTCCCCAGAATAACATAAATCCCTGAAACACTAATTCCTATCATATTTTGCAAGTATACATGTTATTTTTTTCTAACAGTTTATATATGTACTTTTTCATTTTATATATGTCCTTTTTCATCACAAAAAGTAGAGCAACAGTATTGTCTACTATTATGGTAAACGTGTATTTATATTTACTATGTGATGCATCATATTTTTCAGCATTCTTGCATCTCAGGCATTTGTTCTGGTGATATGTTCATTCATGGCAAAGTATATCTTACTTAAATTCCTTTGGTGAAAATAGAACAATGTTAAATTCTTCCAGTTTTTGATCTTTGGGATTGTCTTTATTTCATCTTCCATTTTTAAAAGACAATTTCTCTGGATGAGCAATTCTAAATCAACAGTTGCTTATCTCCAAGACGTGGAAAATATTATTACTCTGTGTTTTGGATCTTACTGTTGCCACCAAGAAGTGTACTAGAAACCACTTTTTAGAGGATATTTTTCTCTTACTACTTTTAAGGCCTTCTTTATATCTTTGGCCATTCCAGAATTTTAATGCAAGGTTTCTTGCATATGACTTTTTTAAAGTCTATTCTACTTGAAATCCATTATACTTCCTCACCGATAGTCTTGTTTTTCATTGGTTCTAAAAAAGTTTTAGTCATTATGTCTTCAAACAGTGCCTCTCTTCCAATCTATATTATTGATTCGCACTCTATGTTAAGCCTCTGAATTCTAACCATTTTATCCATAATCTTACTTTATTGCTTTACTCATTCTGAAATATTCTGAGAGTTTCTTCAAATCAAATTATCAGTCTCCTAATCATTATTTTCATTTTTTAAATTACTATTTTTTGTGTTCATATAAACCTGATACTTTTCAAAATCTCATTTCTCTTCTTTTGTGATTTTCAATATTTTAATTTTTTATTAATATTTTTAATTAAAAAATTGATCTTTTTAAATTTTGTTTTACTGAGATAATATTTTACATATTTATAGGGTACATGTGAGTATTTGTTACATGCATAAAATGTGTATACAATAAGTTTTTAAGCTCTCACATGTGAGTGAGAACATGAAGTATTTGTATTTCAGTGCCTGGGCTATTTCACTTAACGTAATGACCTCCAGTTCTATCCATGTTGCTCGCAGTGGCATAATGACATTTCTATGGCCAAATAGTATTCCATTGTGTGTATATACCACATTGTCTTTATTCATTTGTTTGTTGATGAACACTTAGGTTGATTTCACATCTTCGTTATCATGAATAGTGCTGAAATAAACATGCAAGTACAGGTGCCACTTTGATATACTGACTTCTTTTATTTTGGATAAATACCTAGTAGTGGGATTGTTAGATTATATGGCAGATCTATTTTTAGTTTTTTGAGAAATCTTCACACTGCTTTCCATAGTGATTATACTTATTTACATTCCCACCAACAGTGTATATGAGTTCCCTTTTCTCCATATCCTCAACAGCATCTATTATTTTGTCTCTTTATTAAAAGCCAAACTTACTAGGGTAAAATAATATTTCTTTGTGGTTTTGATTTGCATTTCTCTGATAATTAGTGATGTTGAACATTTTCTTACACATCTGTTGGCCATTTTTATGTCTTCTTTAAGAAATGTCTGTTCATGTCCTTTCCCCACTTTTTAATAGGATTATTTATTCATTTTTGAGTGTAGTTACTTGTGTGTTCTGGATATTAGTCCCTTGTCATATGAATAGTTTGCAAATATTTTCTCACATTCAACAGGTTGTCTCTTCACTTTGTTGATTGTTTCCTTTGTTATATGGAAGCTTTTTAGTTTACTATAGTCCCATTTGTCTATTTTTGTTACAGTTGTCTATGCTTTTGAGATCTTAGCCATAAAATCTTCACCGATACCAATGCCTTGAAGTGTTTTCCGTAAGTTTTCTTCTAGTAGTTTTATAGTTTTGGATACTACAGGTAAGTCTTTCATCCATTTGGAGTTGACTTTTGTACGTGATGTGAGACTGATCCAGTTTTATTTTTCTGCATATAAATATCCAATTTTCCCAGTACAATTTATTAAAGAGGGGGTTCTTTCCCCAGTGTATGTTCTTGGTACTCAAACCAAGAAGTCAATTCCATTTAAAATAGCTACAAAAACAAAATACCTAGGAATACATCAAAAAAATAATGTGAAAGATCTCTACCAAGAAAACTTCAAAATACTGAGGAAATACATTGAAGAGGACACACAGAAATGGAAAGACATCCTGTACTTACGGAATGGGTCAGTTTATATCATTAAAATCACCATACTGCCCAAAGAAATACACAGATTCAGTGCAATTCCTATCAAAATGCCTACGCTATTCTTCATAGAAATGGGAAAAAAATTCTAAAATTTGTATGAAACCAACAAGAGCAAAAATAGCCAAAATAATCTTGAGCAAAAAAACAAAGTTGCAGGTGTCACACTAGCAGATTTCAAATTATATTTCAAGGCTATACTAACCAAAACAACACGGTATTGGTATAAAAATAGAAACATAGACCAATGGGACAGAAGAGAGAACACAGAAATAAATCCTCATATTTACAGCCAACTGATTTTCTGTATGTTAATTTTTAAATATTGGATATATAATTATTTATTAAAAATGTATAACAAATTCCATTTCTGTACTTCTTGGTATGTTCTATAGTGAGAATATATTGTTTGTTCTTTCCACTGACTTCTATATATTATAGACTTTTTTCTTTTGTGTTTCATGATTATAAATTAGAAATTTGTATTTACTGTCTTGTAATTTGTAGAAATCCTGCAGGAAGAAATACAGGAGGCTTGTATTTAGCATGGATTTATGATTGCCCATACCCTAAGCAAGAAGATGTCACCCACTTGGGTACACTCATACTTCATAATGAGTAGAAACCTCTGTTTCATTCATCATCAAACCTGCAAATGCACTTTCACCATCAAACATCTTTTCCCTCCTGTTACAATAGGAGATTTTTTCTCAAGATCATGTCCTTCCAGTCTGAACTGGTCTCAAACAGAATACTTCAAGTGCTCTAGGAATTCATAGATTGTTACTATATATATATATTCTGTAACAGCAAAGTTTTTCTCTCTTTTGAACATTTCTATCTGCAACAACCTATTAGGTAATAATCTTTTTATAGTCTCCTAGTTTTCAAAAATTTATCTCAATAATAAAATTGCTTGGAGACCACATTGCTCCAATCATGTTTGGTTTCTGTCATTGCTGACCAAAATGTTTCATGCCAAAGTTATTAACAATTTCTATTGTTATTCCATTTTCAAATGCAACACATACTTATTTTTTTTTCTGTGGAATGAGTCTTATATTTACTTAGGCCCTCAACAATACTTCACAAGGCCTACCACTCTATTTCACAAAATTCTCATTTTATTTGTTTGTTTGATTACTTTGGAGGCCACAGTTTCCTGGATATTGTTTCAATGCTCGGAACTTTCTCTACTTTAATTTTCTCTACAGACTATAAATGCTAACAATTCTAAGGGCTCCATTACAGACATCTCTTTTTCTTCTGACTTTGTCTTATGTGATCACATCCATTCTTACATTTGAAACATGTTGTCCATGTTCTAGAAAGTTCTCCAGGACCAATTTCTTCTCTGAGATTCAGACTAGCATTTTCCACTGTCTTTTCAAAATTTACCTTCTATATTTGATAAGCATTGCCAATATAACTTGCTTTAAGTACATCTCCTTATACCTCTTCTCCCCCATTGTGCTCCAACTCAATAAAAGGCACTATGTCTTCTTTTCAATTTTTTTTTCAAATTCATTAAATAAACAAAAACCTAGGAGGTGATTCTTAATTTTTTTTCTCTAAACATTATATTCAAATCTATTGCTAAATCTTGTTGTTTTCCTTATAAATATTTATAACAATTTCCACTTTGTTTCATGTCTACACCACTGCTGTATGTCAAGATACCTACATGAATCACATAGTTTATTATTAGGATAAGCTCTGGCTTTGTTTTAGCTCTTGTTACATTACAACCATAGTCCATATTGCAAGACTTTAAAAATGTAAACTTAATCATATTACTTCACGCTTTAAAACCCTTCAAGGATTTCCAATTCCCATTAGATTTAAATGAGAATTTTCAGCATAGCCGAGGCCCTGGATGATCTTATCTTTTAGACATCCAAGTTCATTTCATGCTATTATTGCTATTCATCTTTTGCATTTATCACGTCCTCAGAGAGGTCTTCTTCTATGTTGTCTAAAGTAGCCTGCCTTCCCTTATTTGCATTAGTATAACTTAACCTCAACACTATTGTTAGCTTGGACTGGGTAATTCTTTCACGTGAGGGACTTTGCTGTGTGTTTTAAGATGTTTAACTGCATCCCTGGGCCCTATCCACTAGACGTAAGCAGCATACGACCGCCTCCCATCCCCAGTGTGACAGCCAGACTCTCCAGACATTACCAATATCTTTGGGAAGCTGAATCACTTTTGCTTTAGAAGCACTGATCTAGATTTTAGCAGCATGTGGGTTTCCTTCATCAAAATTGACATGTGTATTTGGTAGTTTACTTTTTAAAAATATAAATGAATAAAGGGAGATACAATTATTCCCTGAGAATTAAACTGGAAGATTAAAAATATCACCAAGCAGATATGTTGCAAAGCTGACTAAAAGGACACATTCTACTCCCAGCAAGCAAAAATGATGATAGCATTATTAATTAAATTAACATATTTATAAGAAAGCTGTACCAATAAGATTAAGAGGTGGTTAGCTAAGAAAAAAATTAGTGCTGAAGCTTTTTTTTCCAGAATTGAAGGTGCTCTTTTCAAAAGACTTAATGTAAAATTAAAACAATTATTTTCTATTTACAACAAGAATTATATTTCAAACTAATAAAGATTAATTTCACCTATCACTTCTAAATTTAAAATGTGACTGAACAATGAAGATCCGCTTCACTTGCTAGTACTATACACTAATTTGTGTTAAATACTTTCAATGTACCCAAATAAATATAATTATCCACAGAAAAGCATATATGTCCAACCCTTCAACCCCAAATAAAGCATATATGCTTCTACTATGGATAATTTTTTAGATTACTGAATAATTAGAACTAGTGTTATCAAGAAGCCTGAAAGAATATTGCATCCTGGCATCCTGGAACATGGCAGAGTAAACAAACACAAAAAAAGTCAATGGTATATGAAAAAACATCACCTGAACATATCTATATAGAGTGGATAACACTAACATACCAACTTTTTAGTATACCTTTGATTAATATTTCAACTCTGCTTAATTTAATTTTCCCTTCTTTTTGCAACTAATTAACTCAATCACCTTCTACATGGATGACATCTGTAGGAAGTTGTCAAGTGTCAAGAGCCAAGGTTAACACCCAAAGAATGTTTTCCTTGCCAAATATAAGGAGACCTTAGTTTGGTTTTTCTGTTACAGATGAAATACTGTTCTTTTATGTATTTTAGTAGAAATATTGTTTGTTGTGTGAAGAGGAAGGACTTGTGGATAATTTCCTGTATTTGCTGCAATAGAAACATACATTCAAAGTCTCAAATAGCCACATTTATATATTAACCATAAGATTTTCTGCTACATGTAGAGTATTATTTTAGCTAAATATTTCTTACCATTTTTTTCTTTCTTTTTTTTAAATGGCTGAGTTAGAAATCCAAATTTCATAGAGAAAATTTTTATGAATCACATTTGGACTTTGATTATTCCTGTGATTATATGTCCAACCACTCAACCTTAAAATAAATAACATGGTAAGTTGTAAATTTGCTTTAGATTTAATATAAAACCTCATTGTTGCGATAAGTTTGTGACACTAATTTACCTTGAAATATGGGAAGGGAAGGGTTGGCAGTGGGTCTGTAAAATACTGGTTCAGATATGCCTGTGCTCTTTTATAACCTGTGAATCTGAAAGAATCAACCCTTCAAGATGAATACTGAGTGACCTCTCAGAGCCCAGCGGCCATTGTAGAGCCAAGTGACCATTTGCTGACTAGAGGGTCACGCATGTACTCTGAGGTCCCTGAAAACCCATACCTTTTAATCTTTGGAACTTTCATAGCTCTCCTGAACCAACCAATCATAGCTCACCTGCCTCAGCCCATCAGAGATCAGCTGTATTGACCAATCAGAACTCATCTGTGTAAACCAATCAGAACTAAGCAAGTTTCCATCCTCCATTTGCATAAACAGACCTGACTGGGAACCTGGAAGGAAATGTTTGCTGTAAAATTTGTCTTCATTTTGTTCTCTAGACAGCATCTTTGTTTTACACCAGAGCCTGCATCTCCCTGGTTTGCAAACTGCTCACTGGAGTAATGTCTTTCTTCCACACTGGAGTAAAGTCTTTCCTCCAAATTCCTTTTAAGAGAACTTGCGTTCACAGACCCTAACCAGATCTCCTGGAAACATGCAGTTGGAATTCACTGGCTGGAATATAACTGTGAGGAGTTTATGTGCTGGTCTGTACTCATTTAAAAATGCTTTAGGAAAGTCATTCCTGTTCAATCTGGATTGATTATTATAAATAAATTTGAAATGTCTGGATTTATGAGGTACAATTGTCAGAAGAAAGAACATATTATATGGAATTTATAGCAATATGGCTGTCAAGTTACAAAAAAAGGACCCCAAAACTAAGTGGCTTCCTTGTATCCATCTCTGCATTATGTGATTTATCTTCTCACTCAGAAAAAGAGACTTCAGAAAGCTACAGCCAGTGAACTCAGCGTTTATTGCTTCACTGTCTTAACCTTCATGAGTAAATTTTGTTATCTAATAAGACTAGTTTTATGTGAGTCTGACAGCGAAGCCCTTTGTGGTAGTACAAAAAAAATTTTTATGTTAATCTAAAAGCATCACCTAAGAAAGAATACAGACACGCACACAACACACACAAACACACACAAACATACACACATGTAAATACGTAAGTGTGTATATCCCCATAGAATTTGATCTCTATTAGCAAGGAGCTTTCATTTTTTAATCTGCTATAATTTTATGATGTGAATAGTCAATAATATGGCCTTTTATTTTTCATCAATACTCTTCTTAGAAATTGAGAAAATAATTATCTTGTTATTTTTCATTTTTATTTATTCCTTTTTAGTATGTCCTCGTGTTCCTGATTGTTTCTAGCTTTGAGTCCATTGTTAAGTACGTGGTTTCATAGTAACAATTTCAACCCATATTTAGCCTAGTACGAGGCTTACATTTTCCTGTGATGTGTTATTAAATGGTTGGTTAGCATTACAGATGCAACAATCATAGCATATCCACAGGAAATATGAAAAGGCTGTTTTGCAAAGGAGAATAACAGTGACATTTTCCAGCTGTGCTAGTACTTTCCGGTATGTTATTGTTTTATTTTACTTTTTAATATTCCCAAATTAGACATTGTCATTTGAACAAATAGCACTTAATGTTTGGTAATAATAAAGAAAAAAGAGTTTTTCAAAGTATCTGGAAAGAAAATGTAAGTGCTTCTTTTGATGTATTTAAATATTTCTTTATATTTAAGGGTATATATTAGATTTAAAAATTGTTTTCTTCTCTATCAGCCTTCTTTAGTTCTTTTTGATAAATAAAAATAGTAAAGCAGGTTTCAGTCAAAGTATGTACAATTTACTATAAAATACTAAAATAAAATTTCTTTTTCAGAGAAAATGAAAATACATGTGATTACAATTAGATATAGAGTACAATAATACAATGTAAATGTGTGCTGATTATTATCATGTGAACAGAGAAATACTTTTATACATATTACCAAACTTTGACTTCCCATGTAAGAAAAAGTAGCTGAGCCAATAAGAATTAGGTTTTAACATGATGCCTGGCTCTTAGGCAGGAATAAGCCTATGATAGAAAGGTTCTTTTGATGTAACAACTTCAGGAGCAATGGAACTGTCAAGAAGTAATTGGTGTTTTCAACACAGGAGTTTGGTGGTGGTCCTAGGAGTGGGAGAAAGCTGAGTTTGTTTTTAGAGAAGGCCTATGTGTTGCACAAAGTGGGTCAAGCTTTTATTGTTCTGATGATGTTTGAGTTGAAATCAGCTTTATTCCACTTCCCCTTAACCCCTGGCTTTTTTTTTTCAGCTATCGCAGAAAATGCATGCCCAGCACAGCCAAGTAATAGCAGAAGATAAGTCATTAACACCATAATCCATCACTCTCTACATTCAGTCTCAAAGAGCACCAGGACCATATGAGTATCCTATTTTGTAGCCAGGAGTAAAACTCTAGATAAATGAATAACCCATTTCCACATGCTTCTATTTTATCCATGCCCTCTCAATAAACATGCATCTTTTCTAGTTTGTTTGAAATATAGAGGTAAACCTGAAAAGAGTCAGGTAAACTAGCTTCAGGTATCTCAAGTTTATTCAGAAGCCATCATACCACAATATGAATACATTTATATGAATATTTTTGTACATTAATTACAGTAATTTCAGTGGACTTAAGGTTGTAAGATCATAATAGAACTTGTGCAATTGATTATCTGAGGTCAAGAGTTATCCCATACCATATAATTACTAATATCTGGTTTTATGCCAAAAATAAATTTTTGACATAACCTCTTGAAAGCATACCTTTTCTGTGAAAAATTATAGAAGGATAGCTCGATATCAGGCACTATAGTCTAGAAACATCTTGAGATGACAAGAGCTTAAGATATACTAATTAGACAAAAAATATACTAGACAACTAAACCAAGATTATTTCATAACTTCTAACAATCACCGTCTCAATAATGTTAATTTTTAAATGCTCATACCTTTTCTGCACCCAGTAGTTTAGTGTCTTTATTTACATGCTCCACTATGAGTTATAGTACTTATTTATTCATTTTCTTCCTCCCATTTATATGTGGTGTTCATTTTTTTCCATTTTGTTCTTTTTTTAATTCAGAAGATTTGATTATTGTTATCTTTATTAACCTAGAGAGTTTTATAAAGATGCTTATTGCTAGCCTTAACAGAGGATAAAAGGGGAAAAAGGGCTCATTACACATTCAAAAATATTTTACCTAAGGCTGAGAAAGAGAAAGAAAGAAAGTAACACATATGTAGTAAATTTTTATTTTAGGGATGGAAAGAAATGAAACTAGATTCATGTACATTCAGAGAAAAAAAAAATCTTCTGTAGTTCGCTGTCAAGGATACCACAGAGACTCAATACCAAATAAAAATCTAGTTAATTGGGTCTTCCAGAAATAAAATAGAAGAGAACAGAGAAAGAGCATCAGTAATTGTGGGGATCATTAGTGAATGTGAAATATACAACACCATTTTCATAATCTCTTTTTTATTTGTAATTTAAGCTTTTGAATATTGCATAGGTAGTTATTTCATAGTCTATCTCTAACAAAGCCCATTTGTATTGTCCTTGATATGTTCTATAATTAAAATATATTGTTTGTTTTTTCTACTGACTCTCACACACTGTAAGCTTGTTTCATACTTGATTTATAATAAATTAGAAATTTGTATTGATTTTCTCTTAATTTGTGAAAATCTTGGATAAATAAGTAGAAGACGTTTCTATCCAGCAACGATTTGTGACTTCTGGTACCCCAAGCTAGTGGACAGGACCAACTTAGGTTTAATCACATTCCCCTGAGCTATATTAACTTCTATGCACTCAGTTTTAATATAATTTAAAAAATTCTGGATTCCCCATGCATCTAATGGAATACATATTGATTTTCCATAATAAAAATACTTGGGTTTGGAAGCCAAAACCCATGGAACCCAAGGAACCAAGGTGTGGGGTGTGGTAGCTCACTCGCCATCACTTCCACGCCTTGTGCTTCCTGTCCGTCTAACTCTGGACTCTACAGGGTTAAGAATTGTGGTTCCCCATGAGGGACCACATGAGGGTACTTCCTCATCAGTGGACAGGCAAGTGGTCTACTCAAGGACAGCTCTGGTTGCCTCCTGGACACTGGGACTCCAAGGGCGTGAGGCATGCATTTGGAAATCTAAGTAGCTGGTTCACTTAGTCAGTTCAGTTTCTCCCTAACCAATTTTAACTCAATTAACATGTGTAGAAAGCCCAAATTTGGGTCACTCTACCTGGGAAGTCACCAAGAGCTAATAGCAAGGGTGAAGGGAGTTAAAAATATGTCATGGAGGAGGGAGATATTGAATATGGTTTGCGACACTGAGGGAAACTGAATTTTGTCCCAATAGTCTCTCTCTTCTTTATTTTACGCTATGAAGAGACCCATAGGAACTATGAAGAGGGACCCACAGGAACTATGAAGGGTGTGTTCTTTTGCAAGTGGGTGGGGCATCAGGTCTGGTGGGGAGGGGTGGATGGGAGCAGCTGTAGAGATCCAGTACTCAGATCTCTTCAGAACAATCTATGGCGAACAGTGTGGGTGCCCACCTTCTGCTGAGGCACCTTTGGGATTCAGCACAGCCTTTATGCCAAGGCCATGACAGAACGTGGCGAAGTCACTGGAGCTGGGCCGGGCTGCCCATGGGAGTCACTCTTACAGCAATCTTTGGTTTGGGATTTCTTGTTGGCCTGCCTGGGCCCAGGTTTTGTCAAAGCTGCCCTGATCCTGAGTCTTTGTTTTCTGCTCTCTCCTTCCTTTGCTTTCTCCTCCCACAGGCATCACAAGAGCACCTTGGCATAGAGAATTTCCCTGCCTGTGGCCACCCCCATTTTTCTTCACCCTGAGGAGCCCTCTTACATCTAATTCCAATTCAGGCTCAGCTTCTGCTTTGTGGAAGATCTGAGCTGACCCAGTTAGGAACAAAGACCAAGAGGCAGGAAATTTTAGGACATTAATAGGAGATAATTGAATAAAAAACCATGAATCATTCCAGAAAGGAAAGAAGGTAGATGTTATGGTTTGGCTGAGTCTTCACCCAAATCTCACCCTGAATTGTAATAATCCCTACATGTAAAGGGTGGGGCCAGGTGGAGATAATTGAATCATGGGGGTGGTTTTCCCCATACTGTTCTCATGGTAGTGAATAAGTCTAGTGAGATTTGATGGTTTTATAAATGGGAGTTCCCCTGCACTAGCTCTCTTGCCTGCTGCCATGTAAGATGTGACTTTGCTCCTCATTTGCCTTCCACCATAATTGTGAGGCCTTCCCAGTCATGTGGAACTGTGAGTCCATTAAACCTCTTTCCTTTATAAATTACCCAGTCCTGGGTATGTCTTTATTAGCAGTGTGAGAACAAACTAATACAATAAAGAAAGGAGAATATTAATGACTAAAAATTATTTCAGGAGACAAATCAATAGACTGGAATTTGAAGTAAGGTCAAAGTACTTTATGTAGTAGATGTGGAAAATGTAACTATATAGATAATTTTATAAATGAGAACTTTTATTTCAAATTTTATATATGAGAATTCTTATTTCAGTTTAATGATCTGCATGGTCCAGAAGCCACACAAGTAACAAAACACCTTGTGTCCTCATACCTTTTACTACTTTGTAGTGATAAGTAATATGTTTGTTTTGGTTAAAAAAAAAGATGCTGATCATATGTACACTTTTATCAAACTGCTTAGAGTCTAGAGCTAGATGGCAATGTAGAAGTGTATAATTTAAAAGTGCAGCACACTAGAATCTCAAATGTACTTAGAGTTTAGCAGGAACCCTTCCCAAAGGTTCAATGTGGGCCTTAAAGAGTAATTATAAGTTCACTCACTAAACATGAGGTGTAGGTGAGATTCCTGGAGATAATCGGTGGATGATATTTTGAACTTACAAATGGATTCTGGGGGTAAACCATTTTTGGAGTTACTATTTTAGTTTTGTGACAAGGCCACAAACACATTTGAGTACAAAAAAAAGAGTAATATACTTTATGAACAAAGTAAAAAACTTTGTAAGATTTCTGTGTTCTACTCTTAGTTTTAAGACTCTTTTATATACGTAATATCTCTTAAGCACACTTCTTTTTCAACAGTTGTTGTTTGTTCTTGCTGAAGGGCATTGATGACAAGTGCTATTTATGTACAAAGGAAAGAGCCAGCATCCTATGTAATATATTTTTCATGAACTACAAAAGGTATACCAGAGAAAGTAGTTTAACCATTTAAAAACAGAGTAGACCTTTCTGCCATTGAGTTCTAAGAGAAACCACTATACTAGGGAAGTTCTGTGTACAACGTGGAGAAATAGTATAACTGTAGTGTTGTTAATCCATCTTCACATTCTCTGTTCTGCAAATGTTCATCTACTCAAAAAATCTAAGTAAATTGGGGCTCATTGTATTTTTTTCCACGATAATGCCTCAATGCATTTCCAAAGATTTTTTTAAATTATAAATTTGAATTCTAGCTGTAATAAAACCTTCATCTCCACTAACTGAAAATATTGCAAATGATCTTGCTCTTACACTCTTCTTTTGAGGAATATAATGGAGTTTGCATTTACTTATGTCATGTGCTCCAGTTCTATTAGAGAATCACTTGAAACAAAAGTAAAGCAAACTATATGAAAGAGTAACTGTTATTATTATTTTTTTAAATTTAAGTTTCGGGGTACTTGTGCAGAATGTACAGGTTTGTTACACAGGTAAATGTATGCCATGGAAGTTTGCTGCACCTATCAACCCATCACCTAGGTATTAAGCCCAGCATGCATGAGCTATTTTTCCTAATGCTCTCCTTCCCCCACTCCACCCGCCTACAGGCCCCAGTGTATGTTTTTCCCATTCCCGTATCCATGTGTTCTCATTGAGTAACTATTATTTTTAACATGAAGAGCAAATTGATGCAAAATATAAGATTTCACTGAACCAAAATGTGATAACATTTTAATTGATATTTTGATTTAAATTTCTATTTTTATTCTATCTTTGCACATTTATGTTTATCCAGGTTCTAGTTTTAGTTACAATTTATATTTTACCTACTACTAATAGGCCTGCAATATATACGAATATATACCTTTAAATCTGTATGCAGGTTTGAGTGTTAAAATAAAAATCAAATTAACAACTATACAAAAATAATAAATGACATTTATTTCTAAATATGATTAATTTATTTGCTTCCTTGATGCCAATATTAAAAAGGAGTTAACTTATCCTGCATAGCTTTTATTGAAAGACATTCCATGTCCTGAAAAGAAGCAAAATTTACTCTTGGCAATGAGCTCTGGAAAGGATTCAACACACACATCCTTGTAAAAAGGATACTATGATACAACCCATTAAAAATCCTGGTAAACAAAACAAAAGCCAGGATTTTTTACTGTTGGCAACCTGATTAAAAACTGTATGTTGAAAGTCAAAAAACCTGGAACAACCAATGCAATATTGAAGAAGATGAATGAAGTTGGAGGACTTGAACTACCTAATTTTAAGACTTGGTGTAAAGGTTACAGTAATCACACAAGACGATATTGTCAAAATGATAGCACATAGATAGATGGAACAGAACATGCAGCCCATAAATACACCTTCACAAATGTAATCAACTGATTTTTGACAAAGGCACATAGGCAAGGCAATAGAGGGTAGTCCTTTCAAACAATGATGCTGGAACAATTGGATGCTCATATGCAAAACAATTTACCTGGACACAGAACTCACACATTATACAAAAAAAGTAACTCAAAATAGATCTATATCTAAGTGTAGTATGCATTTAGAAATGATAAAACTTCTAGAAGAAAACAGAAGAAAATCTATGTGAACTTGACGTGGGCTGTGTTTCTCATTTCTTCTGCAAGTATCATTGCAGCACACCCTCATCATTCCGAGTTCTCTGGACACATCTCTTTTTTTAAAATCTGAAATATTCCCACCAAATAGTCAGCCAACATGAAACAAATAGGAGCAAATGAAGAAAAATTGATACCACAAAATGGAGCATCCACCAAACCCAAATTCCAGGTTTTTGTATTTCTATGAATGTTTTGCTCCTGTGTTTATGTTCTAATAATAACTGAGCTATAGCATTTTCTCAATTCTCACTTTAAATTGAAGTATAGAAACTTTGCTTCATGTCTTGAGATACTGGATTTTTACCTTGAACACATCAAAAGCCAACCTGAGTGTTTCCTCCCTAGTAGATAACCCCTTTTTCTGCCTGAGTAACTGAATGCTATGAGCTGAATTGTGTCCTTCTGTTCTCCCGTCCCCACCCAAAATTCATATGTTGAAGCCCTAATTCACAATGTGATGGGGCCTTTGGGACTTAATTAGGGATAGATGAGGTTACCTGGGTAAGGGCTTCCAAATAGGATTTATGTCTTGGTAAGAAGAGGAAGAGGCTCTCTCTGCTTCCGTGTATTGCTTCAAGGAGGCTGTTTGAAAGCCAGGAAGAAAATCTTCACTAGAAACAAAATCTGCCAGCACCTTGATCTTGAACTTCTCAGCCTTCAAAGATATAAGAAATAAATCAATTTTGTTTAACCCACCCAGTCTATGGCATTTTGCCATGACAACTTGAGCTGATAAAGACACTAAGGAGCTATGTTTTTATTCTACAGTTTTCATACTTTAACCAGAATATGTTTAAGTGTTGAGTACTTAACTACTCTTGTTTCTTTTTTGATATGTGGCATTCCTATTAAATCTATGTAGATGTATTCATTATTTCCATTCCAGACACTTTTATTTGCTTTATATGTAAATCTTTTTCTTCTTCATTTTTTGTCTGTTACATAAAAAACAGGACCTGTGCCCTGATTCACTTTTCTTTGTCTTCCATTAACTATTATCTTTTCCACAATGTCATTAATTGTTTTGTCTTTTCTCTACCTTCACTGAGATTATATTGAAAATTTGCTCTATTTCAGTAATTAAAACTTAGCTATGTCTATTTGGCAGTTATCATTTCTATTAATTTTTATTTGTAAAATGTTTTTTGGACGTTTGTTAATTTCATTAGCTCTAAAATTATCTTTTTATTATGTTTATTACAATACAGCTATGAGATAATATTTATTTAATTCTTGATATTATTTATTTTCACAACATTAAACACTTGAAAATTTAATTTATTTTAGGTTCATATTCATCCTGAATGGATTCTTCATCGTATTTTCCTACCTCCCTTATCTTTTTCACTTGTCTGTTTTCTTCATTTTTTTATGTCTTACTTATTTTTACTTTTTATTTTGCCATGTTTACCATGACATATTTGCATACATTTTATATTTTTCCTATATCTTTCTACATTTTTATTAATGAAGTGAATAACTCTGTCAGACTCCTCTATTAATTCACATATATGGTCAAATAATATTTATTGACTCTCCTGAAGACTTACCTAAAAAATATTTCTATCTTTCCTTCTGAACTACAATTTGGTAATCTCTTTTTTTGTGTCTTGAAAGTATGCAATATCAGTGAGAGAGATAACTCAGTTGGACACAGTTATAATCTTGTTTATTTCTTTTGAAATTATATGTAAAAACAAAAATTAATACTTCTGCTATTGGAATAAGTCTGTACAATTTAAAATAAATTGCATTTCATTCAATAATTTAATGTGGATTCCTGATACTTATGCTTTCATTAGGGATAGATAATGAATATAAATTTATTAATATCCCATATTTAATTCATATCATCCTAGTAGGCATGTTTAAATCCTTTAGGCAAGGTAGGACATAAAGTAAAAGTATATTTATGTCTGAAATTCCAAATTTAGAAACAGTAATGAGCATTTTTGGGATATTAGCTCATCAAAAGTGTTTCCAGGGAGTCAAAGAGAGACAAAAAATGTTGCCTTGTCTCTCCTTGAAGGATATTTCTGTATTTTTTTTGTTTTGCTAAAAGCTTTAATGGTTTACTGCACATATTTTATCCCTTTATTTTATATATTTAATGTTGGGTTTTATCATGACTTATTGTTTGTTGTCTTGTTTTTCTTGCTGTCGGGTATTAGAAATAGAGTATTTTATTGATAGGATTTAATCAGTATTTTGAGAGAAATGCTACTGCTGATTTTTGTTTTATAATCCGGGCATAAGGAAATAATCCTCTTAGTTGTCAAACATAAAAAGAACAGATTGAAAAAGGAAGCTCACCTAAGATTTCTCTAAGATATTAAATATAGTTTAAGGTTGAAGGAAAACATTTGTCATTAAATCATTCGTTGTTCATTAAAATGATTATATACAGAATAAAGTTCTGAGGTATCATTGCATACATTAGGATTAGAAATATTTACCTACCCCAAATTATGATCATATTTTCTTATGTTTTCTCCCCCAATTTTTTTGTTTTACATTTCACATTTATATCAAAGCCTATTGATTGTCCTAGACATTTAAAATGTAAGTTTCTGTTCACCATGTGAAAAGATAAATTTTTTTTTTTGCATGTGGATATTCACTTAACCCATTACCCAGTATTGTTTATTAAAAATGCCATCTTTTCCCCACCGGGCTATCATGCAATCTTTGGCAAAAATCAGATGTCTATTTCTGGACTCCCTATTGGGTTCCTTTGGTCCTCCTGGCTGTCTTCAAACTATTACCTTATATTCATGAATACCATGGCTTTATCACAAGTGTTAAAATATTGTAAGTTTTCTAGATTTTATTTCAAGATTACCTTTTATTTTCATTTCATACATCCTGTTAGTATTAGAATGAGATTGTTAACTACCAAAAACCATCGTGAGATTTGGGTTCGAATTACATCAAGTCTATAAATCAAATTGGAAAAACTTTTACTTAAACTACATAGCTGTAAGAATGAAACAATGGTAAAGCAACACATGGGTGAACCCTGTAAACTCATCATGGAATAAAATCAGTCAGATATGAAAGAGTACATTCTCTCCACTTCAGTGAAGCTCAGTAATAAACAAAAGTTCATCTTCTCTTTCAGATTTCAGTAGTGTGATTACTTTGGAAGGAGGTAAGGATGTTAAATGGATGAGTTTATTTAATTTGGTGGCACACCTATGTTTAGGGATTTTCTGTGTGCATACTAACTTTTCAAATCTTTACACTGGCCAGGCACGGTGGCTCACGCCTGTAATCCCACACTTTGGGAGGCCGAGGCGGGCGAATCATGAGGTCAGGAGTTTGAGACCATTCTGGCCAAGATGGTGAAACCCTGTCTCTACTACAAATACAAAAAATTAGCTGGACATGGTGACAGGCAACTGTAATCCCAGTTACTAGGGAGGCCGAGGCAGGATAATCCCTTGAACCTGGGAGAAAGAGGTTGCAGTGAGCTGAGATCACACCACTGCACTCCAGCCCAGACGACAGTGAGACTCCGTCTCAAAAAAAGAAAAAAAAAAAAGAAAAAACACTTTACGTTAAAAGTATTTGTTTTTAGAATATGAAAGTTTAAAAAATTTTCTTATTAATGGAAAACCTCATAATTCAAGGAAGTCCTCCAGGTAACCAAATTGTACATGACATTAAAGATTTCAACAGCAAAAAAATTGTGGCATAGATTAATTGGTGATGGACACGACTTAATAGGAAATAAAAGAAACAAAGTAATTATTGAAAAAGGTAACATGTAAAATGAAAATAGCATAAATACTGGTTAATGTAAAGACTAAGATTATAAGTATGGAACAATAATTAAGTACATCTATAACATTTAATAAAAAAGCAGTCTTTAAAATAATTTGAAGATTAAAACATTAAGCATGCACATTTCCTCATTTTTATTACAAATAAAATCAATGTTATTTATAAAGTTTTTTTATAATATCCATAATTTGAAAACATATATTGATCAACTAAAAAGGAGAATATAAAAGTAAAACAAATAAAACGTATATTTTTAAAATAACTAGCGCCTGGGTCATGGAATAAGAGGTGACACACACAGCCTCAGACAGCCTTGATGCCAAACAATTGCTACTGATTATTTTCTCCAAAGCCCCTGGGTAAAGGCTCTTCACAAACAATGGCTAAGCTCTGAGTCAAGTCAAATAAAGAGAAGCCTGTGAGTAGGATTTTCTAGGAAGCTGCCCTCAGGTCATATTATGACAATTAACTGGGAATGGGGCTTTGAAGGACTCCAACCCTGTTCTGTCCCCTTCAGGTGGCTGCAAGGCTGATGATTTCACTGTGATTGTGGAGGCTGATGGTTTTCAATGCTACCACTAAGTTGGGGAGTCTGTGATGGAAACAGGGCAAACCAAACTGCCAGCAAAGCTCTCTCTCTCAGTAAGACTCAGTCGTCTTTTCTTTAATAAATGATCCCCAGATTTTTGTGAGCTTTTCGTTAATATTTTGCAATACTTTGGTTAGTTTTAAAAATTCTGAAAGCATTGATCTTGGCAATATTTGCCAGTGACTTTGCTTTTATGTAGAGAAGTATTTTTGCAGATAGTACCTCTCCAGTCCTGTGGACAACACAAATAGTATTTATCTTAAGACTTATTTGTTTGTGAAGATTTAATGAAAGATATTTGAATGTGTCAATTTATTTTTGAAAATAATCATAATTTTAAAAATTAATAAACACTGGATGAAATAGAGAATGCTATTGTTAACACATTGCGAGGTTTTTTTGTGTAAAAATTTAGAGGAATAACCTTAGGTTTTCTTTTAGTAGAGTTTTAAAATAGATTTAACAAAGAAAATCATTAAAAAAAATGACATGTATTCTGAGGTACTGAAAATTATCTAAGGCTGTGGGACAGATATGACTAATACAATGGGAAGGAATAAAATATTAAGGAATAAAATATTAAGATACTTCTCTGTTCCTGGCAATCATCTTGTTTTGGAGCCTCTTGGACATCCCAGAACTATAGAGAAAATGATTTGTGCATATTTCAAACACGCTTGAGTAATGTAGATTCCAAACCTAGAAATGAGATCAAACTCCCAGGGGTTTGAGTTCCATTTACAGTTGGCAAAAATGTACATTTAAAAAAAAAAAGGTACTGTGAGAAAAGCAAATTCATACTACCTGAGCTGTTGAAAAATGTGATAACTGCTCTTTTGAAAAGTCTTGAGCCTACATAAACCACCTGCTATGCAGCTTGGCATCACCATGAGAAATAGGGATAAAAGAACACAGAGGATCGGAGGAAAGCCGAAAGCTTAAAACTCTCTGCAAATTGGAATCCGGATGAGAAGGAAGGAAGATGGTATCCCAGATAAGACATTTTGCTTCTATAAGGGATAATCCCCAGCTCCAAATTACCATATGATTTATTTAAAAGGTCAAAATTATCCTTTCTGCCCTGTTTATTAGCAAATTTAAGTAAGAGAGACAATTTCCAAGTCAAATAACAGACATACAAAAGTATATTTTAAAACCTTGAAAAGTGAAAAAATGAATTTATTCTTCCGCTTTCAGGAATGACCACTTATTCCGGAGCAAGTCCAGGAGGTAATACTAAAGATACAAGAACGGCCATATCATAATAGCCTGGAACTCACAAGACTATCTTCAGACGGCGTAGCATTTCCTTGTTGTTAATCAGCTAAAAGCACTGACTCACACTATCCTGAGCTATATCAATTAAAGCAATGAAATACATATGTTATAATCTCTCTGCAAGTACCCTTAGACAAGGCATATATTTATACTAACCCCAGATTATAAATTCCTTGATTGACAAAGCTTTGCTTAAGAATGTAAGAATTGGCCAGGCATTGTGGCTCACGCCTGTAATCCCAGCACTTTGGGAGGCAAAGGTGGGCGGATCATGAGGTCCGGAGATCAAGACCATCCTGGGCAACATGGTGAAACCCCCATCTCTACTAAAAATAAAAAAAAAATTAGCTGAGCATGGTGGTGCATGCCTGTAATCCCAGCTACTCGGGAGGCTGAGGCAGGAGAATCGCTCGAACCAGGGAGTAGGAGGTTGCAGTGAGCTGAGATCACGCCACTGCACTCCAGCCTGGTGATAAAGCGAGACTCGGTCTCAAAAAAAAAAAAAAAAAAAAAAAAAAAGAACGTAAGAATTATAACCATTAGAATTCCTGTAATACTTTGAGATGATTCTTAAATAAATTTAAATTTTAATAAATTTAAAAGTAATTGATGAATTGCTTCTAACTGAAAAAACAAACCAAAGCTCACATATAAAACTAGGTACAAACTGCTTGTTCTTAAAACTTCTACTCCAATATTGCCAAATTAATATTTGACATAAATTTCTACAGTTTTTTTTTCTTTCTTTTTATTTGTCTTCTGTTCTCTTCAAACTGGTAGCCTCGTCTGTAGTCCTCACCCACAGGTGACGCTTTTGTTTTGTTTTGTTTCCCAAAGCCTCTCTTTGAGAAAGACAGGCGTCGCATAGAAACAGAGTAGCTTGGAAGGTTTGTTTGCCTGTTTTCCATCAGAATAGAGAGTTTCCTAGATCTGGGAATGAAAAGAAAATGGGCAATAGGCTTGTCTCTAGAGCTTTGTACACTAGTGTTCAACATTTTGAAATGTCTCCAAGAGGAGAAAATGACACCATTGAAGAATGACTTTATCTAGGAAAATGAGACTGAAAGCACAGAACATCATATGGGGGAAAAAAGGCGTTTCCCCAAGCTTACTGTAAAGGCAATCAGTAAGATCTGAACAAAGCATCATTTCCACACCAAGACTCATATATTAATGTTCATAGTAGCTTTGTTTGTAATAATTCTAAACTTTAAACAATCCAAATGCCCACCATTAAATGAATGAATAAACAAAGTAGTATATTCGGTACAGTAGGCAGCTAGTCAGGCATGAGCAGGGCAGGGAGAGGGCCCCACCCCACCACACCAGGAATGTCAGCTGACCATCAGGCGATGGTCAGCCAGTTGTTACACTGTCTCTCTAGAATGATAATTGTTTGCAGCCCGTGCCAGGGAAAGGCAGTTTCCCAAGAGATTAGAAACACCTGAAGCTGGTGATCAGCAGCTTCCTGATAAGATCTCTGTAGTTGGGTGAGTGGGCTCCAGCAAGTGTATTAAGAGGCAAAATGGCAGAGATCAACTGGTGTATGACCTCCCAGGGACATTCTGCGGGTAAAGGGAAAGAAGACCTCAAGTGAGCTCCACTCAACACTCTGTGCATGCTCACCTCCTAAGTGCTAGCAGGCCACTGTGCATGTGAGCAGCTGGCCCCAAGGGAAGAATCAGGGAAGAAGGGAAGCAAGACCCCAGAAGTATACCAACTCATAAAACCCCAAGTCAAAAGGTCAAGCCACGCATTTAATTTTCAACTTGACCACTTGGCCCTCTTCCAAGTGTATGTGCTTTCTTTACATTCTAAAGCTTTTTTTTTTTTAGACAGAGATTTGCTCTGTTGCCTAGGCTGAAGTGCAGTGGTGCGATCTCAACTCACTGCAACTTCTGCTTCCCAGGTTCAAGCGATTCTCCTGCCTCAGCCTTCCAAGTAGCTGAGATTTCAGGTGTGAGCCACCATGTCCAGCTAATGTTGTTTTTTGTTTGTTTGTTTGTTTGTTTGTTTTAGTAGAAACAGGGTTTCACCACGTTGTCCAGGCTGGTCTCAAAGTCCTGACTTCAAGTGATCCACCCGCCTCACCCTCCCAAAGTGCTGGGATTACAGGTGTGAGGAGCCACCGCGCCTTGCTAAAGTTTTTAACTAAACGCTCTCTCCAGCTCTAAAACTTGCTGTGGTCGGTCTCTTTGTCTGCCATATGCCCCTCAGTCGAATTCTTTCTTTTGAGGAGGTAAGAATTGAAGTTGTTGCAGACACCTACAGATTCGCCACCACCAACATATTCATACAATGAAATACAAATCAGCAATAAAAAAAGAATTAACTATTAATACACAGCATGGATGAATTTCATAATAATAATAAATTCCTCTATCAAACGTGAAAATTGCTGTCATCATTCTTGTAGTTGTTTCTTATGATGAACAGGTGTCTTTCTTCTCCTGCAAATTTAACATTACTCACTTAATGTTTTCCTGATGTGAAATGATCACTTGACCACTAAATGCTGTTACGTTATTTTCAGTTTAGCTAAGATACGTGATCTAGAATCAGCTGGCTCACTGTGATCATGAACACAGGTGCAAACACAAGGACTAGATTAATGTATCAGGACTAAGGTATTTGGTGGTCATTTCCATGATTCAGAATATGCTTAAAGAGTTTTATATTATATAAAGCATAAAATTAAAAAAAATTCTCAGAACTCTTAGAAGAACAATAGTACGTCATTAGAATGCAATTTTAGAATCAGTGTTAAATTGGGACAAATATGTATATAGTCAGAAATGTATGCGTTTAAATCTAAACTCCACAAGAAAGGAACTGCATGAACTTGACCAAGGTATTTAAATTCTTTGAGAACTGTTTTCTTTATCTGTTAATGAATACGATATTATCTATCTCATAGGACATTTGTGTGAATTAAGCTAAATAACCTATAGCCACACTTCAGTGTGTGATACCCAGTAAATGCTCAGTAACCCATATGTTCCTTTGTTTTCTATTAAATAAAAAATTAGGAAGGAGCTTATTAGGGAAAAGTTAGGCAAAATTATTAGGAAAATATTAGATGGATATGTGTTTTCAATTTAGTGCAAAGTTATGCATTTAGTATTATTTACAGCCATTTCTAGGTTCAAACTTACTAACCTGCATATTAGCCCTAAGAACTATAATTTCTTTTTATAATTATGTATTTATTTAAAGTATTATAGTTTGGCAGAATGTATACTATGTTTCATGTAATATTATGGCTCCTTTCAGTGGTTCCTTATTTTTCCATTTTATATCTAAGAAATGATTGGCAATTAAGTTAAACTTCAAAAAAAGAAGTTAGTTTTTGCAGGATAAAATTTAGTCCTCTTATTATAAGCAAACTTACCTATTCTTATTATGGGACATTAGTGATATTCTTTGACACGTATCATATATATATATATATATACATATATATATATGTATATATATATACATATATATATGTATATATATATACACATATATGTATACATATATATATATTCTAATTTTATTTTACACAATATATGGTTCTTATCCAGAAAGCATGGATATTTTAATTAAATGGATTTTTTTTGCAATTCTCATGAATAAAACTGAGTGAAGGGCTTTGTAAAACACATAAAAATGTGTTCCTCTGAAGACTGTTGAAAATAAGACAGCGTATATCATAGAGAAAAGTAGCTAGTTTCCAGAAAACTGAGTTATTTCTGTCTTTGTTCTGTTGAGTTTTGTCTTTGAAAGGAGGATTAGACTTTAAAATGAATATTGAACACCAGAGGGAAAAACAGTTAAGGTGAAGTCAGCTTCTTATTTTTTTGTTGGAGTCAAGGAGGAAATAGTGAATGAATGTCGATATAGGCAGGTTTGTAGTGGTGTAATTGTTTTTAGAAGTCTAATGTTGGTTTTATTACAATATTTATTTATGGGAAGTAATAAAAGTATTCATTTGAAAACTGCCTTTATGAGTAAATGTTACATTTAATGATTGTATTTAAATGAGTGTGTTGAAGTAAAACAGTTCTTGTGACGAATACATTCAGGGTGTTAAGACAAAATAAGGTTCCATTATTTAGGGTCTAAGTGAGAAGGAATAGAGTCCCTAAGAAAAGTCTCCATGGAGTTTCTTCATGAAGTCCTTTGGGCAATGACATCTTAGTAACCTGGTTACAGGAATGCTTAAAGCAATCCCTAATGCTATAATAATGACAGTGGGTTTTCTTTCCAGAGATGACATGGACATCACTCTTAGCTTTAGGACACAATTTATCTTTCCCTTCCAGTAGTAGGTTGTTACCAGATTTGAAATAAAATAAAGAGTCAATTAGTGGCCGGGCGCGGTGGCTCACGCCTGTAATCCCAGCACTTTGGGAGGCCGAGGCGGGCGGATCACGAGGTCAGGAGATCGAGACCATCCCGGCTAAAACGGTGAAACCCCGTCTCTACTAAAAATACAAAAAATTAGCCGGGCGTAGTGGCGGGCGCCTGTAGTCCCAGCTACTTGGGAGGCTGAGGCAGGAGAATGGCGTGAACCCGGGAGGCGGAGCTTGCAGTGAGCCGAGATCCCGCCACTGCACTCCAGCCTGGGCGACAGAGCGAGACTCCGTCTCAAAAAAAAAAAAAAAAAAAAAAAGAGTCAATTAGTACAGTTAGTCCTGGATTTTCTCAATAACTATACATACTTGGAAAATTTATTCACCCTCTCCAGGCTTCTTTTTTTCTCCTTGCCTGTGTAAAATGGAATAATCTCTAAAAAGATTTGTAGGTCTAAGATTCTAAGTTACAAAAATGTTCACGATGCTATTCTAAATCACAAGTGCAACATCAGTACAGGTCCTTCGAGAAGCATACACCAAGATGGAATTAAACTTGCAAGAAATATATTGGGGTATTGCCCTAGGAAATGAAACAAGGAGGGAAGTAGAGTAGGCTACATTAGCTGTCAGACCACGATGCTGGTCAGACTTCTATGCAGGAAAGTGGGATTGTAGGTTGTAGGATAGTTCTAATAAAATATTGGCAAGGCTATGGAGAGTCCTTGAGCCAAAGTTCCATGTTCGAGGAATCTTCTGTTTTACAGGAAAGGGTTTGCCTTCCTTACGTGGTCTGCTCAATCACTGGTTAGAGAACAGTTCATGCAAAGCATGACCTTGATGTGAAGGCAGTCATGGATTTGAGCACAGTAGCTAGGCCATTAATTATGCTCCTTGTATAAGAAACTATGAGAGGAACATTTTCAAATTTGACACAATTGCTATGGGTAGAATGTATGGTTTTTACAAATAAAGTTATAGCCCAAATATACTAATGAGCTAATAAACACAGTATAGGTGTGAACCCAAAATTTTCAGAGACAGGTCTCAACCAATTTAGAAAATTTATTTGCCAAAGTTAAGGATGGCTTTATGCTATAGCCTCAGGAGGTCCAGACGACATGTGTCCAAGGTGGTCAGGATACAGCTTTTGCTTTTACACACAATGCATCAATCAATACATGTAAGATTTGCATTGGTTTTATCTGGAAGGGCAGGACAACTCAAAAGTGAGGGCTTCTGGGTCATAGGTAGAGTTAAATTTTTCTGATTGACAATTGATTGAGTTATTATCAATAGAATGGAATGTCTGGGTTATGATAAAGGGTTGTGGAGACCAAGGTTTTATCGTGCAGATGAAGCCTCCAAGTAACAGGCTTCAGAGAGAATGAATTGTAGATGTTTATCAGACTTGAGACCTTTGTTGATGTTAATGCTGGTCGACTTTTCCTGAATTCCCAAAGGGAAGCGGTTATAATGAAGCATGTCCAATATCTGCTTCCCTCATGGCCTGAATTCGTTTCTTCTTTTTCTTTTTTTAAATTTTATTTTAGGTTTAGGGGTACATGTGAAGGTTTGTTACATAGATAAACATGTGTCACCGAAGTTTGTTGTACATATTATTTCATCACCCAGGTAGTAAGCCCAGTATCCAACAGTTATATTTTTCAAATTAACTTTGGAATTTTCTTGGGCAAGAGAAGGGGTCCATTCAGATGGCTGGTGGGGTGGTTAGAATTTTACTTCTGGTTTATGTAGGTATTGATTTATATTTATTGTAAATTAGAGTCTTTGGTCAATGAGTGAGAGGTTATTAGTTTAAATAATTTTGGATACTAAAAGGCTCCCCTTTGCACTAATGCTTATGCAAGATGTTATGGGAGACAGACAAGGTTTAACCTGGTAAAAACTGTAGGTAAAGTCATATGCTAATTGCATCTAAAGAATTCTAAACTCTTGATTCACACAGTAAACATTGAGTGGAGAGACAAGAAAGTTTATAATACAAGTTTTCAGATGATAAATTCCTCGTTAGATGTTTTATGTTGTATTTAAAATATAATGGCTTTGATAGACAAGGTTTCACCTCAATTTTCCTCTTTGGTTTCATTGCCTGATTGGGAAGGAGTACTTAGACACTCATCTTTTAAACTGTCATAGTTACTATTAGCAAGTATGTGATGTTTCATTGCTCAAAATAACTTGTTTGAATGATTTGGGTAAAAATAACTTTGATTATAAGGATTAAATTTTTATCAAGCAAAATCATAACTGGAACAAGGCAATGCCTTTTATATTAATTTTGACAGGTTTTCTAAATGCCATTTCATTTCAGTGAAATGTAATGAAGTGCAAGTTTTTCATTTACTACAACGACCGATTCCCAAATCTCACAAGACATTTTGTATTATTTTACTCACTAAGTAGCTATTAAAATATGTGATTAGACATTGACCAGGCACCAGTTGAAAGTGGTATCTTTATTAGAATAGACCTGTCTTTTAAACAGCTAGTTCTGAGGTCTATTAATATGAAGGTTCTTAACCATATTCTTCTCTAAAACTATTGTCCTTTCGGATACTCTAACCGTAAGTCTTCTAACATATAATTAATTTTATTTTTAAATATATTAGGCTTTTGTAACTTTGCTAAAAGATTTGTCTGATATGCATTGTATAGTGGGATTATACAATATGAATGATGTACCTTTTCTATCTTTTTTGGACAGGGTGGCTATTATTGACAACTATACAAAAATATTTCATGGATTTAAAAATTTTATATATTAGGTTACAACTTCAATTTATCTTTTCCATGATGTCTAGCAATATTTTTGTTAACATTGAATTATTACTATAATATTTGTTAGTTTTTTAAAGGCATTTTTGTAAATACTATAACCAACTTTTTCTAAAGACTTTTCTATAATGTCTGTTTTTCCTCATTTTTCACATATTCTTCCACACACTCAAAGTGATCACCATCTCTTTAACAAAACTGCTTTCACTAGGCTGATTTTAGACATATGTGTGTGTACATATATATGTATATACGTACATACATATATACATACATATATATGTACACACACATATATATGTCTAAAATCAGCCTAGTGAAAGCAGTTTTGTATGTACGTATTTATATACATACATACATATATACATACATATATATGTACACACATATATGTCTACGTGTTTATATATATGTCTATGTGTGTGTATATATATAAAAAACATGTCATTTTTAGTGCACTTCTTAATTAATAGTAGAATAGTAAGCTCTGAGGTTAACTACATTCTCTTTCCATTTTTATTAAATAAAATAAACTTGGAGAAATGCTGGAAGAATGAAAGCACAGACACCCCTATATCCTTCATCTAAATTTCACAATTGTTAGTTCTTTACTTTGACACCACTTCTTTATCTTTATTTATTTGATTTCACTTTAATTACTTAATGGATCTAGTTATCTTTTTCTTTTGGTGCTGAACAATGTGCAGCAGCATCAGGCTTTATTCAATCAGTGCAAGTTGGAACACCTTGCTGACTGCTTTGGGATATTTTCCTGCGTCATCCTAAGCAGGGACACCAGGCACGAGGGCTGCATTCAGTGAATATATGCAGGTGCACACTTCTGTGTCTCCTGCCACAGCCTATCTGCCAGACTCCAAATACATGTTTCCATCCCACTCAATTCAGCATGTCCAAGACATTATTCATACTACGTTCCACAAGCCAGTCCTGCCCAGCATTATCTCTGTCTGTTATGTCATCTTTGTCCTCCCCGTCACTTAAGCTTTCTCTCTGTTGATTTCCATATGCAATTTATCTTGAGTGTTGTTGATTTCAGTTTATAAAAACATTTATAACTTTCATCTTTTCTGGAAGGCAGAGTTTGTCTCAAGGATGAAATCATACTTCATTTTGGGGATGCAAAACAAATATGAAGTTGAGAGGGAAGGAGGTGAGTTAGGGAGCGCTGGGAAGCCATGTGAGCCTGATATTGCTGTGATAAGCTTGGCTCCTAAACAAGCCCACAGAAGCACAGGTCACTTGACAGAGATTTACCTGCTAGTGGTTGCTGCACAGGCTTGAAATAGTATCTGTGAGTAGCACATGAAAGAGAGAAAACAGGGAATTGGTGACTTCAGCTGCCTTCTGTTCCTACTTTCCCTTGACCAAATTTTTCTCCATGTGGATTTAAATCCCCTGTAATTCCAAAATGCATCATGGGTCACTTTTTGAAGCAGTGTGGGAAATCAGACTTCCTGGACAACTTTTAGTCCAAGTTGGGAAGTAGCAGAGACTGGATGTGTCACCTGTTGGCCTGAATGAATGCCCGTCGAGGAAGCCGTAGCACTATGGGGCAGATGACTGATACCTATTGTTTTCTGCACGGCCATAGTGATGCCTTTTTCAAAATGCAGGCCTGATTATGTCAAAAACTGTCTTGTAATTACTATTGCTCTGGACTAAGGATCAAAATATTATTGTGGCTGGTGTTGGCTTACTGGTTCTAGGGACTCTTCATTGTTTTCTCACACCATAGCCAAACCTACCCTCTTTATGCTCACTGGCCCTTCTTTAGCAACTGTGTGCCCTATACTCTGTATTCCTGAAGCAGATAACATACTACTTGCTTCGTTACCTCCTGCTTTTTGTCCAACAGTCAGCACCCTCATCATCACTTTCTCAGAGAAATTTCCTCCCAGTCTTTCTAATCTTCAGTCCAAATAGTCTCATTGTATGGCCTTATAGCACAGCATAACTTTCTGTGATAATATTCTCAGAGTTTCCATCTTATATTTATTTGTAAAATTGTTTAATTGGCTGCTTTACAATGATGAAATTATAAATTTCATAATTATATGAATTATAAGTTTTATAACTAAAGACGCCAAATCTATTTGTTTAACTGTTCTGTAATTCAACATGGTTTCACCATTGCCCAGAACAGCACCAGAATCCAATATATATTTTTGAATTAATAATGAAAATTATCACTTTAGAGGTTAAAAACTGAGATGATGTATTGAGTCTGCCTGAGAATTAAAAAGAAAACTCTGAGCAAATATATTTCTCAACACAATTCATTTAAATCACTAAATAAATAAACAAAATATGTTTTATTTATTTTTTTCCAAATTTTGCATATGCATGAATGACAATAATAACAGAATATAAATGTGTCAGCTATTAAGGTACCAAAGTAATTCCAGTAGCTCCAGCTATTACTTTAGAGTAGGATAAGTAATATCTTATTTTGATTTCCTTGACCTTAGAGTGAGTGTTTCCAGCTAAGAATTTTAATTGAAGCTGGTAGTTGGTCAAACAATATAAACAAAATACAAGTGTTCTTTTCCTTTAACTTTAGAAAAAGAAAATTTCAGACCAGGAGGTAATAGTCAATGAAACTATTGTAAAGAATTGGTTGCTGCCATTGATTTTTCCTAGCAAAATACCATTGTACAAGTAGGTATAATTTAAAGCAATTTTGCTGTATTGTATTCTCCATAAGAACTTTTTCTCTGTCTAAATAGAAATTGGGTTTCAACAAGAAAATAATCTTTGAACAAATCATATTCGGAAACATATTCAAAAGAATAAAATTGATAATATTTTGGACTTAATATAGTTTGTCTGGCTTTTGAGTATGGCTTTATATGCCTTTTTGTATTTATAGCTATATTTTCTCAACCAAAATTGGCATTTAACTCACTTGAAATAACAATGGCTTGAAAAATAAACCTTTTTAAAGTGTGTGTTTCCTTCAGAGAACTCTAAACATTTAGAAAAATTCATGGCTACCTTCTGAAATAAATGCAATAAAGAAAAAACGTGTTAGCCATATTTTATATGGTTAAACATTATGTGTTTGGAATTTATAAGAAGGCTTAGCTTGACTCAGAATCATGTCCTGACTAGTTAGGATAGCTAGTCATCTTGACATCTTCCATTCATTCTCTTACAAGTTGAAATTTAAACCATGAATATATGAGCATTTAAAAGATTCTATACCATAGGAACTGTTTTTATATAACTCAATGTTTATTATTAAACTTTAAAAACAATTTTAAAATTTAGTCATTTTGCAGAAATAACTTGTGGAGTAAGGCATTAACAGCATGGATAGTATTTGCATTGCAAATAAATGCAAGTATCTTTAATACTTTTACATTTTAAAATCAGGGTTATAGAAGATATTCTTTCTTGTCCTTATACATTTTATTTTAATCAGAAGCACAGAAATGTACTGCATTTGTCCTCCTATTATTTCTTAAAAATGTTGATTTTGAAAATGATGGAAAATCAGAATTAAAATACAATTTACTTTTTTCTGCATATGAATATGACGCACATAAGATATAAACACACACATATAGTACTGTTAGAAAAGAATGCATGGAGCCGTTCTGCTCACATGATTATTCATACCATGGAATTCACAGTCATCATTACTGTTAGTAGGACCCAAATGTTAGCGAACTGATGTTGAATACCACCTTGAGCTGTTCTTTGAGGATGTTTTAAAAAGAAAGCAAGATGATCTGGGCATGGGTAATGGGAACAAAAAAAGTTGGAAAGAATGAATAAGACCTAGTATTTGATAGCACAATAGGGTGACTATAGTCCATAATAATTTGATTGTACCTGTTAAAATAACTAAGAGAGTGTAATTGAATTGTTTGAAACACAAAGGGTAAAGGCTTGAGGGAATGAGTACCCCATTCCCCATGATAGGATTATTACACATTCCATGCCTGTATCAGAACATTTCATATACTTCATAAATATCTGCACCTACTATGTGCCCACAAAAATTAAAATTGAAAATGTTTAAAAAGTGCAGGGTTTCCTCCTGAAGAATCTGATGAAAACACAGAATTGTTATTTTCAGATTCCATATAGATCCTTATTTCCTTGTCTTTCCCAGTAGTCACAGTTTGTTAAGTGTGTATTCTAATTTTGTGCCGTTCTGATCTGGACTTTTTGTGAGTTTTCGATTTCAACTCCTTAAAGGTTGATGCTTATTTAAACAATAATATTTGTTTACTTTAAGTGTACTGAGGGTTTACTGGATGGCCAATGGGTTCTACCACACACTGCCTCTTGTTAACCTGGAAAGGACTGAGTTTCCCTTTGGCTCTGCAGACATCTGTTTAATCTTACTATTCTTTGTCAAGTGAATTTTTCCGGTCTTGAATTTTGTTTTATTTATTTATTCTCTCCCCACCCCCCAACCTGTGACATTAGAGGCAAAAATATATATCAAAGTCTAAGCAGAAAATAGTAACCCACTGGAAAATGCCAAGATACCGTAGCTGTGCTATGGCATTTTCCATTGGCCAAGATGCAGTTTTTCAGGAACATCTTCCTGTGGATTACATAAGCAAATTGGATAATAAATTGATTATAATTATCCTTTTAATTTCCATTTGTGGAAATTATTTTTTGAAGTCTTTTGGTTAGCGATTCCCAAATACTCGAATTTCCTTATTTTATTGCATACATCTTTCAGTTGCTATGATATAGCAATGTAATAAATTGATGGGGTGAGGTGAGCTTCTTTTGAATTCATGGGCCCTGCCATCTAGTATGTATTGGTTTAGAGAAAGAAAACAGAAAGAATAATCCTAAAGTAAACTAATTGATAAACATAAATAAGAATAAACTAAGATTTTTTAAGAGAGATTAGGATAATAAGAGAAATCAAAACAGTGAAATGAAAACCTAATAAAATAAAAGATTAAAATGTCTTTTATATTTGGGCATCATTTGTTTTTCTAGTGTAAATTACTGATAGCAAATCAGGATTTAGAGAATACAGCTACCTCCAGTTAATTTTGGTATGTTTCTTAATGATTAGAGAGAAACAATGCTTAAAGAAAATGACCAGGTACTCTTCTTTCGATGCTATTGCATAATTCTGAGTTTTACTTTTTCTACGTTCCTTTCATGAATTTCTTTTATTTTGTATATATATGTATGTAAATATATAAATATGTATCATGTGCTTCTAGGAAAAGCCCAGAAAATGTAACACCTCATCTTGCCCACATTTTTAAACTTTTCCTTCATAATGTATGCTGTGTTTTGACATACGGCAGTACTGGATTGCACAGAGTTAACACTGTTGCCCTTAGGTTATTCTGTCTTTACCATTATACACATTAACATTCTTTAACCAAAGATAACATACATATCTACTTGTATCTATTTCTAATTAATATTGGGCTTATCTATCTTTATTTTTAAAAAGTCTTTATGGAATATGTTATTGTATTAGTCTGTTCTCATGCTGCCAATAAAGACATACCTGAGACTGGGTAATTTACAAAGGAAAGAAGTTTAATGGACTGACAGGTCAGCATGGCTGAGGAGGCCTCACAATCATGGTGGAAGGCAAAGAAGAAGCAAAGGCACATCTTACATGGTGGCAGGCAAGAGAGTTTGTGTAGGGAATTCCCCTTCATAAAACCATCACTATCATAAGAACAGCACAGGAAAGACCTGCTCCCCTGATTCAGTGACTTCCCACTGAGTCCCTTCCACGACATGTGCAGATTATGGGAACTACAATTCAAGTTGAGATTTGGGTGGGGACACAGCCAAACCATATCAGTTATGTTCAATATTTTGAAAGAGATAATATTTTCTAGTAGAATTTTATAATAAAAAATGACCAGTTGTCTAATCACTCTGTATAGAATAAAAAATAGAGAACAATATTAAAATTATAAAATAGCAAGGTCAAATAGAGCTATTCTGTAAGCACAACTAATTATTAAAAATATATTGATATAACGATACTAATATATTAAAACTTGAAAAATATATTTATATATGGAATATTTTGAAAAGTGTCTTCAGATAGATAATAAAATATAAGTTAAAATGTTTATTGCAATCATCTAGGAAAAATATGAATCAGACCTAAATTAGGGCACCTTTAGTAATAATAGAAATACAGACACCAGAATCATTGTTGGGGAGAGGGAAGCATTGTGTACGCATGCACTGCTCAGATTCTCGGACACTTGTACATTTCTAACACTCAAAAATTTCTTGATTCTTAAACCAGAAGCAAAATGTGAGACATGAGGAAAAGGGGACAGTGTTGTACTCATAAGGAAGGTATTGACTCTGCTGCTTCTGAAGGCAATTTTGAGGGCAATTGCAGCCAAACAAGTCAGTAACACTGGTATTCAGGACAAGCCACACCAGATATCATGTCCTCTCTACAGCGTCACAATTCATTAAGTGGCTCACAGGTCAGTGTCATCAATAAAACTCACCATCTGCATTTCCATCCTAACTGGATTTTTTTTGTGCTAACTGGGTGTCAAACGCATTTGCCTGAGTGCTGCTGAAGGAATGTATTCATCCAGCAGCCATTTATCTATCACCTGCTAGGTGTCAGTCACCGATTCAGGTGTTGGGGAACAGCAGGAAACAAAATGAACAAAAACCCCAGCCTTTATCTTATTATGGGTGAAAGGAAACAAACAATAATAAAAAAGAAAATTAGTGGCCTATATTGTACCCTGGATAGTGATAATCATATATCTGTCTTGCAAAATAGAACAGGAAAATACAATACTTTTAATCTGGGAAAGTCTTATGATACGCAAATAAATTGACGTTTTAAACAATATGAAAGTGGAAGAAATTAAAAATTCCCATGTTGAAAATTTTAAGCAATTTTTTGTTCAGATTAGCCCTTAATTTTGATAAGAACAGAGAAGTGGATGGGCCCCTGGCCAGCTAGAAATAGCGGAGCCACTACTTCAGGTTAAAAGTGTGTTACTGACAAACCAGATGAGGGATCAAGGAAAATGGTGCGATCACTACCACTACTAGTAAAACCACTATATACATGATTTTAGTACTAAGAAAAATTTTTATCAATTAAATTACAATTGGAACTATACACACTAATATATCAATCATTTTGTGTGACTTGGTTTTGCATTTTTTATGTATAGTAAGAAAAATTATTTACATGTATACAAACAGGAGTCATGATATAATAAAGTGTTCTCTCATTACTCTTTGGCAAACTTTTATTTTAGTTATGGATAGCCTGAATTTAAATACACAGAGAAATGTTAAAAATATAAGTCAGTTTTATATGTTTATATCTATTTCCAAACCTCTTAGAAGAAAGAACTGAATTTTGGTGTTATCTTAAGTATTATTTGAACTTAGATCTGCAGTGTTGATAGACTGGAGCTAACCTACCCTCCTACCACTGTTTCCTGTTGCTCTCTCACTTTGTATGTCTAGCATTCTATTTGATTTTCCTGTAGCTTATGGTTGTTTTCTGAAGAAAGATTCTCACAATTCCCAGTTCTGTCATTTCTGTTTTTGCAATGTTCTCACTTAAAAATGATCTTATCAAAACCGCAGAAGTTTAACAAAAAATTCATTTTCAAGTACAACATAGAAAACCTGAGAATCCCCTCCCGATGCAGATTGCTGAGCTATTACACCTCAATATTTGAGTTAATAGTGACCACACTGGAAGACCAGGCAATGGTAAGACTTACGAGGTATCTTGATGGAGAAAAATAATTTTAGCTTTATTATAATTTTCTATAATCTGAAGTTTTTCTGCACTAAAATCTTTTATTATAAGTAATAAAGAGAGATGATCCAATGAACATTTTAATGTACTGATCCTGCATAATTGTATCCACATTTCCAATGAGATGATATTTCCTTGCAAGACAGCATTCAGTTTTACATGCATTGACTATCACTTCAAGTACTTTGCTACAGAATAGTCTAATTGCATAAATTAGTATGGTGACATTATTGCTTAAAATATTTTAGCATTTTTAAATTATTCAATTAAAATTTAAAGGGATTACTTGGAGTAATCCTTTTTTCTGTCTAATGTAAATTTTGGCAATGATGTTAATAATATTAGTAGCATCTACCAGTTATTAAACATTTCCTAGTTTTCAGCTTGGAGTCACTATATTATTCCCTAGGGAGATTACTGTCCAGCAACCCTTTTATCCTCATTTTTGAAATTAAAAAAAAAAGTTATGCAAAGAAAAGTTACATTTACAGACATTCAGATAAAGTGATCTAGAAAATATAAACCTGACAGCGTGAACTTTGAGTCTGACTTCAAAGTCTGTGTCCCAACAATGGCTTCTCTAAATTCCTCCACTAGCTTTCACACTTTCTCCATTTATATATATCCAACTTGGGAGTTACAGACTATTAGATCAAAGATAGCAAATGACATACTCTTGCTTGACTCTTCTTTTTCCTTGTTCCAAGCTTTTCTTTAGGGCCATGTTGGATTGCTTTCCAGCTCTGAGTTTTTATTAGAGGGGCAATTTGTACTTTCCTGTGGACTCAGCGTTTTTCACAGATACAATTCAACCCACAGAAGCGAGTAATAAAATGAGGAAAAAAAATTCCATCTTGAATCTTTTCCTTTGTTATAGATCAATAGGTAATGCTGTCCCACAGTTATGAAAAAGGTTTCTTGAACTCAGTTTCGAAATGTTTTCTTTTCTTTTGAAAGCAACTGATAAGCAACAATACATATTTCCACATGAGGGAATGACGGGTGATGCACACTGTAATCTTTCCCTTCTTTGAGAACGGCACTTTTTGGGAGGGGAAGAGTATTTTCCCCTGACAATCTTACAAATTATGATTGTTTCTTTTTATGTCAGTACTCAAAAGAAACCCTGGAAATGATAGCTTTACAGATTTAGAAAATAATGAATAGAGCCTCCAAGAGAGGAATCCCAAGGATAATGTTAGCTCACTGTAATGATGACATTTGACAGCAGTTTTTGTTTAGTGTGAGGTTCCCCTGGCAACTCTTTTATTGGAAAACTGGAAATGGTAGAAAAGCACAGAAATATGCATTTTTATTTAAGGCATATGGGTAATTTTTAAATTATTTTCTTGCTCCTTTTCAATGCAGCCTACTCATTTAAGGGAATTAATCATTAACATTAATTTGTGCAAAGCATAGCTGTATTTTCAAGGAATTTAGTGATTCAGGAAGTGATCTGGCTTTCAAAAATTTATTTTAATGTACATGGTTCTTCCTTATGATTTGAAATATGTTAAAAATAGAGTGTTGTACTGCCCTCATTTCCAATTCCATGTGTGATATTACAGGTTTTTAAAAATGGACTGAATAAGGGTTCTAAATAATAACTGTGGAATGCATACATATTAGAGACAACCTAGCATTTTCTTTGAACACTGGATGACTGTGATGAATTAGTTTTCATAATTTAAAAAAAGGCGAAAATGATTAATGAGCAATAGGAGCAAGTGTTGCCTCATAAAAGCTAAGTCAATGTTTTAATGAAAATATTGTCTATATTTAATTAGACTATGAACCATAGTATAATAGAACATTTCCCAATTACATTCCATTCAAATTTCTTGCTGGTCTGTCATCAATCTGCATGTAAAATATGCTTACTGATGCCTAAGAAAGGCTGACTTCTTATAGCATGTAGATGACTCTCTAGAATGTGTATATATTATTAAACATAACAGTTGAGTTATATGCTTACGAAGGTTCAGTTGTGTTTATTCAAAACCTGATTCTGTTGGCTGACTTTGTTGCTATTTTGAAGTTGAGCTGAATATTTTATAAGTTTATTAACTATGAATGCAAGAAGAGATAATTGTTTCCATGAAAATTAAGTAGAATGTATCAGAAAAATCAGTTAATATGAATCTCTCAAAAAGATATCATTTGAATTAGGTATTGAAGAGACAAGTGTAAACTTTTTGGTGAAAAACATAGGACGATTCATCCAGATAGTGTTTTTTTGGCTTCTGATATTTTAAGTTTTAAACAAATGTATGGAGATACAATTGACATTACACACACACACAAACACACACAAACATACACACACACACACACACACACACCCCAGTGAAAGCATCATTGTAATTAAGCAAATGGAAATATTCATCACGCAAATTTGTTTTCTTCTGTTCTTGTATATAGTCCATGCTTTTCCCTTTCTTCAATTCACTTTTAGAAATAAACATATGCCACTACAGATTAATTTCCATCTTAACAGTTTTCTTTAAATGGAATCATACAACTTATATATTTTTGTTTTGCATCTTTTATGGAGCATATTATTTTGAGATTCTTTCACATTTTGTATAACAATAATTTAATTCAATCATTTTTATTGCTCCATAGTATTCTATTGTCTAGGTGTATCATAATCTGTTTATCCGCTCGCTTTTTGTTTGTTATTTATTGTTTACAGGTTATTACAAATAAAGATGCATTGAACATTTCTGCACAGGTCTTTGTGTGCCATGTCCTGTCACTATTCTTAGACTCATGTTCCTGGAGTGGCTCTTTCATGACAGTCACGTGTTTAGTTTTATTTATTTATTTATTTATTTATTTATTTATTTATTTATTTATTGTAAAAGAAATTGTCCACGTGTTTTCTGTAGTTCATGACATTTTACATTCTCACCAGCAGGGTATGGCTTTCAGTTCTTCCATATCCTCACTAATATTTGGTATGGTCTGTTTTTTTAATTATAGATATTCTAATGCAGATTTACTGACATCTCATTGTGGTTTTTATTTTCCTTCCTGTAATTACTAATGAAGTCAAGACATATGTTATCTTTATATATTTGGAAAAATATCTATTCAAATCTCTTTCCTGTTTGATAATTGGGTTGTTTGCTTGCTTATGATGGAATTTTACACATTATGGGTTCATCTTTGTCACATATATGTATTGCAAATATCTCTGCCAGTCTCTGGCAGGATTTTTTATTTTATTTTGAAGAGCCAAAGTTTTTAGTTTTGATGAAGTCTAATTTGCTACGTCTTTTCTGTTAAGAACCATGCTTTTGGTGTTATACTTACAACATATTTGTCTAACCCAAGGCCATAGGTTTTTTTTTTTTAAATCATTGTTCTAAATTTTAAATTTAGGTTTATGATCTTCTTTGAGTTTATTTATGTAGGTATGATGTATGGATCAAAATTCATGTTATGCTCATAAATGTCCAGTTTTTATGCAACATGCACTTAATGTCGTTTTATTTCTCTAACATATTGCACTGCAGTTTGTCTAAAACTCATTGTTCACATATGTATAAATACATGCGGAAACTGTATTCAGTTTTGTTTATCTATGAACTAACTTTATTTCAATACCACAAGCTCTTGATGAGTGTTGTTTGATTGCGTCTTGAAATAAGATCATTTTAACTATCCATTTTTTTTGAATTTTACAATTGTTTTGGTTATTAGTTATTTTAGGTCATTTCCATACAAATATTAGGATTATTTTGTAAATTTCTATCAAAAACAGATATCTATCCATCTATCTATAGATATATTTGAGTAGAATTGACATTTTATCAATATTGAGTCTTTCATTATATAATCCTAAATTAGATATATCTTTTCCTTTATTCAGTTATACTTTAGTTTCAGTAAAGTTTTATAGTTTTCCATGTATATATCTTGTACATCTCATGTTTGAATTACCTTTAGCACTAAGATTTGAGAAGGTACAATTCTCAACTCCAGAAAATTCCTATGTCTAGATAAGGATCCTGGGTTGGGAAGGAGTAACACATAGAAAGTTTTAAGAATATCTGAGTTGATACATCCTAAAACATTGAAACCACAGATTTCCCAGAATCTGTCGGGCCTATACAAAAGCTCATCCCTCCTTAAATGCTCATGACCTGCCATCTCTATGCCAGCCCTGCTTGAAGACAATCAAACTGTCTCTGCCTTGAAAGACCATCTGTGTCCCACTCAGGACCTACCGAGAACTTTCTTCATGGCCAACAGACCAATAAAGCGTTGGGAAGAAATTAATTATATACTGACGAAGCTTCAGGACCTAGCCAACAGGTACCAGTAAGAGCCAGGAGATGATATCAAAATGAATTATGTGGATGGTGAATGAACGTGGCAGAAAATGATGTTGGATAATGGACAGATGATCTGTATGGGGGAGTCCACTAGAAGATCTCACAATGATCCACTCTGTCAAAGACACCAAGCAAATAGGAACCCAAGATCAAGAAGTGACACAAATGTGTTGATGGCTTTGAAACAACAAACGAGCTCCAGAGAGTGGGAGAAAAACCTTACGGATTTCATGGGGCCTGTTGTATTCATGAATTTATTAGTAGTAGTTCAGGAGTCTGGTGCATGTAAAAACCTTCTCTCTAAATAAAGGACAAGTAACTTCATCTGATTATTAAGAAAGAACAATTCTTGATAAGCCAATTTAAGTGATGGGACAACATATTCTACACTTGCCAATATTTTTTGACCCATTTATGAGGTTATAGACAAAGTTACCGCTTTTGTGAGAGGACAAAAAAGGAAAAATGTCTGCAACAAGTCCAAGTTGCAGTAGAAAATCAGCTCAGCCATGTAGACCATATAACCAGATAGATCTTACGGTACACTAAAGATACATCTGGTTGGAAAAGATTCCAGGTGGAGTTGATGGCAAGTCTAATTAGGAGAATTTCAAAGTAAACAGGGTTCTGGATTAAGTTTACTGCATTAAAACAAACAAGCAAACAAACAAACAAAAACAGCTTTTGGACTATTACTATTGCATGTGACTGAGAAACCTTGATGACAGCAAAAAAAAAAAAAAGTGGCACAGGTGCTTTCAGATAACACACCACCTGGAGATGACCAAGATGTTATAGGAAAAGCATAGCATTTTTGAGCTGCAGTGGAGGCATCAGCTTGGAGATAAACACCCGCAACAAAAATGTCCTGCACCAGGAGGTTGCAGGTACACTGAAACTATGACCTTTATGCCAACTCTTTGGACCAGCTAAAAAAATATTGGCATGTGACCCTAGTGAATTTCCATATCAAACAGAAGATTTGTCCAGCTGAGACCTGCTCAAAACCTGCCTCATAAATGCATGAGATATAATAAGTCAGCTATTTTGAGCTGGTTAATTTTGTGATGGTTTGTTATCAATAAATATCTAGAACAGAATATGATACCCAGAAGTGGAATACAGCAACGATAAAAATAACACAACATCATTGACATTGGGATCAAGAGGCAAACAGAAGCTGAAAGATGCTCAACAGGGCTCATGGTGGAATCTGGATGGACTTAATGGGACTGTTGGGGACGAAATAAAGGAGACTGTGCAAATGTTATTGAAGGCTGGAGAAAAATGGAACCTATTTTATACTGTTGGGAAGTTTGGCCAATGACCACCATCAGCGGTAGGGTAAATAGAAAAGGTGTCTTATGATTTGGCTGGGAATATTTCCAAGAAAGAGGCAGACAGTGTCAAATGGTTTCTTTTAGCTGTCTGTCATAAAATATGAGGGCACAGAGATCAGCCTGAGAAAGAATTGTACAGGTTTTATGGAGAATTTAGAGGAAATATAAAGAAGTGAAGACATGCTAGGTTTGAAAATAAAACTGTTTCTCATCCTCATTTTCTTTCTGAAAAAAAAAAAAAGTTTATCAAAGTCATAAATGGCCTCAGATACAGATCCCAAGGATCTATTTGTAAGACCCTTTGTTGATACCTCAGAAAGACCTAATAGGGCTTCTAAGAGTCTTAAGCCCATGCATGCCTCATAAAATTTTAAAAATAGACCAAATGGATTCTAGTAATCCTAAAGGTATTTTCTCACTGTTCCTATTCTCTTACCTAAAAGCAGTTTAGGTTTTAAAGGTATTCACTACCTTTAGTTAAATAGAAACAAATGTATCAATGAAGCACACAGTTTCAGCATTAATAACAGGTTGGTCTGAAAAGGGCAGATGGAGTTCAAAAGAAACAGCCATTTGTACCCCAAAATTTCCATAGGAAGGAAGCCAACTGAAGAGCCTGATCAATTAAGAATACTGTTGTTTTGTTTGTCTTATTGAAAAGGAAGGATGACAGGAGCAAGAACCAAATGCAGCAATGAATTATTCCCAATGACAGGGCTGAGCCCTAATGCAGGAACTACTGACCCCCATAGGTAACTGGTGGCTATATCCCTTGTGATTTTTCCCTTTTTGATAGAGGATATTTGTTACAATGATCCTATACCCATCTGTGCATTGCATTTTGGACATGTGTGGGGAATATAACTTGTCAATTCGCAGGTTTCCAAATAGACAGAAACTAGACTATGCTTGTGGAGTTGTTTGTGAAGGACCACATGGATCTTATTTACACACCATAGTCCCAGACTTGAAGTCTATATTCTGGGCTGAGACTTTTGAGAGATGTGGAGAAGATGAGGGTAGTTTGCTGGTATGGGAAATGTAAATCATCTGTGGCCAGACTGTGGTATATTAAATATGGCCACACACACTTTGTTATTCTTCCCATTGAACGGTCAACTTTCATTTTCCTCCCCCTTGAATCTGAGATGGACTTAGCCTGTTGCTTGACCAATAGAATGTGGCAGAATTGACATTCTGGAACTTCTGAAGTTAGATCATAAGGAGGTTGAAGTTTCCACCTGGGTTTCTTAGAACACTCCTGTGATACTGGACCCACCATACCGGAGAAGCCACAGATTTGCATCCTGTGTGAGAGCATCCTCACACCCCATCTTTCCAGACATTTCTGCCAAAGTGTCCAACACATGAGTGAAGCCAGCGTGGAGCTCCATACCAGCCCTCCATCCAGCCCACCGATTCACCTAAGTTGTTATTTGGAGTACGTGGGCTGTATGTTTTCTCTCTAACCTTTCTGTTGTAAATTTCTCCAAGAAAGGAAACCAAATAGAATCTTGGAGAAGATGTTCCCAGTTGGGATGTCTTACTAAAGGAAGTTGATCCAAAATGCACAGGGGATGGACTGTGCTGGGTGCTGTGTCTCACCAACCAGATTTTTACTTCTCTTGGAAATATGAGTGTTGAGAAGTCACGTGTGAGCCGTTTTCTGGGAATTTCCCTGAGATAAAAAGTACCACCTCCTTCAAGTTTCAGACGCCTGCTCAGTGGTCACATATCTAATGATGGTGGACGCAGGAGTGTGAAGGTCAGCTCCATTTTCTCCGTCTGCCTTTGTCATACAAATATGAAAGCTGCCCTTGAGGCTAAGTATCATTTTCATGAAATGGTTTGTTAGTAGGCACTTAGTGATTGCTGTTTAACTCTAATTTGTTTTTAAAATGTTTAATAATAACTACTGGATAAACCATATTGAACCTATATACACACATCTTAGTTTGCTCATTGCGGTTTATTTTAGATCATTTAAAGAAAATAAATTGAAAGTGTCCCTGAAACTTTTATTTAAGTCAGGGTCTAAAACACACTGGTATATTTTTACTTATACAGAGTACATGTTTATAATAATTTCTCATTTATCTAAAACACTTCAGTTTTGTGATTTTCTTCTCTCTCCCAAAATAATTTTGAATCACCTTCTACTTTAATTAGGAGCATTGTTTCTCATTAACTTCTATTTAAGACATTATTATTTAAGAACACAATCACTTTTTCTCTTCAGAGATCATGAATGAGCTACAATACGAATATTTTAACTTTCTCATAGTCAACTAGGAATTAAGTGCAGGATAAATAAAAAAAATGTGGATTACCAAAATACTTCAGAGGCCTTCCTGCTTCTCCTCTTGCCTCTCTACCTTGTGCTCTCAGTCCAGTAGACTGAGGCTCAAAACGTAAAACAGATCAGACTCCTCCTCTGTGTAAAATCCTCTGGTGGCTCTCTGTTCCAATTCAGGAGCAGTCAAAGTTGTAACCATGCTTTGCTAGGCTCCTTGCAACTGCAGCCAAGTCACCTCTGTCCTCAACCCCTGCTTCTCCTTTCCGCCAACTGTTCTGCATCTTCACTGATTTCACATCGTTCCTGGGCCAGGACCAACCTTGCCGTAGGGCTTTGTTCCAGGTGTTTCCCTGCCTACAGTGCCAGCCTCCCAGCTATTCGTTGCATAAATTCCCTCACCACCTTCAGGTATTTTGTTCAAATATCTCCTTCTCAGTGACTGCTTTCCTGATGGTATTTCCTGCCTACCTAACACCCACAATCACAATCTTTCTTTCCTTTGCCTACTTTCTCACACATGGATCATATTCTAGTGTCATGCATCGTTTGTGCATGTATTCTGGATGTTGATTATTGTCCCCTTGTCCTGCCATAATGTACTAGCGCCAAGGTCAGTGGTCTCCATCTTATTTATTGACATCGCTAGCACCTAGTAGCTATTCAACCAGTATCTATTTACTGAACAGCTCAACATTGGTATATATAATACTAACATTTTGCACATGTTCAGAATTCCCCAGATTGTAAGCAGTGTGGGTACAGGGGAAAGGTCTTTTGTTCTTAAAAGTCGTAGATTAAGACACACATAACACACGTAATCATCAAGAAAGAGTCTGTCATTATTCCCCATGCAGACACAGGTAAAAAAACAGATTTAAAAGGGCTAAAAGGCTTTTCAGATCCATATAGCTAATCATGGTGTGTCCGGAATTGGTGGGCTCTTGGTCTCACTGACTTCAAGAATTAAGCTGGGGACCCTTGCGGTGAGTGTTACAGTTCTTAAAGGTGGCGTGTCAGGAGTTTGTTCCTTCTGAGGTTCAGATGTGTTCACAGTTTCTTCCTTCTGGTGGGTTCCTGGTCTCACTGGCTTCAGGAGTGAAGCTGCAGACCTTCACCGTGAGTGTTACAACTCACAAAGGAAGTGTGGACCTAGAGTGAACAGCAGCAAGATGTACTTCAAACACTCAAAGCACAAAGCTTCCACCAACTGGAAGCAGAGCACAAAGCGTCCACCAACTGGAAGCACACCCCAGCGAGTTGCCGCTGCTAGCTGAGAGAGCCCACTTTTATTCCCTTATCTGGCCCCACCCACATCCTGCTGATTGGTCCATTTTACAGAGAGCCGATTGGTCTGTTTTACAGAGAGCTGATTGGCCCTTTTTGACAGTGTGCTGATTGATGCGTTTCCAATCCCTGAGCTAGACACAAAAGTTCTCCACCTCCCCACTAGATTAGCTAGATACAGAGTGCTGATTGGTGTATGTACAAACCCTGAGCTAGACAGAGAGTGCTGATTGGTGCATTTACAAACCTTGAGCTAGATACAGAGTGCCGATTGGTGTATTCATAATTCCTTAGCTAGACAGAAAGGTTCTCCACTTCCCCACTAGATTAGCTAGATACAGAGTGCTGATTGGTGTATTTACAAACCGTTAGCTAGACATAAAGGTTCTCCAAGTCCCCACTAGACTCAGGAGCCCAGCTGGCTTCACCCAGTGGATCCTGCACCGGGGCAGCAGGTGGAGCTGCTTGCCCGTCCCGCGCCCTGCGCCTGCACTCCTCAGCCCTTGGGCGGTTGATGGGACCCTGCGCCGCGGAGAAGGGGGCGGCGCTCGTCGGGTAGGCTCCCGCGCGCAGGAGCCCACGGCGAGGCGGGGGAGGGACTCAGGTATGGCGGGCTGCAGGTCCCGAGCCCTGCGCCCGCCGGAAGGCAGCTAAGGCCCGGCGAGAAATCCATTGCAGCGCCGGTGGGCCGGCACTGCTGGGGGACACGACGCACCCTCCGCAGCTGCTGGCCTGCGCGCTAAGCCCCTCACTGCCTGGGGCCGGCGGGCCGGCCGTCCGCTCAGAGTGCAGGGCCCGGCAAGCCCACGCCCATCCGGAACTCTAGCTGGCCCGCAAGCGCTGCGCGCAGCCCGTGTTCCCGCCCGAGCCTCTCCCTCCACACCTCCCGGCAAGCTGAGGGAGCTGGCTCCGGCCTCAACCAGCCCAGAGAGGGGCCCCCACAGCGCAGTGGTGGGCTGAAGGGCTCCCTGAGCATGGCCAGAGCGGATGCCGAGGCCGAGGAGGCGCCAAGAGCGAGCGAGGGCTGCGAGGACTGCCAGCAAGCTGTCACCTCTCAATGGGGAAAAGGTAAGAAGTTAAATATATTTTTAAATATAAATATCTAATTATTGCCATAAGTCTTTGGTGTTAAATTAATTAGAAAATAATCCAAATATTAAAAAATATGATGGGCAATACGTAATTTTACCAATGACAGAGATTGCTTCACATGTTTGGTGGCAATAAAATACTAATGTTGATGCTTTTCAATATTAATAACCACTTGAGAAAAGCAAGAAAATCTTCTAATTGATGCATATTGTATATGCATCAATTTAATATTGTGGGTCACATAATTTGCAAAGCGCTCTTTCAGGTCTCTCAATGAGAGGCATACTTTTTTACTTTTACATTCTTCTCCTGGAAAAATGCTAACATTGCTCTAATGCACATATGCACTAATAATTCATTATGAAATACTGAAAGCACTGACTAACTAATATCATGTTTGGAGCTGAAGGAGCCAGGAACAAAAGAATGCAAATTAAAACCATTTTTTCATCCTTATTCTGTATCAACAGGAGAAGACAAGTTAAGACACTGCCATTTGCAGACAAAGGTTACTGTACTTTTTGTGGGCAAAATTCAGTTGTGATTTTTAACAACATGATTAAATGATATAGATTCAGCAAGAAATCATATTCTGGGTAATTATTTGAAATTTAAATACTAAATTTATTAAAAATTGTAGTTGTAATTTATAATAACAGTGCAACCCAGGTCAGTTGAAGTTTTTGGTTCAAAGCTTCAATATTTTGCTGAAGCTAGATTTTGTTGTATCCATCGTTGTTTGGGAAAATATAACTAATTGGAAATAATCCTCAACTAGTTATTGTTCAAAAGAAACAAGTTGATGAAATAAAAGATGAAATATAGGACAGTTATTTAATTTCTAGTTATTTTTATTTCGTGCTAGGAAATGTTACCATTCTGATTTCTTCCAATGAAATCCTTTTTTTATTTTGAATGATAGGTCACTGCAAAAGGAAACATAGTTGATTTGTGCAGCATTTTTCTTTATATGAAATGATCTAACTTAGGACTTTGTGAACTGTGGAATACAGAAATGCATATCCTAACTGGAATATTTTATGATAAAATAGAATCCATAGAGTTAACAATTGAAAGTGTTTCTGATAAGAACATACTATCTTGGTATTCCATGTTGCTAATTAACACAGATTTTCATGCCTTGGAAAATCAAACAAGCAGGAGGTAGGACTGATAGAATATTGTGAGAAGTATGATGATTTCTTCTAAAATGAAAAGATTGCCCATTTCCACTAGCTGGCCACAGGAGCTCTAGGGACAGCACAGTGAGGGGTCTACTCCGGAGCAGTGCGAGCTCTATCTGCTCCTGTACAAACCCTGATTGCATCCCCAGAGTTCACGCAATACAGCAGACTAGGGAGGATGTAGGCCTTTGCTAACAAAAATGTTAGCAGTAACACACCACAGTCCTGTACAAGCACAGCTCTGCGCCTGCAGGCGGTGTGATCCTGAGCAATGTGGCTTCTGGCCTGTCTGCTAAGGGAAGTAGCTGGACAAGGTATCACAACCTAAGCAAAGGCACTAATTAGGTGCAACAAGTCTTCATTCGTTGGGTGAATTCTGCACTAAGTATATAAAATGTGATAGTTTTATTTTATATTCTGCATTTTTCATGCTTGTAAATACTGAAAATGACATTTTTGCTGCAATTTTGGCTTTGTGTTAATAAATTGATCACAGTCATTTAAAGGAGGTTATTTATATCTCTTTTGTGAAGGAAATTTACTCAACTCATCTAGAGTGTTTTAAAATCTTTATCACATTAAATTAAGGCAGGATATAAGCTGTCTTAAAATATAATCCTATTTTATCTGTTGATATCTCTGTGTAGGCAAGAGAACAGACCTGCTTTCATTGACTCTGGATAGCAGTAAAAGCTAAAATTTCCAAGAGCGTGACTAATTGAGACTTTAAGTACTATTCACATACTTGGCTCATACTCAAAATCTGTCCAGAATCAAAGGGCATTTAAAGATAGCTGAGAGAAACACTTCTTGCTAGGTTATTTTTATCAAATTTCTTCAAGCAGTGGTTGAAAATAAAATTGTGATCAATATGACAGTGAGCCCACTGAAGCCTATTAGTTTCTAAGGTAAAGCATCTGGGTAAACATTTTAGTTGTGTCGTTGAAGGAAGAAAATAATTTTGTATTACTTCCTTCCCCTTGTCCACTCCCCAGTAAATTCAGAGGCATAAAATTTTGTGCAATTTTACTCTTTTAGTTGACTCACAGGTGGCTGCGTCTGAGAAACAGACCGAAATAAATACATCCATAAAGATCAGAAAAACACTTTGATCAGTCTTAAAGCACCAGTTCATATGATTATCTCACCAATTAGCAATTGCACTGAGCGTTAAGCAAAAGAGAGCACGATGAGTTCCCTATGAGAATGGTGTTTTCCCAGGAGAAGGACCAGGATACTGTGACAAAAGCTGCGGAACCTTAAGGTGCTTGAGCTCCTGAAAACAACTCCAGAACCAAACTTATTGGCAGTAACGGAGGATTTTATTGTTGTGGTGCAAAGAAATGTACACAGATGTGATGGGGTTAAAATATAGTACTCTGGCATGTTGGCTATTTAAGTTAAAGGCACCTGGAAAGCAGCAGGTGCAAAATGATCACTTTTATCTTGTGCTGTTTTTAAGAGAAAGAGGATGAAATTCCCACACAAAAGATGCCCTCCAGTACTACATAAATCCAACATCATTATTTTCAAAGATGAGAAATTGAAACTGAGAGAATACTATATAGACTTTGTTTGAATAACTCTTATTTGTAAAGCCTCCCTGCATAATTTAGTTGCTTCTTTGCAACTTGCTACTCCTTGTCCAATTCACTATATGAGTAACTGACTCTAACTACTTCTGTGGGTCGTTTCTTTATGAGGGCTCCCATGCCACATAAAACTTATGCTTTTCTCCTATTAGTCTATTTTTTGTCGTTTAATCCTCAGACCCAGCTGGGACCCTAAGAGGGTAAAAGTGGAGTTTTTCTGTGCCTACCCATGCCAGGAAATGCATTGTCCCAATGTTTTGGAGTTTGACCATATTTGACCCATTTTTGACCATGACTATTATTGACCACAAAATACCAAAACGTATACCACACAGTTACATAATCTATTTCTAAATGCCACCCCTAACGCCACACTAGTTCTGCCTACATCTGGGCATTTTACGTATGTGTATGTTTCTGTATTTGTGTGTGTGTGTGTTGAGCCATGTCTTTGGAGCAAAATAAGTCCACTTGCGCCTTTAAACTTTATATTTTGTCTGGGGTTAGAAAGTTTGTGTCAGTTAATCTTCCTGACTGCTAACTTTTGATATTAAAGACTCTGCTGAGTAATCTAGCTTTTTTTTTTTTTAACCTGTATTTCAGACAGTAGATGGTTGGAAAGAATCCATAGTGAAATAGGTGATAAAATAGAAATAATGTTTTTGAATTAGTCTGTATAAATTTTAGAAGGATTGCCATGGGCCTCTTTGAAGCATAATGAAGTACAGGCTGGAGTGTTGTGATCTTTTTTCATCTTGAGTCTCCTAAGGGAGAAGACGTCAAAGACCCTTGCGATTGATTTCACCCAAACTGATTTCATGTAAACCTTAGAAATCTTTGGTCTATTTCCTCCAAGAAGTATCTGAAGCCATGAGTTGGTAGAAAGCAAAAGTGGGGACAATTTTCAGTAACATTCATCTCAGTAGATCCTGGCTTGAAAGTTGCCTAGTTTACACAAAACTTTGAACAAGTCAGAGTACCTTAAAACTGGGAGAAAAAGGTGAACTCTCTCACATTCTGCTTTATAATCATTTTATATTTCTTCATTCAGTCAGTAATTTATTTGTTATATGAATTTTTAAAAATGGCAAGAATAAGCCCCTCTGTAGAATCCTGTGACATGATGAGTGAGGCATTATTCGGCTTCTGTAGCCTCCTGCACTTGATTATAGGCTGAAAGTGACCACATAGAGGGTGTGCTGGAGGTTAATTTGTCAATAACATTTCTTAATAGTGGTAATAAATCAATTACCTTGGCATAGTGATATTTAAAATAAAGATTTAACTGTAAAGATACTTAGCAATATTTCATGTGAAAGAGAATTTAAACAGAAAGAGAATTAAACGCCTTGACATAGCAAGGCGTACTGGATACATGTACAAGAATCTTGAGGATTGGGCTAATTATTCCTGATATGATGAGGAAACACATATCATATGTAAAATGATGTGCCTACTGTGTATGTCTATTAAATTTTAAGGAGTTCTTTATAGAGTGCTAACTTATTCCAAAGCTTATAGACTTACCTTTTCAATTTCTGCATTGCCTCTCAAGAGAAATAGCTGGATTCCAAATTATTTTAAAAAAAAGGGATTCAAGATTACTTTTTAACAAGTATAAATATTTATAAATTATATATTTTATTATTTATATATAAATATATATTTATATATGTATATTTATATATAAAAATTATATATAAATATAGCATATTATAAATTATAAAAATTTAACAAGTATAAATATTTTCTGAAAAAGGAGGAAAAATAACTTCAGTTTTGGCTGTTTGTATAAACACAATTATTAAAATTTTGTTTGCTTTAAGCCTAGCCATGTTCAGTCTTCTTGGAAGAAATAGAGTTTAGAATTATAGAGAATAAGGCATTTTCTTGTGCCCTCCTAGGTTTTTAGCATTCCTGAAATAATTCTTCATTGTTAAAAATAATTCATGGAGTTTTTTGTAGCCTTAAAAGTATAAGTAAAGACTTTGATAATATTTGAAAAAGGTTCATAAAAACTTTAATAAAAAATTATCTGACAGTTATTTCTAAATTTGTTGGCTCTCAGCTGGTTGAAAAGCACATGACAATGAAAATGAAGACACTTGCTCTCAATGATCAGGAATGTACTGTATCTGTAGGATAATAATTGATCTCAGAGCCTCTAAAAACAGTTCTAAAATGAGAGAAGCCTTCTTACATTTACTATATTCTTGGAAAATGGTTCTGCCACTTCTGTTTTCTCCTAACTAATGTGAAATTACATTACTTTCTTTATTTTTCATACCAGTTTCTATGTTTTTTTGTTCAAACATCTTTCTTATTTCTTTCTTCCTATGACTCTTTTTTCTTTTTCTTAAACCAAAGCAAGCATAAAGAGAGGGATAAAGAAGCCAGGTGATTGAGGGGCAGGTAAAAGGGTTGTTTAATACAATGTATGAAAAAGTATACAAATTAAATATGATAACATTTTCTTTCCCTTTATCTTATTGAATATTATAGTTTTGCTGTCAAGACCTCTGCAAATCATTACAAGCTGATGTCAGTATGCTTAGAGTGGTCAGAAGAAAATTGAGTTTTAGTATCTGTAGTGGGTATGCATAAAGTACAGTATTTGTGCATTTGTGTGTTTGATGTAGGTCAGCTATTACCTGAATCTTTTAGCATGTTATCTTAATCTGACCATCTGGTTTCCAAACTTATCTATGACTGTAAGTGGTGACAGTAAACTGGAGAGTACAAGATTTCTACCAAATATTCTGAAAGCTGAACTTCATTGATTAGGACGTGTCAAGACAGATTTTATACTCAGGGATTCTATGGTATTTTAATTGTTTGTTCAAATGTACTTTACTTTTGAATGCTGCAAATTCAGCATGTTTAACAGTGCCCAATTAAGAGAAAGCCTAAGAAAGCCCTAAGGAAAATCAAAAAATTACATAGAAAAAATTATTTTTTAACAAGTTTCAAAGTTGATCGTATTTTAAGTTTTGATGGAATCTTTACAAAGGACAAAATTTAGTAATAAATATGTCAGTAAAATCTATTTAACAAATTATTAGAGAAAATTTTGAAACATGAGTTCAGAGGGAACATTTGATATCTGTCATCATTCTGCAAAACCAAACTGCAAAACTAAAACTGGTTCAATTAGGAACAGGCTGTCAGTGGTACGAGAATGTGAAAAATGTGTGTGTATTTTATAAAATTTGAGAAAAAAAATGTATTCTGTTTATGTAAGGAAAAAAGGCCTCAGAGTCTCTTCTTCCATGAAGATAAACATAGCTTAAGGTCAATCAAATTCTTGAAAATTTAAAGGTTATTTAACATCTCTTCCCTGTCTGCTTTGTACAGTAGATTCCAGATAGAGCAGTAATACATGAGAGGGTAGGACGTGGTTGTTTTAACAGGGGAAAAAAACTCCAAAAACAAAAACCAAGTTTTCCTCTGTTTGATATTATATTAAAAGCATATCTTACTGTGGTTGAGAAAAATGTAGACAGAGATGTTTGGGGGGTTAACTCTTATGACTTAAAGCATTTATATAAATGCAGAATATAACAGTCTAAATTTTGGCCTGAATACCAATTTATTGGCTCTGTAAATTTGTATTTGTTCAATTTTTTAAAATACTTGATTACAACTTTAATTTGCTTCTTCTGGTTTATACATAATAAGACTTCTGACTTCATACTAAATGACATTTTCTTCTACCTTACCTTGTTTCTACTGTATGTATGTATATATACACGCACATATCTCTCTCTCTCACACACACACACACACACACACACACACACACACACACACACATATATACACGCACACATATTTCAAACCAATGTTAAAGTATGCTTTCAAGACTCACACATTCAATATTCCCCAATAAACCTTGGATGTATTCTCAAGATTTCTCCCTACCTGAAAACAGAAACTATATTCAATTTGTACACTGAATCTCAAATGTACTGTCTGTCAAAATGTGTGGCTTTTTTAATTGTTGTTCAAGTATTTCAAAGTCCAGCCATTTTTTTTAAATAAGGTTATATTTATAGAAACATTCCAAAGATAGTTCACAGAGTTTCTAGAGACCCTATATTCAGATTTCACTAATGTTAACGTTTTGCATAACCAGGGTGTACTTATCAAAATTAAGAAATCAATATTACTGTAATATTACTATGAAACAAAGGGCTTTGTTCTGATTTCACAAGTTTTTAACTGATGTCATTTCTCTTCCCGCATCCAATCCTGGAATTCATATTGCATCTATTTGCCTTCTTCTATATGCCTACGTGTCTTCTTAGTCTTCTCTAATTGTGGCAGTTTCTCAGTTTTTCCTTGCTTCCATGACATTGGCAGTCTTGAGAAGTTGGGGTCTGTGAGTTTTGTAACATATTTCTCAATATGAGTGCATCTAGTGTTGTCTCATGATTACCCTGGAGTTAGGGGTTTTGGTGATAAATACCTTAGAGATGAAGTACTCTTCTTACCATGTCAGATCAGGAGGTGCATGATATCACCAAGACTTTTACAGCCAATGTTCACCTTAATCACCTGGCTAAGTGCTGTCGGGTTTCTGTACAGTAAAGTCACTTTTTGCCAGCATTTTGAATAGTATATGCCTGTGTGGATGTTTGGTCGTATATGTGTGTTTGGTTTTTGCATTTTTTGTTTTTGGTATTTAGTCTGCTTGGTTTCCTTTAGGCTGCTTGGATATGTGTTTTGGGGTCTGTTATAATTTAAAAAATTCTCAACTATTATTTCTTCAGATATGTTTTCTGTCTCATTCCCTCTCCTCACTCTTCCTTCTGTGATGTTTTGCACAGGTTACACAGCACTTTTACCCTACACTTCTTAAATTCCTCTAATTTCTCTACCCACCTTCTTTCCTTTCAGTTTCAGTTTGGGTGATTTCTACTGACTTACTTTCAAATTCACTGAGTCTTTTATGTTGTCAAACTTACTAAATAATCCCTCAGAGGAACACTTCATTTCCATTACTCTATACTTTCTAGCATTTCCATTTGATGCTTTCTTAAAGTTTCTTTATCTCTGCTGAAATCACCTATCTAATCAGTGATGATGTCTTGCTTGTCCATTAGAATTTCTAATGTTTAATTATAAATATTTAAAATTTCCTACCTGATAGTTTCAACATCTGTGTCACATCTGAGTCTGATTCTGATCATTGCGTTGTCTCTTTAGATTGTTTTTGCCTTTTGGTAGGCATTTTTTTTTTTTTTTTTTTTTTTTGGTAGTTATTGAAAGCCAGAAAAGTAGCGCAGGAGAGCAGGTAGTGAAGTGAATATATTTTCTTATTGGGTATCACTTTAGTGTAGGGGTTTGTGTTAATATAGTCAGAAGTTGTGCTGGGAATGAAGTTATCATTAGATTGGCCACAGGCATTGAATGTCATATTTTTCCAATGATGCATTGTTTTTAAGTGGTACTGTCTGTCCTGGTTTTTCCGGAGAGTTTCTTTCTTTCAATTTCTTCTCCCCACTTGGCTCTTCCTCCCACCCCTGTCAGCCTGTGCACTACTGTCTAGAGAGAATGTGTCTCTTCAAAATCTTCTGACTGTGGTGATGTGGGCTGGGGACAGAGGTCATCCTCTGATTTTCTGATTAAGGCTCAGTCTTAGGCAGCCATTGCATACCTGGGTCTCGGATGTGTGTGTGTGTGTGTGTATGTGTGTGTGTCTACCTGGGTTCTCAAGTGTGTGTATTGGTTCTCAGGTGTGTCAGCTTCCCAAATGCTCGTCTTCGTACTCCAGCTTCAGTGTTGGGCCTAGCACGTATTCCTGCCCATCTTCCGGGTGTGAAGTTTTGATCTTCCTATCCCCTTCCAGCAGCCCCAGTGAGTTTCTGCTCATGCCTAAAGGCAGCAGTTTTTAATGTTACAAATTTTCTCTTTTTTTGTGAATGGAAAAGAGCACATCGATCTTGGGAGAAGTTTCAGCAGGGGCTGCTTTTCTCCCCCTCTCACCCTGCCCAACACTCAGAGAAGTTTTCCACAGTGTCCTCCCCTCAAGCACTTTTGTCGAGAACCTTCTTAGTGAGCTGCTGTTTGTACTCATGGTGGAAAGGGCTGCATGATCACGAGAACACTTTGGTACCCACGAATCCCAGGAGGTTCACACTCTCACACTACCCCACATTCGGCTTACAGCAATTTGTCCATTTGCTCTGCTATAACAAAATACCTGAGGCTAAACAATTTTTAAAGACCAGAAATTTATTTCTCAAGGTTCTGAAGGCTGGGAAGTCCCAGACCAAGGCATGGCATGCCTGTGGTCTGGTGAGAACCTGCTCCATCAATGCTGTCTTCTTCCGGTGGAAGGCAGAGGGGCCAAAGGAACAAGTGCTTTAACCTCACATGGCAGAAGATGCGAAGGACAAAAGGGACAAAAGGTGCTAAAGTGAGTTCCCTTCAGTGCTTGTATATGGTACAAACCCTTTCATAAAGCAGAGGCTAATGACCTAATCACGTCCCCAAAGACTCCACCTGTTAATACCACTACAGCAAATATTAAGTTTCAACACATGACTTTGGGGAGCATTCAGACCATAGCATATAGTGTACTAGTTTACCTCAGCAGAAAAAAAACAAAAGGACAAAAAACAAAACAAAACTCACAGACCGGGTCATTATAGCAGCAGACATTTATTTTCTTACAGTTCTGCAGGCCAAAAGTCTGACAGCAAGGTGTCTTTGGAATTGTTTTTATCCGAGGATCTCCAGGAAATGTGTGTTCCATACTCTTCTCTGAGATTCTGGTGGTTTGCTGGAAATCTTTGGAAGTCTTTAGCTTGTGACAGCATACCCCTCAATCTTCACATGGTATTCTCCTGTGTGTGCGCTCAAATTAGTTTTATTTTTATAAGAACACAATTCATACAGATTAGGGGTCCACCTTACTCCATTATGACCTCATCTTAAATAATCATATATATGGCCAGGCTCGGTGGCTCACGCCTGTAATCCCAACACTTTGGGAGGCCGAGGTGGGCAGATCACGAGGTCAGGAGATTGAGACCATCCTGCCTAACACAGTGAAACCTCGTCTCTACTAAAAAATACAAAAAATTAGCTGGGCGTGGTGGTGGGCGCCTGTAGTCCCAGCTACTCAGGAGGCTGAGGCAGGAGAATGGCGTGAACTCGGGAGGCGAAGCTTGCAGTGAGCCGAGATCACGCCACTGCACTCCAGCCTGGGTGACAGAGCGAGACTCCATCTCAAAAAAAAAAAAATTACTCTTTTTCCAAATAAGTTTATATTCTGAGTTGCTGGGACTTGTGGCTTCAATATATGGATTTCTTGGGTACAAAATTCAATCTATAACATACAAGGTCTGTCAAGATTTGTCCCAAGTAACCAAATTTATACTTAACTTTTCTCTGTAACTACCTATCTTTCTCCAAAAATTACCCTAGTAATTTGTCTTGAGACATTAGCACTCCAATAGGCTCAGAGAAGTTATAAGTTTATAGTTTGGCCAGCATTTTTCTTGCCATAAGTGTGAATACAATGCTCTTTCTAGCTCTGCATCTCTGACATGAAATGAGAACTAAATCATGTTATTTCCATTTCTAAAAATGGGCTTTGAGATCTAAGAATGTTTATAAAAATTTTACTTTACTCTTGATAATTTCTTATTTGTACTAAGTTATTCATGCCGTGAGTTAACATTATGTACCTAATTTTAATGCTTACAATTTATGATGTTTGAAGAAGGAAACTTTACATAGCGTATCTTGAAAATTTCCTGGATCAATTAACATTTAATAGATGCTCAATAAATATGCAATGGATAATATAAATGCTATCGGACATAGAAACAAACAACCACCATAAAAAATCAGATATATTCTGCGTAAATATGCATATACCTAGATTATATATTGCCATGATTATTTTTGAGGTATGGTTGACTTTTTTTGTCTGCACTGATACCGATTAACATAACAAAATAGCAAAACAGAGAGATAGGCTAGTTTGTAGAAATTTTGTAGTTGTCATAACCAGCAAAGCCACGGAATGTTTATTCCTTTGTAAAGGAAACATTTTAAGCCTTTGGGATAAGTCTGCCTCATTTTGTAAACACAGGACCTGTGGACTCTCTAAACAGATGATTGGCTGATATTTTATATAAAAATGTGTGTGTATGTATACCTGATTTTTAGTGCTCTCATTACTGTAATGCCACAAAGATTTCAGAGAAGCACCTGACACAGTTCAAAATATTTCCAAAGATTTACTTCTCTGGGCAGGCATCATGATTTACTACTGCTGTCAGCTGGAGAAAGCTTCTATGCCCACCAACACAGTGCAATTTGATATCATGCCCAGAAATGCCAGCACTGGCAAATGTCTCTCTTCAAGCACTAGAACATTATTGTGTAAGTTCCCCATAGAGCTATTTTCTAAATGGTCTGAGAAAGTATAGTGGGAATGGCTGAAAAGAGTAAATGTTTCTCTTACCCTTGTGGTTGGCAAGAAGAAATACTGGCTTATTAAAAGATGAGTCTAAGAGAGTCAAAAGGAAATCATCTTCTGTCGCCATTTGCATTTTTCTAGATACTCTCAGCAGGATTTACTTTCCACGTGTGTCTGTTTGAACTATGTAAGCCCCTCATTTCTTCATTATCAACACACTTGGACTTCTTGCAAGAGCAGGAATTATTATTTTTTAAAGATTAAATCCATTTATTTTATAAGCTTTGTGCATGGAAAGCTTGATATCTTATGTAAAGGAGATCTTAGGTGTTTTTGGTCACTGTCAATTAGAATACTCTTTTAATGCTGAAGTCAAAGAGCTTGTAAAATGACTTAAAATATGTATACTTAAATGTGGATTATATAATATATAAAAATATATGAGATGAGAAAAAATTGAATACAGGTGTTCTTTGCCATTACGAATGGCTCCGCTTTGCCATGCTCATATTCTATATCATGTGTTATGGTTGCTGTTTCATGAAGAGATGTGCAAATGGTTAGGTAGAAGTCACAGCCAAATATCAGGAGGAAATGAGCTCATTGAATTAAAGGCCTTGCAATGTTCAAATTGCCTTCATCCCCGCTTTTCTGCATCTCTCCTTAAGATATCCCAGAAAAAAGGTACATTCATATAATAAAATCCAGGCTAGTCCAGTTCAATTTTAAATTTAAATATTACTTTTCATCAAAGTGTTTTCTGCTTTCCATCACAGGAAGAATAATTAGGAAAACCAGAGGACACTATTGTCAAATTTGAAAATATTTACAGAATTAATGGACATTCTGTCATGTTTAGTTCTACACACTTGGACAGATGTGGTTAAAATAAAATGCCCAAGCTTAGATTCTTACAGCAAAACAAGACCTGAATTGTCTTCCAGTTCATATTCCTCAATGTGCAAATGGGGAAAACGAAGTCCAGAGAAATAAAGTGCGTTCCTTATGACATACTTGGCATTAGAGGCAACTTTGGGAATACTGTGTGATCTCTAGTATAAAGGCATTTGACTCGAGTCTCCGCTCTTCACAATCTTCTGGACCATGTTTTAGATCCATTCTCTTTTCAGCTTCATCTATTCTACGTTTTCTAGTCTCTTTCACATTACCCTCCCCCTTTTCCTTATTCAGGGCCAAGTTTTAGATTGGCACAGCTGGAAGTTTAGTTAAATTCAGAGGAGGTGGAAAACACAAGTAAATGCATTTGAGAATAATTCATGCCAGTCTTCTCACAGTTGGAAAAAACAGGTATAAATATGAAAATGAGAAGGGCTCATTTTCTGTAGCATTGTGTTGGATTTTAGTTGGAGGTATTAGTCCACACTCACGGTGTTTAAACTAGATTTGGATTGTATCTAGTCTATATATATACAATTACCTAGATGCATTTTTCTGCTTATATGTATATGTATTTGTATATTTATATTTATGTTTCTTAACAAAGGCAGCGTAGGGCAGCTAGAAACAACAAAACCCTAGAAGTAATGGGTATAATTACCATCCAAATCTTGGTTTATAAGTATCATTCCCTACAAAAAGAACCAGATCTATTTGAAGAAATGGCTTATCCTTAGGCTTGGGTTGGAAAAACACAAAATACATCTAGAACACCTGGTACTAGAAAGTAAAGCAGTTATGAGAAATTGATGATAAATAAAAATCTCTCACTCCTAATAATCTAAGTAAAATGATTTAGATAGGCATCCTCCATGTCCCTTGAATTCAGATTTCTGTCAATAAAGATGATCCTTCGGTATTGAAAATCAGGCCTTACAGAATCAAGGTAAATAGCACATATTAAAAATGTATGTATTTTCCACATTATCTCACAGCTCCAGGATTCCTAGTTAAATCAAAATCCAACTCTGAGTATTCTAGAGGTTATATCAGCAAATGTATACTAAAATGTGGTATTTTGTTATCAATATTTTTAATTAGCAACACGGGGAGATTACAGGTGTTAACTGAACTCTACAGAGGTCCACAAGTGCTGACTGAATGAAAAATACTCTAGATGGTTATTATTAGAGAAAAACAAAGTCTACAAAAATTAGCACATATAGATCCAGAGTTTCTCCATCTCTGTGCCGACAATCTTCTAGCCAGAAGTATTATTTCTTTTTTTGATAAGGTTTTAATTTTTAACTACTTTTAAATATGTAGAAAAGTTGCAGAAATAGCACACATAGCTACTTTATAACTTGCATGTAACTTGCTGATGAGTTACCCCTTTTCTCTCAATACATTAGTGTGTATAAGAACAAGGACATTCTGTTTCTATTCAGAGGTCAACTTTAACTTCAGTAAAGGAATATTACTCCCCTATTACCATTTAATACACAGAACCAAACTTATTTCACCAATTTACTTAAAAATATCATTTTTAGGTCCAAGATACATTGCAGGGTTACGGTGATAATTCATGACTTATGCACTTAAGCCATAAAACCACAAACATAATAATGCAGTCCTCTCAGTGCATGGTATTGGGAGGCATACAATATGGATTTATCCCAGGGAGTTAGAAAAATGTCATTTAAGATGGTGTCTGACATTTTTTCACTGTAAAGAATATATTAACAATAATGTTGAAAGTATTACATAATAATGATGTGCCTGTAGTATGTATTTTGTGTGGAGATATTTTTAAAATATGAAATTGTTCTGAATCTAATCAAACTCAGTCATCACTTTTAGCATCATTGATGATTCTTGTCTCAATCTATGATTACAAGGGTCATTGTTAAATGGTGATTTTCTGATTTATCTCCCTATCTTCATATTTTATTAGGCAATTAGTAGAAGCCACATGGTGCTTTCTGGAATTTCCCTAGTGGAGCCCGTGAATTCACTGGGTGCACTTTGTATTTTTCACATTATGTAGGGTGAATTTTTGCTAATTATTCTGTCAGTGCAAAACTAGGTTGTCCTTATCTGTAGCCTAAAATAATTGTTATTCACAGACAGTTTTCTTGTATCCTTTTAACTTCTGTTTTCCAATCCAAATGCCAAAGCTGCATGTCTTACATCAGCACCTAAATTCTAAGCACCAAATTATATTCTAGTTATCTACTGTTGCATTACAAACTACTTTGAATGTTAGTGACTTAAAACAAACAAAGCTGATTCTATTTCACTAATATGTAGTCCAGGAATGTCGCCAGGGACCAGGTGAGCAATTCTTCTGCCCCATGTTTTGTCACCACAAAGTGGTGCATACTTGATGGTATGCAGCTTGAGGCTCCAAGATGGCTTCGTTCACAAGCCTAGTGCCTGTTTAGAAATGTCAGTTGGCTGGGCTCAGATGGGCCACTCTCCCTTCCCACATGGTTGGTCACCAAGGTTCCTGGGCTGCTTCTGTGACAGCTCAGGGTTCTGCGAGTGAGTATTCTAAAGAACAGAAACAGGAAGTTGCTAATATGTTAGCAACGTGGCCGAGAAAGTGGAATCGTGGCACTTCTGCTATGCCTCTTCCACGTGTATCAGTTAATTAATTTTTGAAGATGAGGAAATGTAATTGGAAACATAATGCTGCAACAACTGAATATATGTATAAAAATAAACCTCAAACATAACTTCATATAATATAAAAAATTACTGTGGATAATAGACCTATACAGAAATCCCAAACTATTACATTTCTAGGAAGCATAGAAAAATATGTATTTATGATTTGGGGGTAGGAAAAGACTTCTTTACATGCCATGAAAAAATATCATAAAAAACGATAACTTAGAATTGATCCAAATTTATAATCTTTATTCTTCAATATACATAAATAGGAAAATTAACAGCCAAACTAGAGATTCTAAGTAAATTTCACCAAACATATCTTAACGATAATGCATCTAGGATATATGAATAACTGCTACAAATTAACAACAAAAATGTAAACAATCTGCCACCAAAAAACAAAAATATTTAAAGAGACACATCACAAATGAGAATGTATATATTAAAAGAAGGTTAAACCCCATTCGTTATGAGGGAAATAAAGATTAAAATCATTGTGAGATACCACTTCATATCAACTAGAATAGCAAGAATTAAAAACACTTTCAAGAAGAGCAGATTAAGTCCAATGTAAGCAGAAAACAAGAATTAGAGCAGAGATCAGTAAAACTGAAAATAGGACATCAGTAGAGAAAATCAGCATAACTAAAAGCTAATTTTCCTAAAAATATATAAAATTTATAAACATCTAGCCATGCTAGCTAAGACAAGAGAGAAGATACAAATTCCTAATATCAGAAATGAAAGAAGTGTCTCTCTATGCATCCCATGGACATGAAGAGGATAATAAATAAATATTGGGAACAACTTTACTTTCACAATTTTTTTTAAGTTTCTTTTTTTTAATTATTATTATACTTTAAGTTTTGGGATACATGTGCACAATGTGCAGGTTAGTTACATATGTATACCTGTGCTATGCTGGTGTGCTGCACCCATTAACTCGTCATTTAGCATTAGGTACATCTCCTAATGCTATCCCTCCCCCCCACCCCCACCCCACAACAGTCCCTAGAGTGTGATGTTCCCCTTCCTGTGTCCATGTGTTCTCATTGTTCAATTCCCATCTATGAGTGAGAACATGCGGTGTTTGGTTTTTTGTCCTTGGCGATAGTTTACTGAGAATGATGATTTCCAATTTCATCCATGTCCCTACAAAGGACATGAACTCATCATTTTTTATGGCTGCATAGTATTCCATGGTGTATATGTGCCACATTTTCTTAATCCAGTCTGTCATTGATGGACATTTGGGTTGGTTCCAAGTCTTTGCTATTGTGAATAGTGCCACAATAAACATACGTGTGCATGTGTCTTTATAGCAGCATGATTTATAGTCCTTTGGGTATATACCCAGTAATGGGATGGCTGGGTCAAATTGTATTTCTAGTTCTAGATCCCTGAGGAATCGCCACACTGAGTTCCACAATGGTTGAACTAGTTTACAGTCCCACCAGCAGTGTAAAAGTGTTCCTATTTCTCCACATCCTCTCCAGCACCTGTTGTTTCCTGACTTTTTAATGATTGCCATGCTAACTGGTGTGAAATGGTATCTCATTGTGGTTTTGATTTGCATTTCTCTGATGGCCAGTGATGATGAGCATTTTTTCATGTGTCTTTTGGCTGCATAAATGTCTTCTTTTGAGAAGTGTCCACTTTTTGATGGGGTTGTTTAATGAAATAAAAGAGGATAAAAACAAATGGAAGAACATTCCATGCTCATGGGTAGGAAGAATCAATATCGTGAAAATGGCCATACTGCCCAAGGTAATTTATAGATTCAGTGCCATCCCCATCAAGCTACCAATGACTTTCTTCACAGAATTGGAAAAAAACTACTTTAAAGTTCATATGGAACCAAAAAAGAGCCCGCATTCCCAAGTCAATCCTAAGCCAAAAGAACAAAGCTGGAGGCATCACGCTACCTGACTTCAAACTATACGACAAGGCTACAGTAACCAAAACAGCATGGTACTGGTACCAAAACAGAGGTATAGATCAATGGAACAGAACAGAGCCCTCAGAAATAATGCCATATATCTACAGCTATCTGATCTTTGACAAACCTGAGAAAAACAAGCAATGGGGAAAGGATTCCCTATTTAATAAATGGTGCTGGGAAAACTGGCTAGCCATATGTAGAAAGCTAAAACTGGATCCCTTCCTTACACCTTATACAAAAATTAATTCAAGATGGATTAAAGACTTAAATGTTAGACCTAAAACCATAAAAACCCTAGAAGAAAACCTAGGCATTACCATTCAGGACATAGGCATGGGCAAAGACTTCATGTCTAAAACACCAAAAGCAATGGCAACAAAAGCCAAAATTGACAAATGGGATCTAATTAAACTAAAGAGCTTCTGCACAGCAAAAGAAACTACCATCAGAGTGAACAGGCAACCTACAATTGGGAGAAAATTTTTGCAACCTACTCATCTGACAAAGGGCTAATATCCAGAATCTACAATGAACTCAAACAAATTTACAAGAAAAAAACATACACTCACAAATTTTATAACCTAGATGAAATGGACTCATTCCTTCAAAGACGCAATCTACCTAAACTCATATAAGAAGAAAAAGATACTATGAAGAGACCAATTTATAAAAGAATTTGAATCAATTGTTAATAACCTTCCAAAACATAAAACACAATGCCCAGATCAGTTCACCAGTGAATTTTCCCAAATGTTTAAAGAAGAAATTATACCTTTTTTTTTTTTACAATCTTTTACAAAAGACAGAAACAGAGGAAATACTTTCTAACTCATTTTACGAGGCCAGCATTACCCCAATACCAAAATCAAAGTCATTACAAGAAAATAAAATTACAGATCAATATATATCATAAATATAAATGTAAAACTATCAATAAGATATTAGCAAGTTGAATCCAACAATGTATAAAAATAACTATACACCACAGCCAATGGGACTTATCCCAGGTATTCAAAGCTTTTTCAACATTCAGAAGTCAATTAGCTTAAGCCTTTACATCAACAGTTTGAAGAACAACCATAAGATCATGTCATTACATGCAGAAAAACATTTGACAAAATTCAATACTCATTTACATACACAAGCATTCAAAGTTTAAGCAAACTTGGAATGGCGGGAAATAATCCCTAGATAATGCAGTAAGAAGAGACAAGGAAATTAATGATATACAGATAGGAAAGGAAGAAATAAAACTGTCTTTGTTCTCAGATAAAAACATTCCCTACATAGAAAATCCAAGAGAATTGGCCAAATAGAAGCTCCTGGAACTATTAAACAATTATAGGAATGTTGTAGCAGTTATACAAAGATTAATATGTGAAAGTCAATAACTTTCCTATACACCAAAAATGAAGAAGTAAAATTTAAAATTAAAAAGGCATTAACATTGACATTCCACCTAATAAAATGAAACCCCTTTGTGTAGATCTAACAAAATATATACAAGATGTATCTGAGGGAAATTACAAAATCTGATTGAACGGAGCAAATAAATAAATAAAATAAAATACTCAATTTTCATAGACAGAAAGACTCAATAAGGTCAAGAGCTCAGTTTTTCCCAACTGTATCTATACATTAAACACAATCCCAATTAAATACCAGTAGGTTATTATTATTATTATTATCATTATTATTTTGTATATCAACAAACTGATTCTAATGTTTGTATGGAAAGATAAAAGACCCAGAATGGGCCAGGCGCGGTGGCTCACTCCTGTAATCCCAGCACTTTGGGAGGCCGAGGCAGGTGGATCACGAGGTCAGGAGAGCGAGACCATCCTGGCTAACAGGGTGAAACCCCGTCTCTACTAAAAATAGAAGCAATTAGCCGGGCGTGGTGGTGGGCGCCTGTAGTCTCAGCTACTCGGGAGGCTGAGGCAGGAGAATGGTGTGAACCTGGGAGGCGGAGCTTGCAGTGAGCCGAGATCGTGCCACTGTACTCCAGCCTGGGCAACAGAGCGAGACTCCGTCTCAAAAAAAAAAAAAGAAAAAAGACCCAGAATAGCCTATTCAATATTGAAGAAGAAAAGAAGAAAAACAAAGTCAGAGGCCTGAAACAACGTGACCTGAAGACCTACCAGAAAGCTTAAATAATCAAGACAGTATGGTGTTGGCAAAACAACAGACAAATAGATCAATGAAACAGAATAGGGAGCCCAGACATAGACCTGCGTAAGTATAGTCAACTGACTGACAAATAAGCAAAGGAAATACATAGAGCAAAAGAAGACTTTTTGCCAAATGGTGCTGGAACAACTGAATATCCACAAGGAAAAAAATGAATCTGGACACAGGACTTACACCTTTCACAAAAATTAACTCAAAATAAATCATAAACAGAAATACAGTATGCAGAACTCTAAAACTTGTGAAGATAACATAAGAAAACCTGGGTATTTTATGTATGATTTTGGCTTTTTAGATACAACACAAAGTGTATGATCTATGAAAGAAACAATTGATAAGTGGGACTTTATTAAAATTAAAAACTTCTGCCCTGTGAAAGGCAATGTCTAGTGAATTAGAAGATGAGCCACAGATTGAGAGAATATCATTGCAAAAGACACATCTAAGAAAGCACTGTCATCCAAAACATACAAAGATCACTTAAAACTAAACAAGAAGACAAGCAACACAGTTAAATGGCAAAAGACCTGGATAGACACCTCACCAATGAAGATATATAGATAGTAAGTAAGCATATGAAAATATGTTCAACATCATATGTCATTAAGGAATTGCAAATTAAAATGACAGTGGGATATGATTACTCACCTATTAGAATGGCCTAAATCCAAAACACTGACACCACCATATGCTGGCAAGGATATGGAGCAACAGGACTCTCATTGATTGTCAGACTACAAAATAGCACAACCACCTTGGAGGACACTTATGCAGTTATTTATAAAACTAAACATACCCTTATGATATGACCAGAATTCACACTCTTTTCTATATTCCTAAATAAACTGAAAACGTATGTCCAGGCAAAAATCTATATATGGATATTTATATCAGCTTTATTCATAACTGCCTAAATGTGGTAACAATCAAGATGTCCTTGAAAAGGTGAATGGAACCAAACTGTGGTACATTCATGCAATCAAATATTAGTGATAAAAAGAAATTAGCTACCAGCTACAAAAACACATAGAAGAACGTCAAGTGCATGTTCCTGGGTAAAATAAGCCAATCTGAAAATCTACTGAATGATTTTAATTATATGATATTCTGGAAAAGGTAAAACTATGGAGACAGTAGAAGGATCAGTGGTTGCAAGGAATTAATGGGGAGGGAGAGATGAACAGGTGAAGCACAAAGGATTTTAGGGCAGTGAAACTATTCTGTTTGTAACTACAGTGGTTGATACATGTCATTATACCTTTGCCAAAACCCATAGAATGTAGATCACGAAGAGCAAACTCTAAGGTACATTAAGGATTTTGGATGATAACGATGTGTCAGTGTTGTTTCATGAGTTGCCACAAATATGCCATCAAGGTTCAGGATGTGGATAGTGGGGCAGATTGTGTGTGTTTTGGGGGATGGGTGTGTATGGGAAATTGCTATTGTTTCCATTTAGTTTTGCTGTGAACCTAAACATACTTTAAAAAAGTGTTTATTAATTTAAACACAGTGTGTATGTAGTATACACACACATATACACATATATGAGGACTGAGAACATCAAATGTTGGTGAAGATGTGGAGCTATGTATAAATTGTTTCTGGGAGTATAAAATCATGCATCCACTTTTGAAACCCATCTGTCATTTTGTTATAAAATTAAACATGTGCCTTCCTTATGACCTAGAAGTTCGGCCATTGTGTATATGAGCAACAAAAACAAATGTCCACAAAACATCTGTATAGTTATGCAGCTTCATGTCATACTTGTGCAAACATGTCTTTCATAGCAGCTTTGTGTTCTTTTTTGTATAACCCTCCATTTAAGAAGGAATAACTTGCTGTAGAGTCATTCAATTAAATATCACTCAACATCCCAAAACATGAAAAATATATATGAATCATTGTAACATTATCATAGTGCAGAAGGTAGGCACAAAAGAAAATGTGCCACGTTATCCCATTTATATGAAATTGAAGAACAAATAGAACTTGGCTATGGTCATAGCAATCACAAGATTGATCATCTACAAGAAAGGCAAGACTGAGTGAAAGGAGGCCAAAGGGAATTTTTGGTGTCCTTGCATTGGCTATTTCTTTTGCCTGGAATGCTCTTCTCCTGGATTTCTACATTCCTAATTCCTTCAGTTCATTCCAGTGTTTGCCTCAACAAATCCTTCTTAAAAAGGAGAACTCGAAGAAGCTACTTTAGTGCTGTTTTTTTCATCTCTGTGGCATGCCTTGCCTTCTTTCATAAAACAAAATGTGCTTTTTTTTTAAATTTTTTTTTCTTTTTTTTTTCTTTTTTTTTTTTTTGCTTATTGTATATTCTCCTGAAATCGTAAGTCCCTTGAATCCAGGGTGCTGGTTTCTTTCCAGTGCATCCTTGGGACAGTGTTGGCACGTAACTGACACAGGAGGTCATCTCCATAATCTCATTACTGATTCTGATTCAGGGCTACTTTTCTTCCAGAGTCAGTGATCTCTCCCCTGTCCCCGCTTACTCTGTTGTTTATTCCATACTTTATCTAGGCTTTGGTGGCTTTATCCCAACAGTCTTATGGCTTCAGATGTCTCTCCTGTCAAAATTTTCCATGTCCTCCTATCTTTGAATTCCCGTAAATGACCCTGAGCTCCTGGTTTTCCTGGGACTAGCTCCGCATCTAACTCTTAGTTGATTCACAAAATATTTCTGAACTATATGTATGCTAGTGGGGGAGCTAAAAATAAACACAAAATACCTAAGTTAGTAGAATTTTTAACCAGAAAATGTTAATATGTGAGACTGAAATAGTACTTATTCATTCATAATTTAGTATCTTAAACACTATGGAGACTTTTTGCTTTACATGTTTCAATTAATATATTACTAATATATGTTAAAACATATTATCTTAAATGATTCTAAATTAAAAATGAGAAATTAATTTGCTGTTTTAACAAAGTCTAGTAATGCATTTCTCATAAATATTATTTCCTTTCCATCTGTATGGACATGGAAACCTTCTTCCACACACACACATTCGATTTTGTATTTGTTTGGAAAGAAGTACTGCTACTTTTATGTAAGTTTTGCCACAGATTCAAACTGGTTTAGATGAAATTTACTTAAAAACCAATAGGCAGTATCTATATTACAATTTCCTACTCTTTTTTTCCTTTCCTTTTTTTCAGTTCCATCCCTCTGAGTCGTTGCTCATCAATCATACTGGGAAGCTGACTTTTATTCTGCACACTTCACCACTAACTGCATTACAGAGCTGAAAAACTTACTCAAAGTTTAGAATGTGATAAACGTAATCAAATTGCTCTAGTCAAATTCTAACAGTGGTGAATAGATGACACTAATTACCTTTTGTTATTATGCTACAAATGTGGTTTACTCCATCTTTATTCATGAAGAAATATCATACAGCCCACTGAGAGGACTGCAGCAGGATGTAATATTGGTTTATTTGTTTCCTTAGTTTTACTTCTTTCTTTACCAGCATCCAAGAGATGAAATTTTAAGCTGCAATATATTTATATGCGGTAGTTTTTTACCCACTTTGGAAGATAATTGTTACCCACTGCAAAGCCTCACAATTCTGCATAAACAAGTGCTTTCAAAACTCCAGTAAAATGATATCAACTTTTTTTTTTGTGGGGGTTGGGTGCTTACTTTTGTTTCAGAGTAAGTGACATATTGTTTTTAAATGAGTTAACACAGAAAGAAATGGAGCATGTGCTAAAAATAATGCATCGAGATGAGAGAAATTGAACCACTCTTCGGAAAAAAATGTGGAACTATGCTACCTTTAAAGTTTTTTCTACATTTTTACATGTGGAAATTTCTCAGTAATTCACCTTGAAACTAGTTTATAGGAAATAATTATTCAAACTTGCTTACATGTTGTATGGTTGAAATAATTTACATACCTATTTCCAGTGGTCATAGTAGAGCCAAGTTTCAAAAACCTGTCATCAGATGATTACATATGCATTCTATACATCAAATAGGCACAATTATCTGTGAATGCTTCTGTTTCCATTTGTCAGATAACCAGAAACTGCTTTTTTTTTTTTTTAATGCTTGCAAGGTTCAGCCAACCTAAATATTTTCTCAAGAGTCCATAAGGCTTACTTAGGATACTAAAGGTTAGGTTATTAAAATAATAAGCAGAAGTATGCCTATAACATCTTAAGTACAATAGAATATTAATTGATTTTAGAACCATTAAATTCTTAACATACCAATGGAAAGTATATCTGAAGTTCAATAAAGAAGATTTAAATGAAATGAAGAGTTTGGAAGTTAATATACACATTGAATTTAAATAAATTATAGTGTTTTAGGATCCTCCCAGAAATAATCAGTATAGGAATACAAGATGTAAACCATGATTATAACTTATAAAATGACCTGCAGTATAGGAAAAGCATATACCTAACATGCTCAGGAAAATTCACTTTTATGCCTGATGTCCTGGTTTAAATATTGATAACACTTCCTTTCAGTTTTAAAAAATGGTCTGGTTAGGATGCTAAGTTGGGCTGACACACTGCTTATGGACAGTTATAACGGAATTACATTCCATTCTCAGAGCAAGTGAAGTCTTAGAAAGGATTTAAACAGATAATTCCTTGACATAATTCATATTGCTGTGTGGAGAATAGATTGGAGAGAGCAAGGGACAGAATGAGTACAAGAGTGGCTATGGCATAGCTGGCAAGGAGGAAGGTGGTAAGGAATGAAATTGAACAACAGAAACAATCCAGATCTTATAATTCTTTAAAGCCACTGTAGGCCGGGTGCGGTGGCTCACGCCTGTAATCCCAGCACTTTCGGAGGCTGAGGAGGGCAGATTACGAGGTCAAGAGATTGAGACCATCCTAGCCAACATGGTGAAACCCCATCTCTACTAAAAATACAAAAATTAGCTGGGCCTGGTGATGGGCACCTGTAGTCCCAGCTACTCGGGAGGCTGAGGCAGGAGAATCACTTGAACCCAGGAGGCGGAGGTTGCAGTGAGCTGAGATTGCGCCATGGCACTCCAGTCTGGGCGACAGTGTGAGACTCTGTCTGAAAAAAAAAAAAAAAAAAAGTCATGATAAGACGTTTTGGTTATTTCTCCCTCTTACCTTGAGATGAAAATTTTGTAAGGCATTAAGTAGTTTAATTCAAATATGAGATTTATATTTCTTCAAATAATTTATTATTTTGCATATTATAGTGGTATGGGGTGGATGGAGGAAGAGCAGTTGGAACCAATTGTGATGCTGCAACCAAGAACAATGAGGGCATAGACTGAGAGGTGACCATGGAAACACATGGAGGGTTTGGCAAGAGTGTTGGAGGCGGAGAAGGTGGAATATTAATGGATTCAGTGCAGCATGTGAAGGACTCATGGATTTACTGCATCCCTCACAAGGGATGACGCCTGGGTTGCCTGACTGAGCAGTAAGATGGGTGTTATTTATGGAATGGGCTAGGCATGTGTAGGATTTAGAAAGAAAACATCTAGTTCTGTTTGTAAATATTAAGTTTGGGATGTCTTGAAGTATCCAAATCCCAATAGCCAATTGGATGTACAAGCCTGGCGATCAGAAAATTCTAATATAAGGATATAAATGTTGGCATTATTAGAATATGATATTCAAAGTCATGTTGCTATTTACCCTAGCTTATAAGTAACAAATTTTTGAGAAAAAAATACACTGTGGTACACTCTGTGATGGCAAATGGATTTGGTAACCCCAGGACTTTTGCTTTGTCAAGGTGGATTACTCAAAGGGTCTCGATTTCCTGGCCCATTTGCTCCTCCCTCAGAATTGTTTTAGTGGATGCTGCTCCATTATCTGCCAGCAACTCTGTTGCTGAGGTAGGACTGAGGCCAGCCTCCTAGTGACAGGAAAATTCTTTCTCAAAACCAAACTAGTTTTTATTTTATTGTCAAAATCCAATTACTTAATCAATGTATGTTTCACAGACAGTTAAATACAAATAACTTCATTGGTATGTATTGTGTATCCTTTCGATCTACAGATTTAGGTCTTCTGTAATCAGACAGACTTTCCTATATTTAAAAATATATTTCCGTTAAACGCACTGTACTCTCTCCTTTAAGAAGATCAGAATTCCACATGCTGGCTCTTTACCATTAATAGTCACACACCCAGCTCCTGTATCTAATCAACTTAACCTCTTGTTCTTCTCCTTTGCATTGTGGAATCTTTTTTTTCTCAATTCAAATTTCCATGTCGCTGTCCTGGTTTTTACCAGTGTATTTTTTTCTTTTCATCTTTATTACTTTCAGTCTAATTTTTGGCATTTCTTTGTAATTATGTATGTGAGCACTTATATTTTAAAAATCCATTCCAGTTTCCTTTCTCCCATGGAATCACTTTCTTCTTAAAATCTGTGCCTCCATTATTTTCCTTGACAAAAAGATGGATATTTTGACTATTTTCAATTTGATGGAATAAGTATTATTCAAAAAGTATTCATTTATTTATTTATTTTTAGAGACGGAGTTTAGCTCTGTTTCCCAAGCTGGAGTGCAGTGGCACAATCTCGGCTCACTGCAACTTCTGCTTCCCAGGTTCAAAAGATTCTCCTGCCTCATCCTCTTCATTTATTTCTTTTATGGGCTATTTTAAATGACATTTTAAAAGCATTTTATGTCCAATTTTCCCATGATTAACATATTTTTAAAACATTTAATATTCATCCACACTTTGCTTCACAATATTTTGATAGACTTTCCTTAGTTATTTTGTCTATATTCTTGTGCACTATATCAAACTTTTTTGGTAGGTAGATTATATTATCTAATGTGTTGTTGATATGATTCAGGCAGATGGGGGCATCAAAAAACTTAGTCACTGTGTATCTTTCCTAAATATTTTCAAAACCATGAAGAACTACAGTGGGCTGACTTGTAGATATCTCTCACACATTTAAGAAGTGCTCCCTCTGTTTAGATGTTTCCTGTAACTAGGATTAAATTTAAATTTTTCCAGACAAGGGAAAAACAGGTGTCATTATAGTATGTACATGGTAACTTTAACTTATCCACTTACAGAAAAGAGTCTATTACTTAAATATACAACATTTTCTCTTAGCATTCTTTGAGCCTTCTGTCCAACTTGTATTTCCAAATTAAGAAGGTTTATTTTTACCAAATATTACCATTTTCTAACAAATTTCTCAACTCTCTCAAGAAGAAATGTTATGTGTTAATATTTTTAATGCTTTTGTTTTTAAATTTTATCTATTTTTTCTAATCTTTCCCAATTTTGTAGTATGATATTGAAGCCATTTATTTTTATTAATACTTATTTTGGTGTATACCTATTAGCTGGGTTTATTTTGGCAAGTTTTATGCAAACTACAATTTGTAGTTTTGCATTTTTTGCAGTCACTTTTCATGGAAGACTTTTTCTAATATTTTCAGGTATTCATAGCTTAAAAATCATATCTAGCTAGAAAATTTTAAATAAAGCTAATTTTATAATGAAAAATAGTTTAATATATTGAGAACATAAATATTTTATCACAAAAAGTAATGGAGGTAAAAGTCAAGATAGACTTATTCTACAGATGTATAAAATATGAAAGAAACAGACATTTTCTACAATACAAATACATTGTATTATATAGAATTTTTCTATAATGCACACACAAATATTATATAAAACAACAGATAATGGACTGATGTTCTGGTACAAAATAAAAAAATCAGCTGAAGTGTTTCAGATTCAAGTTATATGTGGTTAGAAATGTAAAACTGCTTATTAACATTGTATAGAAAGGTTCCAACTTAGCATGCTGTTATAGTAATGTGATAAGTGCCCAAATATATTAACATTATATGTAGAATCTTTATAAAATACCCAGATATAGAGAAAGATTAACCATATATCATTATAAACACCGAGCTAAATTCTTAATGTTTTAGGAAAACAAATATTTATTAAAATGTTGTAAGAATTGATAACTACAACAATAAGAAAACTTAAATCAAGCCAAACAAAAACACAAATACATTTAAAAAAATTTTTCCTTCCAGTATAGTTGGAGTTTGGTAACAATGTATTAAGACATTGCGTTAAATCTAAGTGTTGCAGCCTCCTTACTCCTTAGTTGAGTGAAGTCTGAGTTCTTGTCCCACAACCAAGAAGAACAAGGCATGCAGACACCAGAGAGTGAGTAAGGCAAAGTAGGATTTACTAAGTGACAGAAAAGCTCTCAGCAGTGAGAGGGGACCCAAACAGAGTTGCCAAACATGGGGCTGAATTCTGGGTCTTTTATGTGGCGGAAACAAGGAAGTCTTCTGTGGGTTCTGCCTTAATTGGAGGGTAAAATTCCCCCCAGTGTTGTTGTAACTGTGCATGCCTGGGGTTGTCCATAGTGACTCCATCTTGGTTACTCATGAGTGCCTAAGCAAAAACCATGGGGGGTAGCTAAAACCACAATGCTAATGGCATTATAATGAGTTCAGGGTAATTTTAGGACACCCTTCATCCTTGTCTGCACCTGTGTGGGTGGCTGGAAAGTCCCTTTTAAGCAGAGATCTTGGTATAAAAGGAAGTTCTTAGTCATATTTCCTCCTGCTAGCTACAAAACAAGTTATATCTGGTTAGAAATGTAAAACTGCTTATTAACGTTGTATAGAAAGGGGTTCCAACTTAGCATTATGGGGCATGCTACATAACGGGCAATGCAGGTGCGGTCTTGCAAGTGTTGTCTCTTCCCAGACCCTCCCTCTCCATCTGCCTAACCAGCCTCTACCTGCCTCCTGTCTCATAAGCCTTGGTAATTAGTGACAGAAAATGACCAATGACAAAAGTTACTGCAAGCTTGAGTAGCAAAATTTGAAATTTCTGAGTTTCCTGAGATTATTTTTCAAAGACAGAACATTCTTGCTGTTGTGAGTGCACTCTTGAGTGTGCTGTTCCTCTAGGAAGCTTACTAAAATCTGCAAACTACCTAGAAACATTCTACAATGAAATGTTGGAGGTCCTGAAATCTACACAGAGTTATTTTTTTTAGGACAGCTCCATAGGAGGCTGTCCTTAGCAGCAACAGTGACTGAAATCTTGGGCTAGCTTGCATCTGTCCATCAGGTTCCTACAACCCACAGAAGTAAGTTGTACCTATACTCAGAGCAAGTGTTCAGGTGCAGCAGTGAATTCTTACTAGGTAGTTCTTCAACAGATTCTTGTCTAGATTCCTAAAAACACCCAAGAGAGTTGAGAATTCATTGTTCTTCTGCATTGGCTGCCTTTTGCCTTTGCCAGTTTGCTGCAAAGAAGAGACGAGTGTTCCTTACTATTTTCACTGTGTCCTGGTAGTCTGGAAAGCTTGTAGATGGCTGAGTTTCAGAAAGTCTGTGTCTTGAAAAATATCACCCTAAAATGATTATGGAACAGCATTAAAAAACTGTGCCTCACAAAATAAATTTCTCATAAAAATCTGTTTTATGACTTAATCCTAATATGCAGCAAAATGTTATAGAGATTATAGAATAATTTCTAAGAAATTTTTGGCTGCAATTTTCATTAATAATGTATTCTCAGGAGTGTTGTAGATGGAACAAAATCAAATATTTAAAAGGTGAAGAAGTATAATACCATCCACCATATGTAAAGGTTAATATTTATTTAATATTGTGAAGAAAAATGTGAATTATGTAGAAGAGTTATTTTATATGAACAGTGAGATTTTATATGCATCCTTGACTTTGTCAGGAGAGTATCTTTTAACCCAGTTCTGTAGGTGGAAGAACACAAGATGCTTTTAGCTCACAGAGAGAAGGGGACTGGCATGTACCATGTATTAATCCTGTAACTCCCAAGACAGTCTACCTGCACTTCCTCTTGCCTTTATTCACAAAACCACTCTGTTAGCGTGTAGACAGAAAAATGGAGAAAGTGGTAACATTACGCATTCCTGTTGTAATCAGCAGTGAAATTGTTCTTATTTTCTGTAATAAATTTACAAGAGTACACAACAAGTACAGCAAGATGATAAAAAAAGATACATTTCTGATGCTTCTTTTCCTTTTGAGAAAGGAACAGGTTGGCAATTTAAAAAATAGCCAACATTTTTCTGAGACATAATAGAATTAATGGTCAAATATCTGCTCCAGGGCTGCCCCACCTCTTGTTATTGTTGAATAAGAATACATCTGTGAGTGAACATGACTCTAGAGCTTAGAGTCAGCTAAAATCCCCTGGGAAAGATGGGATTAAAAGAAATGAGGACACTGTAGGCTTTCTCCCTCTGTATGGCATGAACTTTTTTTTATATAATTTAGAATTCTGATATATAGTACAGTGAGAGTGTACCATAGGATGAGCTAGGGCTATCTTCCTGACCACGAGGTGAACAGGTATCTCTCTGGTATGTTCAAGATCAAGACTAATATATTCTGTCTCTCCCAATATTACTGTCTTTGCCATTCTCTCTCCTTTATCATGGATTGGAAAGTAATATATTTGACAGAAGGTGGCTGGGGACACCACTCTCTCTGGAAAGGGCCAGTTCTGGGCCATCTTTTGCTTTAATAGTAAGGTGAAAGCCAAGTAACAGTTATTATGTGATTTCAAAGCATCCAAAGGTGATACGAGCTGTAGCATTCATAAGAGAATAACTGATTAAATATTTTAAATCAACAATGGAAAGGAAAATAAACAGTATATTTGTTATGCCAGCAACATAAAATTAAACAGCTCTGCTGCATGTTAATTTTTACATATTATGTGAACTCACTTTTCGAGAGAGTGTCATGACATTTATGTCTTTCTAGAGCATGACGTGACATTTAAGTCCTGAAAGAAATTTAAAAATTGTAATATTAACAAAAATTACATGGTAACACAAAATAGGGTCTAAGGAATTAAATTTTATAAAAGGATATCTTTATTTCTATAAAAAAACATATTTTTTCCCTTTAGCTCCTTCCCTTTTGAAAAAAACAACCATTTTCCCCATGAATTCTAGATTTTACTCAAGTTTTAAAATTACATTTTAACTCATAGATATTTTAATGTAACTGAGAAATGTCTACATTTATCTTGCCTTTTTTTTACAAATATAATTAATTGTCAATAATTGATTTAGTTGGTAAAAGAGCAATTTTCAAGGTGATTTCTGGAAATGAGCTGGTAGGTTAGGATTGGGAAGCTTAGGAATAAAATGTAACATATTGTATGTGTGTGCGTGATATGGGTTGGATGTTTGTCCCCTCCAAATCTCATGGCGAAATGTGATCCCCAGTGTTGAAAGGGATCTGGAGGGAGGCGTTTGGCTCATGAAGGGTCTGGTGCCCTCCCCACGGTGATGAGTTAGTTCTTGCTCTGAGTTCACTTGAGAGTTGGTTGTTAAATACAGCCTGGTACCTCCTTCCCTCTCTCACTTGTTCCCTCTCTCGCCACGTGACACACCAGCTCCCCTTCCCTTCTACCATGACTAAAAGCTTCCTGAGGCCCCACCAGAAGCTGAGTAGATGCTGGTACCGTGCTTGTACAACTTGGAGAACCTTGAGCCAAATAAAATTATTTTATTTATAAATCACCCAGCCTCTGGCTATTCCTTTATAGCAATGCAGAATAGACTAACCCAGTGGTTTGCATGAGTGTGAGTGTGTGTGTGTGTGTGTGTGTGTGTGTGTGTGTGTTTCATTTCTTTTATTCTTTGCTCCTGTGACCCACTTTTAGGCTTCTTCACTTAAGCACAGCACAAGGATATTGCTATCTTCTTCCTCTTCCTTTTTGGGCATGTCAATATGAACAGAAACATTTATTGACCTACTACAGTGTACTGTGTTTGAAGTTTTTAAGGTTTTATTTCTTGTAATTTTTACAACTTTGTGATGAGTTTCTTATAATTTCCAAGCTTATGTTGCAGAAGTTAACATTATAGTTTACTGATCTGTGTGAGAAAGGTAATTTAAGCAAGATTCTCCTAATCTAATCCTTAAGGAGCTAGAAAAGAATGCATATTCTGTTTAGCATTATATGAGAAATTTAAATTTCAGTACCAGTTCAGAATTATATTACTTCATAAACATATAAGTCATGTTAGACTTTCAAAATCTATTTTCACAGATTTATGTATATATCTACTAATTGACACTTAAAAAAGACAAAAATAAATTCTATCTGATTTAAATCATTTTCTTGAGCCATTGAGATATGCTTCATGACAATACATATCAATATTCATGGTATGACACAATACATATCAAATTCATGGTATGACATATAATTTACTAAAAAAAAATGAGAAAGATTCCGGTATTTCCTAAGAAAAATTAATGTATTGAAAACATTTTAGCACTAGTAGTCATTCACTGTATTTTTAAATAAACTAGTTTTAAATGTATTTATAGTAACTTTTTTGTAAAAGATAAAAATTTTAGTATTTATTTTTAGAATAATTTACCCTTTAAAGTATGACATAAAAACTTAATTTATATCATCTATTCAAGTAATGTTGAGGTATACCATAAACACTAAAAATAGGTTAACAGAGGAAAGTGTAAGTTAATATTTTTATAATGAGGCTGTTCTTCCTCTCCAAGATAAGGAGTAACCTGGGATCCACCGACACCCCCAGGTAGAACTAGAAAAGCCACACAACAGATCAGACTCATCTCTATAAAAACATCATATAGCTGCTGAGGCCACAAGCATGATAGGCCTTTGTTGAGGGTGAAGTAGAGCCAATTGTCCCATAGAACTGATGTTTATAGTGTCTTTTGAATAAGCATAGAAATTAACCCTTCTAGTTTTAAAAGTTACATTTGTCTTATCTGAGTTACTTTCTCAGGTAAGTTACCAACCAGAAGCCCTCCCAGATAATAGCAAGGAAACTCACCAGATCACTGCCTTTGGACAATGAGATGTCAGAACCCTCACCCATCATGGCTGCCAAAGTGATCATCTGCTTCCTGTTGACCAACTCCTTCTCCTAACCCCTTCCTAATTTCTGTTTTCCTGCATGTAGTTATTTTCTGCTACATAAACCTCTAATTTTAGTCCATCGGGGAGATGGATTTCAGGATAATCTCCCATCTACTTGGCTACAGCACCTGATTAAAGTCTTCTTCCTTGGCAATAATGGTTGTCTCAGTGATTGGCTTTCTGTGTGGGAAGCAGAAAGGCCTAGACCAAACCCCTGATGTTTTGGTAACAAGGGATGGACCTCAGAGAAGTGCACTAACTTCTCCCCGTGCTTTGGGTCAGGAATCACTGACCTTAGGAGTCTGAGGCTGACTGCACTGGCTTTGCAGAGAGCCACTGTTTGAGTGACAGCCACTTTGTAGCATGTTTGGCAAAGATGAGATGGGACTTAGCACAAAGGCAGTAGTTCTCATGGAAACTCTGAAGAATTATGAGGGTCCCTGCTTGAGAGTCCTCATGTGCACATGCAGATCTGTGGGCACGTGTGTGTCTATATGCTAAAGCCTCTAAAACTCAGTATCTGAAATGCAGAGTTTACAAAGGTTTTGAAAGAAGCACAAGTGTATGGAACCTTACCAGTCTTGCCATAGAGCCTCAAGTTATTGCCCAGTAGACTGGATTAAATAAAGGTGGTGATGAATTAAATGTGACCATTGATGGAGAGGGAGGTATCAGTAAACATACCTGGATATTTACTTGAAAAAAATGTGCGTGGAAACTGGAAGCATCATTTGGGGTGTATCATCAGGATTTCAGAGTTGGACCTCACAAATCGGGTAAGCGTATAAAACATCTGAATGTTCATATCAGTGAGGTGGTGGAAGTATGACTCATGAAAGTTAGAGGAAGAGGCTTCAAATGAATTAGTATTCTATTAGCATATTCTTAGAATTTAATTGTGGGAATGTATTCCTAGGAGATTACCTAGGGAAAAAGATGGGACAGTAATGAACCCCTAAGGAATCTGATATTTTAATGTAAAGAACAAAAGGATACCCTGACCTATAATTTCCTGAACAGATGATAGAGTGGTGAGAGGCAATTTTTAATTGTTTACAGCTCTAGAGAAGCTTTGTGGCTGTGGAGGTGAGTTAAGGTGACTTTAATGTATCGAATTTATTTCAATTTACTTAATTTTTCAAACTTCATTTTTTATATTAATTACATGCAGATGTAGTATGGTTGGAAGCAATTAAATGACTGGGAAAAGCAAATTAGAAATTTGGAAATAAGTGCAAAACTACATAGGTGTGAGAAAGTAAACTTACAACTCTGATCAGTTTGACAATGAATATTTTCTAAGTTTTAAATTAAAGGGGGTTTATCAACTCTTCAGCTTTACAGTGTAAGGGAACAAAATCTCTGTAATTGTAAAAATCTGGAATTGATTTTTTCAGGCTGTTGCATGTTCCATATCCTCCTTTGTGTTACTAAACTCTTCTGTTACTGGTAACAGCGAAGTACCAGTTTAAAAAAATCAACCAACCAACAGCAATAGCAGCAGCAATAAAAACATTCCTTCCCAATAAGGCATATGGAAATAATTTATTAATGCTTAAGAATTTGGGGAAAATTTATTGACTCAGGGAGAGGCTGACTCAAAGGTCTTGTTCCCATGCACAGAGTAGTGGAGGGGCAGCTGCCACGCTCAAGTCATGAAGGTTTGAGCCCCACCCCAAGGCTGAGAGTGGAAAGCCAAGGGCCATTGTGTTCATGGTCCTGTGTGGATTCATACAGCTGTAGCTGACTTCTAATGGACTTCTCATTATGAGAAAGTTAATAAACTAAAGTCATCTTAGTTAAGCAACTAATTTTCTGAATTCTGCCTTAATTCACAACTGCTTTACTTCCTGCCTCTGTGATCTTGAGCAAATTGTGTAACCACTGGGTGATTCAGAGACTCATCTGAGGATAGGATATGCTCCACGTAGTTTCTACAGTGATAAACAGGGATAATGTGCTTGAAATCCCTAGCACTGTGGCAGCCAAAAGTGAGGTTTCAAATATTGAAATGAGTTATTAAAATTTGAGGAGGGGGTGACAATCATAAAAAGTTTACCATATTACACTTTTAAAAAGATGCTGTACAAAGATACTATAAATTTACAGACCAGAGTGGGGAAAGTTATTTGCAACCAACATGACAAACTATGGGTTAGAATTCAAAATGCATAGAGCACCTACTAATCAAAAATCAAATTTCAAATATAATAGATAAATGAGCCAAAAATATAAATAGGTTGATTCTATTTTCTTGAAAATTATCTTGGGCAAATTTTAATGTCAAACATTAAAATTACTTACAGTAAAAGCAAAAATTACTAGTTGGCAAGAAAAATAAATGTTTTTTCAAATATTAAAAATGTCCATGAATCTGGACTTTGGTGAGTAATGCTCACTCCACGTAAAGCTATCTATGTCCTGGAACCTATGAATATGTTATTTACAGGATAAATGGGACTTTGCAGTTGATGAAATGAATAATTTTGAGGTAGTGTGATTATCCTGGATTATTTGTGTGGGTCTGTTGTTATCATAAGTTTCCTTATGCAAAGAAGGCAGAAGAAGCAGAGTTGGAAAGAGAAGATGTTAGGATGAAAACGGAAGTGAGAACAGAGAGTTATGCTATGCATCTGGTTTTGAAGTTGTAGGACGAGACCGTGAGCCAAAGAATGTGGGCAACCTCTAGATGCTAGAAAAAGGCAAGGCAATGAATTTTTCCCTAGAGCTTCCAGAGGGAATCAGCCCTGCCAACATCCTGACATTAGTCCAATAAAACTGATTTCACATTTCTGACCTCCAGAATTATAAGATAACAAATTCATTTTGTTCTAGCCACTAAAGTTGTGCTAATTTTTTACAGCAGAAATAAGAAATGCAGCCTCCATCTTGAATATCTGTAGCACATGCTTCATTGTCTACAGCTGTATAGTATCATCTGCAAGAAGTAGCTTGTGGTCTCATCCATCCAGTTTTTTTTTAAGTCTTACGAACCCAAATGCAGTTTAAAGTCCTTAAGATAGACAATGTATTCCATATTTCTTGGTGTAAAATAAGGATGGTGATTAGATATATTTCATATATATACTTTTATTTTCCCCTGTAAACATGTTCTTCAGCAGCATTTACCTCCAAGAATCTTTTTCTCAGACAATGAGTGGGCATCCCCTGGAACCCATATAAAATTCAGTGATTAGCTTAAAATTTCACAAATAATTTTCTTGAATTTTAATAAATAATAGTAGTAAAGTTTGAAACATAGGCTTTGTTCTGGAAAAGAAAAGGGACTCTCAAACTCCATCAACTGCTAATTAACATATCCAGCTTGGCACGAGAGGGTAGAAGAAGTTGTGCAGGAGGATGAAAGGGAGGACATTGAGGTCCCTGAACAGAGATAGCACTTGTCACTACACACACGACAAGAGGTCCCCATGGGCACAGATTCTATAGACTAGAAGGTCAGGGACTTGTTGGAGGATGCTGACTGGGCTGCCGTGGGGTACAGGGTGGCAAGGCGACTGTTCTCAATGCCTAGCTCTAGTGCCTACACATGACCCCCAACATCCAGACAGGACATTTCAGAATACAGACTGCACAAGCACCAGCCCTCGCAGCAGAGCTGTGATGCAGCCCCTTGAGAAGAGCAGGGACTTGGAGGACACATGGCTGCCATACTTTTCTCCTAGGACCATCAGCAGGGGGTCCTGATGACATTTTCAGAGGAGCAGGGGGAGGGAGAAAATCTGAAAAATATCTGATAAAAAAAACACAACTAGAAAAGTGATATGCAATGTAAATTCCTGCTGGACATCTTTGGTTGTCTTATGATATAGAAAAAATATGTTCCAAAATGAGTCCACTGTTTTAAAATTGTCTCATCTTCTCCACACCATCTCTGCAACGGGCATTTCCCTCTTGTCTAACATTTCCTAAGTGTCATTTTTATCCACTCTGTCACCCAACAATGAGATAATAATTATCGTAAACCACTTGCTCAGTCTATCAGATCATCTCAACATCCCTTCTCGACTGTCTCTTTTCCACCTTCCCAGAAGCCAAGACCCTGCCTTGAGCTCTCGCCATCTCTTGAGTAAATTATTCCAAGTGAACCTTGTTAAGGCAGTATTTTATATGTGATGATAAAATCCTCTGTTTATGATACAGGTAGATTGTAAAGTAGCTCTGAACCAAAGTTGAGCCACATTCGGTCACTCAAGAGTATATTCATCATTTCTCTGAATGACAACTTTAGAAATCTTCTTCCTATCTCTATCAAGTTCACCGTCCCTATGTCGAAGAACACAGTGAAAAGTATAAAGAGAAAAGGTGAGAAATAATGGCAAAATGTGAACGTACTTTTCAGTGAGTAATGAAGACTAAAAAATATTTAATTGCCTGAATTCAAATTTATTTTGATAAAAAATAACCATATGTTGGAGAGTTATATAACTACATTTGTTGTGCGAATATGCTTGGCTCCACCTAATAGACTTTTCCCATAGAATGAAATATAAGGTACAAGTATGATAAGCATATCCTTTTTATGGACAAAGAAGTTAATAGAATAAACCTCAACAGAAATAAAATTAAGTTTTCAAAGAAGATGGCTTTTATTATAAACAAATATATACTTTTATTATAAATATAGTCCTACTTTTAAAAGTACCTATCTGTCTACTTCATAAACTCTTTCCTACCTCAGACACAAATATTTTAAAATTCCTCAAACTATAAATGTAACAATGTATCTTTAATTCTGATTTATTAAAGAAAAAAGCTCTTCTTATTTCTTACGTAAACAGAGAAGATAGATTTTTGATGATTTTGAATCTGGAACACAGCTCCTCACATGTGGCTCTTTTATAATGACATCTGGCTTCAAGCAGGTAGAAAAAAACCACTCTGGAGTAAAGTATATTTTAATTAATTGCAAACAGTTCTCAAGGCCATCTTCAAACACTTGCACTTCATTGCAAGACAGAGAAAAGATAATTAATAAAAGACTTCATTGCAAGACAGAGAAAAGATAATAAAAGAGTCTCTCTAGAAAATAAATTAGTCACAAATAATTCTTTGTTAAAATTTTTGGCACTGATGACATCCAATGTGACAGGAGTTGGCTGCCTCCACCTGCTGTTAGTCTCTGTTCCCAGGACACTGTTCTGAGATTGTCGTGTTCCTCCCATCCAAGCAAGAATGCAATAATCAACAACTCCATCGAGTAAATGGAAGTGTGAATAGCACTGGATATGCATGAGTAACTGGGCAAAACAACTCTTTGCACCTGCTCCTTTTTTGTATTTCATAATTGACATCAAAGGCTTATAAAGGCAGTGCTTTTTCCCAGTGATTGCTACATTGGTTTTCACTTGCTCCTTCTATTTCATTAGAAGTGGAAAAATGTGTTCACATTTAATGACTAGCTACCTGACTCATTAGCGTAGTCACCTGTGATGGTAAAATCCTGTTGGGTTTATTAATAAATTATTGCTTATCAGGAGGGATAACATTTACCGTCACACTAAGTATAATTTGCCTTGAGCTCCAAGAACAATATAAAGGATAATGGTTTAGTGTGTCCTAAGTTGGTTGTGAATCTATTTTCTATAGAAAAGAGTTGATGCTTCTAAAAATGGTCTTAAGGCCCTTTTCTCACTGATACTACATTCAATCCACACACACACACACACACACACACACACACACACACATATACATAGCTCTCTCAACATGTGTCAAATGTAATAGCACTGAAGAAAAAGCAGAAAATTGAACAAACCCATATGAACAAATTCAGTACAGAAAGAGTTTGAAGGATTTCAAATAATGTAAAAGCCTACAGAATCCCTACCATAAAGATCCCCAATGTACATAAATTAATTGTAAGAAGGGAAAAAAACATGGCATCTAGAGATGTGTATTTTAAGAAAATGCTTCAATGAAAAAGTAATCTTGTTTGGCAGTTTTTACTACTTAAGGCATTGAATTTGATTGATATTGTAGAAATTCACGAGAAAATTAGGTGTTCTAAAAACAGTCGTGTTTCAATTTTCAATGTCTACTTTGAACTAATTGCCTGGCCAGGTAATGAAGGTAGAATAGCAGCAGGGGCACCAGCATGATGATGTTAAGCTGTAAGATCATCAATGGAAACATGTATCACTGTGCATCTAACAGTATATTGACACTGTAGTATGTTTCCTGAGACTTCATCCTGTCTGCTCATGAGAAATGTAAGTTGAATAAAAAAGTGAGGAAAGTAATGCAATACTTGGTCTGCTATAACCAGTATGGTTTAAAACTTATCATAGTCGGGGTATTCACAGGAAAGCTGAAGGACAGTAAGACGGAGCTAAATGCTTGAATACATACTTTTAACTCTGGAACTGGAGTATGAATGAATCATGTCTTGTTTAAAAGGTGTGATTATGGGACTTGGAGGTTAAGGAAACCTGGAACGTTCAACGTGTAAGAGGTAGTCAAATAACAGAGGCCCTTTATTGATGAGCTGTTCACATTGTCCTTGTCACTCAAGACTATTTATGGATTGATTAGAATTTTCTTCGATTAATAAAAATCTCAACCTTTTTCATTGAAAATGTACATATTATTCCTTTTCCTTTGATGTTTTTCTTCACCTATTCTTAGTGGTTGGGTAAAATATCACCTAATTGGAGAAGTGTCCCTGGCCGTCCTTCCCAATAGAGCATTCTGCAATGATTCTCCATCACTGCTGGCTTTCCTTTGCTCTGCATTTGCTTTTTCCCGTTTTTCTTGATGGTCTACAATGTACATGCCACGAAGGCACAGACCTTATTTTCCATAGTCAGCACTCAGTGCTCGGCATTCAGCAGAGTGACTGGCACTTGACTTGTGTTCAATAAATTATTGATTTAAAAAAGCAAAGTAAATACTCTTTAATAAAGAATGGATAGCAAAATATTAGCTTCCTAATAAATGCACAAAAAGACATGAATTTTAAGGAAAATGGATCAAAGATATATAGAAAATATAAGTAGATCGAGATCTGTTAAAAATAAAAATAACTCTTTCAAACAGCTTCTCCTCTGAAATTCGCCATAATCAGATGGTTTTATGAGTAAATTCTTGCAAATTAAATGAAATCGATAACTCCCATGGTGTTTGCGTAGTTCAACAGCACACAGGAAAAAGATAGCTTCTCAATATATTTATAAAGCAGTGCTGTGCTGGCAAGGAGAGCACATAGAGAATATTTTACTTATAAATATTGATACAAAGTTGTAAATAAAACATTAACACATAGAATCAAGTAAAACATCACATGAATAATACACCCAAACAAATAGGACTTATTCTTTTAAGATAAAGAATGATAGAAATGGTTTAGAACTACAAAATTAACTAAATATATCTTATAATGTCAACTGGTCAAAATAAGAAATATATAAAAATTTTTACTGGTGCCAAAAAGGTCTTTCTGACAAAGTAATCCACTAACATGTGAACTGAGGAATACTTTCTTAGCAAGCTGGGAGTGCAGGCCAAAGTGCAGAAGGCTTAATGTTGAGCCGTGAGAAGCATGCAGATACAGGAGCAGGAGGAAGATGGAGGTTTCCTGGTCTTTGTAAAACCTTTAATGGTGTTATGAAATTTCTCACCAATTCAAGTAGACATATGAATGACAAAAAATAAATATAACACATACAGGAGTACCTTGGAAATGTTATGGGTTTGAACACAATGAAGCGAATATTGCAGTAAAGAGAGTCACAGGAAGTTGTTGGTTCCTCGGTGCATATAAAAGTCATGTTTACACTACCCTGTAGTCTATTGTGTGCAATAGAATTTGGTTTGAAAACCAATGTATGTACCTTAATTAAAAATACATTACAGTGGCCTGGTGTGGTGGCTCACGCCTGTAATCTCAGCACTTTGGGAGGCTGAGGTGGGCAGATCATCTGATGTCAGGAGTTCAAGATCAGCCTGGCTAACATGATGAAACAGTGTCTCTACTGAAAATACAAAAATTAGCCGGGCATGGTGGTGCATGCTTATGGTCCCAACTACTCGGGAGGTTGAGGCAGGAGAATTGCTTGAACCCAGGAGGTGGAGGTTGTAGTGAGCCAAGATCATGCCCCTGTTCTAGCCTGGGCAGCAGAGCAAACTCTGTCCAAAAAAAAAACAAAAAAACAAAAAACAAAAAAAACCCCACAAACTTTACTGTGAGTTACGTTTTTTTTGGTTTTTCTGTTCATACAAAAGTATTGTTTACACTATACTTCTGTCTTTGAAGTGTGCAATGACATTATTTCTAAAAGCAATTTGCATGCCTTAATTAAAAATTGTTTATTGCTAAGTAATGCTGATAATCATCTGAGCCTCCAGAGAGTTGTAATCCTTTTGCTAGCTGAGGGTCTTGCCTCAATGTTGGTGGTTGCTGACCAATCAGGGTGGTAGTTGCTGAAAGCTCGGGTGGCTGTGGCAATATCTTATCATAAGATAACTAGGAAGTTTGCTGCATTGTTTGGCTCTTCCTTTCACGAAAGATTCCTCTGTAGCATGTGATGCTGTTTAATAGCATTTTACCCACAAAAGACTTCTTTCAAAATTGTAGTCAATCCTCTGAAACCCTGCTACTGCTTTATCAACTAAGTTTATGTAATAATCATTTTTTAGTTATAATTTCAACAATGTTTACAGTGTCTTCACCAGGGGTAGATTTATTCTCAAGTAATCACTTTCTTTGCTTATCCATAAGAAGCAACATTTCATCTATTAAATCTTTATCATAAGACTCAGTAGTTCCATCACATCTTTAGTCTCAACTTCTAATTCCAGTTTTCTTGCTACTTCCACCACACCTGAAGTTACTTCCTCCACTGAAATATTAGACCTCTCAAAGTCATACACGAGGGTTGGAATCAGCTTCTTCCAAACTCCTGTTTATGTTGATATGGCATCTAGAATGGTAAACTCTTTTTTTTAAGGATATATTTTTCCTTTTTTAAAAAAGTTCTACTTTAGATTCATGGTGTAGATTTTCATTTTTTAAAAAAATCCAACTTTTAGTCTAGATTTAATGGGTAGATGTGCAGGTTTGTTACATGGGTGTATTGTGTGATGCAGTTTAGGGTAAAATTGATCCCATCACCCAGGTAATGGGCATATTACTCAATCAATAGTTTTTCAAACCTTGGCTCCCTTCCTCTCCCGCACCTCAATAAATTCCTAGTGTTTATTGTCACCATCTTTATGTCCATGTGTACCCAATATTTAGCTCCCATTTATAAGTGAGAACACACAGTATTTGGTTTTCTGTTTATGCATTAATTTGCTTGGGATATGGGTCTGTCACTGCATCCATGTTGCTGCAAAGGACATGATGTCATTCTTTTTTATGGCTGCATAGTGTTCCATAGTGTATATGACCAATCCTAGGTTGAGTTCATGTCTTTGCTATTGTGAATAGTACTGCAGTGAACATATGTATGCATGTGTCTTTTTGGTATAATGATTTGTTTTTCCTTGGGTATATACTCAGCAATGGGATTGCTGGGCAGAATCGTAGTTCTTTTTTAAACTCTTTGAGAAACCTCCAAACTGCTTTCCACAGTGGCTGAACTAATTTACATTCCCATCAACAGTGTATAATCATTCCCTTTTCTCTGCAGCCTTGCCAACATCTGCTATGTTTTGACTTTTTAATAAAAGCCATTCTAACTAGTATGAGATGGTATCTCACCGTGGTTTTGATTTGCATTTTTCTGATGATCAGTGATGTTGAGCATTGTTTTCATATGTTTCTTGGCCACTTGTCTGGGTTTTATAGAAGGTTTTCAATTTGTTTTGCCAAGACCCATCAGAGGGATCACTATCAATCGCAGCTATAGCCTTACAAAATGTATTTCATAAATAATAAGACTTGGAAGATGAAATTTCTCATTGATCCATGGGCTACAGGATGGTTGTTGTTTTTGCAGGAATTAAGGCAACAGTAATCTTCTTGTATATTTCCATTAGGGCTCTTGGATGACATGATGCATTGCCAATGAGTAGTAATATTTTGTAAATAATCTTTTTTTTTCCTCTAAATAGTAGGTCTTAACAATGGCCTTAAAAATATTCAGAAAACCATGCTATAAACAGATGTGGTATCATCCAGCTTTTGTTGTTCCATTTATAGAGCATAGGCAGAGAAGATTTGGGAAATTCTTAAAGGCCTTATGATTTTTAGAATGGTAAATGAGTATTGGCTTCCATTTAAAGTCACCAGCTGCATTAGCCCCTAACAAGAGTCAGCCTGGCCTTTGAAGCGTTGAAGCCAGCCATTCACTTCTCCGTTCTATCTATGAAAGTCCTAGTGGTGTCTTTTCCAAGAGAAAGCTGTTTTGTCCACATTGAAAACCTGTTGTTTTATGGAGCCACGCTCATCAATGCTCTTAGCTAGATTTTCTGGATAACTTGCTGCTGCTTCTATATCAACGCTTGTAGCTTCATTTTGCACTTACCCATCCTTTCCTTAAACTGCATGAACCAACCTCTGCTAGCTGCAAACTTTTCTTCTGCAGTTTGCTGACCTTTCTCAGCCTTCATAGACTTCAAAAGAGCCTTGATCTGGATTAGGCATTGGTTTGAAGGAATGTTATGTCTGGTTTGATTTTTCTAACCAAGCCATTAAAACTTTCAATATCAGCAATAAGATGGTTTTTTCTTTGTGTGTTAACTGAAGTAGCACTTTTCATTTTCTTCATGAAGTTTTCCTTTGCATTCACAACTTGGTTAGCTGTTTGGTGCAAGAGGTCTAGCTTACAGCCTATTTTGGCTTTGAAAATGCCTTCCTCCCAAATCATTTCTAGCATTTGATTTAAAGTGAGAGTCCTGCTTCCTTTCATTCGAATACGTAGAGGCCATTGTAGAGTTACTAATTGGCTTAACTAGAATATTGTTGTGTCTTAAGGAATAGGGAGGCTTGAGGTGAGGTAGACAGACCAGAAAATGGTCGGTCTGTGGAGCAGTCAGAACACAACAACAGTTATCATTGAAGTTTGCCATGTTATGTGGGCATGGTTCATTAGGTCCCAAAATAATTACAATAGTAACATCAGTGATCATTGATCACAGATCAGCATAACAGATAAAATAATAGTAAAAATATTAAAATCTTGTGATAATTAGGAAAATGTGATACCGAGATGTGGAGAGAGCACCTGCTGTTGGAAAAATGCTGCCCATAGACATGCTGTATCCAGGGTTGCTATAAACCTTCAATTAGTAAAAAATGCACTTATCTGCAAAGTGCAATAAAATGAAGCAGAACACAATGAGGCATGGCTGTATTTTAAAATGATGGCAAATCAATAAAATATAAACATGGAAACATGCGGTAATTAGTATTTTTACAAAATATAATGCTCTAAATCTATAACCTTCTCATGTATAATAAACATAGGTCAATAATAAAAATCCCATTCACAATAATAACTACAGTGTAAATAAAAATAAAGTTAGCAAAACAAATGGGCAACATACATAATCATAGGAAAATGTTCACAGGGTGAAAAAATGCATAAATAATAATATTTTCATTTCAATGATGAAATATTTTAAGCATTTTTCCTAAATTTAAATAAATTACCATGAAAATTATATAATTAAAAATAGTTGAAAACATCATAAATTTTGAAGACTAATCATTGCCAGGCAATTAGGAAAGATAAAACGAACTAGAAGACATATTGCTCTACCAGTATTGAAACATTAAAAAGAAAGCCAATTATAATCCTGAAGGACAAAATCTCAAATGCCATAGTCCCAAATGTTGAAATCCTGAGAGATGAAAATCCCCAAAATATAATTCTGGAAAAAATTATTTTAAAAATTATTCAAAAACATTTACATTTTTAAAGATTTATTTAACAAACATATAAAGACATGGCAGAACACTTCATAATCCCCTTTACACAATAAAACAGGCAATAATAACCATACGTATCTCTGCAAGCATAAACACTTAGGTATATTAATGAGTCACACTGGTATAACAGTTATGAGCAGATAACTGTTATTTTGAACTCTATTCATAAAGAAATAGGTCAAAAAGAAAAATGTGTAAATATCACTGTGGTTGACAATTGTGTGCACCCAGCTTTATAACTTTGTCATATCTGAAGTACCATGGTGGACAACCTGTTTTTTGACAAGATTGATCAAAAACTGCAATGGGTCTCCACTGCATATGCAATCATCCAAAGAGTTGAGATCTCAAAAAGTTTATCTGTCACAAATGCGGATGTACAAAGACATTTCTTCATTTATTGAGTAAGTTTCAATGCCTTAATACATATATATACAATGCTCACACACAAAGTCCACATTATGCAAAAAAATGCATAAAACAAATTAGAACTCTCTAAAAGTCTTTACACAATTTGTGCATCCAGTATAGAAATAAGGCAAAGATGAAATGCATAGCATAGTGAGTTATAAAATATAATGTAGCCAATTTAAAATAGTGGGACAAAAAAACTAAGAAAAGAAAAATAAAAAAGATAAAAACTAAAAAAAGGCTAAAAAGAAAATTCAACATGTGAAAAAGTATATTATAGGAATAGATTATAAGCAATTGTGTGAAGGTTGTCCATGACAGCTGGCCGACTTTCACGATCATTAATGATTTTTGAAGCCTTGCATCATGATGAATAGCTGCTATTTTTCTTTTGAGGCATGGCTCTCCATGGAGAATATGTTCACATGCATTTTCTATGTGATGCTACTCTTTATGGAATTCCAGGATACACTGACATGGGCATTCCCTATTAAATTTCACCGTATTATTTGCCATGCTTCTATGTTGTTTTTGGTGAATAGAAATCCTTCTGCATGCTCTTATCTACAGGACACAAATTTGGTAGAAACAATATTGGTGCTCAAACAGCAACATCATTGCATAAGTGTCTTCTTAACCTACCTTGCACATAATTATTTTCTAATTAGCCAGTAGCTTCACTGGTTTCTTCAGGCAAATGTAGCTTTAATTCATTAAAAAACTTGGAATTTCATCAACTGAAAGAAATGCCAATGCAGACAACTAATTCATTTTAAAACTGAAATTTTCATTGTGTCGGTGTTGAGTGTCCAGTCCACTCATCTGAGTTTTCCACTAAATGCAAATAAAGATAAGTAATAGTTTCTCCTAACATGATGCAACTATCCTATGTACAACCAAAAATGCACTAACCAAAAAGGACAATTGTATGCTGTTTATCAATGCAATGCAAACATATGGTTTGTACTAAACTTATTTTAAAATTGAAAAAGTTAATCATACACAAGTTACATGTTCTTCTTTATGTTAATGAACTACCTGGTCGAATGCTCAGAAAATTATCTATTATTTATTGGATATATAATTTCAGGGATTTGTTTCATTTTGATTTTTGTGTTCTAATTATACTAATTGAACATTTTTACCCCAATAGTTTGTTTTTAATAAGACATCATTTTTTCCCCTTTTGTTTAAAAAAGGTGACTAATTTTCATTAAGAGATATAATCGACTCAAAATTCTTCTTTCTCGGTTTTGATTTTGAGTCACTTGAGTGTAGTATTTTTAAAATATATATTTTTGAACATTTGGCATAGATGTCCATTAATCAGATGTTGATTGTCTTGTATTTTTCTAAACATGAATATATAATATTCAATATAATCTATATAAATATATAAATTTTCACCCTGGAAGGAGTGCTCTTTTTTTAGTTTTAGCATTGAATTCTGTATGGGTAGTATTATGATATTCAGCAGCAAAAGTATAAATATAAAATTATATGAGCAAGATAATTTTGAATTTCAGCTTTTATGACTTCCCTAAATGTCAAAGAGAATTTGGGTTTAATATTAAAAATATCAATTAAGTGTGTTTTGTGTCAGCTACTTGGCATAAGAGATCTCATAAACTCTTCACAAAAACAATTTGGAGTAAGCATTAGCATTCTTATTCTGTGCACTTCATAGTATAGAGCTGTTAAGGCATCTGAGCAGTGTAATAAACCATGGACTCTAGATTCATTTGACTCTATTCACAAGGATTGCTAATGCTGCATAATGCCGCTAATATACAGAAGTGGATGTGATGGCTTATCACTTCACGTTAGGAGATATGTAAGAAAAAAATATAGGTGTAGTCTCTTACCTCTCAAATAAAAGCTGAATTGACACTTAAGAATTTATAATGGAGTAATTTAAAGCATTTTTGGGGTGATTTAAGTGTCTTCTCAGTCTCTTACAACCTTGGTATTTGAACTAAAAGGTAAGATGCTAAGGAGTACTAAATATAATCAACACCATACTCTAAAAATGCCTGAATTAAATATAATCAACACCATACTCTAAAAATGCCTGAATTAAATATAATCAACACCATACTCTAAAAATGCCTGAATTAAATATAATCAACACCATACTCTAAAAATGCCTGAATTAAATATAATCAACACCATACTCTAAAAATGCCTGAATTAAATATAATCAACACCATACTCTAAAAATGCCTGAATTAAATATAATCAACACCATACTCTAAAAATGCCTGAATTAAATATAATCAACACCATACTCTAAAAATGCCTGAATTAAATATAATCAACACCATACTCTAAAAATGCCTGAATTAAATATAATCAACACCATACTCTAAAAATGCCTGAATTTGTGGAACAGAATGATATGGATTGGGATGTAGCTCAACTCCTTAATATTTTTCAATCTTGTGAAACTTACTAATCAAAATTCCCTTAAAAACAAGACGCAAGAATAAAATCACCAGAACTCCTACCACTCCAGATATTCTCATGTGGTAGATGACATGGTTGTTCCTAATTCTTTGCTTTCTCGTCATTTAATTTTGGCGTATACCAGGAAAGCAGAGCTTGTATATGCAGTTTTCTCTAACCAATGTATTATGAAGAGACATAACATAAACAAAGTAGTAGATTTAAATATGTTTATGTTACTTTGCTTTCCCTCTTGCACTTCTACTATCTGCTATGAGAAGAACAAGCCCTGGAGAGTCACTGTGTCAAGTACCACGAAGACACAGAGGGAGCAGACCTGGCCCCAACCCACAGTTGGTAAGCAGGCAGAGCTGAGCTCAGACATGATTAGGCAAACTCCAGACAATGGAGACCTGTGAGTAAAACACAAAAGTATTGTCATAAACCACTAAGACTCCAAGGTTGCCACACAGCAATAACTAATACATGGACTCTTGACCTTTTGTTGAACATCCACAATACAAATCCACAATAAAATAGGCAAGTTTATAACTTAAATCATTATGTGCAATTTTCTTCATTATTCCTATATGTGAATATGTATATATACACACACACATATATATACATATATATACACATATATATGGATAGTGCTTTAAGTTATTCTTTCCTTAAATATCTTTATTGTCTAGTTTATCATCTGTTCTTTTTTTCTAGAAGATTTAATGTAAACGTTCAAGTAGTATTCCTGTGAGTGTTAGGGGGTCATTTCTGCAGGTTTTTCACAAACTAGAGCACTTTGAGATAAACACTATTGCAACACATGTTTTTGTAATTCTACATTAAGAATGCAATTTGCATATTATATGATAAGGCACATGTGTTTTATACAATGTAAAAGGAAATCAGCAGAACTTGTAACTAAGAGCCTCTCTACAACATGACCTGAACAAAGTAGGTGAATTTGCTACTGGTTGATAATATTAACTCGTCACTCCACCTTTTAGTGTGTCAGATTTTCCTGTTGCAAAACTGGTTAACATGAGGACTTAGGTAACTCTCAGACTTCACCTGATGAGTGTACAGTCTTTTCTGCAGTTATGATTTTCCAGTAACTCTGAATTGATTTCTGTCATTGGTATAAAAACATGCCAGAAATGTGCACCACTCTAGACAACTTTACAACTGAAAGTTATGTTGGAATATTTGTAAGTCTGCAGTGTCTGTGTCGGGTTTTCAGTTGATGAGTGATCAGCACACATGTGGGAGGAAACTATCTAAGCTGAGTAAACATCACCCAAAGGATTAGAGGGGAAAGTACTCTAAGCTCACACCGGTTTGGCAGAGCACGTGTTCCCAAAATCGAAAATGAAATTCTCATAATTCACAAATCTCTTAATTCTGGGGCATCAGTTGCAATTCTGTGTCAGAGAGATACATAGTATGGCAAATTTCTACATTAAGAAGCAGCAAATGTGGGCTTCAAAAGTGAAATTATTACAATTGCATTTGTGTCACAAGGCAGTTCTAGCTGCTGCTGTATCCACACAAGTATTTACTTTCCTGAGCCCTGGCTGTGCAGCTGCTGCATCAGGGCTGTGTTCCTCATTTCTTCCCCAGGTATCATTGCAGCACACCCTCATCCATCAGGGCTCTCTGGACATGCCTCTTTTAAAAATCTGAAATAGTCTTACTAAATAGTCAGGCAACATGAAACAAGCAGGAGAAAATGAAGAAAAAAGGATGCCACAGAAACAGAGCACCCATCAAACCCAAGTTCCTTTGGCTAGATTTTAGCTCAAATACTGCAATTTAGGAAACAGTGATGTCTTTGTGTATGCTATATTATTGCTGATATATTTTAGCTGCTTTAATTATCAGGCCTTTCATTATCATTAAGAAGGGTGAAACTGTTGATGAAATTTATATATTATGGGTCCACTCACTAGCATTTCCTGAACAGGATATATGAGTATGAATAATATCAAGAAGTAAATATTTCACAAAATATGTCTTTCCAAAAGTATCTCTACTTTATATTATACAGAAAATATCCCAATATATCATATTTAATTAACTAAATGAATCTCATTTTATGGAAGAAAACTTTACCTTTGTGTTGACTGTAATTTGATACTAATGTACTGCAACAGTATACCTCTCTATAAAGAAAATCTTATTTTAACTTTTTACACATAATTTCTTTGAAAAGTACATTAATTGAAACACATGCCAAATTTTGAGTTTTCAAAATGTGTTGAATGAATTCCTAACAGTTGGTGAATTCTTAACATTTCATTCTTCAAAATATTTATGCCAATTTAGATTCCTACTATTTGCCCATTCTTTTAATTCTGATTATTAGTTATTTTTTCCACATATACTTTTTACTTTCTTCATGCACAAAATGTCTCATTAATTTTTACATTTATTTAGCAGTCTTTCCTTTCTAATGAAATTCAATATTTTGCTTTTTTCTTTTACTTTTGGTTGACATGTAACACCTGTACATATTTATGAGATAGTATTATTTTGATACATGTATAAAATTATAAAATGTTTAATTTTCAAATCAGAGAAATTAGTATATGCATCACTTCAAACATTGATCATTTCATTGTGTTTGGAACATTCAAAATCCTCTCTTCTAGCTATTTGAAAACATATAATAAAGTATGTTAACTATCAACACCCTACAGTGCTATGCAACACGAGAACTCATTCTTTCCATCTAGCTTTAACTTCGCATCCATTAACCAACTGCTCCCCATCCTCCCCTTCCTGCTATGCTTCCCAGCTTCTAATAACCCACAATTGTACTCCCTACTTCTATGTGCTAATTTTTTTTTTTTCAGCTCCCATGTATGAGCGAGAACATGCCGTATTTGTGTTCCTATGCCTGACTTATTTTACTTAATGTCCTCTGGGCTCATCCAAGTTGCTGTGAATGACATAGCACAATGTGGATTTCATTCTTTTATGGCTAATTATAGTCCATTGTGTATATGTACTACATTTTCTATATCCATTCATCTGTTGATATACACACAGGTTGATTTAATATCATGGCTATTGTGAATAATGATGTAGTAAATGGGGGGTGTAGATGGCTCCTCAATGTCCTGATTTCCTTTTCTTTGGATAAACAGTAGCAGGATTGCTAGATCATATAGTAGTTCTACTTTCTTTTTTGTTTTGAAACGGAGTCTTGCTCTGTCGCCCAGGCTGGAGTGCAGTGGCTCAATCTCTGCTCACTGCAAGCTCCGCCTCCCGGGTTCACGCCATTGTCCTGCCTCAGCCTCCGGAGTAGCTGGGACTACAGGTACCCGCCACCACGCCCAGCTAATTTTTCTGTTTTTAGTAGAGGTGGGGTTTCACCATGTTAGCCAGGAAGGTCTCGATCTCCTGACCTCGTGATCTGCTCGCCTCGGCCTCCCAAAGTGCTGTTTTCAGTTTTTTGAGAAATCTTTATACTGTTTTTCATAATGGCTGTACTAATTTACATTCCCACCAACGGTGTATAAGAGTTTCCTTTTCTTCACATCCTCACCAGTGTTGGTTATTTTTTTTGTCTTATTGATAATAGCCATTCTAACTGGGGGAAGATGCTATCTCATTATGGTTTTGATTTGCATTTCCTTGATGATTAGTGATGCTCAGCTTTTAAAATATACTTTTTTGGCCGTTTGTATGTGTTTTTTGGAGTAATCCGTTCAGATGCTTTGCCTACTTTTTAGTTGGAACATTTCTTATTTGTGAATGATCATGTCTTCTGCTCATGTTCACATTTTTCTGGGGAGATTTTTATCTTTTCTGATTAACCTTTAAGAGATCTTAAAAAATATATTCAAGATGAAGTTTATCTGTGCTTCTAATCTTCCTTTTATTATTTCTAATGATGTATTTTATTTTTAGTATTCTAATGGGTATTTTTGAGCCACAGTAATGTGTGCATTTAAAGATTTCATGCAGTGAAATCTTACATGTTGTGTGGGGCTATTATTTGTTTTGTTTTGCGTTTGGTGTAACTTTTGCAAAGTCCAACTGTATGGAGACTATATTATCATTCTCATTTTACTATTGACTTCTATGTTTATATGGCAGATTGTATCTGTTTATAAAATACTCCATATGCCTTGATATTTAGCAACACAAGATTTCTTATTCTTTTCATTCTTCGGGGTTCAAATTACCTGTCATTTCTCCTCTGTCTCAATATTCTTATGTCAATGATAAAGACACTAATTGGCTTCTCCTGGAATATACGCCCACACATATGACAAGCTATAGTTGCCAAGGGGGTTGATTTCAATGATTCAACAATATGGGGACTTGGGGCCATCCCTGTACCAAGAAAGGAAAGTTCTTTTATTTGCACAAATAACATATAGTACAGTGAACCAGCAAAGAATGGTGGCCTAGTAAACAAAAGTGACAACAAAAAATAACTTCAAAAATACCTGGCAGAATAAAAGTTCATGTTAACTACATCTAGCCACATTTCTCATTCCTGTTGCTACTACCATAGTTCAGTCCTTTATGATTTTGTACTTGAATTGCTTGGGCAAATTTCATAATGATATTAGTGCCTTTTGACCTTTCTCATCTGATTTATTTTAACACACTCGGGCCAGTATGACATTCCTAAGAACACAAATCTAATAATGTTGTTTACATGGCTGAAATGATTTAAGGTACTTCCGTTGTTTTTAGGAAAACGTGAATTTCATTACTTGAAATAGAAGGCTGGTTTTTAATTCAGTTCAATTTATCTCTTCTCTCTCCTGTATTATATCTCAATATCAAACTATACCAAAATTCCTAGAATTATCAGAGTAGGACCAGATGCCTCCCACTAACTAGTACATGAACATGACCCTCCATAGAAAAATACTTTAAATACAATTTATTTTTACTGCTACATTGTCCTGAATTAATCGTAATAATGGCATTTATCACAATCTACAATGTCGGCTTGTTTATATTCCTCTACAGAATTTAAGTTACTTGAGGGCAATGACTATATTACTCATCTTTGTGATGAGTGTCAAGTGGCTATTGTAGAGTAAGGATTCAAAACATGCTGGTTCAGGGAGCACATGTGTGAACTCCACGTGAAGATGCCTATGATTGTGGAGAACACATGTTCATGGTATCGAGTCTCCATGAGGGCACCTCCTTGAAGTCCCACTTCAGTCTCTCCTGCCCATTTTTTCCTCACCACTGAAAAGAACCAGTTGCCTGATACATGAAATTAGAAGAAGAAAATGAACAGGCTAACATATTCTTTTATCAACACTCCTTTCCCTCTCAGTTCATGATCCAGATGCCTATCTAGAATGCACACTCCCACCTTCTCTCCACCACAGAGCAGGAATTTATCTGCCTCTTCGAAGGAGATATCAGCTGACCTCCCAGGCGGGTTTCAAGGGAATAGCCTTGGAATCAAACATCCTGTTCTCGAATTTTACTAAATAGGCTGTTTTTTTTTCCCACTCCTCTGATTCATTTGCTTGTTTTTCAATCCTTTATGAACTCAATATGGAAAAACAGGCATTATTTTGTTAGAACCCTGAACCCAAACATTTATGTCCAAATTTTCTCTGATTTTGACAAGAACTTACAAAAATTCAAAAATAACTTTCAGATATACGGTAATCTTGCGTGGGACACATTTGCTGGAATCTTTTTATTCCATACCTTTCTTAGTCTTTTATTTTATACATTCTTGAAAGCATTTCTGTTTGTGGATCTAGATTTTGGCAGTCTTACTACCCGCATTCTTTTTCTCTATACCTTATATTCCAATTCGACTGGAGAGTGACCTGGCTAAAAGACAGTCATCTCGCTGTTTAGAAGGGCACTTGTACTCTAGTCAAGTCATATATAAGAAAAAAGAATGATGACTTATGTACAAGGAGTCACTATTTGGTGTTTTGCTGGGCAAATGTTAACTGATTGGTATGAGGATGAATAATGAGTTTCTTACTAGAGAGGGATGAGATCGATGTCTATAAGAATTATAAACAGCCAAACATATTAATGATTCAAGCTCATATTCAACTTTCTGTTTTGAAGGGTACCATTTCCATAACTTATTGTTATGTGTTTACTTAAACCTAAAAATATATTTACATTTTTCAGATAAATTTTCTGTTAGAGTCCAAGTTCAATATGGAAGAAAAAAATTGACAAGAGTCCAAGTGATCAAATCCCTCAATTATGGAACAGTTCTTTAGTCAGACAATTGATGAAAATAAACAGGAAAACTTGCTTTTAGGAGACATTTGGTGAAAGTGCCATAGTCGGTGTTGAGAGGGGCTCAGAGTAAAAGTAGATGTGGGAGTTGAAACTTAGGAACTAATAGCAAAGCTCTCATCTCATTGTACATCGGGAAGGCACTCATACAGACCTTAAGTGGGATGATAAATAAAATCACCAGCATATTTTTTTAAAAAACGTCCGAAGATGGAATGTGTCATTCAGAAACATTACTGACCAGAATCAGCAGAAGCAAAGAAAAACAGCTGTGGGAGGATGAATGCTTACAATGTCTGCTTAAGCACTGTGGTACTCAGATGTCTAAGGTGGCCTGCATGACCCACACATCCTTGTGTGACACCCTTGTGTAACACCTCTTCCCTTCGAATGTGGCAAAAAAATATATACAAAGACCAACCAAATGGGAAAAACAAAGGCCGTTTATCCTGTGCTTGCATAGCAAGAGAGTCAGCCAACATTACTTGGATGTTGGCAGGGATTCAAAGGCAGGCAGAGAAGTGCGAGAGCTTTATAGTGAAAAAGAGGACAGCTTCAAGCTTGCCCTGATTGGAGGCGACTGGCATGAAGAAGCTGCAGGCCAGCTACCTGGAAGTGGGACACCCTATGGGATTGGTTACGGGTGTATATTTGTCTTTCTCTGGTTGATCCTAAGTTAGGAAATGGGACAAAAATTAGAGAAACTGAGTTTTTAAAGTTCTGGTCATTTTGAACCAATTGTTACAAAAGTTATTGTTTAGCTTTCTGAATTGTCACTAAAGACAGCAAACTGGCTTCCCACAAGTCTCATTTATAACAGGCTGGCTTCCTGTTTTGTTTTCCGTTGACAAATAAAATTGTATGTATTTGTGGTGTCCAACATGTTTTGACACATGTATACATTGTGAAATGGCTAAGACAGCTCATTAACTTATGCATTACCTCAAAGACATTTCTTCTCCCTGCGGTGAGAAAGGGGGCTGTTTTCCTGGTTGCTGCATATTGGGAGTCAGATTCTCTACTTTTGTATATGAACTAGTCATTGTTTGTATATTCAGTCCTTCAATTGGCTTTACTTAGAGACTTTCTTCTTAGAAACAGAATAAAGCAAAGTTGGTGGAAGGTAGCAGATGTGATTAGGTTACCTAAGATTGTGATTTCCATCTTGTTCACTGACTCTTTCTCTTGCTGGATTTGATGAACCACATTGTCAAGTTGGAGAGATCCACATGGCAAGAAATTGTGGGTGGGCTCTGGCCTGGAGGCAGTGGGGAGATAAGGTCCTCAGTCCATCAGTCCTTCAGAAATGAGTCTTACCAAAACTGGTGGAAGAGATCTTTTAGTTGAGCCTTCATAAGAGACCCTTACCCTGGAGGATAATCTGATCATAGCCTTTTGAGAGACTCACAAGCAGACAACCTCGTTAAGCTATGCCTAGATTCTAGAAAAACTATAAAATAGATGCGTACTGTTTTAAGCTGCTAATTTTAGGGTAATTGGTTACATAGTAACAGGTAACCAATGTGATACATAGAAGCATCACACTTTTGGAGTTTGAGATTCAGGTGCCAACTCAAAATTGCCCCTATTATGAAGTATTAAAGGTAAGTGCGTGTGTGTGTGTGTGTGTGTGTGTGTGTGTGTGTCTGTATGTATGTGTCTGGAGTAATAATGGACTTTGTATATCTCAGCCTGATAACAATAAACATTAAATTAAAAAAAAACTAGTTCCTTTTCTTCTCACCATATCCTCATGTGGCGACTTTCCAATTCAAAGGTATGTCAGTCCATGAAGAGAAAATGTGCAAATCATAACAGCAATGAGTCTTTCTAGTCATCCTAGTCAGATATTTCTTTGAGTAAATCAATAAAGAAGTTCTTGCTTTTGACTTCTTTTCAATTGTTTTACCAAAAGATGTGAATGAATTAATTGTTTTTAAAGACTCCCTGTTTATGCAACAGTTGCTTTTGTCTTTGTTTGTAACAAGCTGTCACTCTCTTACCAACCCTAGTGGGCATATTTTTTAATTAACTTATATTTATCCTCTGGGCTCAGTAATCTGTAGGATCTGACAAAGGTAAGTCTCTAAGGGCTTCAAAGCAAAGGGCCATGATACAGAAACTGTGGTTTATTCAAGCTGATCTGAACGCTGGTGACCCCGTGTGTTTTCCTCCACTCTGTTCCTTAATAGCTGATAAGTGTCCAGAACTTTACGGTGGGAGAGGAGGAACAAATAGGAAAACATGCTAAATATTACCTGCTAAATTTTACAGCTCAAATCTTGAGAAACCACATAATTTTTCTGAGATTTTCAAGACATAGACTGTTTTTGTCCTATCAGGCAGAAATCATATTTTAAAAGAGAATATAGCATAAAAGCCTAACAAATGCAAAAGTAATTTCACTCTGAGAAGATTTAAGGATACAATGCAGTTTCCTTTCGACTATGACGAGTTCGGGAATTAGAGTGAGAACCTGAAGAAGGTTGTGTGCTGATGAAAGTTGTTTATAGAATTCTAAACAGATGCCCTTAATTGACAAAGCATTGTGATGGGCATTGTTCAGGAGTTAATTCCATCTGACAGTGGAGCTGGCATGTTTATGTTAATGTTTGCATGAGTAACAATATGATCCTGAGATGTGATCTTAGAAAGAGAAATACATAATCAGGAACCAGCATCTAAAAGAGAAGTATCAGTTAATGAAGAAGAATGATCCCCAAGAGATGGGATACCAACAAGGTGAGCCTTGCGCTGGCCACAGATTACAGCGTGAAGAAAGTGTCCGGCCTCCCTGAGCGGCAGGGAGGGGAACCCAGGCACAGCCTGGCATTTTCCCTGATTTTAGCAGATGGAACGGGGAGTTCAGGGAGGCCAAGGTGAGTTCACAGGGCAAAGTATAGAGTGCTTTCAGTAAATCAGCTGTGTCTGTATTGGGTTTTCAGTTGAGTACCGATCAGCACATGTTTGGGAGGAAACTTTCTGAGCTGGGTAAAGCATCACCCAAAGGATTGGAGGGAAAAGTACTCTAGGCTCACACCAGGTTTGGCAGAGCATGTGTTTGCAAAATCCAAAATGAAATTCTCATAATTCACAAACCTCTTAATTCACTGGCAGCAGTTGCAATTCTATGTTAATCTGCATCCACACAAGAGATAGACACCACTAAAAGATTAAAACAGGGGACGTGTAACACATAAAATTATTATTTATTCTGGTAAAAGAATGACTATAAGGCATATGAAGATTCTACATGATACCATATGGGCTGAGGGAGAGAACACACAAAAAAGAGAATTTTGGAAGTGGGTTCATTTCCTGAGAATGGAGTTCAGGCCTCTTTGCAGAAATTATAGTTGCAGCCCATTGGCTGCTAGAGAAATGTGCAGGTTTGGTAAGGCCAGAGCCAGCCTGAATTCCCTAGGCAAGAAGCAAGTAACCTCCAGAGCACAGGAAGGGTGCAGGTGACTTGCCATGGGTGGCTGGTGAAAGGGGCTCAAATAATCTACACTCTGGCAGTCAGGCTCAAAAGCCTACCAAGGGAGATGACAGAATTGCCCGTAACTTAACTTATGTTTCAGGAATGAGAGAGGTGGCATCAGTACAAAATATACATATGTGTATGGACACAGATAAAGATAAACATATAGAACACACATAGGATAATAAGAAACTTTTATTTAAAAAAAATTATGCTAGTAAATCTGACAACTTAAAGCAACATTCTCACCCAGGAGTGACTTTCCTCCCCACCCTCTCTTCGCCACTACTGTCCAAAATGGCAGTAGTGCTGGCCAAGGTTGAGAAGCCTTGATAATAGATGAAGTTGATAAATTTCTTGAATAATACAAGCTGCCAAAATTACTCAAAAAATCTGAATTCTTACAATTTATGATATGTGAATTATATCTCAACATAGTTGGCAAAAAAAATCCTATGAAATCTTTAAACCTGTACCTGAACTAAGCAAGTCTAGGAAGTTTTTCAGTTACAAGATCAACACACAAATTCAATGCATTTCACTGTATTCACAACAAACATACAATGAAATTAAAGACAAAATCATATATAATAGCACAAAATATAAAATACAGATGAATCTGGAGAAAGATGCACAGGCCTAAATACTGAAATACATGGTATTGATGAGGAGCACTGAACAAAGTCTAAATAAAAGAAAGATGTAATGGGTTTATTTATTGCAAGACTCTATTTTGTTAGGATATAAATTCTCTCCAGAATGAAGTATAGGTTTATTGTAACCTCAATAAACACTTTGCAGGATTGTTTTGGGATAAATTGACAAAGTGATTCTACATATTACATTGGAATGCAAAGGTTCTAGCAGCCAAATCAGCTTTGAAAATGAACAAAGTTTAAGGCATTGCAGTACCTGATTCAAGGTTTCTTAAGTCAGCTACACATCAAGACAGTGTGGTGGTGGTGTGGAAATATTCTAATATTTTAGTGTTGTCACTCTACCTTGTAGTCTGGTAGTTAAGATTCTGTACTTTCTCCCTCATAGCTTGTATTCAATTCCCAGTCAAACTTATTAGTGGGTCAAAATAGAAAATATAGAATTGGACTCACTTACACATGTTTGATTGATTTTTAATAGAAGTGCGAAGGCAATTTAGTCAATAAAAATAAACTTTCAACATGTGATGGAACAATTGTGTGTCCACATGCAGAAAAAAATGAAGTGTAATTTATACCCGCACACTATATACAAAATAAGCTAAACCTAGATCACAGACCTTAATGTAAATTTACACATTTCAGTTAGATGGATGAATAAGTTCAAGAGATCCATTATACAACATGGGACTATAGTTAATAATATATGCTATTCTTAAAAATGCTAAGATAGTGGATGTAAAGTGTGCTCACCACAAAAATGATAACTATGTGAGGTGATGCATACGTTAATTAGCTAGACTTAACATTTCACAATGTATATATATCTTAAAGCATCATGTTGTGCAAAGTAAATACATACAATTTTATTGATTTAAATACATAAATAAATACGATCATAAAACTTGTAGAAAAAGAAAAGAATAAATTTCCAGTGATCTTGGATTAAGCAAACATTTCTTAAATATGACAACAAAAGTATGATCAGCTAAAAAAAGAGAACTTTTACTGCATTTAAATTAAGAACTTCTGCTCTTTGGAAGATGCTGCTAAGAAAATGAATAGGGTTTTAAACAGTTTTATTAAGACATAATTTACACACCATAAAATTCACCAAATTAAATAGTACAATTCATTGGTTCTTATATTCACAGAGTTGTACAACCATGATCACAGTAAGATGCTGTTAGAGAAATTATAAAAGACTGACGTTCAGAATACATGAAAATCTTTCAAAAGTTAAGAATAAGAAAACAAATAAGAAAACAATAAAAAGTGGGCAGAAGTTTAAATAGACTCTATGAGAGAAGACATATTGGTGTCAAAAAGTACATGGGCTTGGTTAAGATAAGAATTCTTAAGTAGATAATGAGAGGCATTGACTATGTAATAAAAAACTGTGCTTAATAAAAATTAAAACCTTTTTATTTTCAAAGGATACTTTTAAACAATGAAAAGTCCATCCACAAACAGAAATGTATTTCTGACAAAGTATATGAATCTAAACTACATAAAGAACACTCACAAATCAATAACTTGAATACAAACAACGGAGTTAAAGATGGCAAAGTATTTAACAGACTTCTCAAACAAAAAGATATGTATATGGTGAATAAGTTTATCAGTTAATACCCATCTCATTACTCATTAGGAGCATATAAATTAAAATCACTTGGAAAACAGGCAGTTGGTTAATAACTACATGCATATATAGTAAATGTGTGTGTGTGTGTGTGTGTGTGTGTGTGTGTGTGTGTGTGTGTATCTCCTTATGCCCCAGTCATTCCAGTCCTGGGTGTTTACCCAGGAGAAATTAATGCATACGTCCTTGTGAAACATGTATGTGAATATTCAAAGCAGCTTTATTTGCAATAGTCAAAAACTTAATGCAACCCAAATGTCCATCAGTAGGGGAATGAGTAAACAATTATTTGTATATGAAAATATTGAAATACTTCTCAATAATAAAAAGTAACAAACTATGGATAAATACAACAGCAAGTATGAAGCTCAAAGTAATGATACTGAGCGTTGATGCTATACCCAAAAAGTAGATATTCTGTATGATTAAATTATGTAAGATACTAGAAAATGCAAAGTTATCCATAATACCAGGAAGCAGATAGTGATTTCCTAGTGTTAAAATAAATACTTTTTGTTTGTCTGTTTTGAGATGGAGTCTTACTCTGTCGCCCAGGCTGGAGTGCAGTGGCGCGATATCAGCTCACTGCAAGCTCCGCCTCCAGGGTTCAACCGTTCTCCTGCCTCAGCCTCCTGAGTAGTAGCTGGAACTATAGGCACCCACCACCATGCCTGGCTAATTTTTTTTGTATTTTTTTAGTAGAGACGTTTTTCACCGTGTTAGCCAGGATGGTCTGGATCTCCTGACCTCGTGATCCCCCTGCTTCGGCCTCCCAAAGTGCTGGGATAACAGGCACGAGCCACCGCGCCTGGCCAAAGAAATACTTTTAACAAATTAAATTTAGCAGAGCTTACTTGAGCAAAGAATGATAAATTGGGTAATTGGGTATCCCTTAGAACCAAGAGAGGTTCAGCTATCTCCACCCAGCAATGTGGACAAGCCATATTTACAGACAGAAGAAAAAAGCGATACCTAGAAACAACTTGACAGCTCTGCATTTGCCTTATATGGACATGGTCTGATCAGTTGGCAGCCTGTGATTGGCTGAGACTCAGATATTTGTTACAAGAATATACTCTTAAATTGGACTGCAGTTTGCTATTTAGGAGCTCAAAGTACAGAGGCAGCATTAGGCCAAATTTAACACGAAGGAAGGCCGGTCTGGGAGAATGACAAAAAATGATTACAAGGAGGCAAATGAAACTCTTGGGAGTGATCAACATGTTCATCACCTTGGTTTTGGTGAGTGTTCCACAGCAGTATTCATGTGTCAACACTTACCAAACTGTACGGTGGAACATATGCCAATTGTATCTCAATAAAGCGTTTTATGTAAAGACCAATAGGAAGCCAGAGTTGTTATTTATAATAAAGAAACTTAAGGAATTTTAAGTTTGATACAATACTATGGATGTATTTTACATAGTATTGTTTCCATTTATATGATATTCAAAAACAGGCAATACTTACATATGGTGAAACAAATCCCAACAATGTTTACCAGTAATGGAATGATCGAGAGGCTGTTGATCAGAAAACGTATGGAACTGTATTTTGGGAAGCTTGAAATATTTTCATCATTTGACTTGTGGTGCCATGGTATATAAGTAAGTAAAATGTATTGAATTTTACAATTAAGATCTGTGCCTTATACTGTAAGTAATGTATCTCAATGAAAAAGAAAAAAATCATTACCTTTATTTCCTTGTTCTTTATTACAACTTGATCTCATATCTTTTTGACCAAAGACTTACTGTATAAGAATACATATTTTAATATAGTGCTGATATTAGATATTTTCAAATGTTAAACGTTTTGCATATTTCACAGAACTTGAAAATATATTGAATATTTTCAAAATAGTATAATGTTAATTACACCTGGCTAAAGAAAGGTAAATTAAGAGAGTAAATATTTTTCTCAATATAGTTCTTGGTCTAATATTTTGAAAATTCTAATTCTTTGTAAGTTTTTTGGAGCATGTATTTTATTTTATTTCCAAAATCTTCAAGTACAGTATATAATTTATATATGACTAGATTATTCTTGGGTAATACCTAGTTGATTTGGAAATTCTGCAGAACATTTGGTGAAGCTGATTATGGACATAAACTTTCAGTGAAATAAAGAACATATCGAAAAATAGTATCTATAGTAAAATGTGATATATTAAGCAGCGTGCACAGAAAGCAAAACCAAAACTTTTTCTTTATTTCAGTGAGGCTTTGTTCAGCACCATACTTTGTACATTTTCCCCCTTTTATTTAAGGTCAGAGAGTTCACGTGCATTGTTACTTTTATTTTTTAGCATTTGACTTCTATTTTTTTCTTACTCTTTCTCTTCTTTTTGCTGCATTTGGCCAGATTTCCTATTGAAGAGTTTAAATAGAGTTGCAGAGGAATAGCAGGAAAAATGGCTGAGATCTCATCACTTGTCAGATAAATCCCAGGGTGCCTCTGCTATATAACCAAGATACTGATTGATTTCTTTACTCCTAGAAGTCTGTGACATTACTGCACCACTTAACGCTCCAAAATGAAAAGTCTTTGCCTTGAAGGTGAACTGCTGTTTCAGGTACATTTAGTAGTACCTATGAGTGAATATTTCTTTGAAATTTGAAATATCATGCAACAAATAGCCACCCAAAGGGAAATATTGTATAACAAGCTTATGTGTAAAATATAATGTGTATATATCAATTATTTAATACTCTAAATAATCAGTTTACCTTTTTCTTATTTCTCCTTCTTCATTCGATATATTTTTATGACATCAGATTAGCTATTGCTTGCACTAAACAAAAGGGAACAGCATTATATTCCATTCAATATTACTATTCTCTTTGAAATTAATTTATTCCTGGCATATTTTAATAAACTAGATCTACTAAATGTTCCTAATTTACTGTGATTTACTTCTATAATGACTGGGCGTGGTGGCTCACGCCTGTAATCCCAGCACTTTGGGAGGCCGAGGCGGGTGGATCAATTGAGGTCAGGAGTTTGAGGCTAGCCTGGCAACATGGTGAAACCCCATCTCTACTAAAAATACAAAATTAGCTGGTCGTAGTGGTGGGCACCTTTAATCCCAGCTACTCAGGAGGCTGAGTTGGGAGAATAGCTTGAACCCAGGAGGCGGAGTTTGCGGTGACCCAAGGTCGCGCCACTGCACTCCAGCCTGGGTGACAGCCAGCCTCTGTTTCAAAATAAATACATAAATAAAAGTAATATTTCGTACTCTTCACTGTTTCAAAATAAATAAATATATGTAGTTTAAAAGAAAATTGAAAGAAATTATCTAACCTTGTAATAAGTTTGTACTTAAACACACAGTGAAAGCAATTTATTCAACGGACTTTAAACAGAACATGTTTGATGTAATTCCCTGTGGAATTCTAAGTCTCTCTCTCTCTCTCTCTCTCCCTCTCTCTCTCTCTCTCTCTCTATATATATATATATATGCATATATGTATGTATATACGTACACACACACGCACACACACACAAATTGATGCTTTATCAAAATGTAATTTATCAAAATTATCAAAATGTAATTGATACATGATTTATCAAAATATAATTGGTACATGAAAAACTGCACATACTTAATGCATGCAATTTGATGAGTTTGAACACATGCATACATACCTTACCATTGCCGCAATCAAGATAATAAACAGAACCATCACCTCTGAAGGTTTTCTGGTTTCCCTTTGTTTGTTGTTTGTTTTCAGTAAGAACACTTAAAATGATAGCTACCTTCTTAATTTTTTAATTTTTTTAAGCACACAAAAATCTTATTTTTAACAATAGGCCTTATGTTGTATAGAAGATCTCTGGAACTTACTTATGTAATGTAACTGTAACTTCATAGTCGTTGAAGAAAAAATCCCTGTATTCTTTATAAACATCCTCTGGTGACCATCATTCTATTGTCTGCTTCTGCAGAGCGGAGTATTTTGGAATCCTCATATAGCAGGAACCATGCAGTTTGTGTCCTTCTGGGGCTCATTCATTTAACTTAGCAAAATGTTTTTCAGGCTTATTAATGTTGTCAAAATGGTAGGATTTCATTCTTTTTAAAGGCTAAATACTATTTCATTATATGTATATACAACACTGGTTTTTAATACACTCATATGTTTATGGATATTTAGTGGCTCCCTATCTTGGCTTTTGTAAATAAAGCCACAATAAACAGTGGCAGTGTAGATACTCTTCAAGATTCTGATTTCAGTTCTTTTAAGTATATACCATAAAGTGGGATTGCTGGATCATATGTTAATTCCATTTCTACAGTATTGAGGAACATTTGGTAGTGTTTTCCATAGTAGCTGCACTACTTTACATTCCCACCAACAGTATACAAAGTTAAATATCTCCACAACCTTAACAGCACTTGTTATATTTCTTTTAAAATAATTGGCATCATAAAAGAATCTAAGGTGTGAGGTGACAGACATCTCATCATCATTTTGATTTGCATTTCCCTGAGGGTTCACAATGTTGAGCATCTTTTGATATACCTGCTGGAATTCCTAACATATATAAGGAACTCCTAAACTTAATTTAAACAAAATGACCCGATTTAAAAATGGGCAAAGAACTCAGATACAAATATTAAACTTTCAAATATACTCAATAGGTTTATTGTTACTCTGAAATCATTATTATATATATTTTAAAAAGTAAATAACTACAGTGATAATAGTAACATCAAGATTTTCTGTATAAAAATAAAAGATATATGAAATCAAGGAACCTGAAACAAAAAACCTGTAATCTTAAATTAGAAATTTTGAATTGAATTTGTGAACTCATAGAATATCAGTTTTCTAATCCTGTTCACTAAATGCATTTAAAAGCAAATATAAGCAATAGCAATGGGCATCACTAGTGATCAGATTATTAATTCCAGTTTATATTCTACGTAATAAAAGCCAAGGCTCTTTGGAGTAATGTCTGTTTCCAGTTCTCCTCTCGGATATTTAGAAAAAGCACTTGGAACATATTTTTATTTACTATGAAATATGTTTTTATTTAAAAATCTTTGAATTTCAGTTTCAAATTTTTTTACAGATCATCTAGAACAACACTTAATGATAAGTGAGTGCTCTCACCAAAATCAATTACATGGTAATATCTTCTGCTGAAATATTTCTGGTGTTTGAAAACATACTTTCTCATGGGGAGGCATATCATCCTGGAACATCTTACAGAGCAAAATATTAAGAAAGGGAACATAGATTAATAGGTCATCTTAAAAGCACACAAGAGCCCACCTAAAGGGTTTCCCATCGTCCTATGATGGCAAATTTGAACCTCAGAAAAATGAAGGGAAATGGGTTCACTCAGATATATGTTTATCTGAAGATTATAATGACTTCATAGTGATCAAGTCATGGTATATTATCAACCTCATTACTTATTTTGAAAGTCATTAAGTTGCCAGCTCATTACTTGAGAATTGATAAATAAAATATTAAAGAATCTATCATGTCTTTATGTATATATCGTCTTCTCAATAGCTAGGTATTTGGTTAGGGAAAGATTTCTAGATAGACTATTTCCAAAAAATTTTAAAGGATTAAGAATATTGAAAATTCACCATTTTCCCAATGAATAATGAAACATAAATCTGTATGATGATCCTCAAAGATTAGGTACAAAACATTTAGATATAATTATATGGGGAATTTTCTATTGAGGGAATCAGACTGACATGATCTGAATCCAATAATCATCATAGCATTGGAATCAAATAACAATAGTAAGACATTATTGCACACCTAACTGATGGAATGGAAAATAGTCCACACCAGCTTGAGCTATTCTGTACTGAATTAAACCATTCTGAATCTAAATCAGCCACTAGGATTATGAAAGATAGAAGACTTAAAAGTATAGAAAAAGAACTAAATGGATGACCTGAGATAGCAATCAGCCAGGTAAAAATGTGAGACAATGTAATGGAAAAATGTCCCCAACTTATCTAGCAAATCAACTGTGTGTGTCTGTGTGTTTGTGTGTGTATGTTTGCAGAAAAAAAATAATTTTGAATGAAAGAGGTTTAAGAATTGACTATTCTTTGTATAACCTGCTTGAATCCTAATTTGAATTGAAAAACACATTTTGAGACAACCAACAACAATATAACTGTATTGTATTCAACCAGCACATTTGAATATGTACCATTTTACTTTATTAAGTAATTTTATTGAATTCTTTTTTGGAAATCATTAATGTGTGATTAAACTATGAACACTATTAATTTCAGCAATTCTTTATTAAGTACTTTATTGTAAGGCATACAATTACACAAAATGCACGTATACTATTTTTTTCTCAGCACTCTATTACATAAAATATTGAGAACATTACAATTTTTTAGTAAGCTGGGAATTGAAGATATGACTTAGGTAAGTGCATTTTTATATGTTTATACACTGCCATTCAATGAAGCTACTGAAATGATGCTGTATATTCATATTCATGGATATAAAATATCTATGAGTAAGATAACACTGTAAAAATAAGCATTGTATATTTTTGTAAATATTAACTAATACGTGGATCCACACATATTGTATATGTCTAAAATATTTGTTCCTTCACTCACATTTAGTCACTTATTTAATAAATTTCATAGAGCGTTACAATATATTATACAAGCAGTTTAAGATATAGGGAAATCAAAACACAAACATTTTTAAACATTCTTAACAGAAAATACTTTTTAAGTTAGGTTTTCTCTTTTTTTTTAAGCAAAAAAAAAATGTGGAGCAATGTTTCAGGATTCTGTGGTACTATTTTTTGGAAAGATTTTTTGAAGAAGTATCATTTAAGCTGTGATGAAGCCAGTTGGAGAAAAAAAGGATGAAGAAATTTCTTAGAGAGGGAATGATATGTAAAAAACCTTGACTTGGTTTGGGGTAATGTGAAAGAATACAAGGAACAAAGACTTGGATGCAAGTTGTCTCTTCAGGCGGCACTTCAAGTCCTAGAAACAAGAGTATAGAGAAATAAGATAGTGGGGCAGAAAAGCCAATCAAAGAGTGTATTACTACCCTGATATCCACTGTGGGCAACTGGAATTCAATCCCATTCGAAAGTCTCTGAGGAACTGTGGAAAAATTGTCTCAAAATTGTTCCTCTAGAGAAAGGAGGTGAGTATGTATTCATCATTTTCTGCCATCCTTGGTTGAGGGGTACCTCCAGCTGCCTTTACTGCCGTGAACTTTCATGTTGCAAATATGCAGCTGAGCAACATTCTGCATCTTCAACAAAATTATAACAGTTAAAAAGCTACAATGCATGCTTGAAGAGAGGACAGAAGTGGAGGGCCTTATCAAGCATAGTTGTGCCAGAATCAGTGGGGTTAAAGGAACGTGGTGTTTGCTGCTGTAAACTCTCCTCTGTACCTCCCACCCTGCACTGTTCGTGTCCGTTTATGCTTTCTAAGTCTACTCTCTCTCTAGCTCTTTGAATCAGTGCTAGTCTCAACAACTGAAAGAAAAAAGGGGGAGAATGGTTGTTGGGACAAACTATAGTCTGCATTGTTGCAATTGGCCCAGAAATTATAACCAATGACCAACATCTAACTCCTTCCTCCACCACCATGGCTGACCTGCTGCTGTTCTGGGATGCTTTCCTGTGTGAGTGAACTAGACCTTTCTCCCAAAGATGGCTGAGATTTGTTTATGTAATCGTTGGTCAGCAAATATTGTGATCATCACCAAGCATGGAGACACCAAGACATGTTCTAATATGCTCCTCATACCAGATCCTCTCCCTTGCCTCATTTTGAAGCAGAAGCCCTAGTTCCTCATAATGTTCAATACTGATTTCTGTACCACCGTGGTACCTTTTTCCTTTGCCTGTTAGTCTGCCAATATGAGTTCCTAGAATCGTCTATGTGGGAATCATAACTTTAGGTACAGCCAAACACTCATTGTGTCCCTTTGTAGAAGCATTCATACCCAGAATATACAACTCACCAAAGTCTAGGGTGAAGGGATGAAAACACATTTGCAATAAGTTGATAGGAGCAGTGGTGAAAGGGGTCAATACTTTCCTCCATCTTTGTTTTCTGTTCTGTATAGTTTAGCTAAAATATTAATAAAAATCTTGGGATTATAGCAGCATACTTACCCTTTGGTTCAGCACATACACCACATGCTGGAGGATAGCATGCCAGGACTTCATGATGCTTTCACTCTGGCACATTCAGTACATTGATCTTATATGTACCATGTTTGATGCATTCCAATGCTGTAGTCTCAGCACACAGCCATGTGCCAATTGTGGAATATGTTAACCTAAAATGAGTTTATTTTTCAGTGGAACTATTTGCAGGATCCAAAATATTGGCTACCATTTACTGTAAGTTCCCCCTTTCCATGTGGAAAAAAAAAGTGTGCTGTGATCAATCCAGCATTAAGTGGTAAGATGGTCTCCCTCAGGGACGGTGCCCTTTCAGGTCTCAGGGTGATCACTACTGCTATTGGGATATAGCATTCACATTGGTTAGATGGCTCTTCCTGAAAGGACGTCTGTGCTGCTACTCCCTTGAATAACATTCACTGTAGCTACCATGGCCACGTCATGCATGGGCCCTTGACACAGCATTGGAAGCCAAAGAAAGCTCTGAATGACATCCACCATGGACTCACCTAGAAAATCTGGTAACTGAATGCCTCCTAGGAGACTGGGCATTGATGTGACCTTTCCATTCCCTGTACACTCCCGTATGTTTATCCACACACCTCTTTCTCTGACATCAGTGTCCCTCGTTTTTCAAATCTTACTCTTTTAAAGTCACAACAAAATAGTTCTTCATAGGTCACAATACCAGTTATATTCTTATCTCAGATCATGTCTCTTGATAACAGTGTCGGTAATCATGTTCACAGCTTGGAACATTTCTCAGGAAGAGTTATTTCCCTTTTATTATTTAGAGCCACTCATGAGTTAAGCCGTAGTGCAGAATCAGTTCATGATTTTGCTAACACAAAAAAATGACATCCATGCATCTGTGAATCATACCTGATACAAACTTTCCTCTCTCAGTACACTGTAGGAACTACCATAATGCCACAGATGCCAGCAGGGTTAGAAATATCAATACAAAACTGATAGATGTCATTCTGTATGCTTCCTTTTCATGTAGCTTTCTTGTAACTTCTGGAATTGCCCAGGTTTCACATCAAATATACCTTTCCCCTCATACAGTGTTTAAGTTCCATCTCCTCAAAGCATCTGAGTTGTTGTCTATAACCACATTCAGCAAATGATGGATGAGTGTAGACACTTGGTGACCCATTGTTAGCTGCACAGTTATTAGTAATGCCAAGAAGCATGACCTCAACTGTTTTTCATCACAAGTAGTTCTATGCCACAGAAGACATGGTCTTGCTCAGAAACACTTGAGGATCTTCACTGTGACTTTCTTACTGGGTCTTGCCTGAGAGCCCCTACAGTATCCAACTTTATTGTGCATTAGTTATAGAATGACAATCAAGTTTTTAAAAAAAGAATATATTATTACAGAAAACATGAGAATTAAAATAACTCATCAAGGTCACCAATGAGTACAGCTAGGATAACTGTTTCAGCTTGTCCAAGATATTCCTGGTTTTAGGACTGAAAGTTCTATGTCATGGAAACCCTGAGTCCCAGGCAAACAGAGGTGTTTGGATATCCTAGGTAAAACTGTCCATTCCAAGAAAATGAAAATTGATTAAGAACTCTCTTTTTGAGACAGTCATACTGTGTCACCCAGGCTGGAGTGCAGTGGTATGATCTCGGCTCATTGCAACCTCCACCTTCCTGGTTCAAGTGATTCTCTTGTCTCAGTCTCTGGAGTAGCTGTGACTACAGGCACGTACCACCATGCTGGGCTAATTTTTGTCAAGTGTGAGCCACCGTACCCGGCCAATTTAGAACTTCTGATGGGAAAGAAGGCATTTTTCCAGATCAGTAACTACATATCAATTGTCAAATACCAAAACGTAGAGATACTTGACATGACATGCTGTCTGCAATAAGAGCTACCACTTAGTTAAATACGTGGTAGTCCTGTCTTATTTTACAATAACCGTCTGGGTTTCTTAGCAGTTATGCAGGCGACTTGAGCAGGGATAGTAGGAGGATTAGAAAGCTTGCAATCTCTAAGTAATCAATGTTCCACTAATCTCTGCATTTCCACTCGATGTAATACTGATTCTACTGTAGTGTCTTCTCCCTGGAAATTGGGAAAAATTGCATGGGGGAAGGTTGAATTTTGCTCTTCTTACCAAAATGTCATCTACTTTTTGTGAATCAATTGGAGTGTTTAGTCAGCGTCTAGGCATATCTGCCCTAATTATGCTTGAGAATGTGGCAAATAAACATAAATTAGGTCTGAAGACTCATTGAACTTACTTGAAGATGTACTTAGGCCAATAACTTCTTGATCCCTTGGCCTTGAGAAACGTTTACTACAACTGGGGAGCATCACTGATGTTTAAAGTCACCAAGTAACAGTATCAGATCCAATATCAATCCAAATACTCTTTTGATTGCTGGGTATTTCCCTACGCCCATCTAATTTAATAAATGCTGTCTTGAAAAGTAAAAATGATACTATTTCAATATAAGATGAACATTTGAAACAGTGGTAGGAGCTATAAAAATAGCATAAATCAGAATGAAGAAAGCTCAAATATTATATGACCTGAGAAAATAAGGATATAAAAATGAGCTGAAAATGCACAGAAAAAAATAAGGTATTTTTAAAGAATTAGTATTTTATGTGAACCTAAAATGAACAAACCATAAATACTGCAGTAAGAGAAAATGAGGTTGAAAGGAAAAAGGTCAAATAAAATGTTTTGAAGTAAAGAAAAATATGTAAAGGACTCAAAAGAAAATATATATATATGTAAGATATGATGATCAATGTAAAATAAGAAAACAAAAAAATATAAAAAGTAGTAAATGATTATATTAAAATTTCTAAAACTAAGGAAGACATAAATGTATTTTTGAAAAGACATACCATAAAACTCTAAAAAAAACCCCATAAATGGCCAATGTTAAGACAAAAAAGAAAAATATAGTTGATATTGAAGTGCAAAAAATGTGACCATTGAAGACAAAACAAAGTCGCTTCATTTATTTGTTTGTTTATTTATTTTTGAGACGGAGCCTCACTCTGTTGCCCAGGCTGGAGTGCAGTGGCACGATCTTGGCTCACTGCAACCTCCACCTCCCAGGTTCAAGCGATTCTTCTGCCTCAACCTCCTGAGTAGTTGGGACTATGGGCATGCACCACCAAGCCCAGCTAATTTTTTCGTATTTTTGTTGGAGACAAGGTGTTACCATGTTGGCCAGGCTGGTCTTGATCTCCTGACCTCAGGTAACATGCCCGCCTTGGCTTCCCAAAGTGCTTAGATTATAGGCGTGAGTCACCACACCCAGCCCAAAGTCACTTTAAAGAAAAGAACACGAGTATATTCTATTGTTTTGTTTTGTTTTTGACGGCTGTTTTTTAGGTCTTTAGATGATTGAGTAATTTAATATTATGAACAAAAAGAAAATATTAATTTGAACTAATTACGAATAAATGACTCCAAAAATTAACAAAATAAACATATTATTTCCTAACGTTTAAAAAAATTTTGAGAAAGGGGCAAAAATCCTGCAAATATACACACACCAAAGAACTGGTAAGGGGGAAATAACCCCCCCGCCACAAAAAAAAAGCAGAGGGGATCATTAGATACTTCGTTGAACAAGGGTATGCAAATTCATGTGAATACATAGGTGAAATAACACTGTGGTATGAATATATTACATTTCAAAATGAATCCCAATAGAATGAGAAAGCTTTAAAAAATAATTTCCATAAAGCAAATTTCATAATAGTCTGCAAATCAAAGCAAACCAAATAAAAGCATCACATCCACATAGTTTACAGGAAGTTTTATGAATTATGTAAAGATCCGTGTAATTTCCAGGAAGTTTTATGAATTATGTAAAGATACACATAATTTTATGAGAAGCATTTATGAATTAGGTTTTAATTCTACTTATACTCTTTCATAACATAGTGGGTACAAAGAAATGTTTCCAAATACTTGTTTGAAGCTAGCATGCCATTGACGTGAAAAATCAGAAAAGATTGTATAGAAGAGACAATTTTACTAATGAATATTTGTAAATATATATATAATAAACATTTTTTGACTTTGTAACTCACGATTACTGCATTTATACTGATTAATTTAAGCTTTCAATACTTTTAGTTGTATTTATGTTTTTCCTAATATTTAAACTTTTGTATGATTATAAAGTTTATTTGATATAAATATTTATATCTGAAAATTTTCTCGAGAAGTATTTTAGCTGTGTCTTACATGTTCAGATGAATTATTTTCTCATTGTTATTAATATTTTCTAGAAATTCCACAAGATATCATATATTTCCTATTGATCAGATTTCATAAAATCTGTAGGCATATCAAACAAATTTACAAATGTTCATTAATCATGCCCAGCTCAATAAATTATGGTACATTAGTCAGGTAGAATCCTCCAGTGGCATGTAGAAATTATGATGTCTTTTATATACAGTCTGGGACTAATCTTCCAAGCTGTATTTCAAAGTAAAAAATAAAAACAATAACAAAAAACAACCACAAAATCCAAGATGTTGAATGGAACATTATATCATCTCTTTGTAGAAAAGCAAGGGAACATGAATTTATGTAAATATTTAATTGCATTATATAATGGACAAAGTACAAAATATTTTACTAAGAAGCAACAAAAGAATTAGGGGGCAGGGAACAAGTATGCTATCTTGACTTCTTTATCGATTTATTAGTATTTATATAAAAGTATTACATTTATGGTAAAATAAAAATCTATAAAACTAAGATACAGCTGAATGAATGATAGCACTTATTTTTTAAATAATGGTGACAAAGAAAAATACAAATTTAACTATAGACAAAGTATTTTTTAAAATTTAAGGACATAACAAATAGCAAATGAATAGGCAAAATAAAATACCACATCTAGAAGAATTATGACCACTGAAACGATGAAACAGAACATAGACATCTCCCAGACATGTTCCTCATGTGCCTTCTAACATGACCCCCACCTCCAACCTTCACTTCCATCATCATGTTACTTTGGCATTTAGTATTCTATATACAGTGTCTGTTATTGTGCTTAGTGTTTCTCCTTAAATGTTATGTTTGAGAATTTCATTTGTGTTGATGTATGTATTCATACTTGATAGAATGTCATTGCTATATTTTAGTCTATTGCAAGAGTATAAAACACTGTCCATCCTGGCATTGGTGAACATCAGGATTGTTTCTGCATATGAATAATGCTGGTGTCAACATCCTAGTACATGTCTTCTCATGCATGTATATTTCTGTTGAATGTGTTCCCAGGAATTCATTCTAGTTCAACAGATAGGTGCTTTGTAAGATAATATGAAACCATTTTGAAACTCATGTACCAATATATGCTCACACCAATAGAATATAAAAGATTGTGTGGCACCTCATTTTTACTAATGTGGCATTATCAGTCTTCTTAATGTTAGCTATTCTGGTTGGATCTATAGTTGTCTTTCATGTTTTTTGAAAATTTGCATTTCTCTGATGACTAATAATTTTTTTATTCTCATCACAGGCTTATTCACTATACTCATATAAAAATAAATATATATGAATATAAATATATATATAATATGCATTCTTATATCACATGCTCTTCAAACCCTTCATCCATGTTCTATTTTTTGTCTATATTATTCAGATTGATTTATTGGAATTATGTATACAATCTGGATACAATCCTTTTGACAGTCATATGGAACAGGGAATATCTTTTCCTATTGTAAGCCGTGTAATTTCAATCCTTTTATTGTGTCTTTAGATGAAGACAGGTTTGGCATTTTAAAGTAGTCCATTTTCCTTCTCCTGCCTAATTGCCCTGGCCAGAACTTCCAACACTGTGTTGAATACGAGTGGTGAGAGAAGGCATCCCTGTCTTGTGCCAGTTTTCAAAGGGAATGCTTCCAGTTTTTGCCCATTCAGTATGATATTGACTGTGGGTTTGTCATAGATAGCTCTTATTATTTTGAGATACGTCCCATCAATACCTAATTTATTGAGAGTTTTTAGCATGAAGGGTTGTTGAATTTTGTCAGACGCCTTTTCTGCATCTATTGAGATAATCATGTGGTTTTTGTCTTTGGTTCTGTTTATATGCTGGATTACATTTATTGATTTGTGTATATTGAACTAGCCTTGCATCCCAGGGATGAAGCCCACTTGATCATGGTGAATAAGCTTTTTGATGTGCTGCTGGATTTGGTTTGCCAGTATTTTATTGAGGATTTTTGCATCAATGTTCATCAAGGATATTGGTCTAAAATTCTCTTTTTTGGTTGTGTCTCTGCCCGGCTTTGGTATCAGGATGATGCTGACCTCATAAAATGAGTTAGGGAGGATCCCCTCTTTTTCTATTGATTGGAATAATTTCAGAAGGAATGGTACCAGTTCCTCCTTGTGCCTCTGGTAGAATTCCGCTGTGAATCCATCTGGTCCTGGACTCTCTTTGGTTGGTAAGCTATTGATTATTGCCACAATTTCAGAGCCTGTTATTGATCTATTCAGTATTCAGTTAGGAAAAGAGGAAGTCAAATTGTCCCTGTTTGCAGATGACATGACTGTATATCTAGAAAACCCCATTGTCTCAGCCCCAAATCTCCTTAAGCTGATAAGCAACTTCAGCAAAGTCTCAGGATACAAAAACAATGTACAAAAATCACAAGCATTCTTATACACAAATAACAAACAGAGAGCCAAATCATGAGTGAACTCCCATTCACAGTTGCTGCAAAGATAATAAAATACCTAGGAATCCAACTTACAAGGGACGTGAAGGACCTCTTCAAGGAGAACTACAAACCACTGCTCAGTGAAATAAAAGAGGATACAAACAAATGGAAGAACATTCCATGCTCATGGGTAGGAAGAATCAATATCGTGAAAATGGCCATACTGCCCGAGGTAATTTATAGATTCAATGCCATCCCCATCAAGCTACCAATGACTTTCTTCACAGAATTGGAAAAAACTACTTTAAACTTCTTATGGCACCAAAAAAGAGCCTGCATCACCAAGTCAATCCTAAGCCAAAAGAACAAAGCTGGAGGCATCACGCTACCTGACTTCAAACTACACTACAAGGCTACAGTAACCAAAACAGAATGGTATTGGTACCAAAACAGAGATATAGATCAATGGAACAGAACAGAGCCCTCAGAAATAACGCCGCATATCTACAACTGTCTGATCTTTGACAAACCTGAGAAAAACAAGCAATGGGGAAAGGATTCCGTATTTAATAAATGGTGCTGGGAAAACTGGCTAGCCATATGGAGAAAGCTGAAACTGAATTCCTTTCTTATACCTTATACAAAAATTAATTCAAGATGGATTAAAGACTTAAACGTTAGACCTAAAACCATAAAAACCCAAGAAGAAAACCTAGGCATTACCATTCAGGACATAGGCATGGGCAAGGACTTCATGTCTAAAACACCAAAAGCAATGGCAACCAAAGCCAAAATTGACAAATGGGATCTAATTAAACTAAAGAGCTTCTGCACAGCAAAAGAAACTACCATCAGAGTGAACAGGCAACCTACAAAATGGGAGAAAATTTTTGCAACCTACTCATCTGACAGAGGGCTAATATCCAGAATCTACAGTGAACTCAAACAAATTTACAAGAAAAAAACAACCCCATCAAAAAGTGGGTGAAGGACGTGAATAGACACTTCTCAAAAGAAGACATTTGTGCAGCCAAAAAACACATGAAAACATGCTACCATCACTGGCTATCAGAGAAATGCAAATCAAAACCACAATGAGATACCATCTCACACCAGTTAGAATAGCAATCATTAAAAAGTCAGGAAACAACAGGTGCTGGAGAGGATGTGGAGAAATAGGAACACTTTTCCACTGTTGGTGGGACTGTAAACTAGTTCAACCATTGTGGAAGTCAGTGTGGCGATTCCTCAGGGATCTAGAACTAGAAATACAATTTGACCCAGCCATCCCGTTACTGGGTATATACCCAAAGGACTATAAATCATGCTGCTATAAAGACACATGCACACGTATGTTTATTGCGGCACTATTGACAATAGCAAAGACTTGGAACCAACCCAAATGTCCAACAATGATAGACTGGATTAAGAAAATGTGGCACATATACACCATGGAATACTATGCAGCCATAAAAAATGATGAGTTCATGTCTTTTGTAGGGACATGGATGAAACTGGAAATCATCATTCTCAGTAAATATCGCAAGAACAAAAAACCAAACACCGCATATTCTCACTCATAGGTGGGAATTGAACAATGAGAATACATGGACACAGGAAGGGGAACATCACACTCTGGGGACTGTTGTGGGGTGGGGGGAGGGGAGAGGGATAGCTTTAGGAGATATACCTAATGCTAAATGATGAGTTAATGGGTGCAGCACACCAGCATGGCACATGTATACATATGTAACTAACCTGCACATTGTGCACATGTACCCTAAAACTTAAAGTATAATAATAATAAAATAACAAAATAAAGTAGTCTGTTCTATAAATCTCATTCTTTAAGCTCTATCCTTCTTGTTCCTCTTTAAGACATGTTTGCCTACCTTAATGTCATAAAATATTCTTATTTATCTTCTTGAATCTTTGATGTGAAGCATTTGAGTTTAGATCTACATTTTATCTGAAATTCCTATGAGGTAGGAGTCTGGCTGCATTCAGGAACTCCTGGCACCAACGTGTTTGCCTCTAAATATTATTTACCACAAAGAACAAAGCAGCCTCTTGAAAATCAGGGGAAGAAATACGTAAATCTAAAACATATTGTCAGGCCTGCAACAAGGACATGTCAAACACCATAGGTGCTAGAATAAGGAAATAGGAGATAATTTGAAGCACCTCTTGTTGGTGTAAAATAAGGCATTTTGAACAAAAAATTAAAATATTAACTGCAATTTATCAGAAAACACAAAATATATGAGAAACCGTCCGTTTATAATGGTATTAAGATAATTAATTTTTACTTTCGTAGTGGGCTCAGATTTACTATTTTGGAAACTGGTAAATAAAAAGATATTAATAGAATCAAATGTTTATTCAACCCTTTACTTATACTCTTTATTTTGGGGTTATTAGATAGTGGGTAGGGAAAGCTGGCTTTGTAGAAAAAGTCCAGTTATAAGTGAAGAAATAACAACATGATAAAACTATAATTATAAAATCACTCAATTATAACAAATGAAATAGTCCATCTAGTCAAGGTCCTAAGTGATTGCTAAATCCATCAGACCAATATACATCAAGCTCACAGTTCCCACATCCATTGACTAATCATACCATCAGTAAGACCGGGACAAGAGACATCTCATGATTTCTGATATGTTGCAGTTTAATATGCTATATTGAAAGGAAAGCAATTCTGAAATCCAACTATCAGTTTATAGCAAATGTAGAAGATAGTGAAATATGTCATTTGTCTTGAATTGGCACTGTGAGAATGCAATAAACCAAACAAAAAATGTGAGAGATTCCATGGGGCATATGACCTAATTTTTCAAGAATACAAAAACCATAAAAAGGGAGAGAAGATTTACGGATTTTTAGGATATATATTGATCAAAGTAGTGGGGATCTTGTTTGAATCCCAATTTAACTAAATCGACTGTACAGAAATCACTTTGAGACAATAAAGAACATTTGAGTAAAAATTGCTTGTTATGTCGATGAATTGCTATTAGCTTTCAGGTGTTCAAATGTTACTTTCATTTTGTTGATAAAATGTCCTTATGTGTTATGAATACATAATGTATGGTTCATGTAGAGAATACTGTTATGTCTCAAACTTGTTTCATAATCTCCAGTAAAAAGCAAAACAAACAAAATTAAAAAACAAAACAAAACAAAAGCAAACAAATGAAACGGGGAATCAGCAAATTTTTCACATATTTGAAAGTGGGTGATGAGTTTATAAGTGGATGATGAGTTCATAGCAGTTAATTAAATGATCACTCTATTTTGTGTACCTTTGAAAATATCCGTAGTAAAACTTTTTAAAACATCGGTAAATGGGTGGCTTCTGTACCCTAAATTGTTCTTCTACACCTGACATATTCTCTTCTATTAATTCTTGATAATAAAACCATCTCAAAGAGTTAGAACCCTTTGACACCTAACATGCTGAGAGCTGGGATTTTTAGTGTTGCACTGGAATGCAGATGGGTGGCTGACGTTACTAAGTACTAAATAATGTCTGCTCCCCATTATATTAGTAAATAAATATAAGGCCAGGCATGGTGGATCATGCCTGTAATCCCAGCACTTTGGGAGGCTGAGGAGAGTGGATCACCTGAGGTCAGGATTTCGAGACCAGTCTGGCCAACATAGTGAAACCCGTCCCTACTAAAAATATAAAAATTAGCTGGGCCTAGTGGCACACACCTGTAAGTAATCCCAGCTACTTGGGAGGCTGATGTGTGAGAATTGCTTGAACTCCGGAGGTGGAGTTTGCAGTGAGCCGAGATGATGCCGCTGCACTCTAGCCTGGGCAACAGAGCAAGGCCCTGCCTCAAAAAAATTAAAAAAAGAAAAAAGAAATATGATCACAAATTTTCTTCCTTCATTGAACCTTCTAACTCTTTGCCTATGTATGTGTTAGGCACTGTGCTAGGCAGCAGGGATAACAGGCTGTATGCTCAAGAACCTGTCTCTCACATGGATCCTTGCATAGGATTGAGGAAGAATGGCATTAATCAGAATGAGTTAAGTGACTTAAGTGAAAATGCCTAACTTTATGTAGATGTGATCTGATAATAGAGAGATTCCATCAATCTAGATTAAGGTGAGATTTGAATCTAGAACACAACTTTTTAAAAAAATTCAGAAATACTATATGTTTCCTTATAATCTGATATGATAGATATGAAAGCTTTATTTCTGATACATTTTTTGATAATTCAAATAGTAAACATATAAAGTTTATAAAGTCTTATGAAACTCCATAGCCTTCAATGTATGTCATTTCCTATATTTTAAGTTACTAAATCTGTTATTTCAACATATACATAGACTTAGAGATATATTATGAATAGAACTTGAGGTAAAGTTTTGTTTGTGATATAACATAATTAAACATAGCATTTATTTTAGAAAACTTACTGCAACATTAAAAATACATTTGAAGTTATAGTAAGCCCAACTCAACTTCTGCCACTAGCTAGGAGTTAAAGCCTCTGAGTAGCACCTATCCAACTATCATCAGAGAATTCTAAAGCAAATGTCAATGTGAATCATAACCCGGAAAAGAGAATCTGCTTAAGAAACTGTGATATTAGCTGATGTAGTTAATTTTAAAGATCATATCTCTTTGTGACCATTGGGATGAAGTGCCTTAATAACATGGTAGAAAAGAGAAATGAAGATTTTTGTTTTAAATCTACTCTGGGGAAATATATGGATTGATCTCTTTGAGGAAATAAAGAAAAATAGTACGGCAACTGAGATCAGAAAATTCTTCCACTAAAAAGATATCTGCCATGAGCCCTAACATCATGGGCATGTCAGAGTAGGAAGCTCCGATAATCTGTTCGTCCATTAAAGCAACCATTAAGTTGACGAAAATGGACAGAGTCAAGTTTTGGGAATTCTGGAATCAAAGCAAACACTGACACCCATGAGAGGAATGCTTAATGAAATGAGCTGCTAAACTTTGGTTAGAGAGTTCATTTTTGCTTACAGCCTATTATCCCTCATGTCCCAGCTCAGCAGGGCCTGTGGAAATTGCAGCCCCAGTTCCTAGTGCAGTTTTCTGGTGCCAGGACAGCAATACATACCTTGTTCTCAAAACAAGAAAAAGTTTGTTTTGACCTGTCTTGTAGTTCCCTAAAGGATGATTGTCCAAATAATCTCCAAGTAAGTCTAAAAATAAACAGATGCATAATTCTAAAAAAAAAATTAAAGCTAACCAAATTCAACAAGTTACAGAATACAAGATTGACACATAAAAATTTATTTTGTTTGAAATACTAGCAGTGAACAATCTGAAAACAAATTAAGAAAACAGTACTGCATTTACAATAGCATTAGAAGGAATAAAATACCTGGGAATAAATTTAACCAAGGAGGTTAAGGACTGGCACACTGAAAGCTAAAAAAATCCTGAAATAAATTAAAGAAGACCTAATTGGATGACTTAATAGTGTTAAAAACGGCAATAGTACCCTAATGATTTACAGATTTAATGCAATCTCTATCGAATTTCTAATGTCTTTTTATTTTTAGAAATGGAAATAGTAATTGCCAAATTTATATGGAACTTCAATGGGCACTGAACCACAAAAATATTATTGAAAAAGAAGAACAAGTTGGAGGAAACACACTTCCTGATTTTGAAACTCATTGCAAAGATAAATTAATCAGACCTGTGTTGTACTGGCACAAGGATAGATTTACAGATCAATAGTATAGAATTGACAGTCCAAAAATAAATCCATACATCTATGACCAATTTATTTTTACAAGGTCCCAAATCAATTCAGCGAGAAAATAACTGTCTTCAACAGACGTTTGCACACAGGCACCTGAATATCCACATGCAAATGAATGATATTGGACCCCTATCTCTCACAATACACAAAAAATTAACTCAAAATGGATCAACTGCCTACATAAAAGAGCTAAAGCTATAAAACTCTTGGATGAAAACGTTGAAGTATATTTTTGAAATCTTGGATTTGATGATGAATTTTTGGATATTACACCAAAAGCATGAGAAACAAAATAAATAAATGAATATGTTGAATTCATCAAAATTTAAAATGTGTATACATCAAATGGCATTATTAAGAAAGAGAGTAGATAACATAGAATAATAGAAAACATTTGCAAATCACGTATTTGAAAAGGATCTAGTACCAAAATATATAAATAACTCTTATAACTCATCAACAAAAAGACAAACTTTTCAATAAAAAATGGAAAAAGACTTGAATAAATGTTTCTCTGAGAGATATACAAATGGCAAATAAGCACATGAAAGTATATGCAACATCAGCAGTCATCGGGAAAATTCAAATAAAAGCCAGAATGGGAAACCATTTTATACTCACTAGGACTGTTACAACTTTTTAACAAAGAAAAAAACAATTGTTGGTGAGGATGTGCAGAAATTAGCTCCTTACACATTGCTGGTGGGAATGTCTGATGGTTCAGCCACAGTGGAAAAGGTTTCGATAGCTCCACAAAAGTTAAGCATGCAATTTCCACATGACTCAGCAATTTTGCTCCTTGTTATGTAACTCAAAGAATTTAAAGCAGGGAGTCAAACAAATACTTGTATAGGAATGCTCATAACAGCACCATTCACAATAGTGAAAAGGTAGAAACAGTCCAAACATCCACTAACAGATCAATGGATTAACAAATTGTGTTATAAACATACAAGAGAAAGTTATTCAGTTATAAAATGGAGTGAATTACTGATACATGCTATGATGTGTATGAACCTCAAAAACATAATGCTAAATGAACAAGAACACACATCCAAAAGGTCACATATTGTGTGATTTTATTTATTCAAAATATTCATAATAGGTAAATCCATGAGAGAAAGCACACTAATGGTTTCCAGGGACTAAGAGGAGGGAGAAGTGGGGAGAGACAGCTTAATGAAAATATAATTTTATTTTGGGACTATTAAAATAGTTTGGAGCTTGATAGATTTGTTTGTCAAACACATGTCAAATGTACTACATGCCACTGAATTGTAGGCTTTAAAATAAATACTTTTATGTTAAGTGAATCTCATCTGAATACAAATTCTCTTTAAAAAGGTATCTACCATATATATCCACCTCCTGATGTAGCCACGTTGGAAGCCCACAGTGCGGTGGGAAAATTCCATGGGATTGAGTGTACAAGAAAACTCCCTTTTATAGCTTCTGAAAAGTATGGGGACCAAGATTCATGTCCATTTCCAAAACTTTAGTCAACATGTGTGCCTAGAAATCACACGAGAAATTGAAACTTCATTGTAAAAAGTGAAAAACTTAATGATGTCTTTAAGCAGCTTGTGGAGGCTGTTTATTCCCAGTGTATGTCATTCGGGTGCTGTGCTAACTGCAATAAAATCACTAGCATACTATAAAAAGTAACATGTATCTATACAGTATTGCTTTGAGAGAGAGAAAAAGAGAGCGAGACAGAGAGGAGTGTGTGTGTGTATGTGTGTGTGTGTGTGTAATCACTGTCACTGAGTAAAACAAGTTCTTCCATTGCTTTAAAGAAATATTTAGTTTATTGTACAAATACTCAGAATATTGCTCACTTTGTTTCTATGTGGACCAACTTCTCTTGTTCCTCAACTTTATGATTATCAATAGCATAATTGCATAATGCTGTCATGAGAGAGAAAAAAAGTAAGAAAAGAGAAAAGAAGGGAAACATAGTGACATTTTAAAACTTAAAAATAAGAAAAGAAGAAGTGATAGAGAAAAAAATAGAATGAGACAAATGACAGCTAAACATTTCATTGGAACTTACTAGATAATCTGCTTTAGGAGAAAAGAATGTTCTAGTAAATAAGTATTTGTTTGCTAGATATTTTTCAGTGCACAAATAAATCTTATTACATTGAGCTAAAATAAACATAGTATATTTACCATCCATAAAAATATAAAAGAATATTCATGGTTTGTTGATAAATACAAACTGTATGTTGGACCAAATTAAATTCATGATTTAATAGTATTGTTTCCTACATATTTTCTCTCCTTTTATTTTTACCACCAATTGTGTGATAGTAATTGCATATACGTCATACTGTTTCTTAAACATAACTATTAAACATAGGATTATTTAATATACTAAGTGTATTTTTATATAGGTCATGAGGCAAGCATCTATATTCTTTGCTTTTTCCAAATGTACATTTTTAATATTATATATTGAATACTTCAGATTTCAATAAATTGACTACATACAAAATGATGCTCATTTGTGACATCTTCATTGATATTCTTAGATCATTTTTTCTCCTTAACTATGTATACATATGTATATATATTGTCCTGAAGTTGGGAATAGATGATAAGAGAAGACTTTGATGCTTCAAAATGACCATTTTTTAAATTTTTGCTCAGCTCATGAGGTGCCCACTTACTGAGCTTTTCCACCTTTCCAATCTGCTTTAAATGCTGATCGAGCATAGAATGGTCAGTGTTGAATTCTTCGGTAACTTCTCATGTAGTTGTAAGAGGATCAGCTTCGATGATTGCTCTCAGTTGGTCATTGTCAACTTCTGATGGCCAGCCACTATGCTCCTTATCTTCAAGGCTCTTGTCTCCTCTGCAAAACTTCTAGAACCACCACTGCACTGTACATTCATTTGCAGTTTCTGGGCCACATGTGTTGTTGATATTGCGACTTGTCTCTGCTGCTTTACGACCCATTTTGAACTCTAATAAGAAAATTGTTCACATTTGGGTATTGTCTATCATTGTTTCCATAGCCTAAAGTAAATATAAAATAAACAGCAAGTAATAAGTAATTAGCAAAAATATAAAGCGAGAAATGATATATAACATAACCACATTTGCTTAAGAAGGTATTCCAGTATCAAGCAGCAAATTTCAACAATGCGAAAAACGCGAATTACTTTTGCACCAACCTAATAATATGAAATACATAGCATATCTAACAGTACAATACTCAAATATTAAGCTACCATAAAGTAAACTGATAAAACTATTAAATATAGATATAGATAGATTATATATATTTTCATTTGTGGCAAAATATACATGACCTCAACTTTGCCATTTTAATTTGTTTTAAATGTACAGTTCAGTGGCATGAAGTATATTCACTTTGCTGTGCAACCATCATCGCTGTCCACCACTAGAACTTTCTTTATCATACAAAACTGAAACTCTGTACCTATTCAACAACTCTCAATTCCACCATATTCCCAGTAACTGGCATCTGACGTTTTACTGTCTGTCTCTATGAATTTGTTTCGTCTCATTTCCTCATTTAAGTGGAATCATGCAGCATTTTCCTTTTCTTACTGGCTTATTTCACTTAGCATATTGTCTTCAAGGTTCATCCATGTAGGAAGTGTCAGAATTCTCTCCCTTTTTAGGGCTAAATAGTATTCTTGTATTCATAATATTCATTTACATATATTTATAGTATATCCATTCATTTGCCGATATACATTTGGTTTGCTCCTACCTTTTGGCTATTGTGGATAATGCTGCTATGAACATGGGTGTAAAAAATATCTGTTCAAGTTCCTGCTTTCAATTCTTTTGGGAAGATATATATTGCTATAATATGTTTTTATTCACCTCTGATCAAAATTTAATAATCCCTAAAATACACAACTAAGCTTCAGAAAATTTATATTGAGTGCATGTACTTTATTTGAGAATAACTCTGGTTACTTGGCAATTCTTCCAAAATGATGACATATTTTTATAGATTTTCTTAATCTTTTAAATGTATTAGCTCAGACTCATTCCAAGAACATTCTATCAATACTGGCTCCTCCTGCAGTAAGACAATGACATATTCTTCTATAAATATTTTACATTTAAAAATAGCTTTAAACTGCAATCAGGATATTCACATAGGCATGATATGTTATGAGTTCATTTTCCAATTATTTGGAAATCTTACTCCTTAAAATCTGCAAATATTGAAAGCAGCTTTATAAATATTAGTGATTTTTTTAAGACTTTAGCTGCATAAAATCAAATCTTCCTGATTTGTATTTTTCTTTAATTTTGTTATATTTTTTTCTCAATGGCTATGTTTATATTTTCCTTTAATAGCAAATTACTTGATTTACTTAAGTGTAATTGAAAAAAGCTTTAAATGTAAAAATTTACTGATACTAATGATAATTTATTCTATTTATTTGTAGGCTTAATACTTCAAACTTGTCAATTGTTATTTTACCAATTTCTTTAATGTTACCAGTAAATATTAACTGCTTGTGATTTCTCCTCAGACCTGGTATCTTAAAAATAATGTTGCCAAATTGAAACTGAAACTTAAAATAAAAAACAAGTGTGGCTGGTTTATTATTATTATTATGCTTTAAGTTCTAGGGTATATGTGCACAACATGCAGATTTGTTACACAGGTGTACATGTGCCATGTTGGTTTGCTGTACCCCTCAACTTGTCATTTACATTAGATATTTCTCCTGATGCTATCCCTCTGCCAACCCCCCACCGCCCGGCAGGCCCCGGTGTGTGATGTTCCCCGCCCTGTGTCCATGTGTTCTCCTTGTTCAATTCCCATCTATGAGTGAGAACATGCGGTGTTTGGTTTTCTGTCCTTCTGATAGTTTGCTGAGAATGATGGTTTCCACCTTCATCCATGTCCCTACAAAGGACATGAACTCATCCCTTTTTACGGCTGCATAGAATTCCATGGTGTATATGTGCCACGTTTTCTTAATCCAATCTATCATTGATGGACATTTGGGTTGGTTTCAAGTCTTTGCTATTGTGAATAGTGCTGCAGTAAACATATGTGTGCATGTGTCTTTATAGTAGCATGATTTATAATCCTTTGGGTATATACCCAGTAATGGGATGGCTGGGTCAAATTGTATTTCTACTTCTAGATCCTTGAGGAACCACCACACTGTCTTCCACAATGGTTGAACTACATTACACTCCCACCAACAGTGTAAAAGCATTCCTATTTCTCCATATCCTCTCCAGCATCTGTTGTTGCCTGACTTTTTAATGATCACCTTTCTAACTGGCATAAGATGGTATCTCATTGTGGTTTTGATTTGCATTTCTCTGATGACCAGTGATGATGAGCATTTTTTTTTCATGTTTCTGTTGGCTGCCTGAATGTCTTCCTATTCACAATTGCTCCAATGAGAATAAAATACCTAGGAATCCAACTTACGAGGGATGTGAAGGACCTCTTCAGGGAGAGCTACAAACCACTGTTCAACGAAATGATAGTGTGGCTAGTTTTTTTTAAATCTACAAGCACAAATATTTTCAATCAAAGGCATTCTGATACAAATTATATTTTTTTCCTCCCATTTTTTCGTTTTAGTGTAATAAAGGAAATTTGACAGCTTTTTCTTGACATGCTTGGACATTTCAATTTGGAGATGGGGGAAAATTATTAAATAGTGATGCTCAAATTACATCTAATGTATTACAATACATTTTGAATTTGCTGCTTAAATAGGCTGACATGTGGCAAATGAAATTTAACGTTGACAAATGTAGAGTAATGCAAATTAGCCTCAGATATAATAAGTTACAGATAAAAAATTACAGGTAATTGATGTGATGCATGAAGACCTTGAAAAAGACCTTGAAGTGTTTACAAACTTTCAGGAACCTTCTCACGTGAAAACAAACTCTGTGCTGAAGTCGAAATACCTCAAGCTCTATATGAAGTATTGTTTAATTGGGTAACATGGTTCCAAATTGAAAAAAGTTATATTATTTTTGTGGCTAACTCATACATCTTCTACAGAGAAAAGTAACTTTATCTCACTGTAATGCTTTTTAAAATATTTAAACATACAGTAAAGCAATTTCCCTTATTAACTCTATTAACATCTGAAGTGCAATTGTAAGGGAAAGACCTAAAACTTGTTCGATGTCCTAGCGTATAACTCCAATGCATATCTCTATTAGAGAGAGAGAAACTAGCAGATTACACAGTTTTTCATGCTCCACAATCCCTGGGAAGCCATCTAAGACACCTTACCCTTTTAGCCAGGTCAGGAACTTGTGTGTTTTCAGTTCAGTTCACTGTCCTTGGCATGAACGTTAATTAGAATCAGTTACAAGTCTTTTTTTGGCTATAAAATACTTCAAGAAAAAAATTCACCTCTCTTACTCATCATAAAAGAATGAAGCAGATATTGGAAAATCAAATGTTTTCTGTTTTTTCCATGTTATTTAATGCTCACAGACAAAGAAAGCCGAAGGTAGATTATTTTCCTTCTTTCAATTGTCTCTAGCTTTTAAGCTAAAAACCTTGGTCTGAAAACCTATTTACAAAATGTGTGCATCATGTTATACATAAATTAGCATTTCCTAATTGGTGATTGTTAAAAACTTAAAATTATTAATATATTTTTAATGGGGAAGTACACATATTTACGTGATCATATACTAAATGTATTTAATTATTTTTATGCATATGCAATTAAAATGGTACACATATCCTTACAGGAGTTCACTTCTTTGCCACACTATTGAATGTCTACAGAAGAGAAGGGGCTAAACAGTGGAGATGAACACTCTCCTGGTTACCCGAGCCACCCAGTTTACATATGAAATTGTAAATGACTAATGACTTTCAAAATAAATGTAGTTGAGTGATGAGGATACAGTATACTTAATATTCCAAAAACAATTACAATTTTATGTTTCAACATATACCTTTATTCTTGGAATTAAAAGAAGGGGAGCTGTTTATAATTCTTTATGAGTCATACATGTGTAAATATGTATGGGTGTTGAGAAACTATTGTAACTGAAAAATAAATATTAAAACAAATAATATGCATATAAATATCTTTGTAACTATAAATGTTATTAAATTCAGTTATGAGTTGCTCAGTATAACATTATAATTGAAAATTTAATTCTCTTTTATGCACATATTTACAGATGTGAATGGTGATGAATATTACATATTCATTAAATATCCCTGAGAAAGCCAATTCCACATTGTATTCAGAAAGCTTAGTTCAAAGAATATGCTTTTTCCCTTTTTAAACATTCATTTCACTGAATGGTGTGTCCATTTACAGTAGAATAATATTCTTCCCAACAGAGTTGAACAGAGTAGTGCTAATCTTTATTCATAAGGCCAATAAATTTTTTCAAAGAACACATCTGCTAAAGGGTAAAATGACTATGAGTAAGATGAATGGTGACTTTTTTTAGCTTTCTAGTGACAGCTATTATAAAAGGTTTAGGTTATTTATTTTTGGCTCACTGATAGAGCTTATGGTGTGGCAGGTGAAACACTAGAAAAAATGCTTTCAGAGTTGGCTTTATGATAATTATGTCCCCAAGAGGAAAAAAGTTATACACACACACAAACACACACACAAACACACACACACACACACACAATTTCAATTATGGAAGGGAAACATTTAAAAATTTTTGTAAATCCACATGTGATACTGTGATTTCTTTTGGGAAAGTAAACCAACCATTCGTAGTTTATATTGCTTTGTTGTATTAGTAGTATACCTAGTAATTTTATTACCTTAGTTTTATGATACCTTATTCTGAAACGCATTATTCCATCTATTCAGCAAGAATAGCAAAATTCTATTTTACTTCTAACAAGACAATTGAGACCTGAAAAGTTATGTAGCATTAAATAAAAAAAAACATATTTATAAGTGGATTATGGGAAGGTAGTGTTGTCTTTAGAGAAAAATAATTATTTACTCCTTGTAATACAGTTGGCCCTTCATATCCACAGATTCCACATCAAAGATTCAACTAATTGTGGATAGAAAATGTAGTTAGGCTTATGATGGTCATGTCTATACTGAACATGTAGATACTATTTTTCCTTGCTATTATTCCCTAAATAATACAGTGTACCAACTATTTGCATGGCATTTACATTTTATTACATATTATAGGTAATCTAGAGATGATTTAAAGTATACAGGAGGATGTACACAGGAATACCATGCCGTTTTATAAAAGGACTTGAGTATCATCAGATTATCTGCAGAGGGTCTTAGAAATAAATTCCCTTGGATACTGAGAGACAATTGTACTTTGCATAATCATTTATTTTTGGTTTTGGAGTTAACCATCTGTAATTATTGTAGCTTATATCATAGAAAGACATATATCATTGTAAGTCTTTGTCCAAATATGTAAACACATGCCTCCATCTCCTCCTTTAACTTTTTAAAATTTATTTTAAGTTAGAAAATCTGTTTTTCTTATTTTCTTTGGCTTTAGAAATTGGTAGTCTGCAATTAGCTATTAATTTGTGCCTTATATTCTTAATGATAGACTTATGAAGAATTAAATATAAAATCTAATTTTTCCTTATGTTTTAAATGTAAACACAAAAATGTATTTGAAAGTCAAACTTAATTGTTACATATTTCCTTTGTAACAGTAAATACTAAAATATTCAGTATTTTGGTCACAACATTCAAATTGTGAAAATCATATAAACCAGTTAGTCAGTAGATAGTTTCTTGTCTGCTTTCAGTGAAACTCTTTGGATTACTCTTTCTCCGCAAGCTTAATGTGAATACTTTTTGTCTCTTTAGCTCACATTCACACTGTCAGTTTAAAGGAATACCATCTTTTCTGTATGCCAGCTTAAAACAAGAATACATCATCCTGAATCACAGTGAAGAAATATTCCTCTAGATTCTTTTTAAATCTAATTTAGGCTTTAATTAGTTGTAGATGAAAAATCCAATCTAATCGTTAAGTGCAAAAAATTATTTCAACTTTAGCTAAAATATTAAATTGTTGAATATCCCGTTACATCTTGATCAAGAAAAGTATGAGAAGGTTGAAACAATGATTAAATTATTTTATTCCTTTTTATGTGCTTTTGTAGAAATACTTGGTAGTTTTCAAATGAATATTGTTAGATTAGAGAAGGAGAATAAGACAAAAAAGAAGGAAGGGAAAGACGGAGGGAAGGGAGTGGAAGAAACAGAAATGAAGGAGAAAATAAGGAATGAGGCAATTGACTATGATTATCTGTTCAAGAAAGTGGAAAGTTGGAGATGGATTGTGCAACAATGAACAATCTTGGAGCCATCTTGTGTGATTTATAAAGCCTAAAATCTATAATTACTTTAAAAAGTATTTCATGAGTATGATATACCAAACAATTCATAGGTGATTTGTATACTGACACCATAAAGTTAATGGCTGAGCAATTTTTCCATTGAAATAAATGAGCCACACGCACATACACATTTGCATGCACTTTCTCTCACACACAGGCAGACACACACTCACACACAGGTGTGTGCAGACACACACACAGACGTTATCTAATTTAGGTAATAAACCTCTTTAGAACTTCCCATCCTAAAATGATAATGAGAGGAAAGACAGAAAGAGAAACTTACACTCTTGCACTTGTAGGAAATACTTGTCTTATTCAAAAATGCTAACTTCACAGGACACCTTTCCTTTCTTTCTGGACGCTCAAAAGAAGATAACTACTGGAATTTTTATATGTGTCTGTATCCTCTCATCTGCAAATAATTGATAATTATTCACTTAACTATTTATTAAGTATCCAGCCACAGTGTATATAGCAGCCAATAAAACAAACAAAGCATCTCTTTTCTTTCTTTTTAAAATTCTAATGACAAGATAGACAATAAACAAATAATTTTAAAACAATCAGATATTGCCAAGTGATATGAGGATAATCAAGTATGAAGGTGATAAATTTCTAATTGGGCTTAAAATTTTAACTGGTTGATCAAGAAGAAGTCATTGAATAGGTAATATTTGGACAAAGGAAAACAAATGTGAGGCACGAAGTCATGGAGAGTACTGACCAGGAAGAGTGCAGGAAGAGAAGACAAATGCAAAGATCTTGAAGTAGAAAAATATCTGTTGCGGGTGTAACCAGGATGCATGGAGTGGCCACGACAGTGTGGTAGGACAGTGGAAGGTAGCGACGTAAGGAATTAAGGGCATATCATGGAGGAACACAGGGATAATTGCATGGAGTTGGAGTTTCGCTCTGAGTGAAAATGGGAGGATTTGCAGACATGATTTGATTAGGATGTGGTGTGTGAAAGAATGACGTAAGTCGGATATGATCTAACCAGTAGCTTGAACAATGGCCAGAGGGAATACTCAGAAATGAGATGAGGCATGTGACATTTGTGTGGCTCACTGAACATTCAAGTGAAAAGGTTGAATGCAGAATTGGATACTTTAGTCTAGAGTTCAGGAGAGAAGTTCAAGCTAAATTTGAATGTGTCTGTCATATTGAATTTTCAAAGAAAAAATATGCACTATCCATAGAAACTAGTTAAGTTGGTGTCTTATTTGTAAACGTTGAATTTTTGCTTGATACATCCTAGAATTTTCTCATTGAATTTAATGTAACTGCTTCTAAAACCTATAATTTTTTAAATACTTCATTTAAATAATGAAGTGGACTTATTTGTTGCTTGAAGACAACTTTTTATTAGCGCTAGTGAATATTTGCTCTCATATAGTATGTGCCTTATGAGAGGTGAAGACATAAAAGAAAACTTACAAAGTTTAAAACCTCTGTCCTTGTCTACTCAAAAAATACACTTGGACTAGTATGACAGTAAGGAAAACATAGTAACTGTTGTTTAACATGATGCCTATGTTAAATCTTGATAATTGCACTTTGATTTTTAGTTGGAATATAAAATGTTAATGTTTTATGATGAAAGTTTTCAACAATTTTCAGAAATGCCTAGAGAACTCATAGGTAATATTTTTAACAGTAGAAACTTCACTTTCTTAATAAAATAGATATAAAATATATGTTTATTTCTTAATTATTATAATTGTTAATGGCTTTTGAGGGATCATTGTATTCCAAATATGAATCTAATTGCCTTTTAATCTTATCGATTGTTTGGTAGCCCTATAATGTAAATTCTCTTTTAGTAATGAAAAAACAAATGAGATTTAACAAGTTTAAATAATTAACAAATAGCCCAAACAGGAGTAATTGTTCAAGATAGGATTTAAACCAAGGAAGAAAGAACTCAGAGCACATGCTCTAAGTGAGTTTTACTATGATCTACTGTATGTAAAATGGGATCCATTTATGACTTATGTGGGGAAGAAGGATCTTGTCCACAAAAGAAGAGCAATGAAGAGGAAGTCTTGATCACTACAAGGATCAGGATTAGCCTGAAAGTGGAGGAACTCAGATTGGTCAGGGGAAAAAAATGGAATAATGACTAGAAAAGTGATGTATAGGAGAGGGAAAAAGTTCCATTATCAGTGCTTACAGGCAGACGACCTAAGGGTGAGCAAGTCTGAAAAGTACATTTCACAAGTTTGAATTTTAGAAGAATGTAAAAAATTTAAATAAATCTGGGATGATACATTCCATGGTTTCAGGTTTCAGGTTAAAAAATATGAGGGCTTTTTTTGACTGCTGGCTTGGAAATCCATGTATAGAAGTTGAAATAAAGTTAAAATCCTTTATCTGTATTATTCAGAACTTAATGTTATTTAATGCCTAGGAAGAATGGTAAGATATTCTGCTTCCATTTTTATCAGTTTACATTTGCTCAAATCTTATGCAACAGTTATGAAAAACTATATTTAAAGCTTTATAAAACATCTTGCTTCACATTATAAAATTTCATTTTTGTTCAATGATATCTAACTTGATAACACTGTCAAATTAACCTTCTAAATATAAAAGCAGTATCCCAAAGTCCCTACGATAGAATTTCAGAGAATATTGAGCACAAAATAAATACTATTTATTTCATCTGGTTATCAACTTCAATTACCAGTTTCAGATTCTTGTTTGTGTCGTTTTAATTTATTCTAGTTCAAGAAAAATTATAGGAAGGTATCATTTTATATAAAAATGCATCCTCTTTACTAAATGAAATTTGAATCTGTTTTCTAGTATCAGTGGCCCATTTTATTGAAATCCTGCGATAAGCATGCAGTTATTACCTACTGTGTACAAGAAATGATTTTAGCCTCTGTGTAGCATACTATGATGAATGAGACATATAAGTTCAAATGTAAATTAATAATCAAATGTTTTATTTATATTAGCTAATAGTAAATCCTGTTTGATTTATTCCACAGTATAGATCCATAAATTCCACTTAGTTTGTGTAAATTATTGGCGTGGAAAAGCATCAATAATACAAGAAGAGATATGTGAACAGAAGAGGCACAGCAAAAATTTGCAGTCATAATTTGGGGCCTCAACCATGTGCTTTAACTCAATAAGCTCTTCCTGATCTTCACTGGCCTTAACGTTCAAGCAGTGAGAACAAGTTCAAGATTGGTCCTTATCCATGCAGAGCCCCATAGGGGTTACCTGCAAATTTAAGTAATTAGATGCATAATATTTTGCCAAAATTATAAGGAAATGCTTTCAGAATAAGGAAGTAAAAGCTTTCTCTTCTTAAAAAGAATGTTTCCCTGTAGCTTCTTGATTCTTGTTACTTCCATATGGCTGATATTTTTGAAAGAGCCTAAAGCCATGTCCCACTTCTCATTCCTTGGAAGACCAGAATAAAATTCAGGAGCAATAGAGCTCAAAGGAAAAGGGTAGGCAAAGTCTGACTTAGGCCTTACTGAAAACATGAGGTATGTTTTGCACGCTTTTTCTCAAGTTGGAGGGAAAAGATACAAATATATTTTGCGGCCAATAAGAAAACTTCCCCAACTGTTTTTTTTTGTTGTTGTTGTTGTTGTTAATTTAGCCAAAAAATTAAATAAGAAATTAAGCCTAAAGAAGAGAAAATGATGATTAAAGCCAAAGTTGATGATAAAAATTTGAAAGTCAGTTTTCTCAATTTATCCTCATTTTCTATGTGCATTAAGACTCGGCAATAGTGATTTATAATTTGCCAAATATTTACAAATATAACAAGTTCCTTGTCATGTCAATGTTTAGAAATAATAATGCCCTATCCAGGAAAATTTTTAATCCTATGCTTTTAAAATATTCTCTACTGAGTTGAGCATAATAAATGTAGATTTAAATTATCTTTTACTCCCATAGGATATATAGAATTAGTACTGTTTAATAATTAAACATTTAAATTATATTATGTTTTAAAATAAATATAAAAAACAAAGCTATAAAACATATGTACTGATTTTTAAAATGTATAGTGTTTAAAGATATATGTGAATACAGATTAAATATGTACTACATAAGGAGGAATAAATGAGTGCATTTTCTTATTTGATAATCTGCAAATTTATTTAGAATCAACTTCTGAGAAAGATAATAGTATCTAAGTACTTTACTTTGTATCATCCACTAAGAAATATATCTGACAACAAAACAAAACACCAGACAAAGCAAAGATGAGAAAAATGTTCTCTCTGTATAGTTACAAAACAGTCCATTTGAACCCAAGATAGCCTAGATCCTGGATTTAGAAGACTACGATTTGAAAGGAATTCAAGGAATTACAGAAAAATATGTTCAGATAAGTAAAATGCTATCTTAATCAGAGAAGAGTCAATAAACTTCAGCAGAGAAATTGGGAAGGAAGGAAGAAAGGAAGGAAAGAATGAGGAAGGAAGGAAAATAGGAAGAAAGGAAAGAAGGAGGAAGGAAGGAAAAAAGGAAGAAAGAAAGGAAGGAAGGAAAAAAGAAAGTCCAGGGCCAAATGGACAGTACGGCTTATGGCCATGGTGGAATAATTGGGTCATATATTGCCTTCCATAAACAATTCAAACACTGGACAGATATATGTGTCAACTGCTTAAGACACTGGATAGTTATCAGTGTAGCACCATAGTCCCTGAAGGAAGGCAAACAAATAAGGTAATATCTTGGGTTGCCTTGCATCTGTGCCTTGGAGTGGCTGTCTCGGTCATAGTTCAGGGAGGGTTATTGCAAAAGGAGCGCTGCCTTTTTCCAGAGTAAAGAGACAGAGATCAGAGTTCAAGAAGCTGCTGTGGCTAGAATTTGGAAAGAAATCCACATAGGGCCACTTGGATTCTGTTTGTGTAAATATGAAGCCATGCAGGCATCATGTGAACATTTTATAAAGCAAGTGAATAATAACCAGGTTGCTCGCAGTTGAACAGAGTCCAGAGATCACATAGGACTGGGATACTAGGGAGTTCCAACCAGCCAGAGTGAACTGGCTTTTCATGGCTGTGGGCCCAATTCCCATTGGAGTAGCTGTGCCAACCTTGCCATAGGTGACAAAGTGTCACTTCTTGGCCCTTGCAACCCCAGAATCAATCAACCCCACAGAATTTAAAGAACCTACTTTGATGGCAGCAGTTCCCAATACCAGTTCTTATTTACACTTGAGTCACCTTAGAATTCCTCAGGGATACCGGGCCTCTTGCCAGGAGTATACCTCTCTCAGCCTTCATGGGGGAAATGTCATATGAACAGCCTGAGGGATGAATTTAGGGTGTGGATGAATAAATCTTACACAGTAAGTCTAGTCTAGCAATCCAATCTTCATGAGTCTCTGGATTTTCCTCTGCAACATACTAAGACTGGCATTTGAGCATTTTTAGGATTCAAGTTTCAGGCAACTGAACAAACTAGCCATGATAACCACTCTCAGAATCTTTAACTAAACCAGTGTACCCAGAACCCCTGCCTAGTAAGCTTGTATCTCAATAATTTCTTCCTATTTCATTACATTTCTTTAACCACAGACCAACAATTTTAGGATCCATTTTCATAAATGTTCCCCAGATTTCTATCAATAATATTGACAGACATTTCATTTAGTGTTTTTCACACATGCTAAGAGGTCACACATACCTCACCCTCTGGGTTATGTGTGAAATTTAATGGAGTTTTAGGAAGCAATGAGAAATGGTGAAGATGGGGCCTTAAGAGAATCAGATTTTCCTGGAAAGGCAACTAGAGTAGTGGTGGTGATTGCAATTTCTTCATTCAAGAGTGGATGATTTCTGGCCGGGCGCAGTGGCTCACGCCTGTAATCCCAGCACTTTGGGAGGCCGAGACGGGCGGATCACGAGGTCAGCAGATAGAGACCATCCTGGCTAACACGGTGAAAACCCGTCTCTACTAAAAATACAAAAAAATTAGCTGGGCCTAGTGGCGGGCGCCTATGGTCCCAGCTACTCAGGAGGCTGAGGCAGGAGAATGGCGTGAGCCTGCGGGGCGGAGCTTGCAGTGAACCGAGATCCCACCACTGCACTCCAGCCTGGGCGACAGAGCCAGACTCCATCTCAAAAAAAAAAAAAAAAAAAAAAAAAAAAAGAAGTGGATGATTTCCTCAATCCTGGAAAAGACAGGGCTCTTCTATTCATAAAGGAGACTTGATAGCATTTAGGGATTCCAGATTCCCAGATTTAGTGGAATCTGCCTTTGTATCTCTGTCTTCATATTAAAGGTCTTATTCCTTCCCAGCCAGCCAATGTTCTAATTTTAACATAACAGATTGTGAATTGTTTGTGTTTAATTCAACCACTGAGAATATTGGATTTGGCATTTCATTTTTACAAATTTTGACCATAAGGCTGGAGGAGACAGGGTTTCTTTTTAATTACAGAATTTTCTGGTCTCTTACTTGGACATTGAATTGATGACAAAGATCTGAGATGAAAATTTTTTAACTGACCTCTCTTACAAGAAATAACGACTAATAAATTATATAATATTTCTTATTTTCATTAAAGTATTCTGTGACAACTACATTGTCACCTAAAATGTTTTACTTTTAATAATTTGATGTCATTATATCTATAGTTGATAAAATTAAGTGACTATTTCGCGACTGTATGACGTGCTCCTAGTGTGCCCTTTATCAATGGAAAAAGTGCTCTTTAATGGCCTTTAATCTACTCAGATCATTTAACAAATTCCAGACATCTAAGAACCAATTCAAAAATCATTTTGTTGTTTTTGAGACAGGGTCTGGCTCTGTTGTCCAGGCTGGTGTGCAGTGGCACAGTCTCGGTTCACTGCAACCTCCACCTCCTAGGCTCAAGCCATCCTCCCGCCTCAGCCTCCCAAGTACCATGAACTACAGACATGTGCCACCATGCTCACCTCATTTTTAACTATTTTTTTCTACAGACAGAGTTTTGCCATGTTGCCCAGGCTGGTCTCAAACTCCTGAGCTCAAGCAGTCCACCTGCCTTGACCTCTCGAAGTGCTGGGATTACAGGCGTGGGTCACACTGTGCCACTCAAATATCAGTTTTTAAGGTTTCCTTCCACAAAACCCTTCCTAGCACCAATTTGGTCTGGATTTTAGAGGCAGAACTGCTTTAAAGAAAATGAATAGGATATTCCTAAAAGAAATCAGTTTTATGGATCTCTGGGAGCTCTTTTTGTTAAGAATTAAACTTTTTCTGCATCTTTGCTACTCTTGTAATTCACCTCTGGGCTGAATCATCAACTTTTACTACTCTTCAGCTTGGAGACATGCTAGACTAGTCATATGACAACAGGTGGATCACTGGCTGTAAATGGAGCCCCTAAATGATTACTCTCTTTCAGGCTTTCAAAGCATTTGTCTACTGTATGGATTGCCCTCAACAGCCATAGATACTATACTTCAAATGCCTGAGTATCGCACTAGTTGTGACAGGTCTTGGGAAAGGTGGCTTCTTCAGGCTAAGAAAATTGCTGGAGAGGGGCTCAGCCGAGAGCTCCAGCTGCCTGCACCATCTGCCCATGGAATGAGTGCTCTGGCCTGTAAGAGACAAGGGCAGCTGGGTAGATCAGCAACCTTTATCAAAAAATAGGACAAGAAGGAACACCTTGCAAGAAGACTTATGATGCCCCCAAATGTCATTGCAATTACAGAACAGTATCTATAACAAAAAAATTAAATACCATCAAATCAAATCTAATACGACAGGAAAATGATGATTGTACCATAATAGGGGTGGGAATGAGCGTTGATTAGAAAAGATTTATTCTAATATCCAGAAAATAGACTATCACTATATTAACAGAAGAAAGAAGAAAATACAGGGGTTTTTAGAAATAGATGCCAAGAAAGCTTTTGCTGAGATTTATCATAGAAAACTAGAAAACTCTTACTCTTCCAGTAAGAGTTATCTATGGAAAACCTACTGCTAACATTATAATTAAGAGCCCACGCCTGTAATCCCAGCACTTTGGGAGGCCAAGGTAGGTGGATCACCTGAGGTCAGTAGTTCAAGACCAGCCTGACCAACATGGTGAAACCCCGTCTCAACTAAAAATACAAAAAAATTAGCTGGGCGTGGTGGCGGGTGCCTGTAATCCCAGCTACTTCAGGAGGCTGAGGCAGGAGAATCGCTTGAACCCTAGAGGTGCAGCTTGCAGTGAGCCGAGATCGCGCCATTGCACTCCAGCCTGGGCGACAAGAGCAAAACTCTGTCTCAAAAAATAATAATAAATAAATAAATAAATAAATAATTTAAAAGGGTGAAATATTAAACAGTTTTTTTCCTAAGATCAGAAGCAAATAAAGGATGCCTGCTCTTACCGTTCTGTTCAACAAAGGATTATTAGTACAAGACAGCACAGAAAATAAGAAAATCTTTAACGGTCTCAAGATTGGAAAAAAAATACAATTGTATTTGATAACAGATGACATAGACGTTTACACACACAAAATTCTAAGGCATGTAGAAGCAATTACTCAGTAAAATAAATCATTTAATCAGAGTTATAGTATATAAAATAATATAGACAAATACATCTCAATTCTACATATAATCTAAAAGAAATTTAAAATGAAGTTAAACAGTTGCATTCAGGCCGGGCAGTGGCTCACGCCTGTAATCCCCATGATTTGGGAGCCCAAGGCAGGAGGATCGTTTGAGACAAGGACTTTGAGACCAGCATGCACAACACAGAGAGACTCCGTCTCTGCAAAAAAATTTAAAAGTCTAGCATGGTGGCACCCACCTGTAGGTAGTCAGGAGGCTGAGGTGAGAGATATGCTTGAGCCCAAGAGCTCAAGGTTGCAGTGAGCTGTGATGGCACCACTGCACTCCAGCCTGCGTGAAAAAACTAGACCCTGTCTCAAAAAATTCACTTGAAATCATATCAAAAGTGTTAAACTAGGAATTGATTGAACAAAGGCCACTCAATAATTGTGTATTGAAATTTTTTTAATTGCTGACACAAATAATAGAAGACTATAAGTGACAATTTAGAAATAAATAAAATATGTTTTATATAATTTAACTATTGCTGATATTTAAATATGAATTACACTGGATTTTTATGCAAATATGTTTATAAAAGGAAATAGAAAGAATACATACATTAAATAAGGATTTTTTTTTTGCATGAACACTATATACTTTTTTCAGCCAGTACAATGAATTTAGATATTTTTCATCCTTCCTCCCTCCTTCACTTTCTTCTATTCTATAATTCCTCATCCTTCACCATTTCCTTAATATAAATGATTAACTGTTATATATTGAGTGATATCTAAATATATAATAGTTAATTATTATACAACTATTAAATATTATATATAAATGTTACATAATATTTATATAATATATGTAAATATATTTTTTTATATTTTTATTTTTCATAAGATAATATAATAGGGTTGCTACTCATCTGTATCTTATTATTTAAGGTCAAAAATATATATTGACCATTCTTTTGTATGGGCATATATTTCAAAATCTCCTCTTATGGAAAACAGAAGAGGGAAACATTAATAAATATTTTGAGAATAAAAGCTCATAAAGGAAAATATGAAAGACATAAATAGGCTTATGAGGCTGATGCTGAAAATAAACTGATCTTAGTAAAGAAAAGATAGGAGGCAAATGAAATGCAACAGTAGAATAAACATTTTCTTAGGGACATTGAATGGAAAAGCAGCCTCTTGATACAGTTAAGTAGCTTGATCAGTGCAGCTGTACTCGCTAACCCAGATGATAGCCAATTTATCATCAGAAACAATGGAGCTGGAAGATCATAGTATGACATACATATAGAAGATGAAATATATAAATGAATACAAAATCTAGTAGATGCTATTTTGCCAAGGTAGAGATCACAAAACATATGTGTAAAATTGACTTACGAACTTAAAATATCTTTATAATGGTGCAACTGGGTATATACAACCTTATCCAACTTATTAAACCCAAATCTCCAATATTGAAACAAATTAACATTCTGTATCTTCCAATGAGACTCACTTTGCATGCACACATTACTTCAGTGATATGTCTAATAAAATTTGTCCGAATTTAATCATAAGGAAATATCGCACAAATCTAAATTGAAAGTAATTCTACAAAGTAGCTGCTTTGTATTCTTTAACTGCATTAATATCAAAAACCAAGGAAATTATTAGGAAATGTTTCAGGTTATATGACTAACAATATCTCTTAATTTAATGCAATCAATAAGTTAATCCATGCTGGGTTAGGAATATAAATAATTTTAAAGAATTTTATTTGGACAATTAATGAAATTTAAATACAGGTTGTAAATTTCAAGGTGTATTAGTCCCTTTTCATACTGCTGTAAACAACTGCCCAAGATAAAGGAGAAGGGTTTGACTCTTTTCAGGATGGCTGGGGAGGCCTCAGGAAACTTACAATCATGGTGGAAGACCAAGGGGAAACAAGGCATCTTCTTCACAAGGTGGCAGGAAGGAGAAGTGCCAAGCAACGGGGAGAAGAGCCGCTTATAAAATCATCAGATTTCACGAGAACTCCCTAGCTATCACAAGAACAGCAGGAGGGTAACCACCCCCATGATTCAGTTACCTCCACCTGGTCTCTCCCTTGACATATGGGGATTATGGGGATTTTAAGAATTGTAATTCAAGATGAGATTTGGGTGGGGACACAAAGCCTAACCATATCACAAGGTTTGTGGGTATTTGTCCTAAGGTTAAATGGTCTGATTTTATTATATGTTTTGTGGTTACATAATAACATTGTCCTCATTCTCAGGAAATACACTGAAATCATGAATAAGGGGAAAAATAGATGATATACAGTGTTTAAAATGTTTTTGATATAACCTAGTAGGGATGTCTACTTGTCAGCTAGATATGAAGAGCTTTGCTCAGACAATAATTCTGAACCAAAAATGTAGCTTAGAAGATTAGTTATATAGGTTGTGTATGAATAGAGAATTTATTGAGAATAAATATAATAGATGGGCTAGGATGAAATTTTGAATAATGACAAAAGTAAATAATCAGTGTAAAGGAGAATAGCTAGCAGAGAAAAGAGGAAATACTAAAAGGTATGATTTGGTGAAAGGTAAATAAAGATGACTCAGAAATAAGAATAGGGTCAAGAGTGTTAAAATTTTCTAACAGCTTAGGAAAAAGGAAAATAAGCGAAAGAATTTATTGCATTTAGAAACATGAAGGAAGCAGTGATGTGAACAAGAGCTGTTTGTTTGATTGAAAAGTGCAGAAGTCAGAATGAAGGAGAGGCTAGAAAATTAGCAGCTACAAAGTCTGTGTGTTGATGATTCTTTGAGAATTTGGCCAGTGGGAAGGAGTGAAAGAAAGCAGAGAAGAATATGTTTTGGATCAAGTGAAATAGATGTGACCTCGGGGAGAAAAAATGTTTAAATTGTATGCATAAGAGCCACTTACAGCTGGAAATTGAAGGTAACAAAAATGTGGAGACAAATGTAGATAACTCTACAAAGAGGAAGAGAGAATTCTCTGTATGAAAAAAGATGAGAGCTGGAGGGAAATATTAAAATGTTAAATATAGATGTCGAAAGAGCCAATAGAAAGCATGAATTTGAAGATCCAGAAATGCTGGAAAAGATTTGTAAAATCTTTTGTAAAAATCCCTCAAAGGATCAGGAAGATTCACTCTTTAATTTAGAAAATACATAAAGAAGGAAAACCAGAAAGAAGCCTATTGTCGAGATGATAGATATGAACTGATTTATTTAAGGCATTAAGAAATAGCTGAAGGAAACTTTTATAAAAAATTTTCAGGGAAAATCTGACAGCATAAAATAAATTTAATGTGTATGCATGTATGTGTGTATGTGTTTGCATATATGCATTGTGTAAATGTATTTATAGAAATAATTATGTATGTACGTATTAATGTACAAATAAATGGGTGTGTGTATGCATATAATAGCTATATGGTTGCATAGCAGCTTGTGCATATGTCCATAGCTTTTTCAGACTCCGGCTTCAATAGAGCAGGATTAATGTTTTAGGCATTCTTGAATACTACATACAATACCGTGTGTTTGGGGCATATTTCTGCAGTAAATTCTTGGAAAGAATGACACCAGTGTGATATACTATAGTTCTCAACCAGACCTATTTCTAACTGCTAATTTCTTTTAAAGAACTTTTATGAAAGATGACGTTAATCATCATAGAAAAGTTATTTTGAGCAACATCTTTAAATTAAACTAGTCTGTTCCCATGTAATTTAACAAATCAATCAGTTTACAAGGGAATCTAGTTAGACCCAGGAGTAAGGGCATTTTGTAGTATTAACATAGGACAGCAAGCACAGTTCCTTCTGCCAACACTACTTCCTGCACCCCCACTGCGTGATGAACAATAGACGCTGAAGTCTCTGCTGCTTTCTGTTTGGTTTGGTTTTGCCTGTGTGATGCTGGAATGTCTATAAAGAGACACGCGCTGTTTGAACTTAGCTATTTGAAATATGTTCTGAAAAATAAGTAGGCTTTCTTGGAAAGCCAGTCTAATTTTACAAAAAGATCAGCGTGGGACTAGAATATATGTGCCCAAATATATGATGACATATATTTTTATTTTACTGTTAATACTAAACTTCCCAAATATAATGTTGTAGCCTCGTAAAAATGGCAGAGAAGTAAGTTTTCTGTCTTACAATGGTGAATGTGTGGGGAATATGCATAATTTCAAACATTAGTGATTTTATTTAACCTATGTTTACAGAAAATAAGTTACACCACCAGTCCATATACATAACACATTATTTTCAGTAATAAAATAATTATTTATTATGTACTGTTTTAGGAGGTTATAGTCAATCATGTAAATGCATTACTAAAAAGTACAGGATAATTAGGGTATAGCACAGATGCATGATAATAAAATATTCGACAATTCCTTGCTAAATAATTGTGTTCTTCAAAAGCTTTATTAAGATGCTATAAGATACCAAGAACTAGATTATTTTAATTGGGCCATCTTTGTATTACTAATCTCTATCACGGAAATTCATGTCTTTGCTAGTATAATATATGATGCATAATAAAGATTAGTCCATTTTCTCCATACAATTCTACTCTGTGTATTTCATTACCGTTTTCTCAAAAAATTCCATATTTAAATTTCACAATTGTTTTTACTATACGTATGGTTACTTGAGTAATGAAAGACAATATTTGGTAATTTTTTGTTGGTATTTTTACTGCGGTGATTGTTTATGCTGAGACCTTATTGAATAGTTTTGGATGAACATACAGATATAAGAAAGAATAGCTTAGTCCAGTTTCTTTGAATATCACAATCACTATACTGATATTGACGCACTCCACCTAGGCTCACTCAGATTTTACTTGTACTCATGTCTGTGTATACATGTACTTACTTCCAAACATTTTTCACTATTTTCATCATTTAAAAGTGGCTTCTAGTATATTCACAATATTGTGCAACCATCAATGCGATGTAATACTAGTTCTATACAATTTTATTGCATGTGTAGGTTGCTGTATCCACCCCTGCAGCCAAGACACTACACCCTCCCTCATCCTCTGCTCCTTCTGTTCCTAACCCCTGTCCACCACTGATCATTGCATTGTTGTGTTGTTTGCTTGTTTGTTTTTAAATTCTTAGAATGTGTAAACTGAATGACTACTACTATTATGAAAAATCACTTATTCTCTTTGTGATTCTTAGTTATTCACCTATCTGAGAATTCTAAGATATGTCTAGGAAGGGCATTTTCATTTTAATTTATTTTTCATTTTTACTTAAACCTTTACTGAGATTTATTATTTAGAGTAGTTAGCCTTTTAATCCATCAATTTTTTTTTTTTTTTTTTTTTTGAGACAGAGTCTCGCTTTGTCACCCAGGCTGGAGTGCAGTGGTGCGATCTCAGCTCACTGCAAGCTCCACCTACTGGGTTCACGCCATTCTCCTGCCTCAGCCTCCCAAGTAGCTGGGACTACAGGTGCCCGCCACCACGCCCGGCTAATTTTTTTTGTATTTTTAGTAGAGACGGGGTTTCACCATGTTAGCCAGGATGGTCTCGATCTCCTGACCTCATGATCTGCCCGCCTCGGCCTCCCAAAGTACTGGGATTACAGGCGTGAGTCACCTATCAACATTTTTTAAATGATGAATTTGTATGGTTATTTTAGCCTAATAGAATGGTAAGAAGTAATTCAATATCCTCCTGAAATACTGCAACTTTCTTTTATTTCTGGTCACAGTTGCAAAATACTAATTATGTAAGTGACTGTTCTTATTAGGTCCAGTTATTCAGATCTCTCTACTTTAGTTCTTCTGTAATTGACTCTTCATCACCACTGAAACTGCAAATCACCCATCAAGGCTGCAGCAACCAAATGAAAAATTTGCAAATAGAACTAAAGGCCACACCCTGCGGAAAAAACTTAAAAGTCAGGTTTGCATCACACTATGAACGATTACCATGATGTCATTAAGTTTTTTTATAATAAACTTTATGTTTAGAGTAGTTTTAGGTTCATAGAAAAATTGAGCAGAAAGTACAGAGAGTTTCCATGTAAGGCCTGCCCCAACACAGGCATGGCCTCCCCCATTATCAACATTCCACACCACAGTGGTCCACCTGTTATAATCCATATACCTATATTGACACACCATCACACAAAGTCTACAGTTCACATTCGGGTTCACTCTTGGTCTTGTAAAGTCTAGGAATTTTGGCAAATGTATAGTTACACGTATTCACCATTATCGTGCAGATTAATTGCACTGCCATAAATATTCTCTATGTTCTTCCTATTCATCTACCTCCAACACCTGGCAGCCACTGATCTTTTTGACTTTCTCCTTCATTTTGCTCCAAACTATTATGCTATAGGAATAATATATTATGTAGCCTTTTCAGGTTAGCTTTTTTACTTAGTACTATATATTTAATTTTGCTCCAATTTTTTTTTTTTTTCGTGGCTTGGTAAACCATTTCTTTTTAGTGTTGGCTAATATACCATTGACTGGATGTACTACAGCTTATCCATTCACCTACTGAAAGACACTTTGGTTGTTTCCGAGTTTTGACAGTTATAAATAAAGCTGTTATAAACATTCGTATACAGGTTTCTTGTGGACGTAAGTTTTCAACTCATTTGGGTAAATGCCAAGGACTGTAATTGCTGAATCATAGTTGACTAGATTTTACTGTCACCGAGCATAGAAACAGTCATTAACTTTAGGTTTTGACTCATTGGGAGGGTTGAGGAAAATAATCTAGGTGATTTTGGATAATTTAGTTTCTTTTTTGTGCAACAAATAGAATAAGTCAAAAAATAAATGAGGAATTGCTACTGTTGAGGTAGAAGACCTGTATCATGTTGGCTTTTTTACTTTTATAGCTTTGAAAAATTACATTTCCAGTAAAATCATACTTGTTATGTATACAGTTTTATCTAATTTCTGTAGTATGTGCGCTTAACCCCTAGCTCTATTTTCCTATTACCACTAAGCCTTCTGTTATTTTATTGACAAACATATTTAAATATCAAAAGAAATTAAAAATTATTATAATTATCATGAAAAATATTAACCTGTTTATATCCAATGCATTTTTAATTGTACAATACATACATAGACTGAAATTTTAAATGACAACACAAAAAATTGGCCCTATTTGTTTTCTTTGTACTTAAATTTTGTACTTAAATCATGTGCTGTATTTGAGTCCTAGAGTATCTGAAATAATTTCATCCATTTAGAATTTAAAAAATGAGGTCATAATATTGAAGACACAATAAATACAATCAAAGGCTAGAAACAGGCCATCAATAATAAAGGAAATTTGGCTATTAGGGGAGCAAAAATTTTGAAATAATGTCAATATTAAGTGTTAGACAGCATATGGAGCAAGAAGAATACTCTCATCTTGCTAATAGGATTTTTTTTTTCAAAACTTTTTAAACAATTACAAAAGCAAGTTGGCACTCTGTGGGAAAGCTGATTGTGTGCATAAACTAAAACCCAGAAATTCTGAGGCTTATGTCTTCGAGTTGACATTAAATTTGCCTTCAAGTCTAAGATATTTCCTGTCTTGTCCTTTACATAGAAAGTTTGATAAACCTTTGATGTCTTCAACATGCACACAAAGAAAATATACAAGGTTGTTTATTCCCCAAATTCCAGTTAATAGAGAATATTTGATTAAAAATTTATATGTATTATGAATAAATTGGTAAAAATATATTGTGATTATTTTTCACAAGAATAAAATGAGAAGGTGCAGAATTTTCTGTATAGTATTATTTCCTTCATATCAAATATCTAAAATTTGTAAACCAGTACTCAATATGACATGTAGATAGATACACTCAAATTATAAAACCATGCATGATGATGATAAACACCAAATTTAGGTTAGTTTTTTTTTTTCTTTCACTTCTGTTGCATTTGGGAATAACATATCACAACGAATTGTGTAATTAAATTAAATCACAGAGATAAAATTACAGCCCATCTTTATCTTCAGGATTTCATTTTATTACACAATTCCACATTTTGATTTATCTCTTTACTGGTTTTAGATACTGAGTAGCTTATAGAAGGGTATATGCATGTGAGATTCCCTGACATTTTACATGGGGAATCTTTGTTTATTGCCTTTATGACTGAAGCATAACTTGGATCAGCATTAAAATTTTAGACCATACTTTTTCTAGAAACTGAAAAAATTACATGGGTGAGCCATGGGTGTCTCTAGGCCAAACACAGAGACAAAGTAAATAAATTACCGGATTGGCCACAGCCAGGCATTTGCATTATTTGAGAATGCTGTGATGAGACATTTGCCTAATTTGGATATAGTCCAATGGGATGTCCCAAGTTGTACCGGACATCAGCTGGTTGGCTGTCTATGATGGACTGAGACCGGTTTTTTGTTTGTTTGTTTGTTTGTGTGGTTGGCTTTGTTTTAAGCCAGTTATAGAAAATGTTTCCGTGTTGTGTTCCAGTTGTTGATATAAGAGCACTGGGGGCAGAAACAACCCCAGGCGAATGGCCTGCTACTTATTTTGCTTGAATACTTTTGTTTCACTAAACACATGAGGGTTTTTAGACTATATGAGCGTAAATATCTGCACATTCTAATTCGTGAAAAGTAAGTAACATACATTAACAGGAGACAAAGTTAGCCTAGTCAGAAATTTAATTTGAAGTGGAAATTATTCTAGTATGGGTTGAGTTTATCTTTAGAGATGTCCCACCTGACTTAGTATTTAATAATGTCTATAAGAAGTTTATGTTCTTATTCCTCAGGTACTCTAAATAATAAAATTTATGTTTCCTACTTGTTCTGTTTTATGCATTCTACGAATTATATTATTATTGCTGTTATTTGCCCCAAATTCTGAAGAAAGAAATGAAACATCATTCTCAAAAATAAGTTTGAAACAGCATGGTTAGACAGGTGGTTTCCTCAAAGGTCCATTATCACCATTTTTTCTTTAATGCCATAATCACATTTTTAGTGAGTCAGATGGCTGTACAGCTGCCTCCCATGCAGCCAGCTGTGGCCCTCCAATGACTTTCAGGGAAATTTCAATATATGCAAAAGTGGCCTCTGTACAGCTGCCTGGCTATGTCCTTTGAGAAGGGTGTGCCGTGCACTTAGCTTTAGTTCTCTCTCCTGGTAGCTGGGCCAACAGGGTGCGGGAGATGTGCACCAGCTCAGCTTCTGAGGTGTTATTTGTACACTTGGATGGTCCAGTGCATCAACATTGAAGGAGACAGGATTCCTGACTGCATGTAGTGACATATTACCTGGAATGTTAAATGTGAACTAAGACTAGCCAACTGAGCGCAATACCTAAAACTTCAGGAAAAAAAAAATACATAGCTGGCAAGATTTCACTCTCAATAATCTATTTTACCTTGAAATTGATATGTAGTTTCAGATGAAGCCATGCTGTCTTTCCATAGAAGATTTAAAAGGGGATTTCACCTTTGGGTGCACTCTCCAACGTATACTAGCACTGAATTTAGGTTAAATAATTTATCACAGACAATAAATGCAATGCACATTTTCAAACATTCAATTGTAGTTTGTGAAAATGCCATTATCATGCACATATGTGTTTTTTAACCTTTTATTATAACCCCAACGTAACATGCTTCAGAATATATACTAATGATGATGTACTGTTGTGAAGTCTCTTGTTTAAGCTCATTGAGGGTTTGACCTATTTTCACATCAGATTTAGTTTAATATCTACTTAATTAAACATCGGAAGAACCATTCTTTTTATTATTGACATATTTCTTTCACATTTAAATTGTGTTCTTACCATTTTCAAGAAACGTTTCATTAATTTCAGTGACATTAAGGCAGGTATTTCAAGAGACTGTTTTATAATCCTTGACATCTTTTCAGCAACTTTCGCTCTCAGCTTTTACTTTCATCGCCTGGAGTCTTAAGTAAATTCAATAAAACTATGTAAAAGTTTATGTTTTTCACAAAACTTATGTCTTCCCTTAGTTGTATTTGCTTGTTTATTTTATAGCAGCTGGAATGAAAGAAATGTCTTTATAGGCCTAGGGTCTCAAGTTTATGGAGAAATAATGATTATCATTTTTGAAAATGTTGACTGAAATTTTGATAGAAACATTTGTTTTCCTTGACAAGGGCCAATTTTTAAATGCTTAAATTCATTTTCCATGCATTTTATAACTCTAAATTAAAATGTTTAAATATGTATGGCCGAATTATTTAAAACTGTGTTGTAACCACTGGAAATGATACACAGGAAAGTATCTACACATCAGTATGTATACAGGTAAGTATTAGGTAAGATACCTAATTATATACAGGTAAATATCTATGTAGCAGTTATAAATCTGTGTGTATTTTAGTAAATCAGAGTTAAAAATGATAAGAAGTGTTTGAAGTTCCTACTTGGTGAGAAAATGTAGTATAGAAGTGGCGTCAGAGTTGACACATACAGACCTGGCCTACAGTCTTCTAGTAATGACTATTCAACTTTTCTGAATCATCTTTTTATTAAGATATACAATTATTATACCAACTATCTTTAAAAATCATTTTATATAGCTTGTGTCTTTAAGATCTCAAAATATGCCTGTACTGTATAAGTGGAAGTGCCCATATGAATTATTAAATATGATGATGTTTTTTCTTAGCCCTCCTGAAGATCAAGCACATCAATAAAACAGTGTCTGTGGCTGGGGTCCTCAGTGTTTGCATTGGACAGAGATCCTCACAGGCCACTGTTCAATGACAATCCCGTTCTGCTCTTCTGCTCTAATTAACTGCTCCTTTCTATCTTCTGTTTTTCCCACATGATTTCTGCTGCTCCACAAGCATCCTTCCCTTGAAGGCTGCTGCTGCTGTGCTGCCCAGAGTGCAGCTCTCTCATAATCGGGAGAGCTTCAGCCCCATTGCACCCATTGTCTCCTCTTTCATACAACTGGAAATTGTCAGGGCTGTGCACAGTAGCTCGCCAATGGGTAACACTCAGTGCCATACTTTCTGCTTCTCCAGGTTGTTTTTACCAACAGAAACTGAGAGTTTCATATTAGCATACCCAGATCCTTGTACACCAACTGGCACAAATGTAGCCTGCTGTGTACTGAGTGGTTAGAATGCTAAAACACAGAGCGCGGGCAATGGAGTTGATGCTGTGCAGCCCCCTCCCACAGAGGCCTTCAACACACACACTCCCCATGCCAGACAGACAAGGAGTCCTGTCTATCTTTCTTTCTGCTCCTCTTCTTGCTATGTGTCTTGTAACCCATGGGTGCTTGTTAGAGTTTGCACATTTTTTTTCTTCTTTTCTGCTAGACAAAAACTTGGGCATTGTTATTTATGAGTCTGGACAATACCAAAACTGCTACCAGAAATGGCTTGCTTCAGCCCAGGCCACAATGCCACTGCCCTGGATAACAGGTCCCCAGATGACATGCACAAGTTGGGTTCAGTTATGCTTCCATAACACTGGGCTGAGTCTTTCTCTGCTGTCTGTTATCTCCTTGGCCTAAAAACAAAATAGATTATTTTCTGGTGATATCAATGTTTATTTGTCTGTTGAAACTTTTAATTGACAAATTAAACATTATAAAATAATTTCCTGGATAATGTCTTGTGCTTAGAAACACATCTTGTGTGATGTTATAAACATATTCTTGCGTGTTTGTGTATGTATGTTAGTGTGTGTGTGCATGTGTAGAGAATCTAGATACTGAGATTTTAATAATTGTTTCTACAAAAACTTAAATAGTCCTCTGAGTAATAATCTATCTTTGTGTTTTTTTGAGTCAGGGCTTTGTTGCCGAGGCTGGAGTGCAGTGGTGCAATCAGGGCTCACTGCAGCCCTGATCTCTTGGTTTCATGCAATCCTCTACCTCAGCCTCCTGAGTAGCTAGACCTACAGACACATGCCACCATGCCAAATGAGGTTTTTTCAGTTTTTCATTTTTGTAGAGATAGGGTCTCAAAATGTTGCCCATGCTGGTCTTGAACACCTGACCTGAAGCAATTCTCCTGACTTGGCCTCCCAAAGTGCCAGGATTACAGGTCTGAACCACTGCACTGGCCTATCTTCATATCTAATTTGCCCTGAAATTTTGAGAATTTGCTATTTAATATTCTTTAGGGAAAAATGAAATGTTAAACAATTTGCAGAGTAAAGATAGTCGATTTTTTGTACTTCCCTTTAGTGACACATATTAACCTATAAATTCACTTATCATTTAACTGAGCCTTTTACCTGAGGCATTTAACTCATTAAATTGTTTTATACTTATTCTCATCATAAAATATGTCACCTACTATTTAATAGGATCTCTTGTTCAAAATTTAAATTTTTCTCAGATTTTTCCAAAGTTTCCCTTTTTATTTAGATGTTTATGACATTCTCTTCACATTCATCTTACAGCAGTTATTTTCTACCAGTCATGATGTAGGCTATGTTGGTAAATATTGAGTGTCAACTTGATTGGCTTGAAGGAGGCAAAGTATTGTTCCTGGGTATATCTGTGAGGATGTTGCCAAGGGAGATTAATATTTGAGTCACTGAACTAGGACAAGCAGACCCAGCTGCAATCTAGGTGGGCACCATCTAATGAGCTGCCAGCCTGGCTAGAATAAAGGAGGCAGGAGAAGATGGAAAGAGCAGACTTCCTGTATCTTCTGGCCCTCGTCTTTCTCCTGTGCTGAATGCTTCCTGCACTGGAACATCAGACTCCAAGTTCTTCAGCTTTTGGACTCTTGGACTTACAGCAATGGTTTGCCAGGGTCTCTTGGGCCTTAAGCCACGGACTAAAGGCTGCACTCTCAGCTTTCGTACTTTTGAGGTTTTGGGACTCAGACTGGCTTCCTTGCTCCTCAGCTTGCAGACAGCCTACTGTGGTACTTCACCTTGTGATTGTGTGAGTCAATGCTCCTTAATAAACTCCCTTTCATATACACATCTATCCTATTAGTTGTGTCCCTCTAGAGAACCCTGACTAAAACATAGGCCAAACTATTTTTCAGCTCGTTTTCTAATATAAGAAATCCAGGGGAGCAATCCTCACATACAAGGCTACAAGGTTGAGAATTTTCTTACAACAAAAACCAGATAATTTTTTGAAAATTTGGAAGTCAAGTTGAGAGGCCTAGAAAAGAAAACTGAAAGAGAGCAGGCAGGGGGTGAAACCTGGTAAGTAATAGACCAATTTAAAAACAGTCTTATATGGCTTGACTGTATATCCACCCAAATCTCAGCTTGAATTGTATCTTCCAGAATTCCCACGTGTTGTAGGAGGGACCCAGGGGAGGTAATTGAATCATGGGAGACGGTCTTACCCATGCTATTCTCGCAATAGTGAATAATTCTCATGAGATCTGATGGGTTTATCAGGGGTTTCCGCTTTTGCTTCTTCCTCATTTTCTCTTGCCACCACCATGTAAGAAGTGCCTTTCACTGCCTTTCATGATTCTGAGGCCCACATAGCCCATACTTGCTATAAAGCAGCAACACAATCAAGTCTACAAAACAATCAGCTAACAACATGATGACAGGATCAAAATCCTGCATATCAACACTAATCCTAAATGTAAAGGACCTAAACACCCCACTTCAAAGACATGAAGTGACAAGCTGGAAAAAAGACAAGATCCAATCATCTGCTGCCTTCAAGGGACCCATCCCTCATGGCTTAATGACATCCGTAGGCTCAAAGTAAAGGAATGAAGAAAGATGTACCATGCAAACGGAAAACAAAGAGCAGACATCACTATCCTTATGTCAGATAAAACAAACTTTAAACTAGTAAAACTTTAAAAAAGGACAAAGAAGGTCATTACATAATGGTAGAGGGTACAATACAACAAGAAGACTTAACTATTCTAACTGCCCAACACTGGGGCACCGAGATTCATAAAACAAGTTTTTCCAGGATGACAAAAGCTCTAAGACAAACACACAATAATAGTGGGGGACTTCAACACCCCACTGACATTGTTAGATCATTAAGACAGAAAACTAATAAATTATGCACTTAAACTGGAATTTGGAGAGACCTTGATGAGATTGGAGACTATTATTCTAAGTGAAGTAGCTCAGAAATGGAAAACCAAATGTCTTATGTTCTCACTCATAAGTAGGAGCTAAGCTATGAGAATGCAAAGGCATAAGAAGACACAATAGACTTTGGGGACTCAGAGGAATGGGTGGGAAGGGGCTGAGAGATAAAAGACTACAAATAGGGTGCAGTGTGTACTGCCTGGGTGGTGGGTGCACCAAAATCTCACAAATCACCACTAAAGAACTTACTCATGTAACCAAACACCACCTGTTCCCCAATAACCTATAGAAATAAAAATAAATATATTAATTAGTTAATAAACTTGACATTTGACCAATTAGACTTACTAGACATCTACAGAGTACTCCTCCCAGCACTAGGGAGTATACATTCTTCTCATCTGCACACACAACATATTATAAAATTGACCACATGCTCAGACATAAAGCAAGTCTCAATAAATTAAAAAAATGTGAAATCATACCATGCACACTTTTGGACCACTGTGCAACAAAAATAGAATTCAATATTAAGAAAACCTCTCAAAACTACAGAAATGCATATAAATTAAACAAGGTGCTCCTGAATACTTCCCGGGTGAACATTAAAATTAAGGCAGAAATAAAACATGTTGTAAACTAATGAAAGTAGGGACACAACTTACCAACATCTCTAGGATGCACCTAAAGCAACGTTAAGAAGAAAGCTTATAGCACCGAATGCCTTCATCGAGATCTTAGGAAGATCTCAAATTAACTATCTTAGCACCTAAAAGAACTAGAAAAAGATGAACAAACTGAAAGCAAGGAAAATAAAATAAATAAGAAAAGAACTGAATGAAATTGAGATGCAAAAAGTCATACAAAAGATAAATGAAACCAATAATTGGTTATTTGAAAAAATAAAAAAGATGGATTGACCACTAGCTAGACTAACATAGAATATAAAAGAGAAGATCCAAATAAGTACAATTAGAAATGACAGATATGACATTACAACTGATCCTACAGAAATACAAAAGATCTTCAGAGAATACTATGGGGACCTCTATGCATGCACATGCAGAAATCTAGAGAAAATGGATAGATTCGTGGAAGCAAACAATCTCCCAAGATTGAATCAGGAAGTTTGAAACCCTGAATAGACAAATATTGAGCTCTGAAATTGAATAAGTAATAAAAAACTTACCAACTAAAAATTCGTGAACCAGATGGATTCATAGCCAAATACTACAGATGTGCAAAGAAGAACTGATAGTCATCCTATGGAAACTATTCCAAAAAGTTGAGGAACTAGGGATCCTCTCTAACTCATTCTATAAAGCTGGTATCAGCCTGATACAAAAATCTGGCAGAAACACAACAAAAAAGGAAAACTTCAGGCAAATATACCTGATATATATAGATGCAGAAATCCTCAACAAAGTGAATCCAGCAGCACAACAAAAAGTTAAACCACCATGATCAAGTAGGCTATATTCCTGGGATACAAGACTATTTTAACATACACTAATCAATAAATGTGATTCACCACATAGATAACATTAAAAGCAAACATTCTGTAATCACCTCAATAAACACAGAACACTTTCAATAAAATCCACCATCCATTCATGATAAAAACCCTCAACAGGCTGGACACCAAGGGAACATATCTCAAAAGTATAAGACCCCTCTGTGACAAACCCGCAGGCAACATCATATGGAATGGTCAATGGCTGAAAGCATTCTCCTTGAGAACTGAGACAAGACAAGGATGCCCACTCTCAACACTCCTATTCGACATAGTACTGGATTCCTAGCCAGAGCAATCAGGCAAGTGGAAGCAATAAAAGGCATCCAAATAAGAACAGAAGAAGTCAAATGATCTCTTTTTGTTGGTGATATAATTTTATACCTCAAAAATATTAAAGACTCTGGCAAAAGGCTACTAGAACTGATAACTGATTTTTAGCTCACTAAAATTTTTGTTTGATTTTGTTCCAGCATACAAAATCAATGTACAAAAACCAGTAGCAGTTTTATACGCCAATAACATCAAGGCTGAGAGTCAAATAAAGAACACAATCTCATTTACAAAAACCAGAAAGAAAATGAAATATTTAGGAATCCATCTAACCAAAGAGGTGAAAGATCTCTATGTGGAGTTCTACAAAACATTGCTGAAAGAAATCAGAGATGACATGAATAAATTTAAAAAATTCCATGCTCATGAATCGAAAAACTCAATGTCACTAAAATAGCACTACTGCCCACAGCAATTTACAGATTCAACTCTATTCCTATCAAACTACCAAAGTAATTCTTAACAAAATTAGAAAAAAAAGCTGTTCTATAATTCATGTAAAAACAAAAAAGTGCAAATAGCCAAAGCAATCCTATGATGTTACTTCACCCCTGTGTATTCTTTCCCACAATCTATAACTTCAGTATAATCGTTGAAGAAAACACCAGACAATCTCAAAGTGAAGAACATTCTACAAATACCTGACTAGATTTCCTTATAACTCCCAAGGTCAGGAAAAACAAAGATTGAGAAAGTGTTACAGATTAGAGGATCCTAAGGATACGTAATAGCTAAATGCAGGTGTCTGGGATCGTGTCCTGGAGAAAAAGATATTAGGAAAATACCGAGTTAAACATGCATAATTCTGGAGTTTCGCTAATCATTAACAAAGACAGTATAAATACTGGTATTTAAATTTTGACGAATATACCGTGGTTATTTAAGACAGTAACAATAGGGAAACTGGGTGAAATGTATGCAGTAATTTATAGAATTTTTTGCAATTTTTATCTAAATCAAACTTACTTTAGAATAAAAAGGTTTATGTAAAAAAGAAAGGTAGAGTGGCTATATTAATATTAGACATATTTCAGAGTTACAAATATTACTGGAGATAAACAGGGTCATTTCATGATAATAAAGGGTCTATTCATTAGGACATCAATACATTTGATACATCTATTGGCTGACAGACAAAAATAAGGGAAGAAAGAATTAAATATTAGGAATGAGGAAAGTCTATTACCACAGAACATGCATTTTAAAAAGATAAATAACATATTATGAATAATTTATGGCAATAAATTTGATAGCTTAAAGTGGACAAATTCTTTGAAATACAACTTACCAAAACACTCTACTAAGAACAAAATTAGAATTTGAGTAACCATATATATATATACTAAATCCAATTTTTTTTCTTTTCTTTTTTTTTTTTTTGAGACGGAGTCTGGCTCTGTCACCCAGGCTGGAGTACAGTGGCGCGAGCTGGGCTCACTGCAAGCTCCGCCTCCCAGGTTCATGCCATTCTTCTGCCTCAGCCTCCTGAGTAGCTCGGACTACAGGCGCCCACCACTACGCCCGGCTAATTTTTCGTATTTTCTGGTAGAGACGGGGTTTCACCGTGTTAGCCAGGATGGTCTCCATCTGCTGACCTCGTGATCCACCCACCCTTGGCCTCCCAAAGTACTGGGATTACAGGTGTGAGCCACCGTGCCTGGCCCTATTAAATCTAAAATTTTAGTTGTATACCTTTACACACAAAAAACTCCAGGACCACATGGGCTTATTGGAGAATTTTACCAATACACTGAATATTTTGTAGTTTTGCTATATTAATGTTTTCTGTTTGTCTTTTGAGACAGGGTTTAAGTTCTGTCACCCCAGCTGGAAGGCAGTGGTGCAATTACAACTCATTGCAGCCTTGACCTCCTGGGCTAGAGCAATCCTCCCACTTTATCCTGCCACCACACAAGGGAAATTTTTTAAACAATTTTTTTTGTAGAGATAGGGTCTTGCTATGTTGTTCAGGTTGGCCTTGAACCCCTGGCCTCAAGTGATACTCTGGCCTCAGCCTCCGAAAGTGTAGAACTACAAGTGTAAGCCACCGCACCCAGCCAATATTAATGTCAATATATAGTAAGTATTTAAGAAAGAAACAACACCAATTCTACATACAGCCCAACAAAGAGGTACTGAATATTTCTTAACTTTTATGAATCTAGCGTTAGCCTGATTAAACACATACACACACACACACCCTTGACAAATAAAATAAAAATAAAAACACAATACTATGTAATAGGTTATAAAAAACAACTTATGTGTATAAATCAATGCAAGGATGCAAAATACAATTTCAGCAAATCTAATCCCATAATATGTAAAAATAATAATACATTGTGACCAACAGAGAATTTTTTCCTGCCCATGAATTCATCCCAGTGTAATTCATCCCAGTGTAATCCATCCCAGTGTAATCCATCCCAGTGTAATTCATCCCAGGGTAATTCATCCTATTAAAAAACAAAAAACAAAAAGTCAAACAATCACCTTAATAGGTGCAGACAAAGCATTTTAGAAAATTTGACATTCATATATGATTAAAATTTCTCAGTAATCTAGACATAGGAGGCTACTTCTAACCTGATAAAGGGTACCTAAGAAAATGCAAAGACAGTGAATGTTAAGTGTTCTTACCACAAAAAGGATACCTATGACAGCGAACGCATTTGTTAACTAGCTAGATTTAATCATTCCACAATCTACACATACTTGCTGTACATGATAAAACATACAATTTTATGTTAGTTAAAAAATATTAAAAAAATAAAATCCCACAACTAACATCACACTTAATCATAAGAGACTGAACACTTTCCCCTTAAGAATGTAGGGGAAGGGTTTGGCTACTGTCATAACTTATTCAACATCGTAGACAACTCAAAGTGTATGGTGGGGATCAGTGACTGTGGTATAAACAAGGCTATAGTTATATAACACCTAAAAAGTCACAAATCCAAAATAAGGAGAAACGGCTGCATTTGTGAAGTAGGATGGAGAAACAGCAAGGCAAATTACAAGAAAAAGTGAACTTCATAAAAAATCAGGAGTACCCCTCGCACGTGTACGTATTGTAAGAATGTTGTATTTCATATATATTTTTAAAAGTGTTTTTTCCCATATTTCTGAATCTAGAACTCCTCAAATATTAACAGATTTTTCCTTGTCGTTTATTTTCTGTCCATTATAATGAATACCTATCAATGATATAGGCATTATTAATTTTAAAATAGGATGGTAAAATAATATTATCATTAATTAAACAATTTAAAAATACAGGGTAGCAAAATATTGATAGAGGTTTTCTCTGGCATGAGATACTTGAGGCTATTTTATTTTTCTTTTGCTTATTGACTCTTTGAGATTTTCTGCAATTAGCACATATAAAATTATATCCACTCGATAGATATACAGAGGATACACACATTTACACACGCATACACACTAAGTTAAGGTGTCAGGCACAGTAACAGACTTGAAACCTTTAGGATTATTCGGGCACAGTAAGAGGTTTAAAATTTAGTAAACTTTAGAAAACAAGAATATCCTAGCTTATAATTTAATGTAAAGATAATTAAGGAACACAAATAAAGTACTCTTAGTGTCCAAATGAACCCCACAGGAAATGGTACATTTCACAGGAAAGGATCTGGAAAGGCTTTATGAAGGTGATAGTATTTGATAAAAATCCTGACGACTACAAAATTTTGATGCACAAAAATGGGATAAAGAGCATCTTAAGCTGTTGAAAGATCATTTAGAAAAGCACAACTGGGTGAAACATGAAATGCATTAAAGGAACAGTCTGCAGCCAAGTAATGTTCCTGTAGAGAAATACTGTATCATAATGTGTGATTCGAAAAATTGGTGGCCAATTTGTGGATGACCTTAACTGCCAGGAAGAGGAAATTACACTTACTTTGGTAGGCAATGGAGTTTAAATGCATTAGAACAAGTAAAAAGCAATCTGTCACTCGCCTACCTATGATATATCAGTATGTTCCTTCAGGTTACCCCTAGAAATAGAGCCCGAGACAGGGCTTGCAGGCAGGTAGTTTGAGAGAAGATTCCTCGGGGAAAGAGTGAGGGAACAAGGACGAAGGAAAACCCGTGCTTTCTCCAGTTTGCTACTGCATGCACCTGGGTTTCACTCTACTGTGACTTCTGAAACCCATGCAGAATCCTTCTGAGGATTGTCTGCATGATTAACGTGAGAATGAGGAAATTACCAGTCGACTCTCTGATACCCCCATTTGGTGGCATTAACATACCCATAGGTTCCTGCTGCACTTACTCATATGCAGTTCCTGCCTCATAAGGTGTCCTAAGGCAGAAGATTGAGCTGCATTTTGTGCTTGGAATAAGGTGTCCTCTGCTTGAATTTGAGAACCCAAGGAATTTTTGATCACAGATGTGAGTGAAAACAGAAGTGACCTGAGATACAGGACTCTATGTTTATGGTTTTAGATATCTTATCTCATTTGATCCCCACAATAGAAATAGATATTATCTCAACTTAGGTTAAGTATCTTTGACGAAAACTAAACTAAACAAACTGAAAACTAAAGTAAAGGTAATATGAAGCTGTGCAAGCTAGTGAATAGCTGGACTCTTGTTTTACTCTAAAGGAAAGTTTATATATGAGCAAGGTAATTGTATGATCAAAACTGCAATTAAGAATGACTAACCAGTATGTCAAGGGAGAAAAATACTTAAAAGGGAAACAACTGACAAGAGGGGAATTCAAGAAAGATATTTTTTATGCAAGCAAAAGGGACTGTATTAAATTAGGAGCCTAAGAATCAAATTTAAACTAACTATTATTTAGCTTTGTAGCAATGGCTAAATTATATCATTTATTTGTTCATCAATTTTATCATAGGAATACACAGAGATTGCACTTGTGTTCTAATACCTGGCCAGTGCTGACGCTCCATGATTATGTGGCTGTAATAATAACATTGAAAGTGGAAAGTAGAAAGAAGCAAGTATGAATGAAATTAGGGAGGTAGAATATACCGAATGCATTAATTGGATAAGTGTAGAAACAAAAGTGCCAAACTATAAAAATACAACTTGATTTTTAATAAGTAATATATCTTTTGCTATGTCTCTGTGGGGGATTACAAACTTACAGTTCATGAGCATTGTCACATTTAAGCCACAAAATCTGTCTCTGATGAGGTTCTATTTTTAACCTATAGTCCACCTAAGGTTTTTAAAAATTGAGTTTATTGGCCATATTTACATAACTAGTAAGTGGGAAAGTATATTTTACCATCTGCTATCGTATCAGAGTCAATACTCACTGTTTTATATTGCTTCTAGCTCGATGCCTTTAAAAATTGGATTTGGTACAGGGAATAGAAACTTCGGTTTTCAATATATGTGAGCGCTAATGATAGAGGATGTCAACTTGATTTTGACACGTTTATTTCTTAATGCTACAGAGTAGGGAGAATAAAATTATGTTTTGTAATATAAGTTTTGTAAAAACAAAATCAGAGGACTAAAATCTGGTGTTATAAATTAGTATATTGGTAACAACTCATAGGGTTAGTGACTGGTTAATGAGGGCTTCTAAGTGTTGTCATTTTCTGTTTTGTGATCTGAGATTTGCTTAAAAAGGTATTCTCAGTTTGAACAGATACAATAAACTATGCATTTATGATTTCTGCAATTGTACATCCATATATCATAATATAAAAAGTTTTAAGAAGCATTACTTGTTAAAATGAATTATCTGAGGTTTCCACTTCCAGGAATACAGATAGAAAAAAAAAATTGTTGTACTCCTCTTACTAAATACAACAAAAACCCTGGACATTATATGCAAACAAATAAGAGAAAATTTAAAAACTGAGAATAGGAGGGCAGACAAGTAGAGACCTTACGGCAAAAGGAAGACATTGGTGTGGTTTCCCTAGATTTTTTTCCCTCATAATGTCCAGAATTGGAGCTGAAGAAGCTCTTGGAAACTAAATGAATCACTTCTAAGCAATCTATGGGTCAAATAGAAAGTAAAGCAAAATTTTAAAAAAATACATTGAACTGAATAAAAATGCTACATGTCAACATTTGTGAAATACAGCTAATGCAAAGCTGTGAGAAAAATTCGTAGCACTAAATGCAAATATGAAAAATGAGGAACTATCCCTTAATAACATAAGCTCCCACATAGAGAAACTAGAAATTTACCCTCTGGTTGAAGAAGTCAGTGTCTTTCTTGAGGCCCTGAATACTACTTATTTTTAAAAAATATTCGCATCTTGGATTTTTGAGATACCAAATCTTCTGATTTCATTTAGCTCTGGATTTTTTGTTTAAATTTTCTTTATGAATTTAACGTTTTTCAACCACTCCTTACATGTCAATATATCACAGAGCTTTGTCATTACTTTCCTTTCTGTATATTACAGACTACCTTAGTGAGAACGTTATTACAGACTACCTTAGTGAGAACTTTTGACACTTCTTGGTTTATCTTGTGCTTATTGATGACTCCTCAAAATCTCCCTTTAACCTAAGACTGACTGCTGAGATCCAGATGTATTCTCAGTTGTTACTTAGAAACATCACTGCAGTGTTTCATGGACATCTCAAACTCAGCTTTCAAAAAACTAAAGCACCATTAAAATAGTTTGCTAAGGTTGTTGAGGCATAGTACCAAAAGCCAGTTGGCTTAAACAACAGAAATGGGATGTTTCACAATAAATAGTCTCTGCAGACGAGAATTCCAAAATCACAGTGTTGGCAGGTGTGGTTCCTTCTGGGGCATGTGAGGGAGAATTTGTTCCAGGCCTCTCTCTTTGGGTTGAAGATGGCTGTCTGCTCTACATCTCTTCCCAGGCTCTTCCCTCTGTGTGTGCCTCTGTGTCCAAATTTCCCCTTTTCATAAAGTTATCAGTCGTTTGGATTAGTGCCCACCTTAATGACCTAATTTTAACTTGATTATCTCTGCAAAGGCCCTGTCTCCAAATAAGGTCACTTTCTGAGTACTGAGGAATAGAACTCCAATATCTGAACTTCAAAGAGAAACAATTCAACCCATAACAATCATGTTCCTGGAAAATAGGAAAGTGGGTTAGCAACTCCAGTGTGCACAGCAAGCGCCAGGATGGAAGGCGATGTGCTGCAGTTGAAGGACTTTGCTGTCCTTTCTCTGTGTTTTGGTGGTGTTCTATTAATACCTCTGTCCCAGTGCTTAATATTTTAGTTTATTTTCTGTTTGCTTGTTTCGTTATATTTTTGATAATTTGAGATTAACAAAAACATCAACTGTTGCCAGCTCTTTATATGCAGCTATGATTTGTTTTAATGTACATCACTGATGCTTACAAGAGTAGATACAAATCCATATTTTCTGAATACATAAAGTGACAGATAAAGGATCTAATGGCCTGCCCATCTCACCCTGTGTTTCTCACTGTAAATACACTAAATTCTCACCATTATCAAAAAATGCTATTTTCTTGCATATCTTTTTACACACTATGTTCTTGGCTTAAAATATCCTTCTATAGCTATAAGAAAATTGTTTATCTCATTCTTTTTAAAAAATACTCCAGTAGTTATTAAAGTTTTTAGTAGACATTAAATGCTCAATATCTGTTGAAGAGTGACTGGTCTTTCTAGCACAAAGCTTGTCAAATTTATAAATCAGTGATCATTTTCAAGAAAAATAAATATGACTTTAATCTTATGCTCTGCATTTGGTTGACAATTTCAATTCACACATTTTTAAATAAATGCACTTCCATTTTATCCAATTCTTAAGATAATCACAACTAAATATACTTTAGAAGTTGAAATAATTATTCCTAATTTGATCTTAATGTATTAATATTTTATTTTAGTCTGTGGGTATGAGAATACCATGTCTTACATATTTACAGGCATATCATTGTGCTTTTCCTAATACTGGATTAATTCTTAATGTACTTTTTTCAGTTTTGCATATTTATGTTCATTGAAATTTTTTTATTCATAGATATGTCTAAATAAAAGAGCAAGAAGGTAAAATACTAATGGCAGAACACAGAGTAACATATTCTCACCTCTCCTGATCTTTCTATGATTCATATATTTCATGGGACTATCAGACAGCTACATTTGCGTAGTTTAGTCCTCATGTGCAGTTTTGTTAATGGTCTAAGTCATTTCCAGTGGCAATTTCCTGGTGAGTGTTTACCTCCAGTAAAATGCTACTTCCAATGAAATAAGTCTACTGTGAAAGCTACAGGAAGAAATCAATATGAAGCAAGATCACTAAATTAATGTTACATCTCTTTGAGATGTTATTTTTATTCCATCTCCTTTTTGACTTACAGTTATAATTACAGTACTTACAATATTTTATATATTTCCCATATCAGAGTTATGGGATAATTTATTTGCCTAATAGAATATTAATTTCTCATCACAAATGTAATTTCTTATGATGGTCTTTACTATAAAATTATCTTTGATGTTACCAGGAGCACATCCCATCGATTAGAATCTCATAATCAGCCTGGTAACAAAGGCATGGCACAATGTCTAGCAGCGTCTGTTTTTAGGATGACAAACTATTGGCAGAGTATTGGCAAATAAATTTACTTTTTGCACCTTAAAATATGTCTAAAAATACCATAGTAAAAGTGTATATTAACATCTTTTACCTGTCCAATCAATGGAAAGAAAACAGAAGGAACCTGTACAGTATTAATGAGACTTTCACAAATACAAAGTCAGATGCTTGACCAGCAAGCAGCCTGACTTGAGCTGGTTGCATCGTGATGGATCAATGATGAGATTTTAAGAGTTCCATGGACTCTCAGGCATAGTAAAAGAAAACTGGACTCCTTACTCTTTCCTTATAAACTGTAATCTACATTATCTACATTAGTTCAAATTTTATGAAACATTTAAACCCGTGTGCCCTAAATTCATCTAAATGAAAGATATTTCCCACATATACTCAGGCTTTTTTGCCACTCTATTCACTACCAACAAACACAAGCTTTATGTAAGCCATCTATAGTTTCAACAACATTTCCTTCGTGTCCTTCTTCTGGAACAGAGCCTCCAAGTTCCTTCCAGTTCAATTTGTCCTCTATGTCACAACCAGAATCATTATCTTAAAACATAAAGACAACTTGTTATTCTCCCTTTCTACCCCCAGAGGGCACTTCCTTATCCAGAGATTGAAGTACAAACACGTGTAAGACTCTTCACGATATGGTCCCAAATTGCTATTCTAAAAACACGCAGTGAACTGTCTGCAATCTAAAGAAAAATGGTTTAGACAGTATTCCCAGTTCTTTCATTTACAAAATTGGGAAACTAAGTCTTTGTGACCCCATATTCTCATCTGCATTGTGGGGAAATAGAACACTACCTGTTTCACAGGAATGTTGTGAAGAATAAATGTGAAAACTGCCTTACTGTTACCAAGTATCTCAGGCTCAAAATGCATTTTAAAACTACTTCTTTTTCCTTTTTTGTTTACAGCCTTGAAAAAATACATTTAAAACTCTTTGTTTCTACAATTCCCAAAAGCCACTTCCTTGAACAGTGTTTGCTTATCTAATTATTTGCTTGCTTAGAAATTCCAGGATCCAAAATTTTGAAACAAACCAGGCAGAGAGACCCAGCTGGAGAATCCTCTTGCTTAGTGGGAGTTAGGGACATCCTACCACTACCAGGATGAAGTCAGGATGATGCAAACCAGCCCTCCCTGGATTGTCAATTACTCAAGATAACCATTGGAAGGAGGCAAGCAGACCTGGAGCCTCCTGCACCACTCCCACATGTTTCCTGCACCTTCTTCTTCTTAAACCCCTTCACTCAGTCCAGAAGGCAGACGTGGCTCCTTTGAGGCAGAGTCTGGCCATCTCCCAATTGCTAGCATTCAATCAATAAAGTTGCTTTCCTATCACCACACTTTGCTTCTCCTGTCTTCAGCCCCTGAGCAGCAAGCAGCCTGACTTAAGCTGGTTGCATCATGATGGATCAAATGATGAGATTTTAAGAGTCCCATTAACTCTCATGCATAGTAAAAGAAAACTGGACTCCTTGCTCTTTCCTTATAAACTGTAAACCTCTCCCATATGTACCTTGTTACATGCTATTTCGTCTGCCTTAAGTAACTTCTAGATTTTTCAAGTGTTACTGTTTAAATCATAACCATTTTCTTTAAGGCTAAAGTGCAAATGTTTCACGAAGCCTTTCTTCAGTTCATGGGAAGAAGGTACTTTTATTATTCTATCCTCCCCACATTACTAGTACTTCTGTTACTGTACATATTATCTTTTAAATTTGTTGGCAAACTTTGGTTTTCTTTTATTTATTCATTAGTCTAAAAAACTCATTAAAGGCTCAGATGGTATTTTATTTTCATTTGTCTTCCCTGAATCATCTATCAGAGAGCCAGATGACAATGGGGTATTAAAAGCACATTCTAAATTCCGTATTGTTTCTAGACAGTCTTGAAGAAAGTATATGAGAAGCAACGCCATTCTTCCCAGTTACCTAGCACAAGTACAAGTGACAGAGATAATCCTTTTGGTTTACCTTTTTATCTTTGGCTTTCTGTTTAAATATCCAATGATCATTACAATTTGTGCCTAAATCAGTTACCAAAAGGTGAGTTGTTTTCCTCGTAATTTAGTAACAACAACAACAACAATAGACCCGTGAAAGCAATTCAAGAATTATGGATTGTCTTTGTGGTTACATCCAGCATTAACATTTTTTATGATGAGTTAATAATTGACACATTATTTTAAGAGAATTTTTAAGAATAAACCAATACATGAGACAATATAAAGCCCCATGCTTTTCACACAATTTGAAAATGTGTCTTGGTCTAAGATCAAATGATCTCAACCTATATATGCTAAACAATTGTGAGCAACATAGATCTTCCAAAAGCTTGGTAATAATGCATCCTCTTCTCTCCTTATTACTTTACAAAAAAAAAAAAAAAGAGAAGATGCTGAAATACAAACAGAAATCAATATTTTATGGAGTGGTTCAGTAGTTTACTGATCTTGGTATATTCATTGTATTGCCATAGTGTTTCTCAGAAAATATTATTGTAATCTTCCTGCTAAATACAAATACAAATATAGCTCTCCTGATTATCCTGAAAGTATATATCATATTGCTGGTAATTAGTATTATATTGTACTTCACCATAGAGAAAATTTTATTCTGTTAAATATTAGCAGATATTTTATTTATTTATTTATTTATATTATTGACATTTACATTAATATTATATTTATATTAATAATAACATTGTTAAGGTAGGGCCTGTGTCTCATTAATTGTAGTTTGTTTCAAAATTCATATGCTTTTGTGTGCATTTATCTTACTGTATCAAATAATACAGATATCTGCAATGATTTACATAAAATAAAAATATAGTAGTAATAGTAAGGTCGGTTAGATAATCTTATATAAAGTGGACTATTCTTTCAGAAGTTATTCAAATATTTATTATTGAGCATCTTATTAAGACCAGCACTTTCCTAAGGTGTGTAAGAAAAAAATGCATACAATATAAAGATCTTCAAATTTGTATGTTTTACTTAGTGTCAAGATACAATCAGCAAATTAGAAAGTGAATTATTATGATTTAAAATAAGTGGAAATACTTTTCCCAATAAAACATATAACATTTTATATAGATATTATCATTGCCATAGCATTGGAAAAGGTTTCTAGGAAGTACATATTAAGGGAAAAAATAAATGACAAAAATGACAAGAAGCTAGAGTCTAAATGTATACGAATGTTTTTATATTTTTAGGGAATTACAAACGATTTGTGTGTTCTTTTATTTAGTATCCAGATGCTCTGAGAGATGTATTCTTTTTCTTACAAAACTGTCTGCAAGTTTTGCTTGACACTCCCTATACTTTCTCTTAGGAAAAAAGGAAGAGCCTCATATCCTTACATAGAATAACAAATTAGGATGGCTTAGCCCACTGGAACTGCTACAATGTAACAAACAAATCTGAACATAAGATTTTCACTCCCACAAGAAGAACTGAAGGCAACCAGGAAAGGTATTTCCATACGGCTTGTTACAGGATGTTTCCTTCCAGTGCATTAATTATTTTACTAGAGAAAACATATTGACAACTAACTCTACCAAGCATACTGCACCAGCCTGATGGAAATATTTTGGTATATGGGAACGAGTGCAAATTATTACATATTACAAATCCCAATCCTGAACCTGGTTGTAGAACTCTTAAAAGGATATAAAATAATTCTGATATTTTTCCTTTGCCATGTGGAAAGAGAACATAGTTGTGTCTCCAAAAATGTATTGCTTGTGTTTATGTTACAAACCACATTGCTGAATATGTGCTTGCAAATAATTTAATCTCTCAGACATTTTAACAATTATTTATTTTCTAGTATTAGGAAATATATTAACTTTCCTTAGCTACAGTATTAATTTCCTAGGGCTGCCTTAGATAAAACACCGTAAACTTGCGGCTTAAAACAACTGAAGTTTATTATCTTCTAATTCTGGAGCCTGGAATCTGAAATCAGGTTTTCAGAAGGGCAGTAATCCCTATAGGGTTTCTAGGGGAGAATCTGTTTCTGTCCTTTTTGGCTTCTGGGGCTGCTGATTTCCTTGGCTTGTGGCCACATCACTCCAGTTTCCGTCCCTATCTATACCTCACCTTCTCCTCTGCAGTTCAAATCTCATTCAGTCTCACTTGTCCTTAAATTTAGAGCCTATCTGGATCACCAAGGATATGGGTCTCCTCTCAAAATTCCTAATTTAATCACATATTTTGCCAAATAGGGTAATATTTACAGGTTCTTGGGATTAGGATGTAAACACATATTTTGGGGGCCACCATCTGTATATGTTACTTCTTACTCAACAAATACAACATAGCATGTGAATATGCACAGTTTTTGTAAAAATGTTCTAAAGTAGCTTTAAGGAAAGATGATGACAAATGAAATATAAACAAGAAAGCAAACCAAAACTTTTTATGGGGTTTTACTGAACTAGAATAATATTCTCGAAATTGTATAAAGCAGAAAATGTGTGGCTCTTTTGTCCTTGTCTCTACAGCAGTGGAGTTTCCTTTTGTTGCAATATTGATTTACCTAAACAGAAAAGATGGAAGCAATCTCTCCTATTTTGCCCTCCTCTTTCTTCTAGATGACAGGTATAAATCCTTTGGCTGATTTTTTTTTCCTTTTAATCAGAAATACATCTCAAATTAAAAAATTATCAAGGTTGGTATCATCATGGTGGCATTAATATGTATTCCAGTCTGCCCCAAGGGTCTACTAGGGCACAGTTAATGTGTTCATACCTCATTGCAGTACGAGTGAGTTTTGGAATTTAAATATTAATCTTCCTCTAAGCACATACATTAAGATGTCTATAGAAATGGATTTGCCTATTCTGACAATCTGTAGAATCTGAAGCTTGCTAGCTATTCTTGAATTGCTTTAATAATTTTCTATTTGCAAACACCCATAGGATATGGCTGCACTTGTCAGAAGTCTCAAAACATACATTTTTCGCTTTGGAAATAAACAAGATGGCATTGTCAGGGTATATAGTGAGAAGGCTATAATTATAGATAGATCTCTTTTCCGAAATTAGAAATTTTCTGAGATCCTTCTCAGCTGTTTCAAGTTATTATAGATTATTTAATGCAGTGACTCCCTAAGAGGGTAGTAGTTAAAGTAATGCAAACTTTGAGAATGAGTATAAACTGAGTATTCAAAAAGACAATACATGTTTTCTGCTGTTTACAAGTAAGCTTGGAAACACAGTGTAAGAGTTTGAATCACTTTCTAACTGCTAAACACTTTCCCAGTGTAACTTATGTGCATTTGAATATCAATATAGAAGGGCTTATTTTAACGCAGTATCTATGTTACACATATTGTGCCTAAAAGATTTATTTCTTATTTGAATATCTCTTTTGAAAAGATTTTTAAAATATCTTCCACTTTGTAATCCCAGCACGTTGGGAGGCCGAGGCAGGCGGATCACAAGGTCAGGAGTTCAAGACCAGCCTGGCCAGTATGATGAAACCCTGTCTCTACTAAAAATACAAAAAAAAAAAAAAAAAATTAGCCTGGCATACTGGCGGGCGCCTGTACTCCCAGCTACTCAGGAGGCTGAGGCAGAAGAATCACTTGAACCCGGGAGGCAGAGGTTGCAGTGAGCCAAGATTGAGCCACTGCACTCCAGTTTGGGCAAGAGAGCAAGCGAGACTCCGTCTCAAAAACCAAAAAAACAAAAAAACTTCCACTTAATCAGACTTGATAATTGATTATCAATTGTTCAGTCATTACTCACAAAACTGGTGTATTTGCCATGATGCAACACCTAGTTACTCTCAGACTAGATTGATAAATATATATACATACATACATATATATGTATATATACATACACACAAATTTATTGTCAATATTATCATCACACTCATCAAAAGACACAGGGTCTAGTTTTTGGTAGTACAATAGGGAGATTATGGTTATCAACAATTTGTTGTATATTTCAAAATAACTAGATGAGTCAAATTGGAATGTCCTTAATGTAAAGAAATAATAAATATTTAAAGTGATGAATATCCCAGTCACTCACTTTGATCATTATACATTGTATGCTGGTATCAAAGTATCACATGTACCCCATAAATACGTACAACTATTATGTATCCATAAAATAAAAAAACAAATATTAAAAATGTTATATGATCTAATGAAACACTGAAGAAAATGCTGGACACATAAGACAGGTCAAGAGAAAAGGAACCATTTCATTATTTTTCAGTACCTTGATTCATTTTGAGATATGAAGAAAGCCAATACACCTCTTTATAGAAACGTATTTACCTCTAAAATACGAACATTTTAGCAGTAAAGAAGCAATGCAATAAAGACAGATTTTTTGAGTTTCCAAGCATTTTGTATTATATCACAATATTCTCTCAACCTCCAACTGATTCTGCTATTAAATTAGGGGTGTTTACAAATAGGAAAACTAAAAGTATTGCATTCCAGCAATATACTAACTGTTTACTTTTGTGTCCTTTTAAGTCCCATGAATAAAACCCTTTCCCAGTGCATGGTCCTGAATATATTTCTCAACATTATATTACAATATACATGTGTTACTTTTGATATTGAGGATTTGAATCTCCTTGGAATTGATGACAATGAAGGGATGAGAGGTAATTCTAGTTTTATTAAATATAGATTGTCTAGTATAGCAGCATTAGTAATAAAATGGTTAAATCTTTTCTCACTGATATGTTATCCTAATACTATCACTTCAATTACAATGAGGATCTCTTTCAGCTCGACATTCGATTCATTGCTTGTTGACAGTTGGGCCAACGCTGTGCTGTTTGGTTAGTGTAGCTTTATTATTCCTTGATTCTTAGTTTTTTTAGATCAACATTTCATCACCTGTTGCTTCTCCTCAGTTTTGTCTTCTTTTTAGCTTTTCTTTGCTACTTATCCTTCCAGAAGAATTTTAAACAAACTTCAAAAGATCCATGGAAATCCCTATAGGGTTGTGACTGACTTGACATTCATTTACACACAGATTTGAAAATAAGGCCCTTATGTAGTTAGAGTCTGTATGTATTAAATCAGCATTGATATGTAGATTTTAATAAATTTTAATAAAGTGACATTCTTACTTTTTCTAAATTTTATGCATATTTTATTAAATATGTACTTTCTAGGTTTTGTTTGTTTCTATTAAAATTGGTATTTTGATTTCATTACAGTGATTGTCTTCTGTGTATATTATATGCAGGAACTTGCTGAATCCATTAATACTATTCAGTTTGTTGGCAGGAGAAAACTAGGGGGAAAACACCAATAAGGAAGTATAATTAAAATTGTAAACATTTGTACAGAAAGTGTGGAAATAGAAAATAAGTAAGCAAATTAAAAATTTAACAACAAAAATGAGTATGGTAAAACAGCTGTAAAATATATAAATCCTAGCCAGAGTCTCCAAGAAATAAAAGAAAGAAAAAGAAAGAAGAGACAGATTACTAAAGTTAGAAAAAAACAGAGTATACATCTCTACCAATTCTCCAGAAATTAAAATGATGAGAGAAATTATGTGCAAATGTATGTCAAAAAATAATATAGATTATGCAATTTGTCAAAACTGACTCAAGAAGAAATAGAAAACCTGAGTAGAAAAGTATTGAGTGAGATAAGTTGAATAAAAGAAAAAAGTGATAAATTGAACTTCGTTGAAATTATTCTATACCCTCCTTAAAAATCTACTCTAGGAATGTTACATTTGTCCACAAAAATATTTGTATAAAAAGGATCACAAGCAGCCTGACCAACATGGTGAAACCCCATCTCTACTAAAAATATAAAAATTAGCTGGGTGTGGTGGCAGACGCTTGTAATCTCAGCTACTCGGAAGGCTGAGGCAGGAGATTCACTTGAACCTGGAAGGTGGAGGTTGCATTGAGCCAAGATCGCACCATTGCACTACAGCCTGGGTGACAGAGCGAGACTCCATCAAAAAAAAAAAAAAAAAAAGGATCATAGGATCATAGCAGCTTTATATCTAATATGCCCAAACTAGAATAAGCCCAAATTCCATCTACAAGTGAATGGATAAAAAAAAAGATGGCATAGCCAGATAACAGAATTCTATTCAGCTGTAAGTGGGAACAAACTATTGATACATTATGTGGATGAACCTCAAAGTCTTTACTCTAAATTAAGTAACAGAAGGCCAACACAAAAGACTACATCTTATACAATTCAATTTAAATGGAATCTCAAGAGAAGCCAAATTCAGAGATACAGAAAGCCAGTCATCAACTGTCTAATCATGAAGCTGAAAGCAGAAATTACCCATAAATGGAAATGAAAGCAGCTTTGGCAGTGATGGAAATGTTTTAAAACAAAATTGTGATGGTTGCACAACTCTACATTTGCTAAAAATCTTTGAATTTTATATTTACAATGGGTTAATGTTATTTCACGTAAAATATCACTCAACAAAGCTATTTTCGAAAAGTAACAACAATGATAGACTGGATTAAGAAAATGTGGCACATATATACCATGGAATACTATGCAGCCATAAAAAATAATGAGTTCATGTCCTTTGTAGGGACATGGATGAAATTGGAAATCATCATTCTCAGTAAACTATCACAAGAACAAAAAACCAAACACCGCATATTCTCACTCATAGGTGGGAATTGAACAATGAGAACACATGGACACAGGAAGGGGAACATCACACTCTGGGGACTGTTGTGGGGTGGGGGGAGGGGGGAGGGATAGCATTAGGAGAAATACCTAATGCTAAATGACGAGTTAATGGGTGTAGCACACCAGCATGGCCCATGTATACATTTGTAACTAACCTGCACATTGTGCACATGTACCCTAAAACTTAAAGTATAATAATAATAAAAGAAAAAAAAAAAGAAACTTAGGTAGTTACTTGAGAAAAAAAGGGTGAATGAATTTGGTTTTCAGATAATAATGCAAACATGATCAGATATTATTGCATGAAATAACTTAATACTAATAAATGTTAAGATAACTACAACAACAACAAAAAAAAGGTAACAGACCCAACCCTGCTGCTATTTTCTCCAAGGCCCATCTCCCATCCATTGTAAAGAAAATATATTAGTTTTAAACCTAAGTTTGAACATTAAAATGTTGGTGTTACTCATTTGGAATCAGGAAATATTTTTCATTTATTAGTAAATATAATAATTTTTCAAGTAAAAATATTTCAATTGCAGACAAGTGATTCTTTGGTTTAAATCCAGTTATTTTATTTACTCACATATGTTATATTCTCTGTGATACTATGAGTTTTTCTTTGGAAAGGGAAAATATTAAAGGCCCAATGTGTCTTAGAGCTTTAATTACTGTATGGGTCATTTTTATCCATTCTTTTTCTTTTCAGATAAAAATCCCTTCAGAAATGTGTGTGTTTCAATTTCGCTAGTAACTTGAAATGTCATCAATATGTAATAATATTCTTCAGGAGATATCATATGCTATTTTGGGCAGTACTGTCAATCAAATCTGAAAGCTTTAGGAATGTTTTTACTTATTTTGGTTTTAATCTCCTGATGGCTCACTTTTTCATTTATTAAGCAAGTAAGGAAAATTTATTTTTATTTTACACTAATCTTAAATTTTATTATGGCTTATAAGAGAAATGAATTTGTCTTAACCTAGAAAACTGATAAATATTATACTAGAATCATAAGACATTACTTTATGGCATTTAGATTTGGAATAAAATTGTGCTTCTTGAATTTTCATTGTACTGTAGAAAGGCTTTTTGAATTAATTATTTTACTGTATCATGCAATCTTTCAAATTAAAAATTCTGATAGATATATAAATTTCTAAGTATATAATATTTTCTTAAACTTTTAAGTAAAACCACCAGTAGGCAAAAAATGAAAACAAAAGTTGTATGTACACTTTTTAAATGAGTTTCTTAATAAAATTACTTGATATACTTAGGATAAAAATAAGCAAATTTCATGGACATAAACAGAATCAAATATAAAGTGGTCAGGAATGGGCAAGCGATAAGGTGTTCTTATTTGGTATAATTTTTTTTGCAATTTTGTAGAAGATTATTTCTCACTGCTTTTAAGAGTTATATTCATTTTTAAAGTGTATTTTAAACTACCTTAAAATGTGCATTTTAATTCTTTCATCAGTGGTTTACATGAACAGTTCTTGCTTAAAATGAGCATAGCAGATAGAAGTAAACGTAGTGGTAGAAATTATGGTGGATTTAGCATTAGATGATATTTAAAACGTTGACTTTTCCCTGTAGTATGTCATGATTTGGGGAAAGTTATTTAAACAATTTTCCTCTTTGAACTATTACAGGCAATGTAGATTGATGGCATTTGTTATGAGGTTGTTGTGGGAATTTTATGATATGTGTTTACTTGTGTTTTTTTAAGTATTATTTCAAATAAAGATCATTTTATTACTTAGTTTATATTCTAATTGAGTATGTCTGTCTCTTCACTATATACAACTGTCTTATCCACTTGTGACATTTTTTGAAAATTATAAATGACCTTTTTGACAAGTGAGAAAACAAGTGCCACGATTTGGCTGTGTCCCCACCCAAATCTCATGTTGATTTGTAAGCCCCAGTGTTGTGGGAGGGACCTGGTGGGAGGTGATTGGATCATAGGGGAAGACTTCCCCCTTGCTGTTCTCATGATGCTGAGTGAGTTTTCACAAGATATGGTTGTTTAAAAGTCTTAGCACTTCCTTTTTCCCTCTCTCTCCTGCTCCGCCATGGTAAGACATGCTTCCTTCCCCTTCACCTTCCACCATGATTGTAAGTTTCGTGAGGCCTCCCAGCCATGCTTCCTGTACATCTTGCAGAACTGTGAATCAATTAAGTCTCTTTTCTTCATAAATTACCCAGGTTCAGGTAGTTCAGTGTGAGAATGGACTAAAACAGCAAGATTGTGTGAAACTTTGGGTCCATATAGTATCCTACGTGCTTCCTCATTCTCTCAAAGAGGCAGTTTGGAAATAACAAATGGTACTTGAAATCTGAACAGCAGAATTAGCAGCTCTGTACTTACTAGCTACATGCTGTTAGGAGAAGCCCTTTACCCTCACTTCATCAGGGTAAAGTGCAGAGCTTGGACAAAGTGACCTCCAAGATATCGGCAAGCTTATCATGTTACCTTCGTATCATCTTCTCTCAGCTCTGTAAGGAGTGATAGGAAGTGTCAGTGAAGAGGTTTCCTTTAAAACGAAGTTATGGCAGTATTATGAGCCATCTGAAGTATTCTCCACAGGTCCCACATCAGGCCAAAGTTCATTCTACAGTGTAAGTGCGCTTTTTTAAAACATTTCAAATATGCTTTGTCCCCTGAAAAGTTAGTACTCTGGTGCTTTCAAAATTAATCAGAAGAATCTTGGAGTCTGGGAAATGATTATTTTTGTCTGTTTTAATTAGAAAGAGGATGATTTTCAAAGTAATTTGTGTAAAATCATATTTTTGTTTTTTTTGACTAGGGGAGAAAAAAAGAACAAAGGTTTATAAAAAAGATAATTTCCTTAGATCCTTAAACCTCAAAATAAAAGGGAGTCCTCATAATCATTTCGGCATGAGAATCAGCAGGCTGCTGCCCCAGTTACTGATGTCAAGGAAAATGCTGCACAAAGAGACCTAGATTTCTGCTGCTTCTTTCTCTTGATTTTCTGAATTTCCTTATTCCACCCTTTTTAGTGCTCCCTTTTGTGGTGCTTTCCTTTTAAAGTCCGGGCTGGAGAGGGTAGAAAGTGGGGAAGGCCTCCAAATTTAAATTTTTCCTTTACCTGATTCAGTGATTAATGATGAATTTCTCCAATGGTGCTAAAGCTTTCGATTCTCTCAGGTCAGACTGCCAGCCTAGTCCACCCCAGCTTCCTTTTGGCAGCTGCCTCTTTTATGGTCTTTTTTGGAGTGCTGACCTAGGAGAGTAGTCAAGAAGGACACACCGCAGTGTAATACAACCAGGTGTTGAATCTGGGATATTGTTCCGGTGAGTCAATTATTAATCTCCCTTTGGATGATCTGTTTCTTGGCTCTCAGGCCAGTGTTCAGTCATCCTCAGCACAGCATTTAGTAAGTGGAAAAGCCAAATGGTCATGAAAGTATGAGATTTCCCAATTACTGCATAAAAGGAAAATCTCAGTATGTTTCCATATCCGTGAAGCTTATTTCTAATACTTGAGATTTTTTTTTTTTTTTTTTTTTTTTTTGAGATGGAGTCTCTCTCTGTTGCCCAGGCTGGACTATAGTGGTGCGATCTTGGCTCACTGCAACCTCCGCCTCCTGGGTTCAAACGATTCTCCTGCCTCAGCCTCCCAAGTAGCTGGGACTATAGGCAAGTGCCATCACATTTGGCTAATTTTTCTATTTTTAGTAGAGACAGGGTTTCACCATGTTGGTCAGGCTGGTCTTGAACTCCAGACTTCAGGTGATCCTCTCACCTTGGCCTCCCAATGTGTTGGGATTACAGGTATGAGCCACCGTGCCCAGCCTAATACTTGAGATTCTTAATGTTACGTTTAATTTTAAACAATTTCTGGTACTTCTTCATATCGTGTGGTATCTTAAATATTATGATACCTATGGATCTTAAAGCATACTGATAAAAGTCCTGCCTTTAAAATTCACAATTTAATTTTCCTGACACCTCTGCTTTACATCTACATCATGAGATGGATTGTGAGTTTGAATTTGTAAAAATTATCAGTCTGGATTTGTATTAAAGGAACAATTAGATAATTTTTTTTCTTATGGCCCATAGCTTATTTCACATATAACTGCCCCTACTTTTTTCTTTATATTTTAATTTACAAGATCATCTTCATAGTCACTGAAGAGCAAAGCTAAAAAGTATGAATTCCAAACCCTGCTTTGCCATAGAATCACTACTTTATCTTGAGCAACTGATTCAACTTGCTGTGCCTGTATTTCTTTCTATGTAAAAATAGAAGAGGTTGGCCAGGCGCGGTTCCTCACACTGGTAATCCTAGCACTTGGGGAGGCCGAAGCAGGCAGATCACCTGAGGTCAGGAGTTTGAGACCAGCCTGGCCAAAATGGTGAAACCCTGTCAATACTGAAAATACACAAAATAGCTGGGCCTGGTGGTGTGGGCCTGTAATCCCAGCTACTCACGAGGCTGAGGCAGGAGAATCACTTGAATCCAGGAGGCAGAGATTGCAGTGAGCCAAGATTGTGCCACTGCACTCCAACCTGGGCAACAGAGCGAGACTCTGTCTCTAAATAAATAAATAAATAAATAAATAAGGTAATATGGATGACTACTGCAGATGGTTGCCCTGAGGATTAAATTAGATAATAACATACAACCTCAGTACAATGCAGTATATGAAATGACGTTATGATGAGGTTTCTGAATGACCAGGGAGGTCCATGCAGGCAGCTGCCCAGAAGACCAGTGGGTTCAGCTGAGCTCCTCCAATTCTGTTTCTGTCCCAGGACTACTCGCCATATTCTAGAGACCACGTTCAGCTCAGCTTGGGGAGGACTCAGTGTACAGTGGCTGCTCTGGAATGACAGCTACCGTAGGTTCCCACCCAATAGAATCACTCATTTCCAGAATTTACCTACACACTTCCCTTAGAAGATAAGAACTTTAGGCTGTCACTTTTGATACAACAGGGGGAGAAAATAATGGCTTGAGGTTTGTAGTGGGGACAGATTTACAAGTGGAGGACAAGGACAATTACATGTGATGTCGCATCTACATTTAATTGATTGCATTGTTTTACTGTATATGCTTAAAGGAATTAGAAGGCCAGATATTTTAAGTTTTACATCATGACTAGGTATTATTAGTGTCAGCATTATCATCACCGTCACCTTCATTCTTTTCTGTCAGTATTTCCTGTAGCACACCAAAATGCATCACTCCATTTTCTGAGTATAATAATACATATTTTGTTTTATGTTATAAACTCCTCTTATTTTATATAGTTACAAAATTATTCATTTTGTTCATTAAAAGGTAAAATTTTAAAGGTCAATGTCCGTGCTGTATCTTTAAAACCCTAGCATCATTATGTGGCTTGTGACACACAGCTAATACTCAAAAGTGTTTAGAAGAAAACAATAAATGTATCTGTTTTTAATCATTTTTAGAAATGTTGGTATAAAGTCACATAATAAATTAATAAAATATATAAAATGTATTAAATATAAAATAAAATTAAGTCTAATTGTCTTTAGCTGTTAAATGCATCAACATACTTAAGATTAAATGTTTGAAAATAATGTACACATGAGACTACGTGGGGGAGATGACCAGTGGGTGAGACAAGAATGAGAGGGCAAAGCAATGTGAAGTGATTAAAACACATTTCATGCACATAAGGCTTAAAGCTAACCTACCTTAGTTCAGAAACTAGGTTTTATCCTTTGCTCCTCTTGCTCATGGATCTAAACCCTTTCAAAGATCGATGCTTGATTCCTCAAGTATAACCAGAAAAACGACAATTATGGACATAGGCAAGTAAAAGTAGCTCATTACGCCAATAAGTAATAACTACTTTTTGTTGTTCTAAACAATGAAATGATTCTGTTAAAATTTGTTTCTCTAATAAAATATTTTTATTTGCAGGGGTCAAATCCAAGAATTATTTAGTAAATATACTGAACACCGTGACCTTCAAAATACCTTTGCTAAATTAATATCTATTAGCAAAATTTCCTGTATTTTCAGAGCTGTCTCCAGTGAGAAGTTGGTCATTTAGAGAGAAAAAAATGATTTGAACTGAATGGAGCAACACAGAGGTATTTCTGCCTCCATTTTGAGGCTTTCCAGATAGCACAGACCACGGGCACTTCATTTAATTTACAGAATCCCTGATGAAAGTATTTCTACAAAAATAGTCTTAATGAAAATCTAAGGAAACTTTGAAGGGCTCAATTTTCATCAGTGGGAGACAGAATAAATGTATTTTATAATTTTTTATTGGGAACTGAAGGAAAAGAGAGGATCCACAATTAGAGAAAATATTTGGGCAAGCAGATAATTCTAAACACCCAGTGTTTTTTAAGGATTCCAAAAATAAACATTTTAAAAGAGAATTCTTGGTTTATTTTCCCCAGCCCAGGGGATATGTTTTGTTATTGTTCATTATTTCGTCCCCCTTAAGCCATTGTCACATCCCATTCTCAATGCCTTGGGGTATAGCTGGATATTACAGATTTATCAATGTTACTAGTTGATTTCATACGTGAAACGTTCTGCAGTAAAGCAGAAGAATGCCTATGCATTCATTGAGTATATTTTAGACAAATAGAGTAACAGTTTCAAATTTAATAACCTAAAAATAGGTCATGACTCACAAAAATGCTGGGAGGAAAAGTAAACTATATTCACAAATTTTATAAAGCAACTTTTGTTGTTATTGTTACTATTTTGACTGTCTTTCTCACCACTTATATTTTCATATCTGATAATAAGTCCCAAATCTACTTATGTCTTGCCTCCCTTCCCTTATCTGGGCAACTTCTGAGCATATGGGTGATCCCTATAAATGATCTACAGGGGCTTTCTTATGCTGGAAAAGCACAAAAACTTACAATAAGCGTGAAAACTTATGCTTTCAAGTGCGGTGGGCTGTAAACATTTTTCCTGAGTTCTCTCTAAAGAACTTTGAAAAAGATTATACCTTGCTTGCTTATATATTTTAAAGATTATATTATATTTATAGATTATATTCAGTCTATAATTTTGCATCACAATTTTAATTGTCACAAAAGATTGTAATTTCTGCCATGAATCTTGACATTTAAAAATCAGATTGCCACACAATTCTCCTAAATGTTTCCAAAGGTCTATAAATACCATAGTGCCTTAATAGTCACCATCATCCATGTAAGAAATATTTGAGGAAGATCTGGGTCAGTATCAGAAATTTCGAGGTGATGGCAGAGCATCTTGGAGATAGTGGGAATATGTCTCCCCACCTAAATAATGGCACTGACAGAATCCTCCTCATATAACTATTTTGGAACTCTGAAATCTACTGAAGGATTTCAATTTCCATTGAAAGGCTTAGGCTGCACATTTTAGTTAATTTGGGTCCATTTTAGCTATGGCAGAGAGTTGTGCATGTGTTCCTGGAGTAGCTTGAACATAGATGGGGGAGCTCAGTAAGGAACTGAGGTAGGTTAGCTAGTCCTGTCTCTCAGTTTGAAGCAACCATTTCAAAGATACCAAGAAAAAGAATGTATAAAGCAAATGAAAATATCAATACAGATATAGAAAATCTAAAATTTAAAAGAACACTACAGCTGTAAAATACAATAACTGAAATGAAAAATTCACTAGAAGGATTAAAGGCAGATTTGAATAGGCAGAAACACGACCCAGAGAGCTTGAAGAAAGGGTTGTTAAAATTATGAAGTCTGAGGAACAGAAAGAAAAAGAGTAAAGAGTACAGAGTCAAGGGACATGTGAGACAACATCAAGTTAACTGATACTTGCATTGTGGGGGTCCCAGAAAAAACATTGTAGAGAGAAAGTAGCAGAGAAATTACTTGAAGAAATCATGGCCCAAAATTTTCTCATTTGATGAAAAAGATTAATATGGACATCTAAGAAGCTCAGCTAACTCTGATTGAGAAAGTCAGAGACCTACATTAAAACTCAGAATTTCAAAAGATACAAATGAAGAGACAATTTTGAAAGCCACAAGAGAAAAGTTGCTCATCACATAAATCTCAGCAAATTACTCATCAGAAATTCTGGATGCCAAAAGGCAGGAGGCTAATATATTTAAAGTGCTAAAAGAAAAGAAAGTCAACTCAGAATTATGTATCTGGTAAAATTTTTGTTCAAAAGTCAGGAGTAATTAAGATGTTCTCAGATTTTACAAAGCTTAGGGAAGTCATTACCATTAGAACTGCCCTGCAGGAAATGCTAACAAAAGTCAGTCCTGCAGGTTGAAATGAAAGACACTAGAAAACAAGTCAAAGCTGTTGAAGAATGATCTCAGTGATGATAAATAAATAGGTTATTATAAGAGCTAGTATTTTTGTTTAAATGATTTGTAGTTCTACGTTTCTGTTTTCTACATGGTTTAAGAGCCTAATACATTAAAAAAATTAATCTAAAAGCTGTTATTATTCTAACTTTGGTTTTTCTCTACATTTTATTTCCACATTCATACTCATTCATTAAAAACAATTATTATTTTATGTGTTTGGACACATGATATATAAACTTATAATTTTGTAACACAAATAAGTGAAAGGGATGGTGGTAGAGATGTATAGGAGCACAGTTTTTCTATGTTATCGAAGTTAAGCTCCTATAAATTCAAATTAAAGTGTTATATAACTTTAGATTGTTAAGTATAATCCCCATGGTAACTGCAAAGAGAAGAATTATTAAATACACAGAAAAGAAAATGAGAAGAGAATTTAAACATTTCACTAGAAAAAATCAGCTCAATATAAAAGAAGGCAGTGGTTAAATAAGTGAGGAAAATAAATCTGTAAGAAATATAGAAAATAACTATCAAAATGACAGTTGAAAGTCCATTCTTAATAGAAATTACATTAAGTGTAAATGGATTAAACTATCCAATAAAATACAAGGGTTGGCATAATGGATAAAAATAAAACATGATGCAATATATGCTGTTTATGAGTCTCACTTTAATCCAATGACACAAAAAGGTTGAAAGTGAACAGATGGAAAAAGATATTCCATGTAAATAGTAACAACGACAACAACAACAAAAAGTATAGCTGGCTATGCTAACACCAAACAAAATAGAATTTAAATTTAAAAAATAAGAGACAAAGAACATCATATGCAATAAAAAGTTCAATATAGCAAGATGTGATAATTATAAACATTTAGATAAATAATAGACAATCAAAATATATGAAGCAAAAATTAACAGAATTAAAGGTAAAGATATTTCTACAATAATAGTTGGATACTTTAATGCCTCACTCCCAATAATATATAGAACTGTGAGAGGTAAAATTAATAAGGAAATAGAGTACTTGAACAACACAGGAAAACATCCATATCTAACCATCATATACAGACTAACAGACATATACATAGCATTCTACCCAACAACAGCATATACATATTCTTCTTAAGTGTGCATGAGACATTCTCTAGGTCACAGCATAAGTTAGTTCTCAAATTTAAGTTTCAGTACATTAAGGAAGATTAATATTAATACAAAGGATCTTCTCTGACTATAATGAATGAATTTATTTAAAAAATTAGAAAATTAGAAAATACACAAATGCATGGAAATTAAACAACACATTCTTAAACAACCCATGGATCAAAGAAAAATCTTTGGATTTTTCCTTGGAACAAGAGGAAATAGAAATAGAAAATACTTAGAAACAAATGAAAACAAAAATGCATCATACCAAACTTATGTTGATTTCACTGATTCAGTGAAATCAGTTTTTTTAATTTAAAGCTATAAGTGTTCATATAAAGCAAAGAAACCACCAGCAACAACAGGAAAGATTTCAAATCAATAACTTCACAACATAAGGAACCAAAAGAAAAAAAACAAACTGAAGCCAAATCTAACAGAAAAAAGGAAATAATCAAGATTAGAGAAGAGCAAAACAAAATAGAGAATATAAAAACAACAGAAGAAATCGATGAAGCCAAAGCTGATTTTTTGAAAAAATCAAAAATGTTGGCAAACCTTAAGATATATATTATTATTAATAATAAAGGAATAATGCTCAAATTACTAAAATAAATTAGACATCCTTATCAATTCTACAGAAATAAACTGATTGTAAGAGAATACTGTGAACAATTGCACACCAACAAGTGGGTGATCTAGATGAAAAGAATGAATTCCTAGAAACATATAACTTACCGAGATTGAATCATGGAAACAGAAAATCTGAATGGCCCTACAGTTAATAAGGAGATTACATCAGTATTCCAAGATCTCCTGGTGCACGCGCGCGCGCACACACACACACACACACACACACGCACGCGCACACACACACACACTTCTTCTGCAAAGGACACAGTCTTGATTGCCCCAAGGGAGATATAATGTATGCCTACCTAAAAATGTTAACATTTTATTTATTTCTTTAAATGAAGTATAGTATTAGATTTTACATCTCCAAATAAAATACAAAGAAAATCTCTGGGTTTTATAACTTCACTGATGAGTTCTACCAAATATTTCAAGAATAAATAACACTAATTCTCAAAATTTTTCAAACAAATGAAGTGTAGATGAACAGAGGAAAATATAAAAGCTATATGGTATATACATACAATGGAGAATTATTCACCCTTAAAAAGGAAGGAGATTTTGATATATGTTACAACATAAATGGACATTGAGGACATTATGCGAAATGCAATAAGCCGGTCACACAAAAAAAATGCTCTATGATTTTGTTTATATAAGATACCTAGAGTTATTAAAATCATAGAATGTAGAATGCGGATTAGTAGGTGCTGGAAGGAGGCGGAAATGGGTGGTTATTATTTAATGCATGTACAATTTCAGTTTTGCAAGATGAAAAGAATTCTTGTGAATGATAGTGGGTGATAGTTGTATAACAATATGAATGTACTTAGTATCATTGAGCTATACTTAAAAATGGTTTAAGATTGTTATTTGTATTTTGCTACAATAAAAAGTTTGTAAAAGAAAATAATTACATGTAGAAAGTAAGACACACACACACACATACACACACACACACACATACACACACACACACATTTCTTCTGCAAAGGAAACAGTCTTGATTGTCCCATATAATCTTGGATTTCTGATCATCTAAAATGTTCCCATTTTATTTATTCCTGTAAGGGAAGCACACTAGTGGATTTTACATCTCAAAATAAAATGCAAAAGCCAAATACACTTTGTATATTCAGATTGTGCTCCTTAAGATAAGCTCTCACAGAAAATGATGAGGAATGAACATAAGCACCTGCAAGAAAATACGGAATACCATGATTATGCTGAAAATTTTAGGAGAACACAGTATAAAAAGCACCATTCTTCATAATTCTTGAAAATTTACTGCAGTAAAATGTCAATGTGATTGTCAGAAAGGGTTTTACTCTTTCCCTTATTAGTGTAAATAAATATCTTCAAAAAATTTATAAATAGGATGAACATATTTTTATTGTCTTAAGTAGAATACAGTGAATTTTAAAGGAATATGCAGTTGTTATTTATATAGCTAACAAAGCTCAATTACATTTTACTTAAATTTGTAACTAAATATAGTTTATAATTCCAGATTTTTTTTTAATTTTAACTTAGCTCCAATATTCACAATAAAGAGCATATTTCCACGTATTTTTACTATTTAACTTTAGGTGGAACTCATTTTAAGATGTGAAATTATTAAACTTCAGGGAAAGTTATTAAACTCAGGGGAAGCTTCAGGTTTTTTATTATTTTTACTTACCAAAATCCATCTTTCAAAATTTTATTAGCATGTAAATAGCCTGATTCTTTTTGTAATATTTAACCAAAATTGTTAAGATTTTCTAAAGGTTTCACAATTCTGCTAAGTCTGTCTTTATAGGGAAACTAGTCAAAAGACAGTTTACCCAACTGACTGTGAAGAGAATTATCAATGGCCCTGTTCTTTCCTCTAACCCTAATTTTGTCATAAGTCATGAATTACTTGAAGTGAGAGAATGTGACATGTTATTTGAACACATCCTTAGAATTGTATGAAATGCACACTTAAATTAATTGTAAAGTTTTTCAGTAATGATGTAACCAGTAACATCAACCATTGAGTTATTTTCTTTTATTGTATTGTAATATCAATAGTGTGGTTCCAAGAATATATTTATTCAATTATAACAATTGATAATTTACCTGTGGATAGAATTCTAGGATGGAAAAGAATCTCCTGGAGAATTTTTAAAATACTGTTCTATTGGCTTTTTGCTTCCATTATATTATGGAGAAATCTGATGTCTCTCTCATTACTTTCTATGTAGTCTTGGATTGTTATTCCTTTCATTGTCTGGCAACATTATAAAAACTACAGCAAATATTGTCTTTGACAAACCTTTTGTTCATATAGTTACATGTAGTATGACATAATAGATTAATAAAGAACAAAAAAGTTTATTAAAAATATTAAGGTTATTTTTAATTATACATTCAAAATGAACAAAAATAAAACATTTATTAATAACACTAAGTTCAAGTAATAATTGACATTATACATAAAGCAAGTATTTCTATTAATTTGCTAATTATACTGTAGAAATTAACGGCCCAAATTTAATCACTGGGGTGGGCAGACCACAATGAAATTTTTACTGAGAAATCTATTGTTTGAACTTGTATTTGCTTTATTATCTTAAGGCTTAATCAACAGAGGGGTTTATCTTGAAAAAGATCTAATATTATATTTAGTAGTTGTAATTTTGGAAAAAAGGCTTTTGTTTTTCATATAATATTACTACTTATGGGAAATTTTGTTTGGCTATTACATCAAGATGGATTTCAAAGGAATTACCCGACTCCTTGTAATTACCAGAGTGATTGTTCTTAGCAATGATGGTGTGGTGAGAGACTTCAGTTGGAAAAAAAAAATCAGATGTTAAAGGAGTTTAGAATATTAATTTTGACTGTGAGTGAAAATGCATTTTTATTTGAATGCTTATTAATTTTATTGTCTTCTTAATTTACATGGCCCCCAAATCTGTTTTTTCACACTAGATATTTTGCCCTGGGAAAAAATGTTGCCTTATTTTGTTAATTTTTTATACCATCAAATGTCATTTTAGACTTTAAGAAACATTAGCATAAACAAATTTATAAGCTGGGATATTATTACTTCTATTCAAATAGCAAAGTAACAGAAAGCGAGTGAGGGTGATTTATCTCCTCATTCTTGTGAAAAATATTTGCTTAACATTTTAAGCATATTTGCATTTGTACAAGGACATAGTTTGATTAGAAAATAGTAATTTTTCATACTTTACAGATGTTTGTTTTCAATCGGTATCTGGGGCATTTCTGAATGAAGCTTTTTTGAATGACACCAAAAAAGAATTAATCAGGATATTTTAAAAATTAGATAAAGGTTTTTTTTCAATTAGATTTTTTTTTTTTTTTTTTTGAGACAGAGTCTTGCTCTGTCACCCAAGCTGGACTGCAGTGGCGCGATCTCGGCTCACTGCAAGCTCTGCCTCCCGAGTTCACGCCATTCTCCTGCCTCAGCCTCCTGGGTAACTGGGACTACAGGCGCCTGCCACCACGCCCGGCTAGTTTTTTGTGTTTTTAGTAGAGACAGGGTTTCATTGTGTTAGCCAGGATGGTCTCAATCTCCTGACCTGGTGATCCACCCACCTCGGCCTCCCAAAGTGCTGGGATTACGGGTGTGATCAATTAGATTTTACTAAACGGAATAGGTAATTTAATTAAACTGTACAGACCATTTTCTCCTGACAGGTTTGATACAAGACAGTGCCTAATAAAGTGACTGTCATATAAGAGGCAGCCCATCACTCTGTGTTTATTCCTTATTCTTTTCTTTGCTCATAAGACACACAAAAGCTGTTTTTCTGCTTATTTCTTATTCTTTTCTTTCCTCATAAGACACACACTAAAGCTATTTATCCTGTTGCAGTATAATTGTTATGGTGTTTTGTAAGTTCTATCTACCTCAAACAATAAATACAGCTAGTTGAGATTAATATTTGCCTACAGAATGGCAGCCGACAGGAAAATAATACCCATGATATTGAAAGGAGTACAATCTTAAATGGCATACGCAACTATCATGACGTTTTGCCTCACTCCAAAATATAACTGTATCTAACTATATTTTAAGGTATATTTTCAAAAATAAAATATAATGAGAAATATACACACAGAAAGAGAACGAATTGCAAGATTTGCCGGGAGGCTTCCCCAGGCTATTTTAAATTGCATAACACCTCATCATCAACTGACTCAGTCCCAGACAGCAGGCAGACAGTAGGGCACATTCTTGAAGCTGTAATAAATAACAGGTTCAAAATGCTGATATCAAAATTTGTGTCATGCTTAAAAACATCAAGGAATAGAAATGTAGTATGCAAGTCATCCCCCCTTTTCTTTTACAGATTGGAAATTGGATTTGCTTCATAATCTTTCACAAAACACATTTTGTGCAAATGAATATATTCTGATACTCTGCTTAGCACAGTTAGCTGTACTGTTACAAGACAGTTTGATCTCGTCCTAAGAATGTTGACTTTCCTCAAAACATGCTAATCAAATTTAAAGCTTCTTATAGAACATATGGGGGACTGGGTTTATCAGCAATTTTAGCTTTTCTTCTATTATCCTGAATGTATTTGTCTTGAAAATAATTTGGAAATAAATTCCTGAGATTATTAACTACAACAGACACCATAAGAGTCAAAGAAAGTGCTCTGTCTCTTTAACCCTGTAATGACTTGCAAATTTTATTGACAGGTAAGAGGTAGTTCTTCAACATAAGCTAGACATTCGTCCCAAAACGTATATCAAAGTTACATACTCATTAATACTTGGAGAGGAATTCCCTGTGGCCCTAAAATTCTCAATTATTTTCAGAAAAATGTTAGGCAATATGAAAATGCCCATTTGGTAAGGTGTAGCCCATGGATTTCATAAGTCATATAACTCAAATGGCATCTGTAGTTTGTCACATGCATCTGTGAAATGGGCTGAATGGGGACGCTGCCATAGAAATGAACAATTACTGTGTTGGATCCATCCCGCTCCGAAGGTGTTTTATCATATATTGCGCTGATTATCACAAACTACATCAATGAAAGGCACTAGGAAAGAACGACCCAAAGTGGTTTCTCAAGTCTTTAATATTCAGAGGAAGAGGAAACCTTTACTCTTCAGGCGTTCATTAAACCTCTAATTCAGCACATTGACATTGGAGCAGAGAGTTCAAATACACCTCGGCAAGCTCGGCATCTGGCGTGTCTGTGCATGTCATTTCCCACTGTCAGAGCCATGGTGACAGGGCCAAATCCATCCCTTTGTATCTGAGGTGTAAGTGTTTGATCAGGCATCCTTTGCTTTTCCCTTTCACAGAGGAGAAAGCTGGGACAGTTAATTGAGTTGAAGTGACATCTAGTCACTTGAGTTTCGCAGATGTGGCAGCGTGCCTTCTGTAGGGCAGAGTTGAAATTGAGCTAAAGCAGGGGTGCTCAGGTTGAATGACAGGGAAGGGAGTCAATTAAGGAGAAGTAGAAATTCAGTACTTTTAAGATGTGCATAAAGCAAAAAAAAAAAGTATCCTAGTCATAATCTGGAGCCAGAATTCATTCAGTAAAATATTTTACAGAAATACTTTTAAAACAGAAGATTAGAGGAGCATGAACCAAAAGTACATTTTCAAGGAAAATTGCTGTAATTAAGGTGTGCAAGAAAAAAGAGAAGAGTTAAATGAAGGTACTTCTTTATATTTGCCTTAAATAAAAATATATTTTATAACTCACGGACGCATGAGGTTTCTAGCATTCCACGACATATTATAGGCTAAATTATAATACTAAGTCAAGTGCTTTAAATGTAACTTACTTTCAGCTATGTTCTTTTCAAATGATCTTACGTATTTTATGTGTATATTTTCCTGACTACATCTGTTTATTTCCACAGTAATTTAGTTGTGTATAGTTTTCATTGTCATTCTGCTCCCTGACTATTAAAAACAGAGCAGGGCTTTCCCAGCACTTCAAAAACATAAAGGTCCTTATCCAGTGGAGGGACAGAGGCCTGCAGTTAAGATCTATGAAACAGGAGAATCCGGGAGATGGCCATGCCGTAACAAAATGAGATGTAGCTCAGCATCCTAGAGAAAAGTCCATTTTGTAGGCAAAGGAAAAGCAAGAGGAGGTGATAGCCAAATTGACCCATAACAGGAAAAAGTGCAAACATCACTGGAAAGGCCCATGAAATGAGAGTCACCAGCCAAAGTGTCTAGTTATATCCTCTTTGAAGATGTTACAGGAAAAGAGTGTTTCTGCTGTAATGTGTAGACTCTATGTTTTACTCAGTTTTTGTCCTTTCAGTATTCTAGCATGGACACTATTCGCCAAAGGATTGTGTCAGTGAATGTGCTGAGACTTTAGAGCAGATGGAGATAGGTGCATTTGCATGAAGAGTCCAGAAAGTGATTTCCTGTAGCAAGAAACACCTGTTAAACTTGTTTTAAATCAATGTGTCCGAATTAAAGAGAACCGCTGGTTTCGATCAGAGTAGAAGCTGAGTATAACATTAGTGGACAGTTCTCACACCACTGTTTCTGCAAGAGAATTTGTCAGAGTTCTGACAAGAGAAAATGGAAAAAAAAATCAAACTGTTTCAAAAAATTGTAAAAGGTGTTGAGAGCACAGAGAAATACTGAATTGTTGCCTGTGTCACAGAATGTGTAACAGGAGGAGAAGAAAGATCACTTTATCCACCTGAGGATTCTCTTGAAATGTGTTTGGCATATGAAATGGAGAGCCAGAACGTGGTTCATTCAATTAACGATCTCACAGGAGCTAAAGCCACCCTGACTCAAGCAAGTAGCCAGACATGTCTTAATATGGAGCAGGAAAAATCAACGTTAAACAAATAGTACACACCAGAATTTCACAATGAGGTTAAAATGAAAGAGAGAAAGAGACAGACAGAGAGGCCACATTATATATATAGCTAGAAGCATTATGTTCACATATTTGGAGGAGGTTAAGAGAGTGGAATATTTCTGAATCATGTATGAGATTGTAAAGAGGAATGTATTTAATTCAGTGGTGGAATTCTTTGGGAAAAAGAAGGAATCTTATAAGGATTTCCCAGAACGATGTTAACAAGGAACAAAGCCAAAATAACCTGATATTGGAGATTATTTGGCCTCCTGTGTTGTGTATTGTGAGATTATAAATTGGAAGTTTAAATACTTGAACAGCATTATATTTTGCATTTTTCACTTACGATCTATATTAGGAAATGCCTAAACTGGGGACTCAGACCCAGGATACCCATCACTCAGATACACACTAGGCAAGAGCCAATTTCTAAAAAATTGATGACACTATAGGGCCAATTTATTGGAACGAAAGCTGATATTTTAAAATCAAACCTAAGGCACAGAGTCTAAATCAGATAAGCAAAAAGCAACTTGTTTTCTTAGGATCAAAATTTGGTCCAGGGCTCTTTGAATCTGTCCTGGTTATGATCAGGAATAGTACTCACATAGGATACAGAGTTGAGAGACTCAAAGTGCCCTTAATTTTAAGGAGAGGAGCACAACTATTGGACTGTGGGCAGAGGTCCGCATAACTAGAGCATTACACCTGCAGTCCTAGTTACCTCTTTCAGTGGTAATAAAATTTTAATACAAAATATAAAGGGTAGAATATTAAAGAAATTTTACTCACACATGAAGTCATAGTTTACTTATATATTTGTTTTCTTTGCCTTTTAGCTATTTTTAATTATTTTATTGTTACGTGTATGCAGAGAATCCCAAGTGGAATTTTTAAAAAATGTTTGGATGAAAGCAGCACATGTGTTTAATTACCAGGCAAATCAGGTATAGAAAAAGAAAAACAGCTAGTTATCTCCACCATGCTCCCTCTCTTCCCCGTAGCACTTCAGTTAGCCACTGTTCCATCATCACAGATTAGATTTACTTTTCTGAACTGGAACCACACAGTGTGTATACTCATGTTTGGCTGCTTTCTTTAAAGTTTTACTAATGAGATACTTCCATGTTTTTTTATGTGGCAAAAAAATCCATTTTTGATAAAATGAGTAAGCTCCGTAAGTACTGTCCTAAATCAGGAATACCCACTTATTATCTGCACTATGTTTGGAAGTGGATCAGCAAAATGTCTCCTCTCTGTTCTACACAGCATCAGCCAGTTTAGCTTGAAGGCCGAGGGCTGGAAACAAAAGTACCTTAAAATGGCTTGCAGCTTCGAATGTAAAACTTAAAACTATAGAACTTAAAAAAATAGAAGGAATTATTTAATTCTAGGACTAGACAAAGTGCTATTAGACCTGGCATCCAAAGCATGAACTGGAAAGGAAAACTAGATAAATTGAAACTCAACAAATTAAAAATGTTGCCCTGGTAAAAGGATGAAGAGAATTTATAGACCAGAAGAAAATATTTGCAAACCACATATTGGACAAAGCTGTATTATCTATAATATATAAAGAACCATTAAAACACAAGCATAGAAAAATCCAATTAGGGAGTGAGCAAAAGAAAGGAAGAGATTTCACTTAATAGCATGTACAAGTGACAAATACACAAATGAGAAGTTCAACATCGTATGTCCTTAGGGGAATGCAAAATAAGACACAGTGAGATATCACACCTTCTAGAACAGTTAAATTTTTAAAAAACTGTCTGTATCAAATGCTGGAACTGTAGAGAAACTGGATAACATTCATTGCTACTGGGACGGTAAAGTGCAGTCAGTCTGGAAATGTGTCTGGGAGTTCCTTACAAGATTAAACATTCACTTTACATCATTAGACAATTTAACTTTTGTGTATTTAACTCAGAGAAATGAACTTATTTTACACGAAATCCTATACCCAAATATCTTAGAATCTTTATTAGTAATAACTGAAAAACTGGAAACAACTCAGACAGCCTTCAAATAAAGAATGCTTCAACAAACTGAAATATCCATACCATACAACACCACGCTGAAGAAAAAAAAGATCATATGACTAATAGACACAACTATTTCATGGATCCCAAGTGCATTGTACTAAGCAAACAAAAGCCAACTTCAAAACAAATGTTATCATATATATGACATAATGCCATTTGATGCGATTAATGCACTTATTTAAATTTCTTGAAAAGATAAAATTAGAGAGATGGAGATTATATCAGTGGTTGCCGAGGAGGGAAGACAGAAGTGCCTGTGCCTATAACATGAGTGAGTGCAGGTTAAACTGTTCAAATCTGAATAAGATTGGCGAATCGATCGATGCCATTTTCCTGGTTGTGATATTGTCCTATATTTTGCAAGACATTGCAATTGGGGAAATCTGAAGAGTTCAGGGGATCTCCCTGTATTGTTTTCTGCAACTGCAGATGAATTTACAATTATCCTCAAATTAAGAGACGTAAAAACTAGAATGATGACGACATACTGAACATAACACACCAAGGCAAGGCAAGTGACTGTGAAAGGACGCATGCCACTAACAAAATGGCCTATGAATAAGGAAAGCAAAATAATCCAAACCAGTCAGTAGGAAATACCAAGTTCCTAAGCTGACTGTGATGACAATTCCGATGGAATTCAGAAATCCTCATAAATTAAGCCCTAAGTTTGAAAAAACAAAAAAAACCCAAAAAACTGTTTTTGACTTCAGGGATCTTAGTTAAATATTTGTGCCTTTATTTTCATTTGATGTATCCCTCATACCCTTGTTATATCTGTGTATTTTTTCTTACATTTTAGAAATTGAAATATTGAGAGGTTTTCAATGATGTAGGACAAAGAATGTTAAAAATAACAGCAATCTGATTTATATTCTGTTTGGCTTTGTGTCTTGTTTTTGCTTTTTTTAAAATTATCCTTTGCGATAACTTTGCCATAGTTAAAAATAAAAACTTGTGTCATGAGTATTGAAAACCTTATACAACATATATCATTATTATGATAATTGCCCTTAATAGCTATTCTTGGATTACAATTTAAAATTGTACGAATAATGTTTGTATTTTTGCAAGTATGTGAGGAAAAATTATTGTTGGTGGTCTTTTTATTTTAGCAAGTATATTATAATTGCCCTACATGTAACTTAAAATCTGCTAGGTTGGCATGTGTGAAGATTCATTGGGATAATAGGAATAACTTAAGCAATCCCTGTACATTCCACATAATTTTAGTTCGTTTTTCAAAATGTGTGATCTTGTTTTATCCCTCTGCTTCAGTATGTGTGTCTCTTCCAGTGCCTTTACTGCATTTGTTTGAATGTTCTATTATTATCTCTCTTTGCGTCTGTTCTAGCAACTGTGGTACAATTTACAGCATTCCTAATAGAAGCTTCATTCTATATAAAGTCTATGTAATGCTATAATATTTACCGCACAATGCCATTTGATATACTTGAGGTTGTCATTGTGATGTATTAATGCAGAAAGTAAACTTGGTATTATAAAATTACTGGAGACTTTCAGAATCTGACTGATATATAGAATCCCATTTTTAATTTAAAGATCAACTGCTTACATGGCTGTAAAGAACAAGAACACAGGTTCTTAATTTGTTAAAAGAAGTAACCACAACTCCATAGCAGATATGATAGATGTGCTATATTGCAATAACTTCCTATAATTTGAGGATTTTGCTAGCAGATGCTTAAACTTATCTGTTTATTTTTGCCTCTCGTTTATGTTAGTTATTATGCTAAATTGATTCGAGCACTCTATAGATACATATGTATATATGCATATAGGAAATGCATCACTACAATTTTTCTAAGCATAAAATACAGTGATATATTTACAAATGTTGTTAGTTTTTATGAAATATTTTAAACTCTTTCTGATCCTCCAGAGGCCAAGATGTTCCTAGATTTCTATTATTACATTAGTGTTCAAGAAAAGAAAAAAAAAACATTTCCATGTAATGCAAGTAGACTTAGTAAATTGGCAACTTTTATTTTAAGATTTGATCACTCAATATTCCAATAAAATCGTAAACTGAACGTTAAAAATTTGGAAAACACAAAATGTTAAGTTAATGACTATGGATTAGTTAATCTTCTATTTTAAAATAAATGTACTATAAAATATTGAAATTTAATTAATAGTTATTAAAAATAGATTAATAACACAACAGAGTTCATGGTCATTATAATTTTCTTGATAGTATTAAACAGTGCATATTAAAATAACTTTGATACAAGATTGAGGAATTCTTACACAAATAATTTTTATATTATAACCTTACAGTGTCAGTGAATCGGTCAATACCAAGCTTATAGTTGAAATAAATGAATTTATAACAAAAATACAATTTGTTATTATAGTGATAACAATAAATCCCTCATACTTTAGAGCGATAATACTGTAGCTCATGCCTTTTGAATATTTTTTGATACTGTTTTCCACAACTTAGAAATTTATGCTGAACTCACGTTATAATAAAAGTGCAATTAAACCACTGGATGCTCCTATGGACAAAATCCTCCGCACTTTGACACAAGTGAACACACTTTTCCTTCTTCATATGAAATAATCCATTTTTGGTAGCTTTTGTAGGGAAATTGTGATAACAATTTGCAGCCACATTTCATCTAAATTTTTGTATCCAAATGTTCATAGCGATATCAATTCTCATAGCAAGGTACAAGAAGGATCATATTCTAAGAATGACAACTATTCAATGTTCTGTCTTGTAATTTCTTAGAATACAATAATTATATTTAATATAATTTGGGATTACACACTCCAATCCTGTCATTTACACATCCTGAAACAAATCTCAAACTTATTCAGATCAATATTTTCCAGAGTAAAACACACTAAAGCCTTTGAACATTCAAACTGAGTCTCCTTGCCACTTTACTAGGAAGGCGAGTCCATCCAATACAAAGAGAAATAAACTTTCAAAAAAGGCCTAGAAAATCAAAATATTTTACCCATCACATTATTTTATTGATATTATTGCAAAAACCCATCTTCTAATGGAGATAACTCTCTTTGAAAACAAAACAAAACAAAACAAAAAACTGAATATACTCTCCATTTAATTTAAGTGAAATTGAAAGTGTAATCACATAATTTAGGATGTGGTATGCTATGCCACAGGCACTCTAGTTATGAATTCAAGTGTTGGTTAATGAGATTTTTTAGGCCATCTCTGCCTCATATGACACTGTGCATTATTCTCACTGAACACATGCTAGCAAATTATGAGGAGAACAAAAGTGGAGGCTGCAGGTGCCTGGCTCTGTGAGGAATCACAGCTGGTTCAGCCATTGGGGAAAATCTGGATGACATAAACCACCATTTATTTAGGCTGAGGGTTGCAGCTACATGATTTTTGATGATGTAAACTAAGTGTATCCACCTGCTGAATGTGGATGTATTCTCATGGTTATTTTACTTGAAGTATTTTAGGATAAAGAGAAGGAACAGATTTGTTGTACTCTGCCTTTAGGAAATGAAACCTACAGTAATTACCATGGAATTTTTTTTTTTTTTTTTACTCTCCCAAACATACACCTAAAGTACCATTGGAGACTCCATTTTCAATGTACTTGGCAAAAATGGCAAAGCATGTCAGACACTGTCAGTGAGGATGATGAGAGAAAATCATAAGTAGACTTACCTGGATCCTAAAACAACATAAGCTTGATAATCAGCTTCACATAAAATTAATAATCTTATCAATCTTAACCTCAGGGTGATATTTTCAAATAAATTTTAGTAAACTCTTTATTCATAAAAATTCATAGTTTTCTTACAATGAGCCGTTTTCACTTCTACGTTCTCCAAGTGAAAGAGGGAATAAAACACAACATTCATACTCTCACTAAAGTTATACTCTAAAGGGCAGAAAGATAACAGATAATAAATACAATCAATATGTTATTAGAAGATAACGAGAGAAAAAGCGTGAGAAATACAATTATAAATAATGTGACTAAGGAAGGTCTTGATGAGGGAGTGATATATGAATAACCATCTTAAGGAGGGAGGGGAAACAGGGCAAGAGAGAAAAACACAAGCCCATAGGTCTCAAGGCAGGGCATGAAACTCTGCCTCGGAAACAGCGAGGAGACCCAGGCACCCGGAGTGCAGGGAGTCCCAGGAGGATGGAAATGAACAAGGAAAGTGAGGAAGGAGGTTGATTATCTAGGGAATCTTCAGATTTGATAACGCCTTGGCTTTTACTCTCAGTGAGATGGAACACTGTCAGAAAGTATTTGAGCAGAGGAATGTGTTGAGCTGACTTATTACTTCCTAAGATTAATGCCTCAGCTGAAGTCAAAGGTGGAATTAGGGTGACAAGATAAGAGGGTATTTAAATTATCTGGGCAGAAGTGGTAACAATGATTTTGTACAAGGTGGAAGCAACAGATGTATATAAGTTGTCACAGAATCAGGTCCTGGGAATATTTTGAATTAGAACCAGCAAAAATTATTGATGAATGATTGGAGTGGTAGTAGAGAAAGAAGAAGTCAAGGGCTGTTCTGTGTGTGTGTGTGTGTGTGTGTGTGTGTGTGTGTGTGTGTGTGTGTGTGTGTGTGTTTGGCTACTGTAAAAATGGGGATGTCATTTCCTGAAGTGGAAAAATGATCTGAGGAGCAGATTTGGAAGTCAGTGTAGGAAATATCAGGACCACAGTACTTGACATGTTCAATATGAGATGCTTGTTACATATCCAAGTGGAGATGTTGACTAGACAGTTGAATACTTGAGTCTGTAGTGCAGGAATGGTTCTAAACCTAAGGTGTATATATGCACAATTAAAGTAAGAAGACTGAATGAAACTATCCAAAGGAGTGAATATAAATAGAAAAGGGAGTGTTCTAAGGTTCCTGTGGTTTTCCAGCTCTATTTATTTATTTATTTATTTATTTATTTATTTATTTATTTACCGTTTTGAGATGGAGTTTCACTCTTGTTGCCCAGGCTGAGTGCAATGGCGTGCGTGATCTTGGCTCACTGCAACCTCCACCTCCGGGATTCAAGGGATTCTCCTGCCTTAACCTCCTGGATAGCTGGGATTACAGGCGCCTGCCACCACACCCAGCTAATTTTTTGTATTTTTAGTAGAAACGAGGTTTCACCATGTTGGCCAGGCTGGTCTTGAACTCCTGACCTCAGGTGATCCGCCCGCCTTGGCCTCGCAAAGTACTGGGATTACAGGCATGCGCCCCTGCAGCTGGCCTCCAGCTCTTATTAGAGATAATGTGTTATGAGCATGTGGGACTACTCGATACTTTCAGTGCTATTTTACCCATTGCTGCTACTAAGAAAACTAGTGCATCAAAAAGAACAGCGTGGGTTATAGTTTCCTGTAAAGTTCTTACATATCCTACATTTTTTCCATTATCCTCATGTCTGCATATCAACTTCCCGGCCTACTGATGGCATAAAATAAATTGGTAGTGTTCTAAGAGAATCTTGGTATTTTACCTGTGTTTACCCAGATCTGTCGTCTCCATGATAACTTACCAAAATTCTTAAAAGATGTAAATGCTTATACCACTGACATATTCAAATAGAAAAGAATGATATTTTTATGAATTCTACAACAGTGAGGATTTTCTAAGTAAAAAAGAGATGGGGAATGGCAAAATATATCATTGATAAATAAATACATATTAAATAATAACAATTACATTTCTTAAGTAAAAAGGAAGAATATAATATTGTATTCATAAAATTTTAATTGCTTGAAACTTATGGGATCATTTTCATGTAAATTTATCAAGTATTATTAGTTATTGACTTTGAATTGTTTATTTTTGGGTAGTTACATAGTTGATTAATGTTTTTATTTTTGTACTAAAAAACTCAAGGTGAACAAATATTATTTTAAGAATAAGAGTACTCTCTATGTAATTTTTTAAAAGAACACGTTCCTTAAAATACACACTCAGGAATTCAACATTGAGCTTGTCTATTTGCCAGACATCCTTCATTCAGAACTCGAGATGGAAATAACAAGCCATATTTTCTTCCATATAGAGATTTACATTCTAATTAAGGGAACACGTAACGCTCTGCAATATTTGAGGAAAGAATTACAATAGCAGCACTGGAGAACTCAATGGAAGCCAAGGCCAGGGGTGTGTAGCCCATCTCAGTTTGTGCAACTCTTCCCCTACCTCCCTGGATGCTCCCACCACCCTCACCCTCCCTTGCTCCCTCAAGTGAGATTGTTGTCACATCTCAAGTCTCAGGCTTGGACAGTTGCTTCTCTTTCTCAAATGGCTTTCTTCTGGTCCTTCTTCATTCTGGTATTCTCACCATCAGATCCCAGCCCAGAGTAAATACTGCTTCATTCAACCAATTAAGCTCAGTTAAACACCACTACATTCCCCAGAGAATTCCCTGCTCATTCTATGCTTCATTAAAAAAATGTTCTTAAGTTACTAAAGGTGATATGAAAATTGAGAACTACGTTGTCCTTTAAAAAAAATGAGAACAAATATCTGTGAGGTAATAGTGCCATTTTTTTTCTATTTTTAAGCTATGCTGTTTTAAACATTAAATGTGGCTTGCTGAATAGACTATTTCATATTTTCAAAAGTGAAAGAATATACATGTTACAAACATAACAAGTGAAACTTAAATTTTAAAATATTTGTAAATAATGATTAAGATTTTATTTCAAAGTAAAAATAACTAAAAGTTAGATATGAAACATTTCATTTAGTAATATTTCTAAATTATTTCTCCAGATTGCATGTTCACTATTCTCAGGGCAAGTGCATTCGTACTGTCTTTGTTAATTTTTTTCTTCTATGATATGACTTACTCTGCCCCTTAAACCTGGAATATCCAGCTATCATCTTGCTAGAATTCTGGTCAGCCGTTACCTCAACAGTGATTGAAGTTCACCTCAGAACTCACAGAGCACCCTGTTTATACATCTGTCTTTGCATCTGCCATATTATACTGTAATTTAATACCTTCATACATCCACAAGGACAGTGTGTGTGTGTCTGTCTATGTGTGTCTGAGTGTGTATATGTTTATTTATAAACAGCTCATTCCTTATGTTAAACATTAAAAATTAAAAATGATTTTCAATTTAAAATAATCTATTTAAATTAATATTAATTTAGTTACAATTCCCTACAGAAATTTGCTCCAATATATGCCATATTTCCCTCCTATGAGTTATTTATTGTTATACAACTTACACATCTGTGTACGTAAAAAAAGCCTATGAACACAGTTTTATAATTTTTGATAAACAAATAACAGAACAAAATATCACAAACAAAACGCTTTCATAATTTATTTCGTAATACCAGTGTAGTTACTTTTGCTGGTGCTGCTCATTCTTCATGTGGATTTAAGTTAACCTCTAGTGTCCTTTCATTTCAGGCTGAAGGATTCCCTTTAGCATTTCTTGTGAGGCTGATAAGCCTTATGAGATCATGGAAATTGCAACATTGTACTGCAATACCGTTTTTCTCTACTTGAGAGTGATTGCTTTTTGTGCATTTTCTTTGTCTGCTGCAGTGCTCTCTTGAGAATAAACATCGTAATATAATTTTTGTATGATAAAGTCACTTTGGGTTGGAAAAAATAAAATTAAAACTCAACATCCTCCACTCCTGCTTCCAACAATTAAAGTGCTGCGTAGAGAATGAATAGTTGAGAAATGTACTGTGGTTCTAATTCTTTAGAGCAATTTTGCAGTGATGAGTTTGTTTACTCATGCTCTCAATTATTTTTTTACAAATTTATTCACTGTGTTTGGTTGTGACTTTTTCCTTGAAATTCTTCTTGTTGCATGACTGATAATATAGAAAGACACAATAAGTGAAATAAAAAATCTACTAGAGAGCCTAAATAAAAGATTACTGATGTCAGAAGGGAAAAAAATGAAATTGAAAAGAGTGCTATAAAAATTATCCAGTAAGTTGCAGAGAGAGGAAAAAGCAAACTATATAATATTAAAGTAAATAAAGATTCAAGCCAAGAAAATATTTTCCTAATTACTTTATGAAAAATTTATTGTTTTACCTTTCACATTTATATTTACACTCCAAAAATAATGAATTAGTAAGGTATGAGGTATGAGTCAGATTAATTTATTGAAATGTATAACCAGTTGAACTGGCACCATTTTTTGTTTGTGTGTTTGTTTTTTATAGATAATTTTTTGTTTTGTTCCTAACCCTTCACCATGAAAACCTTTAAATACTTGCAAAAATGAAGAAAATATACACTGAACCCCACATATTATTTCCAAACTTCAGCAACTGTCAATTTAGGGCCAATCACATTTAGAATGTAGCCTCATTGAAATTTCAATTCTCAACCACATTATTTTTTTTAATGCCCTTACCCTCATGGAATCAACTACATTATTTTCAAGTAAATCTTGGATATCATATCAGAGAATCAGATATTTATTTATTCAGTTAATTAATTAGTTTCCTTCTTACTTTATTATATTGTGGTAAGAATATTTAACTGGAGGTCTACTCCTTTAACTATGTTTAAGTTCATAATACTTTGTGAACGATAAGTGCAATGTTATACTGCAGATTTCTAGAAACTTTATACCCACTGAATCTGTCTTACTCTCCAGACCCTGGCAACTACATGCTACTCTTTGTTTCTATGAGTTTATATTAGACACCTCATAGGAGAAGAATTTGTCCTTCTGTGACTGGCTTATTTCATGTAGCATGTTGTTCTCAAGTTCTATTCATGTTGTTGCATATTGCAAGTTTATTTCTTCTTAAGACTGAATAATATTGCAGTGCATGTACTGTGTATATCACGTTTTCCTTATCCATTTCATCTTTCAAGACACACTTAATATGTTTCCATATCTTGGATATTGAGAATAATTCTGTAATGGATATGGGAGTGTAGATATCTCTTTGAGATCCTGATTTCAGTTATTTTGGGTAAAAATCCGGAAGTGGAATTGCTAGATCATATAGAAGTTCTATTTTGAGTTTCCTGAGGAGGACAAGAAGATATTTTCCTAATTACTCTCTGAAATATTTATTGTTTTACCTTTCACATTTAGATTTATGCTCCACCTACAATGAGTTTCTAAGGTGTGAACTGTGAGACAGATTTATTTATTTACCCAAATGTATAACCAATTGAACTGGTTTTCCTTTATACTCCCATTAACACGGCAAAAAGGTTACTTTTCCACACCCTTGCCAATGTTTGTCTTATTTTGTTTTGTTTTGTCTGATAATAACCATCCTGACATTGAGGTCTCCATATGTATTTCCCTAATGATGAGTAATGTTGACATCTTTCATATGCCTCTTGACCATTTGAGTTATTTGGGTGTTTGGTTTTTTTTTTTTTTAATACTATTTAGTTGCAGGAGTATCATATATTTTAGATAATAGCTTTAGTGAGATATTAATCCATTTTTGGACATATGGTTTCTACAGATATTTTTTCACATTCTGTAGATTGACTTTTCATTTTGTTGATTGTTTCCTTTGTTGTGAAGACACTTTTTAGTATGATATATTTCTACTTTTCTATTTTTGCGTTTGTTCCTTGCACTTTTGCTATTATATCCATAAATCATTTCCCAAACAAATTTTATGGTGATTTTTCTCCCATGAGAAAAGGAGAGTTTTACAGTTTCAGGTCTTATGTTTAAGTCTCTAATCCATTTTCAGTTGATTTTTGTGTATGGTGTAAGATGAGGGTCCAATTTCATTCTTTTGAAAGTGGATGTCCAGTTTTCCTCAGACTATTTGTTGAAGAAATTATACTTTTCCTATTTTATGTTGTTGGCATCCTTATTAAAGATCAGCTGACCACACATGCATTGGCTTATTTCAGGAATTTCTATTCTATGCTATTGCTCTATATGTTTGTTTTATGCCAGTTATGTAAAGCTGTATTTACTGTAGCTTTATAATATATTTATAAGTCAGAAAGTGTGATGACTTCAGGTTTGTTCTTCTCAGGATTGATTTGGATATTTGAGATCTTTTATAGTTCCATGAGAATTTTAGAACTTTTTTTCTATTTCTGTAAAAATGTCTGGGATTTTGATAAGGATTGCATTGAATCTGTAGATCACTTTGGATTTTATGAACATTTTAACAACATTAAGTCATCCAATCTACCATCACATGATGTCTTTCTACTATTTGTGTCTTCTTTAAATTCTTTCATCAGTCTTCTTTTGTTTTATTATACAAGTCTTTTACCTTTTGGCTAAGTTTGTTCATAAGTTTTATTATTTTTGATGCTATTGTAAATGAGATATTTTAAATTTCTTTTTTGATTATTCATTCTAAGTGCATAAAAGTGCAACTAATTTTTCATGTTGATTTTGTATCCCGAAACTTTATTAAATTTGTTTATTAGTTCTCACACTTATTTTCTGCAGTCCATAGGGTTTTCTATGCATAAAGTCACATTGGCTGCAAACAGATTATTTTACTTTTTTATTTCCTATTTGAATGGCTTTTATTTTTTTTAATCATCTAATTGTTCTGGTTAGGATTTCCAGTACTATGTTGAATAAAAGTTTGATATGATTTGGATCTGCATCCCCACCCAAGTCTTATGCTTAATTGTAATCCCTAATGTTGGGGGTGGGGCCTGGTGGGAAGTTATTGGATCATGGGGGCAGATTCCCCCCTGGTGGTATTCTTTTGATAGTAGTGAGTGAGTTATCATTAGATCCAGTCATTTAGAAGTGTGTAGCACCAACCTCCACTCATCCTGCTCCAGCCATGTAAAGTGCTGCTCCCCCTTTGTCTTCCACCATGATTGTAAGTTTCCTGAGGCCTCACCAGTAGCTGAGCAGATGCCAGTGCCATACTTCCTATAGAGCCTGCAGAATCATGAATCAATTAATCTCTTTTCTTTATAAATTACCCAGTCTTAAACATTTCTTTATAACAGTGTGAGAACAGACTAATACAAAGTTCCAAGAGTGGGCATCTTTTCTTTATCTTGATCTTATAAGTTAAGCCTTCAGTTTTTCACCATTGAGGATGTTGGCTTTGGGCTTTTCATGTATGCTTTATATTATTTTAAGAAAATGCCCTCTATTCCTAGTTTATTGAGAGGGTTTATCCTGAAAGATAGTTAAATTTTGTCAAATGTTTTTTTTCTGCATCAGCTGAGATGACGATGAGATTTGTGTTTATTCTGTTAAGGTGGTATATCACATCAATAGATTTGCATATGCTGAACCATCCTTGCATCACAGGGATAAACTATACTTTGTCATAGTGTTTATTTCTTTAATGAGCTGTTGAATTTATTTAGCTAGATTTTGTTTCAGGTTTTTGCATTTGTCAGGCTTAATTTTATTTTCTTTTAGTGTCTTTTTTCTGGCTTTTGTATCACTGCAATAGGAGCTTCATAAAATAAGTATAGAAGTGCTCCCACTTGAGTTATTTTTAAGGTTTTAAGAAGGATTGGTATTAATTCTATTTTAAATGCTGACCGGTTTTACCAGTGAAGTCTACTGGATTTAGGATTTTCTTTGCCAGGAGGTTTTTGATTACTCATTCATATCTCCCTACTAATTAAAAGTCTGTCCAAGCTTTATATTTGTTATTCTGTATTATTTGGTTGTATGTTTCTAGGTTATCCAACTTGTTGGCATATGATTTTCACAATAGTCTCTTGGTATTTTTTTTTTCATTTCTTCAGTATGAGCTGTAAGGTCGTCTTTTTCATTTCTGATTCTATTTGAATCCTCTCTTTAAATCTAGATAAGGGTTTGTTTTGTCATTTTATTTTTCTTAGAAACCAACTCACTTTTATTAATTTTTGACTGTCTTTCTGTTCTCTATTTCATTTATTTCTGCTATAATCTTTAGTATTTCCTTCATTCTGTCAACATTGGGCTTCGATTGATCTCCTTTTTCTAGTTCTTTGAGCTGTTAAGTTATGTGAAATCTCTTTTTGATATAGGAATTTATGGCTATAAACTTCCCTCTTAGTACTGCTTTTTCTGCATCCAACACATTTTGGTATATTGTGCTTATGTTTTCATTTGTCTTAATAAATTTTCTAATTAACCTTCTGATACCTTTCTTGACTCAGTGGTTGTTCTGGGGTGTATTATTTAGTTTTCACATATTTGTGAATGTTTTTGGTTTCCTATCTGTAATTTATTTCTAGTGAACACCATTTGTGAAAAAGACTACATATGCCCCACTGTCCTATTGTGCCACTTCATTATAAGATACATTTTCATACTCTATTCTGTTTAATTGAGATATTATTCACTGTGTCAATATCACACTATACAATAGTCTATAGTTTTCTATTATCTTATTGTTTAAGAGAAAAAAACTCTGTGTCATTTCCCTTTTTCAAGATTGTTTTAGTTTTATACTCTTTCATACTCTTCAACTCTTATATGTCTATGTGTTTTATGAGCAAGTTGTTACATTCCTTCCCTAAAAACAGTTATGGGGTTTGATTGAGGAGGATGCTCACACATAATATAAATTCTCTAATGTTGTAAATTATTGTAATATGTATGATAGTGTTTTATATTTTAATTTATTTTACTCTTATTTTGTTTTTATTTATTGCTGTTAATATTGTTTTTAAATGATTCACAATTTAATTTTCTCTTTTTTGTAAATATATACTTTATTTTTATATTGAGTTGCATTTAGAGGTATTGTAAATAAAGCTATCAATTCTAATGATATCTATATTTTTCTTACAAAATTATGTTATCTGATACAAATGATAATTTTTGTTTTTTGACATTTTATATGGTTTATTTTTTCTTACTATAATTGTCAGAACATCTTCTATAATATGTCTAGAAGCAGGAATCAGAAACTCTCCTTCTTCCCTACTGATGTAAAGTAAAATTTCTGTCATATGTTTAGTGTTGGTAAGATCTATATTGATGTTACTGTTTTTATTTCTGATATTTATGTTTTGGGTATCATTTTCATTTCAGATTTGACATACATTTCCATTTGATGGTTACTTATTATTTTAGAATATTTGATGTGTTGCTTATTTCTTGTTTTCTTTCTGTATTTACATATTTAGTTATTGAGTTGTTTAATTAGTTGCATCTTTCATTTACTAGGATTGTGTATTTTTCCAGTGTAGAAAGGCACTATACGATTATGGTTAAGCATAAAGTCTTCAAATAGACATCTGATTTTGGAGCCGCACTCTATCCTATCTTAGTTATGCCATCTTGAAAAAGTTATCTCCCGTGTCTCAATGTCTCAAACTGTGAAAGAAGAGAAAAAAATTTTAAAAACCCTCTTACCAAGTTGTACTACATGAATTTACTTATGTAATGTGCTCATATCTGTGTCTAGAACATAATAAGCACATGATAGGCATAAGCTACTCTGTTGTTGTTGTTTTCATATCTCCAACATGCATGCAAGATTTTTTTTTAGCAAAATAAGGCCCCCTCCTTCACTTAGTTTGCAACATCACTTCACTCACACTTTCAGGCAGCGTGTACTGAATGTGATGCCTCAAACTGAAGCTGCAGGCATCAATCCTAATTGTTGTAAATTATTTCCATATTTTTGGCCCCTCTGACAGTTTAGGACAGAGAAGGTGAAACCATGACTCAGACATAACGCAACTTCTGAAAAGAAGGCAAATGTACTCCCCCACTAGAAATGTCTTGGGATTATGTTATAAATTGTTTCCATTTCAACCATCTTACCACCAAATACAAACTCAGAATAAAATGAACACACAGGAGAGGTAATGAGACAAATGAAAAAGAAGAAGAAGTAACGTTTCCTTTTCGATATTTTGAGGCCCAATGCACCTATGAGTCAAATCTTCCCTCCCCTAAAAATATGTTAACCTAAATCAATAAATGATCCTTCTACTTAGTAGTTTTAGATAGGCCTTTGTCATTTGTATTCAAAAGAGTCATAACTCTAACAACCATTGCTGTCACTGACAATTTTGTCAAGCCCATGGCGTATCAGAGAAGGATTCCTCTAAGTCAGTGAGAAGGGAAAGGGAAAACAGGTTGAGCGTTAAAAACACATAATGACACTGTCATGGTTGTCACAACTTTTGAACTACTGAATTTTTCCTCATAGCACCTCTAAACTACTAATTCCAAGGGAAAATGAAGAGAAAGATTGACTATTCCTCCAAATGGTGTTGATTTGAATTCTTCCAGTCTTAGACAGTGAATATAAATTCATTTTTAATAACTTCAATACTGTGTCACTTTGTGTATGAAAATGAGATAGATTATACACCCAAAAGGTTGTCATCAGGATTAAATGATGCATTAAATGCTTATTAAAAAGCCTTGTAAAAAAGTAAAAACAAAATAAAACTTAATGCCTACTATTAATATTACTGCTACTATTACTAGTGATTTTTACTATTTGTAATATTGAAAAAGGTTTTTTATACTATAGATTTGAATTTGACTGCCAAAAATTTATTTTTTTTTTCCAAAAAATAAAAAGAAATCATTATTGTAAATCCAGAGGAAGTACCTTGAAAAGCATAATGTATTCCAAGGTCTACTACTAACTTCTGAATAACCTCATAAGGCAATTTATTTATTTCTAGGCTTCAGTTTCCTCATCTGAGAAAGTATTTCAGTTAGATAGCTGTATGTACGCTGTATCCCGGGTATAATGTACTTTTTGTTTTGTTTTGATTTTTTAGGAACAGGATTTTTATCATCATTCAATGATCTAAAAATATCATTGAATGGTGATTTAATTGAAAAAAAAAGGAGAAAACTGGAAATATTTCAGAACTACCTTAATTGAATAGAGTTTGTACTATGGATTTTATTTTGTTTTTTATTTTTCACTTTTATTTTAGGTTCAGGGTACCTGTTTAGGTTTGTAATAATGGGTAAATTATTTTATTTTAGGTTCAGGTACCTCTGCATGTTGGTTATATTGGTAAACTGCATGTCATGGCAGTTTGGTGTGCTGATTATTTTATCACCCAGGTGATCAGCTTAGTAAGCAATAGGTAGTTTTTCAATCCTAATCTTCCTCTCACCCTCCACCCTCAAGTAGGTCTTGGCATTGATTGCTCACTTCTTTGTTTCCATAGTATTGTGAATTTGGTACTTAGTCTAGACAGAAATACAATTCCAGTTTAAATCTCATCCTACATTTCCAAGAGTTATTGAGATTAACTCAGGAAGAAGCATCATTTTCAGAAGTATTCTCTCCCTCTGCTGAACTTCAGGATGTTAGTGTGTAGTAGTCTAGTTGAGTAATTATTGAGATGTTATTCCATGGCTTGAAGATGAGTTTGGGGCCTTCCATTAACTTGAGTTATTCCCCATTCCGACTGCCTAATCGGAGTTTTGTTGCAGCTGCTGTTCCTATTTGTTATTACACCCAGCAGTTAATTATAAATGATGTTAAAACATTCAGGCATTCTGATTGCTAATTTGGCTAAATATTACCTGTCTTATAAATCTAAGTAATAGGTGTCGTGTGGACTCAAATGGGTTCTAAAACAGATGGTTACACGAAAACATACATGGATGTGCTATAGGGGAAGCACAAAAGAGAAAATGAGCAAGCAGTGTGCTAAAATGCTTACCTTTCTCATTAACACTGGCAAATAAATCAGATTTTTTAAAAGATTTTCTCTTTTAGTAGGCCATCAATTGCATAGATCTAAATTAGTATCATTCACTTCTTGTAAAACCTGCCGAAGTTATAGTTAAAAATATCATACCACAGAAAGATAATAGTTAAGTCATTTATAAAATTCACCCTTAATTAAAATAGAATATAGATCCCAAAGCACATATCATCTGCCAAATATATTGTAGTGAAATTTGGATTCATTTGAGAGAGAATTCTGAATGTGGATAAGTATCTCTCCGTATCTCAGGCAACATGCACTGTCTGAAGAGAGTGACAGAAAGGTTTCTGAAGAACCCAACTGGTTATGAATCTTTACTTCATCTGAGAAGAAAACTAAACAGACAGGGAGGCCAAAGGAAAAAATAGTAAATATCTCTAAGATTTCATTTACACAACATATAGCACCCAGGAAGAAACTGTTGAAAAACAGTCTGAGAGAACACACATCATCATTATCATTAATTTATGTTTTCTAGATTTCTGAGTAAATTAATACAAACAAACTAGAAAACAATCTCCATGCTGGGGCCTCTAGAAAGAAGGAAGAAGAAAAAAAGGAAAAAAAAAAATCAACTGTGTGATTGGCTTTGTACTTAGTGAGCTAAATTAAGGGAAGCATAATAACCAGATGTGGCAATAAACCAGACTCAACAGACTTCACTATGACCACTGGCTTGGAGCAAACTGACACTTGTTATCTATATGGTCATGGAATGGTTTTAAAAAGTCCTTTCTAAAATGGAATTATTGGGGGCGGGGGGGAAGACACAATGTAATGAGCTTCTTTATCTGAACCTACTTGATATAATTCATTCTTGTTTAGTAAATCCCTAACTTTCTTTGCCTCAAGAAAATGTTAGCCCTTATCAATTGAGTTACTGTCATCTTTAACTGCTTTATTAGGTCCCCCTTGACTTCTGATTATTTGTATGCTATAACTTCTCATTTCATCCTCTATGTGTTGTAAGGGTTTTTGGTTGTTGTTATTCTTGCCAATATCTTTTCTCTGTGTGAATTACTTTAAGAAAATTATTTGACTCTATCTTCTACTTCATTACTCTCTCAATCAGTTTTTAATCTGCTGTTTAATTCTTACATTCAATTTTAAATTTGGTGACAACTTACTACCATGAAATCATATGATGAAATAGTAATAGTTGAAAAAATGAATGTTATGCAGCATATTATATATATATATCATATGAACTGTTTTTGCTAATGTAAAATATTCATAATGTGTGTGTATTCAAACTCAAACATGATCACACACATATGTGAATGTGTGTAAGATTTTTAACTGGAAAGCTAAAAGTGCTTTCCAGATAAATTGTCATACTATAATCTCAATTGTGCAGAAACAATTTAATTCCCAATTAATAGTATCTATTGCATGCCTACTCTCTATTAGTTTACAACAATTAGTAAAGTAGAAAAAATAAAGCTTAGGTTTTAAGTTTGGGGGTGAAAACTACCATTAAATATAAACTGACAAAAATGTACGGTGTTTATAAATACTGTGCTGAAAAATAAAGTATTGCAATGGAAACAGGAGGTATGAAGTGTGCTTTTAAATTGAATGTTAATTAAATATTTTGAGCATTCAAAATAAGTTTTTGAAATACTATGTCAGTATAGAGAATTTATCTCATCACGCTTTATTCTCTTGGTGCTTAAAACCTTCCTAAACTATAGTTTTATAACTTCAGCATTGCTTTAAATTTATTTTAGCAGCAATTTAATAGTATTGATTGTTGTCTTAGTTATGGAGTTTGGAGCAACATTATATATATTACATATAACATATTGTCATTATATATAATGCATATAATATTTTAGTCTCGCTCTTTCGCCCAGGCTGGAATGCAGTGGTGCAATCACAGCTCACTGCAACATCTGCCTCCTGGGTTCAAGCGATTCTCATGCCTCAGCCTACTGAGTAGCTGGAATTACAGGCATGCAGCACCATACCAGGCTAATTTTTGTATTTTCAGTAGAGATGGGGATTCACCATGTTGGCCAGGCTGGTGTGAAACTTCTGACCAAAAGTCATCTGCCCACATGAGCTGTCCAAAGTGCTGGGATTAAAAGCGTGAGCCACTGTGCCCAGCCAGACAGCAGATGTTATATTTTTAAATGTTTTTATTACATTTTTTAACGTATTCAATTTCTTAAGTAAAGCATTTGTGAAAAGTCAGAGGCCTGCCCAACTTACGTTTTCCCTCTCTTTTCTTAAAAGAAAAATAAAGGGATTCAGGTATGCACGTCACAGACCAGTTTGACTCTAGATATAAATAGGGTTTTGGGAGCCCAGAGATCGATCATGATTGTAGGCAATTAAAGAAATTCCATCCTCTTGCCAGGAGGTGGCATATGCATGTCCTTGGGCCTCACTTCTGGCCAAGAAGACAAGAGTGTGTCCACTTGGTGGGATTCTGTAAAAAAACAAAAAAAAAACAAAAACAAAACAAAACAAAAAAAAAGGGCTTTTGCATTCTCCAACGTCAGGACACCAAACTTTTAATTTTTCCTAAAAACCTCACCATGCCTACTACATTTTCTGTAGTTTAGACTTAGGGATTAACTGGAAACATGCAGCGATATCATATCTGAATGAGGACTAGGACATACAATATGCAAGGCAGAGAGCAGGAGAAAAATGCAGGAGTCACAAGGAAAGGGCACCGTGTAGCAATACACTTGGTCTGTTTTGTCCTCCTGGACGTTGTTCCATATGAGATCATCTACTTTCCTTATGCAATACAACAGTGTGAGAAAGGTGTTCTGTCGCATGGAGCGGATAGCTTTCTAATTGGTGTAATTTGTTTGTTTTTCATCAAGAAACATTGCATTTATTCTGTGCCGTGGCTTTTATGAAAAAAACCCAGTGAAAAATATTTGCTGTTTTTCATGCTAATGGTAAACAATTGAGCAAAATGTTTCTCACCACAAAAAATGCTTGAGACAATGAATATGGTAGTTTAATTACCCCACTTATCATAACATCACATTATAACCCATAAACATATACAGTTATAATTTGTCAATTCAAAATAAAACATTTAAAACTATTAGTGATTTATCTTAGAGATATTTCTATCTCTATTTCTGATTAACTTTATAATTAATTAAAAGAAAATAAGAGTAAAGGTAAGATATATTCCCTTTGTTACCAAAACTTACCTGCAAAAATCCTGTTTAGTTGAAAGGCATTAAAAAAAAAAACAAAATTTTCTTGTTTTTGTTGTCTTTTGCTGTCTTTTGCTTTTTAATATGGCTGCTGCAGAGCAATCAAAAGAATTTTCTGGCTCTGCCTTCTTTTTGGGAGCAGGGTTCAGATGCTAAGGGTCATTTGCTGGTCAAAGGAAAAGTTACTTTAGTTATGGGCTTCAGAAGTTGCAGACTATCATTGAAAGCTTTCCAGTAGGATGTAAATGGCCTCAGAGTATGCAATTTACCAGTGATTCCACAGTACAAAAGAGAAAAGGGTACTTCAAATGTTATGTGTGCTGTGGTATATTCGATGGGAAATGTTTCAGACATTAAACTAGTTTTATTCTTCTTGTAATATAACATTTCTGATTTTAAAGAGATAAAGTATCAACATTTGTAACGAATATTGCATTTCTGTCATTATAAAAGCCACTCATTCTTTTGCAAAAAAATTTAATTATATTTAGCAATTCTATGCCTGCTGTGTCTTATTGTTTATGTAAAGTAAAAAGTCAATAATATAGAAATACAAAAGCACAGTGAAGAAAAGTAGTACTACAATTCTTTCTCTTCATCAGGAAATGAAAAGCAATTTGAACTATGATATATAATATAACTTATTTTATCAATTCAGGGTAAATTTGCAATGTTTCATTAATTATACTATAGATTTTCTTTAAGAAAATTAAGCTTGTCTGAAAATCCTTCTCTTGTTCATTGTAGTAGACTATTCTCAGATATTTTATTTTGCCTTGATTTTTCACTTACAGAATTCATTTTTCTCTCTATTCTATATTGAAGGGATAAAAATATACGAATGTGCTCAGATCATGCTTCAATAAGAAAGTGACATTTTTGTGAGCAAAAACTCGAACAGGTAGTTTGGGAATATGTGGAAGAAGAACATTCAAAGTATTAAGGACATCCCATATAACACTTCATACATAATCCTGTAGTGGCAGCTGAAGGATTGTGTCCAAGTAATGGGAAGGGCTGGTATTGCTGGTGCAAAGAAATGGGAGAGTGATCTGTCTTCTTCTCATTATTGGGATTTGATTACTGTTCTTTGCAACTCTCTACATCTTAAAAAGAAGTGAAAATCTTCATTCATAATTTATGTAAATATCCCAAACTATTATCCTATGAGATGATATCATACTGTAGCAGTAATGCTAGTAAGATCCTGCCCATGCAAGGCTTGACCAACATGAAGTGCATTCAAGCTTTTGGAGAGTATTTACATGGCATTTATATTATAATAATTCTTATTATAAATAAGTTTGTGCTTTGATAAATGTGTTTTATTAAAATTTGTGGAGTTGCTTTGGGCTCTAAAGATTTATCAATCTATTTTGGTTTGGGTATTCTCGGTATTCATTTCAAGGAGCTTCTTAAAAAGAAGAAATATAATTCGATATTAGTTGTAAATATTTTCCAGTTTTTAATTATTATTTTACTTTTGTTTGTGGTTTTTCATGGGCAAGAAATATTTTTTCAAATTTCTGGTAGATAGAACAACAACACTTCAGCATTTTGTGACAAAAAGCCTACAAACATTGAAAAAAAAACCTCTAACAAAACTCTGCTACATTTTTATACAGTTCTCTCTTGTTTCAATTTTTCACCAAAATGTTTGAATCTTTTGTATATGTCCTGCTGTCGAGTGTAGGTGTGGATCCATGTTTATTTTTACCAAGGTGTTTACCCAGTTGTACCATCACTGGCAATAGAAGAGCACATCTTTGTCACAATGATTTGGCATGGCATCTTAATCACCTACTGAAGAGAAGGTTTGTTTCTATTTTTGGACTCTGTTCTGTACCATGTGTCTTTTGAGTCTGTTGGTGTGTTAAGTATGTTCCATCCTACTATCTGATAAAATACCTCATACTCTGGGTTCTCATAATCTCTCATTTTAAATGAGAGGTTTAAATGTATTTCTGAGCCAGCTGAAACTTTTTCTCAAATATTTCTTTTTTTTATTATTATACTTTAAATTCTAGGGTACATGTGCACAAGATGAAGGTTTGTTACATATGTCTACATGTGCCATGTTGGTGTGCTGCACCCATTAACTCCTTATTTACATTAGGTGTATCTCCTAATGCTATCCCTACCCCCTCCCCCGACCCCACAGCAGGCCTGTGAGAGCAGAGACTGCTTGTTTTGGTTACACACTGCATTTTACAGCACCTATTTGTTGCCACAGTAAATATATATATGGCAAAAGCTATTCATCTGTAAATTATAATTCAGCCTTTTACTGAATTTTCTATTAATAAAGATTACCAATTGCTTGACTATTTCATCTCTTGGTACCCAATAGTAAATAAATTTCATTCAACTTTTACAGTGTGACTTTCTACTTTTAATTACTCTACTCTTCAATTTTAGTTTGTTTTAATTATTTTATATATGTCATGTGTTTTGGTGGCCTCTTACTGCTTTATCACACTTTCAATTTCTACTTTTACTTCTTTAAATATGTCAGTCATATTCTAATATCTGATCCTTGGAACTTTATTTACTTTGGCTAAGCTTAGTGCCTCACCTATGAAACATATTATAACTATTCATCATAAACATAGTGAGATAAAATTTAAGTTGTAGTTGTATATCATTAACAGATAGTTATTTCAGAAAGAAAACAAAATTTTTATGTCACTATTATAGAGCTCATTCACAGTGTTTGTTTTTTCTTATTTCATCTCTCCTTTTGCTCCTTTGGAATAATAAAAAAGTAGTTCGTATTTGATAACAAAGATCCTTAATAAAGGAAGAAAAAATATAAATTTCTTAGCTAACAATAATTTAATAAGATGTATCTGATCAATCTAGGTTGCTTATATAAATAAACCTAGAATTAATAAACTGATGGGGCAGAGCTGGCTGGAGAATGGAAGTTAGTTGCCTGTCTTTTGTTTTTGTTTTTTGTTTCAAATTGCTTGTCTGATTAAGTATAAAAACTAAATCCCAAATCTAAATGACTTCCTATAAGCTGGCACATATTTCACCTACAGTTAGTGCTCATCTGTTATTCCAAATTTGTCACATTGCATGAGATGGTAGTGCTGAGATAACATTAGGGAACTAAGCCTGATGGACACAAAGATCCTCTGAGGAAAACTAGAGGATGCTGTGTCTGTGTCTGGTTATT